>NC_000005.10:143828659-144453659 GCF_000001405.40 Homo sapiens | reverse complement strand
GATTTTATGTAACTATAATGACATTTTATTTTTTATCGTGTAAAATAAATAATTATTTCTTCTATTTGCCAAATTAATAAATTGAGGTTCCTAGTAATTAAGATTTCTCAAGATTCTGCAGTTAATGTGGACTCATACTAGGGGCTTCTAACACTAAAACCCCTCATCCTTTCTGTTAAGGCATTTTGACTTTCAGACTCTTATGAAAATTCATACAGATCATAAAGACATCAAAGTGTTAAGGAGACACTGAAAACTCAGGCTGAAATCGCTTCTCTTCGGCATCAAGATAGAGGAAGACTAGAGGGATGGGATCAACTCATACTTAGGATCACTTTTGATCAGGGGAAAAGTGATGAGACTAAGACAGCTATACAGGCTTGTTGGGGATGTCACAGGGGACTCTGACGTGTCAGAGGCGACCAAGGGGAGGGAACCTGGGCATCACCTGAGGGAAAAGGGAGATGGGCACCAAAATGGAGGGACAAGGATGTAGAGAAAATGGCGGCCCTTCACCCTCTGCCCAGGACCAGTTCTAGTTACAGATCATGGCCCTAACCATGCCCCAAGATGTTGCCAACAGCTCTGTCCTCAGGAAGAAAGGGCTTCTCAGGACCAAACTCCTGCTTTGTGTGTTTCAGATACATTCCTCATTTTCTGTGCAACAGACTAAACGATTTTTACCAGCCACCTCCTCCAGCTCATGTATGATTAGTGAGATACGCTGAGGGTACCCGTATTGTTTCTCAAATAATAGTCTGCAAAGCACCTGGAACTTCAGAGAAAAGCAGCCTAATTCTCCACTGATGTGAGCACATGGGGAGGGTTCAGGTAGTCCTTCCCTATACTCTTGGTGTGAGGCTTCTTTTTTCCTTTTTTTTTTTTTATTCTTGCTTGGCCTTTATGTTCTATCTTCACAGTGATGACAGACTCTATTTTATTTTGGTCCAGATTTGGCAGCTGATTTGTCAAATGACCAAGGTCAACTGGTCATTTTCAAATGCTCAAAATGGATATCCCAAAATAATCCCCATATTTTTAAATAGAGATACTCTACTTTTATCTAGCAATGCTCTTTCCCGTCCATATTTTTAAATAGAGATACTCTACTTTTATCTAGCAATGCTCTTTCTCGTCCCTATTTCTCTCTTTCCCCTCTCACCTGTCTCTTGCTCCCCCCAATCCACTTCTCTCTCTCTCATATTAAAAATAATTAGGTATATGTTCGATGTGATTCACAATCCCTCTCTCCCTCCTTCTGCCAGTAAAAAAGATTGTTGTGTTATAACTGCCACCTTTGAGTCAGTATTTCATTTAGGTTTCATTTTCTTCCTTAATTCACCAATCCCATTTCTTAAAATTGGTTAAATTTTACATAGTATGTTCAAACATAGATTATCCTGGGAATCTGCCACATGTTCAATCTCAGGATCTCAGGGTTATGTGACATTCAGTGCTCCTCAATGCCAAACTACCTCTTAGAGAGTGACAGGAATATATATATATATATATAATATTATATATATTTAATGTGTTTTGGGAGCAGCGGGGTGAAATGTAATTTTCCACTCATTCTGATCAATGAGAAAATATTTAGAACCAGCTAAAGGCTTAGATGGGAGGTAAGAAATGTCTGTTTGTAACGCCAAAGAGAACAGAACTAGATAAATTAATATGCTGTGACAAATACAGTTTCACTCCTAAATGTAATTTCTTTCCCTCCCTCCTTCCCTTCTGAATATTCACCCTGATAAGGAAAATGTCTGAGGTCCTTCTTACAGTTAATGAATTAGGATACTCAAGAGAAGTTTCTCAGAATACCTGCTTCTGAGCCAGGGCATTGAAATGATGAAACCCCAGTTCCAAATTGCCTCAGGAAATGCAATGCATTCATGTTCCAAGTACAAAGTCCCTCAAACTCACTTTGAAAGTTTGCTTAGAGTCTAAATAAATCAAACTGAAAGACTTAATTATGAAATCTCAGAGGTGGTCATGAAAATAATAAAATGCCTGAGTTTCTGTTTCAATAGAAGTGTTAATATTTTAGCAGCTCCTAACTGCCTGCGTTCTATTTCACAATTCGTGATTAAACTTTGATTTTAATAGAGCTTCAAAAAAAAAGTGAGACTTTTGCTTCAGTTATTTGTTATAACACTGGCTTGTCATTTTTAACCTGTAATTAATGTCTTCTTCTTAGCCATTCTGTCTTGGAGAGGCAGAAACAGCACAGTTAAGGCTGAGGAATCCTGTGAGGTGACCTGGTCCATACCACACCCAAACAGACAAAGAATCACCATGTGGTCTCTTCTGTGGTATCTCTTCTGTGGTGTCTCTTATATCTCAGGTATAAGATTGAGAATAAAAATAACTTGGAGAAATTGACTACTCCACTTTTTAAAAAATCTGCTCTCTAATTTACTAGAGATGTCTTTTGGATTAAGGAGTAAAAAGAAGCAGGGTAAGTTGTTCTGAGAGACTCCAGCTTCTCCAATTCAGATGAAAAAATATATAGAGGGTAATAGATTCTAAAAATTCCTCAATGGAATATTTTTAATATTGAAGTATAACTGGTATATAAAAGCAGCTGTGCATATTTAACGTATGCTACCACAAACCACAAGCAAGATAGTGAACATATTCATCACCTCCAAAATTTCCTTGTGTTCTTTTGTCATTTTGTTGTTTTTATTTCTTTTTGCAATAAAAATACTTAACATGAGATCTACCCCCTTAACAAATGTTTAAGTGTACAATACCATATTGGTAATTATAGGCATTATGCTGTACATTAGATCTCTATAACTTTTTCATTTGCATAACTGAAATTTTTTACCCATTGAGCAGCAACTCCCCACTTGCTCCTCCCCTCGATACCTAGTAACTACCATTGTATTCTCTGCTTCTATGAATTTGACTACTTTAGATACCTCATTTAAGTGGAATTATGCAATATTTGTTCTTCTGTGAGTGGCTTATTTCACTTAGCACAATGTATTCCGGGTTCATCTATCACCCAAATGAGAAGATTTTCTACCTTTTTAAAAGGGTGAATATTGTTTCATTGTATGTATATGCCACATTTTCTTTATCCATTAATCTGTTGATGGGCATTTGGGTTTTTTCCATATCTTGAATATTGTGAAAAATGCCACAATGAATATGAGAGTGCAGATATCTCTTTGAGATCCTGATTTCAATTATTTTGAATATATGCCCAGAAATGAGATTGCTGGATCATATGATAGTTCTATTTTAAGTTTTTAAGGAAACTTCACATTGTTTTCTATAGCTGTTGCAACATTTTACACTTTCACCAACAGTGTAAAAGGGTTCCAATTTCTCCACATCCTTGCCAATACTTATTATCTTTTGTACTTTTGATAATAGTCATTTAACAGGTGTGAGGTGATCTCTCATTGTGGCTTTGACTTGCATTTCCCTGATATTAGTGATGTTGAGTGCCTTTTTATATACCCGGTGGCCATTTGTATGGTCACGTTTAGAGAAATAGCTATTCAGTTCTTTTTCCAGTTTTAAAATCTGATTATTAATTTTCTTGCTGCTTGGTTATAGAAATTTCTGATACATTTTGGATATTCATTCTTATCAGGTAAATGAGTTTTTCAAATATTTTCTCTCATTTTTAGGTTGCCTTTTCACTCTGCTAATCGTTTCCTTTGCCATGCAGAAGTTTTTTAGTTTAATGTTATCCCAATTGTCTACTTTTGCTTTTGTTGCCTGTGCTTTCAGTTCATATCCAAGAAAACATTGCCAAGACCAACATCAAGAAACTTTTCCCCTATATCTCCTTAGAAGTCTTATAATTTCAGATCTTATGTTTAAGTATAGTCCACTTTAAGTTGATTTTTTGTCTATGGTGTAAGATAGAGGTCCAATTTATTTGTTGAAAAGACTATACTTTTCCCTATTACATATTCTTAGCAAACTTC
The DNA here is from genome assembly GCF_000001405.40 of Homo sapiens. NCBI lineage: Eukaryota > Metazoa > Chordata > Mammalia > Primates > Hominidae > Homo > Homo sapiens. The sequence goes on along the minus strand of NC_000005.10, from coordinate 144,449,709 downwards.
TCAAAGATTAGTTTACTCTGCATGGATTTATATCTAGGTTCTCTATTATTTTTATTGGTCTACAGATCCATCTTTATGCAAGTATCATACTATTTTAATTACCATAGCTCTGTAACATATTTTGTTTGTTTTCCATAAAGTTTTTTATTTATTTATAATTTCAACTTTTATTTTAGATTCAGTGGGTATGTGTGCACGTTTGTTACATGGGTATATTTTGAAACTAGGAAGTCTGATACCATCAACTTTGTTCTTTCACAAGATCACTTTGGTTATTTTGGGTCTTTTGTGGGTTAATATGGATTTTAGTATTTTTTTTCTACTTTTATAAAAAATCCATTGAGATTTTGATGGGTATAGTATTGAATCTGTAGACAGCTTTGCATAGTATGCACATTCTAACAATATCAAGTCTTCCAATCCATGAACACTAAATATCTTTGAGTCTATTTGTGTCTAATTTATTTCATTACGTTTTCTGGTTTTTAGTGTACAAATCTTTCACTTCTTTGGTTAAGTTTATACCTAAAGACTTGAAAAAGAGACCATCTGCTCTCTTAGAGGAGTACTCTCTAACTATACTTAACTTCTTTAAATTTATATGTACATATAGATATTGATTGCAGAAAATCAGAAAAGTCAGAGAAGAACACTGAAAATCTTAAAACCACCTATAATTCCATCACAAAAAGGTAACAATTTTTACTATTTTTGTGTAAATGCTCCCAGACTTTATATGATCCTCTTTCCACAACTGTGAAGATGAATCTATGATGTCATTTTTAATAATTTCAAGGTGGTTCCTTGATTGTACCAAAAGTTTATCATATATTAAACCAAGATGAATTACTTGCTATCTATTGAGACCTAATGTGATATAATAAAAGCCATTAGGAGGAAGTGGTTTCTCATTTTTCCTAAGGATGGAAGCATTAGGAAAAAGAGATTTGATTAAGAGAATATGGAGACAAGTCAAAATCTTTAATCCAGGGCTTAGCCTTTGGAATCATGATTTAATCTAAAACAGGAAGGTTCCTTAGAGCTGTCATTTTAAAAATATGCTTGCTCTTGTCTCTAATGCTGTTTTAATGCAACTGCTGATAAGAATCCACTCCTCGCAATACCAGAACCAAGCCAAGCATATTTTAAAGTGGCAGGTCTAATTTCCAACTTCAGCCTCAGTGTTACGAATATAAATCATCAACCAGAGAGGTAAACATGCTGTAGAGGTCCTGGTCAGTAACTTATCCTTCTCAACAAACTTTCCAAAGATCAAAACTTCATCTCCAAGAACACACAGAGGTAACCAGAGAGAGCTTAAGGCTCTTCTCCAAGTAGAAATTGGCTTAGACAGTTAGGGTTCAACACTGGGCCTAGTAGAGAGAAAGAAACAAAATCTAGATTTACAATGAATTGACCATTCTCCTTGCTCTATGTTAAAACCAGATACTTGTAATAATCTTTAGATCTTCTACCTTCATATAATAGGGTGATTATCAGGTGAATAGTCATTTGGAGGCAAGGCAAAATTCTAGGCAGAGACCAGTATAGGCAAAGAGACTACAGCATCAATGGGATAGTGAATTTTGGTAACTACAAGTAATTGGATATGACTGAAGCATGGACTATCTGTGAGCTTGTTAAACGGCATCACAATAGAGAGATGGAGCAGAAAAGAGCCAGATCAGATTGTAAAGGCCCTTCTAGTTAGTGGTCCTTAAACACTGAAATTACATGGAGAGTGTCAAAAATACTGATGCTTGGTCTCACCCTTAGAACTTCTAATTTAAGTGGTCTAGGGTATAATCTGAGCAACTGCATTGATAAAAGCACACTAGTTAATTCCAATAGAGAGCAAAGTTGGGGAACCATTCTTCTAGGTCATTATCAGAAGCACGTACTTCATCTAAAGATAATAGTAAATAAAATAATTATTTGTAAAGCATGGAAGTGTCATATTTAGACTTTATACTGTGTTTCATTGTTTTGTTTTTAGTTTATGTTGTATATGTATTTATTCATTCTTTCTTTTAACAAATAGTGAATATCTACCCTGTCTCAGACTCTGACACACATTTTTTTACTTTTCCTGAAAAAAATCCTCCTGTAAATTCCATGCATTTTCTTTTGTTTTTTCTTTTTTCTTTTTTTAAATTATACTTCCAGGTCTGGGATACATGTGTGGAACGTGCAGGTTTGTTACATAGGTATACATGTGCGATGGTGGTTTCCTGCACCCACCAACCCATCATCTACAGTAGGTATTTCTCCTAATGCTATGCCTCCCCTTGTCCCCCAGCCCCTGACAGGTCCTAGTGTGTGATGTTCCGCTCCCTGTGCCCATATATTCTTATTGTTCAACTCCCACTTATGAGTGAGAACATGCAGTGTTTGGCTTTCTGTTCCTGTGTTAGTTTGCTGAGAATGATGGTTTCCAGCTTCATCCACGTCCCTGCTAAGGACATGAACTCATTCTTTGCTATGGCTGAATAGTATTCTATGGTGCATATGTGCCACATTTTCTTTATCCAGTCTAACATTGATGGGCATTTGGGTTGGTTCCAAGTCTTTGCTATTGTGAACAGTGCTGCAATAAACATACGTGTTTATGCGTCTTTATAGTAGAATGATTTCTAATCCTTTGGGTATATACTCAGTAATGGGATTGCTGGGTCAGATGGTGTTTCTAGTTCTAGATCCTTGAGGAATTGCCACACTGTCTTCCACAATGTTTGAACTAATTTACACTCCCACCAACAGTGTAAAAGCATTCCTATTTCTCCACATCCTCTCCAGCATCTGTTGTTTCCTGACTTCTTAATGATCGCCATTCTAACTGGCACGAGATAGTATCTCATTGTGGTTTTGATTTGCATTTCTCTAATGACCAGTGATGATGAGCTTTTTTTCATATGTTTGTTGGCTGCATAAATCTCTTCTTTTGAAAGGTGTCTATTCATATTCTTTGCCCATTTTTTGATGGGGTTGTTTGTTTTTTTCTTGTAAATGTCTTTAAGTTCCTTGTAGATTCTGGTTATTAGCCCTTTGTCAGATGGATAGATTGCAAAAATGTTCTCCCATTCTGTAGGTTGCCTGTTCACTCTTATGATAGTTTCTTTCGCTGTGCAGGAGCTCTTTATTTTAATTAGATCTCATTTGTCAATTTTGGCTTTTGTTGCAATTGCTTTTGGTGTTTTAGTCATGAAGTCTTTGTTCATGCCTATGTCCTGAATGGTATTGCCTAGGTTTTCTTCCAGAGATTTTATGGTTTTGGGTCTTACATTTAAATCTTTATTCCATCTTGAGTTAATTTTTGTATAAGGTGTAAAGAAGGGGTCCAGTTTCAGTTTTCTGCATACAGCTAGCCAGTTTTCCCAACACCATTTATTGAATAGGGAATCCTTTCCCCATTGCTTGTTTTTGTCATAGACTTGTGTTTTAAAAAGATCACCATGTAGGATTTTGGGGGAAATGGCAGAATTGGCAGCATTGTTTTTAACCACTTCAAATACCCACATTTAAAAAAATCAACCAACTAACTAACAGAAGCAGAAACTCATGGACATATATGACACAATTAGCTGACAAAGTATCCCCACAAATATTAAAATACAAGCAGAAGGGAACAAATCATCTACAATCACAAGACCTACATGATAATGGCATCTGTATAGAAAGAAGAAAAAACAAGAAAGTAGGACTTAAAGCACTTGAGAATAGGACAACTCCCAAAGAGCCAGCAGATATGTACTGGAAAGCATAGTAAGCCAATTTAAGACCAAAAACAGAAACTGGGAGAGTCTCTCCCTAAACTAGACTGGAAGGATTGAAGCAGTTTAGCCCCCATAAGTCCTCAATACTGACTTATCAGGACTCTTTTCTAAGATGGGGCCAAATATTGAGAAAAAATATCTACTATGAGTAGAATAAAAATTAAACAAGATAGAGAGACCATAATGAAACAAAAAAAAAAGGTCTAGGCCAAAATGAGGAAGAGGAACAAAGCCAGGAAATCTCAGGAAGCAAGCAACTATGTTTTTGAAAATTATACCAAAATAACAGAAGGGGAAGTTCTGTGGAATTAAAAAATTTCCTGAACCCCACCTTATTCTAAATGTTCTGGGAACATAATCACATATAAATAAACAACATAAACTGTTAAGTTCAAATTCTATACAAAGATGTAATAGGAAAAGAGAAACTAAGTGACAGAATAACAATTTCCATACAAGGATGTTATAAGGAAAAGAGAAAAGTGAGCAGAATAACACTCTTCCAGACAATAAATTCATGCCAGAATGACATGCACATAAAGGAGATTCGAATTGCAGTCCACTGTTCCAAAATTCTCAAACGCATCCAGAATTGATACAAAACATGGAAGAGCAACACAAATTGGAATTAGAGAAGATTCAGATTTAGATGACAGTTGTTTATGAAAGAATTATAAGTAAAAGGATAAATAATTTAAGAAATGAAGACTAAACTGGAACAGAAGAGCACATAAACACAAAAGAGAATGTCTTAGAATTTAAAATTAAGAAGTTGAGATCAAAAGTGTCCTAGAGAAATGTCAAATATAAAAAGTAGGCCAAAAAATTTCATATATTTTCACATACATATAATAGGAGTCCCTAAAGAAAAAATGAGGCAAGGGAACAGAACAAATGCTAAAAAGAAAAATTTAATTGTCAAATATATATGTGTACATATATATGCATATCATATATAATATATGTAATATAACACTATTATAAATACTATATAGCATTATGTAATATATACTAGAATTGTATATTATATATACTATATTACACACATTTGAAAGTATTTATATATACATGCACACACACATATATATATATATATTACATTTTGAAAGAGCATACTATGGAGATCAGAATATCAATCTGGAATAGACGACAACAATATATTTCTAGTAAAATTATTAGACTTTTTGGAGAGGAAAGCATGTGTCTTATTAATGAAATAATATTAAATTATCATTAGATTTTTTGATAGTAAGACTTTATGCCAGAAGAAAATGTAGTATCACGTGGAAAATATTCAAGGAAAGAAAGTAGAAGCTAAGGGTTTTGTATCTAGCAAAACTCACATGTATAAAGGGCATAAACTATTAACTGTAAAATGTGAGGGCATCTTTTAAAAAAAACATTATTGAGGCATGACTGACGTACAAAAACTATGCATCTTTAACATATACAATTTGATGAATTTAGCTTAAAAGCTTTCTGGGAAATCTATAATAGAACAAGCCTTACTTAAATGACTAAAGAGGTGTTAAGATAGGGATTTGTGGTGAGCATTAAACACATATTTACTTGAAATGATGTTTTATTATTGAGAACCATGATTTTTGATGTGGAAGAAAGGAACCCAACTGTAATATAGAAGAGCTTAAGTAAACACTCCATAGTCTTTCATTTGAATTGGAAATATCGCTATGAACTGGTGAAGTGTTTTATCTTTGTGTGTGGAGGGGGGAGGGGTTGGGGTGGGGTTTGTTTGTGTATTTTGACTCTCTCTGCTAAAAAAAACATGAAACGATGGCAATCCCAGTAGCAGTGAGTATGCCTAGCACGAATATTGTTGTTTTGAAATGTTGCTTCTCAGTGAAATAAACCAGGCCTCCTTGGAGACAGTGGAATCCAGATCTGGTCAAGGAAACATACAAGATAATCCTGGAATACCCTATTACACCTGATAGCAAGAAAGTTATCAAAAATTACCAAAGTCATGTCAAAAAGACTAAGGATAAGTGCTTGAGGGGCTGGATATCCATTTTCTATGATTTGACTATTGCTTATTGCATGCCTGTATCAAAGTATCTAATGTACCCCATAAATATATTCACTTACTGTGTAAAAATAAAATAAGACAGCTATAGATCCTCAAAAAATAAAAAAGACTCAGAAGACAAGTTGAAGAGGCTCCCACTAGCCAAGGATAGAACAACTTGAGCTTCATAGTGATAATAATTATAATAGATTTAAGCCATCAAATATGTTTAAATCAATGAGTTCATGAGGATAATTTTTAATGTAACTTGTCACATATGGAGGATGACAGAAAAACACTTCATCATCTTGAAAATCAGTAAGTTAAGAGAAATATCAAGCTTTCACCTACCTTTCTTATATATACTATACTATTAAGATAAACAATAGTAAAAGAAGAGAAGCATCTCTTTATGAAAGCAGAAAATGAAAAATATAGTAGACAGAATTTCTAGAATGATGAAGTAAGAATACCACCAGACTCTCTCTCCAGAAAAAAAAAATAATGTATCTGGTGAAATTATTAAAAACAACTGTTAAGGTATTTAGAAATTATCATAATTGCATACACCAAATGGAGAAACATTTATTCAAGAAAAATTTACAAACTTTTGGTAAGAACAATGGACCTATGGCGTTTAAGCCATGACCTACTCCATTATGTGCCCTTCACCTCATAAGCTCCAAGTAATGGAAACTCTACCCCATTAGAGAAGTTTATAGTAACCTCACTTTCCAGATCCTAGTGTCAGGTTCCAGTTTCACGCAAGTAAGGGCAGCCTGCCTGCGTTTCTCATTCTCACTACTCCCCAGACACCGGTTGCAGAAGCTTGATTCTAGGCAAACAAGGCCAAGAGAACTTGAGCTCTCTTATTTTGACAAGTTCTATCTTGTATAAAGGAAGTTCTACTCAAACCATAACAGGCTGAAAATATTGAGGCCACAATTGCTTCATATCCAGCTTTCCCAGATGGTAGAGGTTCCTTGCCAAAAAGGAAAAAACAACAACAACAACAACAAAAACCAGGGACTTCCACTTGTATCCCTAGTACCTAGTATAGAGCAAAGGTGTCACTCAAAGAGCAGGTCTCCATGCTTAACCACCTTAGTTGTGGTTCTATAAAGTCAAAGAGATCCACAGCTCTACCTGAGGGAGCTGAACTTAAGTGAAACAGAGAGTGGAGAGTTTGATACCTAAGAGTGTTGTCAAAAACAATGGAGATCTTGGTGAAGAATGATTAAGAAGAGGCTGGTAACTCCAAAACAAGCAGAATTACAGAGCAACCAGAAAATAAGTCAAAATAATCAAAGGAAGGAACAAAAGAAGGGAGGGAGGCAGAAAGGGAGGGAGGGAGAAAAGAAGGAAGGAAAAGTTGGAAGGAGGGAGGGAAGGAGGGAAAGAAAAAGATAAATAGAAAGGCAGAAAGAACGACAGAAAGAAAGAAAGAAAGAAAGAAAGAAGAAAGAAAAGAGAAAAGAAAAGAAAAAGAATGAGAGCCAAGAAGAGCCTTCTTAATATCACAGTCAACTCTGCTAGTCACAAGGCTGTGGCATCTGGTACACAAGGCTGTGGCATGTGCTAGGAAGCATCCACTCAGAAGCAATAAGAGAAAAGATTTAGGACAGAATCAAAGCATGTCCAAAGCTTCACTCAGACACATCAACAGAAGCTGAAACCCTGCTAGCACAAAGGGCTTAAACACTACTTCTGACAAAATACTGGAAGACTAATAAGCTACTTTGATCCAAGGGCAGTAACAAAAACCAATACTACTAGCAATGAAGAGGGGTATTTTGTAATGATAAAAGGATCAATCTATCAGGAAAATCTAACAAATTTGAACATATAAATTTAAATTTAACAAAAGATGTGCAAGTCTTGTACACTAAAAACTGTGAAGTATTGTTGAAAGAAATTAAAAATATTAAACTTTTTTAAAATGTTGAAATGTTCGTGAATAGAAGACAATACTTTTAAAATGACAGTATTCTGCAAGTCAATCTACAGATTCAATGCAATCTCCAACAAAAATCCCAGATTTTTTTTTTTTTTTGCAGAAATTGTCAAGATGATCTTAACATTTATATAGAAATGGAAGGGATACAAAATTGCTGAAAGAAATCTTAAAAAAAAAAAAACAAATTTAGAGAACTCATATATCCTGATTTCAAAATTTACTACAAAGCTACTACTATAATCAAGACAGTGTGGTACTACATAAGGATAGACATATAAATAAATACAATACGACTGAGAATTCAGAAGTAAAACCTTATATCTATAGTCACTGATTCTCAGTACGATTACTAAGATAACTCAATAAGAAAAGAATAGTATTTTCAACAGATTGTGCTGGGACAACTGGATATCCACATGCATAAGAATGAAGTTGGAGTCTGACCTCATATCATAAACAAAAAGTAACTTAAGATATCGTTGTGCACATGTACCCCAAAACTTAAAGTATAATAATAAAATTAAAAAGGTAAAAAAATAAATCACAGACCTAAATGTAAGAGCTAAAAATAACAACTCTTAGAAGAAAACAAAAGTAAATCTTTTTGTCTTTGGGTTAGCCACCAATGGTTTATTAGATATGGCACTAAAAGCACAAGCAACAGAATGAGAAAATAGATAAACTGCATCAAAATTAGCAACTTTGTGCTGCAAATGATATCACTGAGAAAATGAAAAAGAAAACCCATGGAATTGGAGGAAATATTCACACATCATACATCTGATAAGGGATTTGTATCCAGAATATATAAAGAACTCACAACTCAATAAAAAAACATAGATAACCCAATGAAAAATGAACAAAGGATCCGAATAGATCCAAAGATCTACAGATAGTCAATAAACACATCAAAAAATACTCAACATTCATTCTCAGCAAACTATCGCAAGGACAAAAAACCAAACACCGCATGTTCTCACTCACAGGTGGTAACTGAACAATGAGAACACATGGACACAGGAAGGGGAACATCACACACCGGGGACTGTTGTGGGGTGGGGGGAGGGGGGACAGATCATTAGGAGATATACCTAATGCTAAATGATGAGTTAATGGGTGCAGCACACCAAATGGCACATGTATACGTATGTAACAAACCTGCATGTTGTGCACATGTACCCTAGAACTTAAAGTATAATAATAATAAAATAAAATAAAAAAACTCAACATTATTCATCATTAGAGAAATGCAAATCAAAACCACAGTCAGATTTTTTTTTTTTCAGTAGAGATAGGGCCTCATTATATCGCCCAAGCTGGTCTTGAACTCCTGACCTCAAGGAATCCTCCTGCCTTGGCCTCCCAAAGTGCTGGGATTACCGGTGTGAGTTGCTGAACCATGCCACAGTGAAATATTACTTCACACCTACTAGAATGGCTAGGCTATCAAAAAGTCATATAATAATAAGTACTAATGAGGATGTGAAGAAATTGGAACTCTTAGGCATTGGAGGTGAAATGTGAAGTGGTGCTGGCAATTTGGAAAACAGTTTTTCAGTTCATCAAAAAGTAAAACATAAGAGTTACCATATGACACAGCAATTCCACTTCTATTTTCTGCAGAAAATACAAAGGACGATGGCGCATAGTGAATTGTATCATGCATTTGCAATCAGCCACATCCAAACTGTGAGAAACTCCATAGTTCAAACAGCCTGTGTTTTCAACAGATACATTTTAAGACAAAATGATGAGGGATAAGTATAAAACTGTCAAGGAAATGTTTAGTATAAAAGTCGGTGTGGTGGACAAAGGGGTTGTGTTTGAAATGTGGTGCACAGAAGGGGCTTCCAGAATGTCTAACCGAGTTCTATTTTCTGACCTGGTCATGGTTAGGTTACAAGATGTTTGCCTTAGAATAATTCATTAAGTAATGCATTTTGCTCTGTGACATTTTCTGTGTCTGTTGTTAGTGGGCTTTTTTAAATATGTTTTTTTTTTTTTAGATTATGAAAACTTTCTCTTTAATCAAGGATTTTAACATGAACAGACTTCTTGAATAATATGGAAAGTTTCCAATATATTGAATCATAAATCCACAAGTCACCATACATACAACACCCGGCAGGAAAAAAACAAAAACAGCAAGTTTACACGATACCTGTAACAGCCATGATCTTAATCTCAGACGCTTCTTCCAGCTACCAAGTGTGTTCTGGATACAGAGCACACCATGGCTTCTGGGGTCACACTCAGCTGAGGCTGTGGCCCACAGAGCACTCATCTCTCTGGGCTGTGGTGGTGGTGGCTCTACTGAAGAAGCAAAACTGTTACCAGCACATTCAAAAAGCGTGTTGAACATCTTTTAAATATCAAAGTGAGAAACAAGAAGGCAAAATAATAGTGTTATCAGAAAGATGTTAGGAAGCAAGGACAGCTGTGTAAAGCTCGAGGCTGGAAGGTGACTTGCCAACTTCATTTACCATCTGGCTTCTTGGGTAGCGGGCACTGGAATAGTAAGATGTGAGGCTCTGGTTCATGGTTCATATAATGGACTCATCCCTGACTCTGCTGAATGCCAAGATTCCTCCATTCAGATTCATACTCTGCTGAACTCCAAGATTCCTCCATTCAATTCAAGTGGGTTTTAGGGACCAGCTTGGCTATGTCCTTGGGCAACATGACATGCCAATACTCAAACCCCTCATCATTGTATTTCTCCAAATAGTAAATTTATTTATGCGATATGATCGCTGTGTCTGCAAGCTTTCAGCCCCACACCGCCAACATCCAAGCAACTCCCAGCAGCACCAAATATTTTTTAATGAATTAAATAAATAATTACTCTGGAAGTAATGTGGGGAAGAGATTTTGAATTTCAGTAAGATAAGATTAGAACCAGAAAAAAAGAAAAAAAAAACAGATGAAATTAGAACGAGGAAGGAACATGTGCAAGACACAGAGGAAGTTAGGAATATATATGAATCTTCCAAAGAGGCAAATTAATAGAATTTGGTGTCTAACCGAATAAGGAGAGTGAGGAAGAGGTAGAAGATGGTGACTTACAGGCTTTTTGGCTTAGATCAACATGAGTCAAAAAACACAGGATAAGTACATCCTTTCTCTCACCCCTGACAAGCTTTGACTATTGATTTTCCCTGTCCAGTGGCCTGGTAACAGAAAACATACTTTCTGTCCTTGGTCTGGTAACAGAAAACATACTTTCCTTAGCAACCCATTCTCAGTCCATAGGCTTCAAGTGGCTGTCTCCACCTGTGCTCTAAGGAGAGCTGGAGAGGCCAGTGACCCAGCCTATGTTTTCAAAAGATACAGAGCATCCTGCATCAACCACAGTGATTGATGCAGGTATGAGAACATGACCCAAGCTAGGCTTATTAGAATTGAGTGGATGAGCCCGCCTCCTCTCAAAGCTCTAGGTTTATTACTGTGGCTACTATGAAATAGGAACTTGTCTAGGAGTGATACCCACACAGCAGAAAACAGAGCGGAGACAGATGCACAGAGTCAACACGTATGCTCATACAGAGTGTTAATGACATTGATTTAGTTTCTGGATACAGGCAGGCCTGAAGACAGTCTATTCCTGTGCTTTTCAGCTATGTGTGAGTCATTATATTCCAATTTTTCCTTTAAAAGCAGATTGAATAAGATTTCTGTCAATTAAAAATGAAAATATCTTGACTAACGCAGGATCAAGGAACATTGTACTGTTTCCAGACTTACTCATACAAATGCTCTAGTGCTGGCTAATAGAAATATAATGTGAACCACACATCTAATTTTAAGTTTTCTAGTAGCCGCATTTAAAAAAGTAAAAATAAGTGCATAAAATTAATTTTACTAATATATTGTATTTAATATACATAAAATCATTTCACACGTAATCAATATTTTAAAAATTATTACTTTACATCTCTTTTGTAATGTAAAGTACATTTCTAAGTCTTTGAAATCTACTGGACAGTTTAAACTTAAAACATCTCAATTTAGAATAGCCACATTTGAAGTGTCCAATAGCCACATGCGGATATTGTAATGAGCAGCAAAGATCTACGCCATTCCCTACCTTTTCCCAGCAAAGTCTGCCTTCTCTTGAGTCCTATTGCTAGCATCCCAGAATTGACAGGTACATTAAAAGTCGTGTGGTCAACCCTCTCATTTTATAGGTAAAGAAAATAATAATGATCTATACTAATGAAAGTAAGTTAGTTTCAGAGCTGGAATTCATAAAAAAATAGGAAAAACAACGGCTGGATATTGAATAGTTACTACCTGTACATGTTGATATTGGTTTGTTTGTTAGGTTTTGTGTTTGTGTTTGGCTATCCAGTATTAACTCTTTCCTATCTGGGGAAATCAATAATATTAATAGATAATATCTAGTGAGTATATTATATGTCAGATGCTATTTTGAGAACTTGACAAATATTGACTCATTCAATCCTCAGAGTGACCCTAATGAGGTAAGTATCTTAATCCTCATTTATCTATGAAGAACAAATAAATTAAGACATGGGACTGGGATTTGAAACTAGGCTTTTGGATCCTGAATCCACACTATTAACCCATCCATTACTGCTGCTCCGTGGTCTTGCTGAAGGCAGCAACATGTTTCCCATTGTAGAGGCCCAATGGGACATTTACTCCTTCTCCCTGTTCTCTGGCAGCTTGGGTACTTAACTCAGGCTTGGTGAGTTGATTACTCCCAGAAATTCACACCTGAGGGAGATGATGCAAATGCAAAAGATACATGAGGATTTATTCATCATGGAGGACAGCAGCCGGGACACCTGAGTCAGATCATACCTGTGGCCTAGCCTGTTGAGGACCTGAATTCCTGCCTGTCTTCCAAAACCGAATCTACAGTTTCCTGGTTTTCTGTGAAGTCCTGATGTCCTTTCAGTAACATTCTTTTTGCTTAAAACTTCCAGAGTCCATTTTTATCATCAACAGCCAAGAATGTTGATTAATACCAGTAGTACATATTATTATAGTCATTTTACACAAAAAGAAACTTAATCCTTAAAAAGTAAAACACTTTTGCTTCGGCCGGGCCTGGTAGCTCACACCTATAATCCTGGCACTTTGGGAGGCCGAGGTGGGAGGATCACGAGGTCAGGAGTTCGAGACCAGCCTGACCAACATGGTGAAACGCCGTCTCTACTAAAAATACAAAAATTAGCTGGGCGTGGCGGCATGCTCCTGTAATCCCAGCTACTCAGGAGGGTGAGGCAGAAGAATAGCTTGAATCTGGGAGGCAGGGGTTGCAGTGAGCCGAGATAGCACCACTGTACTCCAGCCTGGGTGACAAGAGCGATACTCCGTCTCAAAAAAAAAAAAAAGAAGTTAAACACTTTCCCCAATATTTTCTAGGAAGTAGTTGGCAAAACTGGAATGTGGACACAGGCCTAGTAGGTAGTCTCCAACTACCTGCTATTCTGGACTAGAATCTAGGTCTCCTGAACCCAGAATCCTTTCTCTTTCCGTGAGGCCAATCCTCTAAGCCATGAACAATAGCCTTACAAAATGAGGTCAGAGGGTTAAAATAAAGTGAACAGTGTTTTACAGGGTCCCTAAAAATTAAATCCTAAGTGGAGCATGCTTAACACTGTTACAGAGCCATGAAAGAGGTATTTAGGGCACCAGATCATATTAATCATAATAAGTAGTTAGAAGTCAATCCCATCTGCCACTATGCCAGGTCTGCCTGCCCCAAAGTGTAAACATTTATTAAGTCCCACAGGATTTAGCTTTAGCCCAACAGAGAGGAAGAAAAGAATTGAGACTTGGACAGCTTCCACCTTGTAGTCACATCTGCACAACAGGTCACCTAGTTAAAACTAAAGTGGTTCCCACAGGGAACTAGAAAGAGCGGCTCTATAAATATGCTCCTACAAGCACAACTGTTCTTTACCCCTTTGGTGTGGGATGGCTGAAAGCAGTGTACCAGAAAATGCTGGAGAATGGACTCTAGGCCAGTAAAATAGCAGAGAAATGCTGAAGTACTGAATGTAGGACAGAGGAGACAACATAACAGTTACAGAATTCTTGGAGAATGGCATCAGAATAAAACTACACACACACACACATACACACACACACACACACAGGAAAGCGCACACACACACACAAAGCACACAAAAACAACCACCACCACAAAACAAAATCACCTCTACCAAGGATGGCAAAAGCACAAAGAGAAGGAAATTGTCTGATACTATTACAAGGCGGTGTAAATAACCCCAACTTCTTTGAAAGACAATTGGCAATATTTATCAACATTTTAAATATATAGGTCCTTTGTCCTAGCAATCCCATTTCCGGTAATATAGAATAGTATATGTGCAAGAATATTTATTGCAGAATTTTGTTTGTAATATCTAATAATGGCAATAAACACAATATTCCTTAAAAGGAGACTGATACTTACAGTATGTTCACATTTTGAAATATAAAACATACTTTGAAAAAGAATGAGGTAGTTCTATATTTAAAAACATGAAGTGATATTCATGATAAACTGGTGTAGGGAAAACCAAGTGGCTGAATAATATAGTAGATAGATTTAAACCAACAGATACAGTGATCTGGAAAGACATTGCTATCAGCAACTTATTCAGATCTCACAACAAATCTACGGGTGATACTACTGTTATCTTTGATTTATAGATAAACAAATGAAGCAATTTACAGACAGGTAAAACGCCCTAGCTAAGGTCATAGCTATTCAATAAAATGGAGCGGGTAAGGGGGCTATCAGGGCTTTTAAAATATAATCCACTTTGTTTTATATTTTTCTTGAATGAACTGTAATTTTTTATGAAGCTAAAAAGGATCACAAAAACTTTTTTAAGAAACCAATAAAAACCATGGACCCACGGGTTCTTGACATTTGCCTCTGGCCACTTCCCCTTCTAAACTTCACAGCACATCTTCTAGCTCCCTTCCTCATGCGCCTTCCTCTTCCACTTTGAAGGGACAGAAAGAACTCAGCTCCTCTTGCTTCTGCAGAGAGATATTTCCACCATCTAACAGCCTTCATCATTAGGAAATAAGCATTCATATTAAGACCAGTGATTCCTTGGCTCCCACAATGTTGTCTCCCACAGTGTCACAATTGTATTTGCGCTACAGGAAAGAAAAGTGTTTCACATGACCTATTCAGTGATAATAACCACCTCTATGATCCAGCTGTATTATGACATATTTTAGATACTGATTAGGCCAATATTCTAATCACTTCAACAAGAATGAAGGAGTAGGCTTTGGATGATTGTTTTAAAACATCATTAGGTTTGTCCAGTTACAATCAACTCCTTTGTATCATACCAAAAATGTATAATGTATAACATTACCTGAAAACTGATGGAAAAACATGGTAACTATTAATAAATGAGATGAAGCACAGAACCAATGGAGCCTAATTTTCCCTCCCTCTGGCCTTTTAAAAGGATTGCCGTAATCTATATGAGCAGTTGTATCCCATGAGTTACACACCCCTCCCTCATTCAGGATCCTCATACTGAATATTATGATGTCTATGAATATTATTATGTCCCTCTGTGAAATACAATTAATTTAGCTATTAATTCATCAACTAAAAAGCACGTGACTACCTCTAATATCTAGTAAAGGTAAATCATTTCCTAGCTTGGGAGTAGACTTCCAATTCTAAAATGAGAGACAAAAACCACCCAGAAAGGTAAATCTTCCCACACGGTCAGCTCAGTCTTCAAGGTTAATTATGTCCGAACAATAAAGATTTAACAACCCTAGAGACAAGCTGACTGTAACAGGTGAGTAATCTCCCAGCTCAGACTGGCTCAGTGGATCCTTTAGTTTCATTGAAGAAAGCAATTAGCTTTCAGTGTGCTAGGAAGTGGGAAACAGTTTCACAGATTAGTAGAGCTGAGGGCTCTGTCTGCTGGTGAAGTTGGTGTGTGGCAAGAACCACTTCTCGAGTTCTTTCTGGGCCAGCATAATCAGTGGCTGATAATATAATACACAGGGGCAGCTGCCTCACAGAATGCATTATCAGAAAACCCTGATGGCAGTGACTATAACAACAACAAAAGATGTATACCACCACATTGTTTTTCACAAGCAAAAGAGTATGATGTAGTATTTAGAGCAGAAAAACAAGGCTTTAAGGACTTCAAACATCATCATTATCGTAGACACATTAACTCTACCAGGCATGTAAGAAGGAACAAGGGGATATAATAAAGCTGAAGTAGGAGGACCTTATCACAGTCTACTTGGGAAGCCAGTGAAGGTGAATGTGACATCACATGCTGGTTTTCTATGTTTAAACTTCAAATAGGTGATAATGCCAGAGGTCAAAAACAAATGGTTGAGAAACTTCATTTGGCCTGCCTGCATACATGTTTTGTTTGGTAAGCATTTTGCCTAAATCTCAAAAAATTGGTCATTTTAAAAAAATCAGATGTTATATGAAAATCTAGAGTTACAGTTTTTCTTGAAAAAATCAGAAAATCCGGTGTCTCTGCACTACCATGGATTCATGTAGCAATTGTCTTAAGGGGAGTAACGGCTGGGCCTCTAAGTCCCATTCAGTACAGTCTGTGCCAGTCCATATTGCCTCATGCCACCAGGGATGACCATCAGTTGCAGTTTATCGCTGCACTTGACCTGTTATTTTCTAATAACAGAGAAAGAGTTCTCTGTTCTCAGGTCCCTATCCAAAGCTAGAAAACAGAAGGTGGCCAAAAAAGCCAAGTAATTCATTTACATTTTTCTTACTCCTGACCTCCTACACTTACTATTCTGGCTTCTGTAGGTATTTCGGTTTGTGATGCCTACTGTGACAGGTAAGAAGATAGAAGAGCAGGTTTTCAAAGTCCCACAGACTTAGGTACACACGTGGTTCTGCCACTTTATATTGTTTGGTCTTGAATAAATCATTTAATCTCTCCACTAATCTATTATCCCATGAGTAAAATGGAAATAATTTTGGCAATGATGTCTACCTCCTATGTCAACTGTGAAGATTAAATATATGTGTATTAAAAATTAAAAATATGTTTATTAAAAGATTTAAAATATGTTGTGTGTGTGTATGCATACATATAGACATATATAGGTAGCTGGTACATAAAACAAACATAAAAAGCTGTAAATAAAAAAGAAAGTCTAGGGCAATTCAAGAAAATTTGGCATTCACAGAAGAAATAATAAAATTACATTAGCAGAGGAAAGCAATTTGTTTGGGTAAACTGAATAGTTTTATCAGTACTCTGTTTTTCCCTGATATATACACACACACACACACACATTTAGTGTTATGTTTTTGTCTTTGCCACTGGAATATGAATCTGATCCAATATAAGTCATTCAGTCTTGCCCAGGTGTACCACTGCTATGTTATGGTCATTGATATATAAAGTGTTTTTCAAAGATATCATTTCAACAAGTCCTGATAACATATGTGTGCTTGAAAAAGTTTACTAAAAATGTTACAAAAGACAATTTCCCTTCTACTGGCTACTAGCTAGATGACTTTGAGAAATTTACTTCTCTGAATCTGTTTCTTCATCTATAAAATGGGTATAATAATTGTTTCTTAAAGGGTTGTAGTGAGGCTTACTTGGCACAAGGTTTGTAAGCACTTATTAATGTTCCTACCACATAAAAGGAGCTAAACACTAGTAATCCCATTTACTTTCCTTCTAGTGATTAATTTGAAAAGTATCCTACTCAGATTAAAAAGGAAAAAAGATAATATTGGTTTCATTATAAAATGAAAATCAGAGTAAGTCAAACCCCAGTGAAATGGCATGAAGACCTAAATGTATATATTGCCAAACAGCATCTGTTTGCAAGGTGCATTAGAATAGTGGAAAAAGAAGAAAGTACCACATCATCTATTTCATTTTTATTGAATTATAGAGTACACATAGCTCTTTTCATTGCATTAGAAAATGAGTGCTTAAAATGATTTACATATTGAAAAAATGTCATAGAGGAAATTTAGTTGTGATTCCTAAGACACATGGTTTGGTGTTAACATTTTCCATTACTTTTTATATTATGGTATGCAATACTCTTCAAAATGTTTGTAAGCCCAGGCAATTTTTCCATGAATCACTAACGTACAAATAATTCAAGTTATTGAGTGCATGTATTATCTATTTTGTACATAGTATTGTGTCGGAATAAAAACAAGTAAAATACGAGCTTTGTCTCCCACTGCCAACCCTCTAGTGTAATGTTTCTTAAACTATGCTGCTGGAACCACCTGCATCAGAATCACTAGAAGAGGGCTTTAATAATGCAGATTTCTTGGCTCCTCTCACAGACTCAGGGACCAAAAATTTTGTGATGTGGACCTGGCAATCTGCATTTAAACACATTCCAGGCAATTTGTGTGCACTCTAAGACTTAAGGGCCACTCATCTGTTAAAATCAACTGAGTTAAAGAGCCAAACTTGATTCCATTAGTAAGCTGTGCACTGGTAAATTATTTAACTACACACTAGAATATGAAAAGCACTACAGCTGACATAGACTTTAAGTCGGTCATTCAAGTACCTCATTGTATTTGTGAAGAAGCTAAAGCAAGTCTCTTCATCTTGCTCAAGTTACTATGTAACACAATTATTATCATACTGAAGTAAAACATACGATCAGTTATTTAAAAAAGAAGAACAATTCCTGATTTTCTTTTACTGAATGGACTAAACATGTTAAATGGATATGCAGGTAGGCTATTACCTGCTAGTTAGTTTTGACAGAGGCAACTTCATTTAAATATGCAATGAGTTTTTTTCTAATTTCTCAATTCATAATTAGTGGTATTTTAGCATCCTGAGAAAGTACCATTGCATTTAATCTCAAGGGTCCTTAATCTGGAATTCATGATCATGGAGAGCTTTCTTGGGGCTATACGTTTGGTCTTCAGGAGGACTATGGAATCCCTGAAACTGTATGCAAAATATGGAATATTTATGTTATTTAGGATAAGGGTCTGTGGCTATTATTAGATTCTCAAGGAGGCTTATGCCTTAAAAAATAGCTGCACAGCACTATAAAATGAAAGACTAGGAAAGCAATGTGCAGAAAACTCATTCCAGGGATGTTGCCAGTGAAAATTGAGAGACCTTCTGTTTGGTTGGAGAGATGGGAGGCTGGATCAGTATCCTCACACTCTTTCCCAGGGGGATCAAAAATGCATCATCTGTCACATGGAAAAATCCTGGCAAACTAATTCCCACTAAAGCACTAACGACAGATGATGGCTTAACATGTTACCTGTCTTATTGCTTGAAGTCTTTCCCACTGAATCCAGACACAACCCTTCTCACTGCTAATTGATCAGAATTGGCACATGTGGCAAAACAATTTGCCATCCCTAATTTAATTCAATCTCTCTCATTTTAGCAATGAGGAACTTGAGGTCCAGAGAGGTGAATTGACTTGCCTGAGGCCACATAGCAAGTTGGTGTCAGAGCCTGGCCCGGAAGCCAACCCTTTTGGCTCCTACTAAAATGCATCTGCCACAGGCAAACTCACAAGCACAGAGAACTCATCTTCCCTCACACCACCTGAACCTTACCCCACTCCTTTCCTTATCATTCTATCCTCCTGTTCTCTGCCATCTTGATTTGACAGCAATTCCCATTTCAAATTTCTCATATTTTTATTTTTAAAAAATAATGGATTTTGTCTGTGTAATATAAAATGAAACTCATTGGTTAGTGCAAGATAAGTATGCTTGCCAAGTTGGAAGGGAAAATGAGGTCTCTGTTGTTGACTTGCTTTGTTAAGAAAAAACAATGACCACACAAGGGCTTACACAGGTACGATGCCCCTGAAGATATCATATAGATTCAGCTAGCTTGCACATTCATATTGTACCACCTGTTCTTTTCCCATGACTATAATTCCAGTCAACTTGTAGCCTCATACATTTGTTATCCTATAAAAAGCTAGGCCTATCTGCTCTCTGCTCAGCCCATTTTCTTCTTTTCCCTTTCTATTTCTCCTCCTTTCCTTCTTTTCAATTTTTTTTCACCTTTTGCTTTGGTCTTTAGATTTAAAGGTATTTATGAACATGTCTGACTTCCCTGACAGGATGTAACTTCCTTGGCGGCACTGTATATTCCTGTCTGCCTTGTTCACCTTTGTATTCCTTATTTTAGTTCAGTTGTTGCTCAGGGAGAGTTTGCCCAATATCACTCCTCACTCATAATACCAACTTTTCTAGTAATAGCTTCTTTTCTTAAGGAATAGCTTCTTTCTGACTCTAAACATTTGGCCCTCATGGTAATGTCAATCATGGTACTGCATCCCCAGCCAAGGATAGGTGTATGACTCAGACCTTGCCAATCATAGCCTACCATTTCCCTATGCTGCATGATTGGTTAAAGAGAGGTATGTGATCCAACCTGGTCCAGAGTTCTTCCCAAGATACCTTAAATTGAGCTCTCAGAGAAAATTCTATATCTTGGGTCGCTCAAATAAAATGGTGTTAGTTCACTACCTGAACTACCTGAGGTCATGTTCTCTGCTGCTCAGGGAAGTACTTCCTGTAGCTAGAGAAAATTAATGCAACTTACAGAGGGAAAAGCAGCCATAGGGAACTCAGCTGCCTTGTTTATTCTGCAAGGCATGCCAGTATCCTCCCAATCTTTTGCTTAAGCTTGTCTAAGGTGGATTTTTGACACTTCCAACTGAAAAATACTGACAAATACATTCATAATGCTTTGTCCCAAATCAGTGCTTGATAAAGATTTACTGAGGGATTTTTCTTCAAAATCAATCTGTTCCACTTTTCTCATCACCGTTTCCTTAGATTTCACCTTCTTGCCTGCCCAACCCCTGTCTTCTTTATTGTTTTCTCCTTTGGGAGTAGCTCTTTTTACTGCCACCTGCTACAGATATGTTCATGCAAGGTATCAGCAGGTAGGAAGCAGCAGAACACACAATCTTGAAAAGACATTTTAGGAAAGTAAGAAATATTATTCTTGCCAACTGATGTTAAAAAACAAAAGTTGGAGAAAAGAAGATAAATACATTGTGTTCAGCTTAAGAACACCCAAAACAATTATTAAGGAACAGCATCTGCCCCTCTCAAATATTTTCTTCCCAACCTTGACTGTTGACAACTCAATTTTCCACTGTGCTCTGTCACTGGTGTGTTTCTTCATCTTCACAGGCACCCTGGGAGTGTACCTCCCTCTGGAGGACACCACCTTTTGGCTTTAGCTTCCTGGACTTACTTCCCCTGCTATATCCCAACGATGTAGTAGTAGGGCTTGAAAACAATATTGCTTATTATTCACAGAGTACATAAAGAATGACTTGCCTTGAAGTTTAAAGATAAGGTAATCCTTGTAAAATGACAATTTGATTTAAGTCATTCACTCAGGCAAACATGGTTCCTGCAACACCCTGACAAAACCACACAAGAATTAAAGGTCTTGTGATGGATGAGGAAGCAAGGTCTAATTGGTGTTTTAATAAATGTATTCTGACTTGGTAATCTACCTAGATTTATCAGCAGAAAATTCCCCTGTCTAAATCAAATTACCAAGTTATGGTATAAAAAATGACAAATGCCTTGTAATTGGCTGTTATACAAGTGCTAGCATCAGAGAGACAAACAGGATATTGGTGTCTAGAGTTGTTTTCAAGACACTGATTAACAGACAAGCAACAGCAAAGAATGGCTTATCACCATTTTATCTATTTCCAATGTTCTTGAGTTAGACTATGTAACAATGCATACTCAAACTAAGGAAGGCGTACCTAGTGTACAGAGTTTTGAGGCATATTGCCAACTAAGTCTTTGTCCTTCTATGGGGTGTAACAAAGGGAGAAGGACTCTATAAATGGAGCATGCACAGCCTCTCTGTGGCCACAAGTCAAGGGCTATGAAGGGAAAGAGGTCAAATTCTTTGAGTTCTTACTCTGTGACAGATACTGTGCTAAGCTATTTCAATAATCACAACCTATTGCTGGGGTAGTTATTATTACCTTAATTTTACTGATAAATGAACTATACAAGACTGAGACTGGGTAACCTAATCCAATTCACAAACTAGGAAATGGAGTAACCTTTCCATTTTTTTAATATCCTAATCTGAAGCCAGATTTATGTAATTTCAAAGTCTATGTTATTTCCACTGGAGCTATATCTTAGCTGCAGGAGTATAATCTAAGACAGTTATTCTCAATCTTGGCTGTTTCTTCGAATCACCTGGAAGGCACCCAGGCTGTACTCCATACCAATTAAATCATCATCTCTGGGGATGATAGCAGGAATCTGTGTTACTTAAAATGCCATAGGTGACTTGAAGATGCAGACAAATTTGTGAACCAGTCATCCAAGATGTATCTTCTCTTCTTCAATTTTTTTAAAAAGAAATAGCTGATATCAGATTCAAGAGGGCACAAGATTTTGGATGTATCAGAAAATATAAGGAGAAACCATTTGAGGAGAGTTTGGGTCCCTCCTCAGAGAATGTAACACAATAGGGGTTCTGGAGAGTAATTAAAGAGTATATGACCCTGAGTCTCCAAAAAGCGAGGTCACTGGAAGGTAGAAAAGGAGCCCAGAAAATAAAGTAGGAATGTCTATTGAATTTGATTGAGGCTAGCCCTTGATGCTAACAACTGAATCCTGAGTAGAAGATCAAGATACTCACCCCCCTCCCCCCGCTTAATTCAAACCAGCAACCTCATTTAAGCTGGAAGTTTATTCCAACTTCTTTATCCTGAAACATTTTCTCCCAAAGTGTCTGGGTAATATTATTTGCAATCCCATTTCCTAGAACCTAGAGCTCCTCTGCTACCAATCATACTCAGCTACATTCTCCCATTGTGCAACAGCTAACCTTATTATAAATTAGGCCAAAGTGTTCCAGGAAGAGGGAACAGAGAATACGAAAGACCTAAAGTGGGAATAAGTGTAGCATATATAGGGGACAGAAAAATGGCCAATGGAAAAAGTAATATGGTTTGAATGTGTTCTCCAAAACTCATGTTGAAATTTAATTGTCATTATGACAGTATTAAGAGGTTGGAAATGTAAGAGGTGATTAAGTATGAGGAATCCACCCTTATCAATGGATTAATGGCATTATCAAGGGGGTGGGTTAGTTACCATAGGAGTGGGCTCTTGATAAAAAAGATAAGTTCAGTTCCCATCTTGTCTCTTTTTCTCATGCACTTGCTTGCCCTATGATACCTCCCTTGATGGTATGACCCTCCCCAGATGCTGGTGCCATGCTCCTGGACTTTCCAACTTTCAGAATCATGAGCCAAATAAACTTATTTTTTTTATAAATTACTCAGTCTGTAATACTGTGTTACAGTAGCAGAAAACAAGCTAAGCCAGAAAATTGGTAGTGAGAAATGGAGCTAATACTATTTTTAAAAAAAACACCTGAAAATGTAGAAATGGCTTTGGAACTGGGTAATGGGCAGAATCTGGAAGAATTTTAGAGAGCAGGCTAGAAAAAGCCTGTATTTTTTGCAAATGAAGCATTAAGGGTGATTCTGGTGAGAGCTCAATAGAAGAGACAAGCTGTAGGGAAATCTTTTTAGAGATTACTTAAGTAGTCGTGATCAGAATGCTAGTAGAAATATCCACAGTAAAGGCTGTTCTGATGATGTCTCAAATGGAAGTGAGGAACAAGGTATTGGAAACTGGAATAAAAGCCATCCTGGTTATATAGTTGGAAAGACTTTGGTTGAATTGTGCCAATGCCCTAGGGCTTGATAGAATGCAGAACTTGGGAATGATAAACTAGGACGTCTGACAGAAGAAATACCTAAGCAGCAATACATTCATTCTGCTGTGTGGCTGGTTTTAGCTGCATACAGTGAGATGCAAGAAAAAAGAAATGACTTAATTAAATTTATCAATAAAAGAGAAGCAGAACAGAAATATTTGGAAATTTTTAATCTCGCCATGTAAAGAGTGAAAGGTGTATTTAGGAGAGCAAACTAAGAATGTGGCAAGGGACAAAGAGATTAGTATGAATAGAAAGAATCAGTTACTATTCAAGACAATGGGAGAAAGACCTTAAAAAAGTCATTTCAAAGATCTCTGAGGCTGCCCCTCACATAACAGGTCCAGAGCTCTAGGAGGGCAGAATAGTTTCAGGTGATGGGCCCAAGGTGCTCTTCGTAAGCTCACTGCCCAGGGCTTCCTTGGGACTCTGTTCCTTGCATTCCAGCACAGTGCTTCTTTTGCCTCAGTCATGGCTCAAGTGAGTCCAGGCGTGGTACATGCTGCTACTCCAGAAGGTAGAAGCCATAAGTCTTGGCAACATCCATGTGGTGCTAATTCTTCAGTCTTACAGAATGCAAGAGTAGTGGAGGTATGTCTACCTCCACCTAGATTTCACAGGATATTGTGGATTCCTTAGAGGTCCAGGAAGAAACTTGCGGGAGTAGAGTCAGCATAGAGTCCCTATGAAGACAATGTCTAGTGGAACCATGAGACTGAGGCCCTTCAGAGACCCCAGTACTCTAGGTCCACCAGTGTGCAGCTCCAGCCTAGGAAATCTGCAAGCAGAAGACTCCAACCTGAGAGAGCTGCTGGGTGGGATGAGCCCAACAAGGCTATAGGCCTGTGGCCTTGGGGAACCAATCTCTACCCCAGGAAACAGGACATGGAGTCAAAGGACATTATTCTCTAGCTTTAGATTTCTTGAGTTTTTCCCCCTTCTGGGTTTTAAACTTACTTGGGATCAGTTACCTCTTTCTTCTTGCCTATTTCTCCCTTTTGGAGAGTGTGAATGCCTATCCTATGCCTGATCTACTATTGTATTTCTGGAGTAGATTACTTGTTTCATAGGTTCACAGCAGGAATAAATTTGCCTCAGGATGAATCATGCCTTGAGTCTCACCTGTATCTGTTTCAGATGAGACTCTGGACTTTGGACTTGTGAGTTGATGCTTGAATGAGTTAAGATTTGGGAGCTATTGGAATACAATAGATGTATTTGTATGTGAGGACATAAGTTTGTGGGAGCCAGAGATGGAATGCTATGGTTTAAATGTCCCCTTCAAAACTTATGGGGAAATTTAATTGCCATTGTGACTATATTAAGAGGTGGGATCTATAGGCAATGAGGGATTTCCTCTCACTCTCATGAATGGATTAATGACTTTATTGTGGGAGTGGCACAGAAGTGGGCTTTTGATAAAAGGATAACTTTGGCTCCCATCTTGTCTCTTGTCTGGTAGGCTCACTCACCTTGTGATGCTCTTTTGCCATGGAATCATCCTCACCAGACACCAAAGCCACGCTCTTGAATTTCTCAGCCTCTAGAACGATGAGCCAAATAAACTTCTACTCTTTTAAAGTTACTCAGTCTGTTATATTCTAGTGTAACAGCAGAAAATGATCGAAGACAGAGTGGCCATAGCTGAGGTTGCAGAGGTGAGCAATAGCCAGTGCAAACTGCTTAAGGATCAAGGCCTTTAGATTTTGTTCTAATTCAGCTGGGAAGCCATCAGTGGATTGTGTACTTACTGATTTTCTATGATGCAGAAGAACATGAATGAGCCTGCCCACCCCACATGACTGTGCAGGGATATCCTAGTCAATGCAGTTTAAATTTCCTGGGATAATTGACAATTGTAAAAACTAATCCTGGCTGACCATATACACTGGAAATTAACCCAATTATGTTTCACCGGCCACTTAGAAGCTTCTTAGACCAATATAGTGAAGTACAAGAGCAGGTTTTAGGGCATTAAATATTTAAAATGATAGGTCTGAGTTTAACATGTGTTTTCCTACCACTTACAGAGAAGCTTGATGTGGTAGAGAGTCCTGGACTTCAGAGTCAGAGTATCTGAGTTGCCGGTCCCAACTCTGCCATGTACTATTTAAACTTTATCTAGCCTTTCATACTTCAGTATAAAGCATGGATGTCCAACCCTTTTAATGTGAGGACTTTCTTTGCTTATCTGTGGTGGTGGATATCATGAAAATTATGCACGGATCTTTTTTTTCAGCTCATCAGCTGTCATTAGTGTTCATGTATTTTATGTGTGGTCCAAGACAATTCTTCTTTTTCCAATGTGGCCTAGGGAAGACAAAAGGTTGGACAGTGGTGGATAAAGCATAATTCCCAGGGAATGGTTATTTATTACTTTTTTTCTCTTACCTCCTCATCCAATCTCTCAGTGAATCCTGTTCATTTAATCTGTAGAATTAACTAAGAATCTACCTACTTGTCTCATCTCCACTGGGTTAGTTCAAGGTTTTTCCATCTTAATTCAGGGTTTTCCCATTTTAGTTTCATTTACATTTTGTGCTAAATATTTTTGTTGTTGTGAGAGGTTGTCCTGTGCATTGTAAGATACTTAGTAGTATCCCTGGTCTCTCTCTTCTAGATAGCAGTAGCAACCCCTTCCCAGTTATGACAACCAACAGTATCTAGAGACATTGTCTAATGTATTTTCTGAAAGGGCTGGGGGATGGGAGGAATGACCTGACTGAGACCCGTAACCTAGACTAAGAAGTCATTATCTCTCTCCTCTGTGCCTGTAATATTCTCTGACAGGTCTGATTGTCCCCTACAGTTCATTCTACACATAGTAGCCAGAGGAATATTTCAAAAGCATAAAACCAATTATGTCACTCCCTTGCTTAAAAGCTGGCTTCCCATGTTCCCTTAATAAAATCCTGACTCTACTGGAGCCCATGTAATCTTATGTGACCGGTGTCTTTGCTCCATTCAAAGCTTATCATCTACCACTCCCTTCCTCAATCACTTCACTCTAGCAAAATTGGCCTTCCTTCTGTTCCTCAAACATTCCATGCTCATTCTCACACCAGGTCATTTGAACTTACACTTCTCTCTGATGAGAATGCCATTCTCTTTCATTTTTCATATATGGCTCCATTTTGTCATTCAAGTGACTCAAATGTCACAGTCTTAGGAGAATGATTAGTTGCTACTTCATTATCTATCTTTGCTACTATGATGTGAGCTTATAAGATAAAGGTCCTTGTTGGTCCTCCCCCTGTAGATGCTCACTAAACACTTGCATAAACTATTGCATAAGGTTACTTTCACCTCCTAACATCCACATGGGGTATATATTCATTTTTGTGATCTACTGTTTTCACTTAGCACTAGACAAGGAGTATTTTGACATATCATTAGATATGCTTCTTAAACATGTTTTCATTTTAAATGGTAACATATTCTTCTACAGAATCCCATAGTCCCCTTAATAAATATCCAATTTTTGAGGATTAGGTCATTTCTTTACTCTTTCATTATATAAACTCATTTACTGTTTATTCAGTAGACAAAGATGATGAGAAAATTTGACTTTTGCTGTTGTTCAATACTATCCCACATTTCCCCAACTAGACAACCAGAAATTAAACACATAGGGCTGTACTATTTGGAGACGGAGTTGAGATGGCTCTGTGCCAAGTAATAAGAATAAATAGCACTTGCTGAAAGTTTTCAGTACAGCCTGTTGTATTTTTCACACAAATAGGGGAGGACAAATACTTCTACTTGTGGATCCGTTTGAAATTTTTAAAATGTGGATGTTCTAAATTTCAAGATGCTTAAGAAAGTGAGAAGATGAATACATGGCACACCATTCCAATTCCCAAATCAACACACAATCAAACAGAAACATTTAGATGTAAATCAACAGCTTAGAAAGCCTGGTCCCTGATTCTCTTTGACAAATACTAGACCACAGCCTTGATGATTATCAGCTCAGCAAAGCTAATGGCATTCACTGGTTTTACATACTAAGCAGCCCAGAGTTTAGCCAGACAATTTGTTTCTAGTTTTACATTCTCTGCTTTGTCACTCAGAAAGCAGAGACTGTAGATGACATTTAAGAGTCAGAGTATGTGATAAGTAGATGAGGGACATTGGTTGAAATTCTGTCAGGGAACTCATACCAAGTTTTTTATTAAAGTTCTACTGCACATGTAGACAAATATTTTCCTATCTAGGGCCTTTATGGCTAATTCAACATCCCATGCCTTTTAGTACAAATAAGGTAAGATGACCCAAATTCTATATGATTTCTGTCCACTTGTTTTGGATGGCATTAGACTCTCCCCATCAGAGTGTCTCTTATTTACTTTCTCCCTGGATTCTAAGGGTTGACTTTGGTGTTTTCCAGAACAAGCCTATTCACATTCCTCATCTTTATCATTGTTCCTACAATCAATGTCCATGCTAGGTAAGCAAGTCCGGAATGTGCCGAAAGCTGCCAATCCTAGTATTGCTGGAGTAATTGTAACGTCTGTGCAACAGTGGAGACAGTAGCCCTATCTTTGTCTCTCTGCTACACTCTGTCACCTAAGGCTTTGAAAAAACAAATTCCTTCAGCACTGAGTCACTCTCTTACCCCACTGGCATTCAAACTGAGTCCAAGGAACCAGATGGAGTACTGATGGCATGATATTCTGTCTCGTTTCAAGTCCCAGGTACGCACAAAAATATTCTTCCTACTCCTTTATCCAATGTGCCGCAGTCTCCTTTATAAATCAACCCATGCAAGTAGATAACTGACTCCCCAGGACAATAGATTTACACATGGCCCAACTACAAAAACAAATTTGGACACAGGGGAACCTTAATATAGGTCATAAATCACCTTTTTGCAGAGAGAAGTGGGGCCTGAGAGACTCATTTGATTTCGCTTTGAGATTGTCTTTTGTTTTTTGTTTTGTTTTGTTTTGTCTGGTATGATTTTGAGAAACTCAGGAAATACCCACATTAAACCATTCAAAGTTAAGGACAAAAAACAAAATTTTTCAATTAAAAATAAGCAACCAATACATGTCTATACTTGCCCTGTGGCCTGTCACATAACAGCTGGGAAAAGGTCTGGGAAAACAGAATAACAAAGTGAAGCT
Source organism: Homo sapiens (assembly GCF_000001405.40). NCBI lineage: Eukaryota > Metazoa > Chordata > Mammalia > Primates > Hominidae > Homo > Homo sapiens. The sequence goes on along the minus strand of NC_000005.10, from coordinate 144,421,045 downwards.
TAAAACCACTGAGGTAGAGAAGGAGCAGAAAGATGCTTGAGATACTAGAATAGAAAGAGGCTAAAGCAGATTACATAAATCTGATTTCCTCTGCTCAAATTCCTTCTATTGGCTTTGAGATGACTTTCATCAAGCGTGAAATTCACATTCGGAGGGCAATCCAAACCAATGCCATCAGGGAAGTTATTCTGAGGGTTATCTGTGAGCACAAGGCAGCGATTTTTGCCCCAGTCTCTCTCCTTTGATAGGTTTCCCAAGAATATTGACCTCCAGGATATGCTGAGGCTTACAGACAGGTATTTTCTCTTTGGTTTTATCAGAGATAAAGCAAAGGGTTGAGCCACATATATGCACCTATACATGATGCATTAGACCCTACCCAAAATGAAAATTAAAAGCAGTTCCCCTGACAAAGAACACCCAAACATGGATTCAATCCTCAGCCTCTATAAAAAAAGTACAGTTGTTCTATTATAACCATGGCCTCTGAAGAGTAAAATCCATGAGTGTGCACACACACACACACACACACATTTAAATAAGTCACTTTGGACCCATATTTGATTCCTGTTTCTTTCTTATCTCCCAGACCCAATCAGCCACCAAGTTTGTCAATGTCACTTCCTTTATTGCTATTATTATTATACTTTAAGTTCTAGGGTACATGTGCACAACGTGCAGGTTTGTTACATATGTATATGTGTGCCATCACTTCCTAAATATCACCATAATCTGCCTCTTTCCTCTTTATCTCCGTTACTCTTGCCTTAGTTCAATCTGCATTCCCCGACCAGTAAACTGCTGAGGTAGAGGGCAGGGATGCTTCAAGTTATCCTATAACGCACAGAACAGACTTTCACAACAAAACATTATCTGGCCAAAAATAACGCTGAGATTGATGAACTCCACACTCAAATATAAACACCATGAGGAAGGGAATTTATCTTGCTTTCTGCTGTATCACCAGCATTGAGAACAGTACTTAGTACCTGATACATGCTCAAAATATTATTAAATACATAAATAAATGAATATAAGCCCATGGAAGAATTGTACAAAAAGTTATTTGCCTTCTGCTTCAGGAGTTCTTCCTAGGTTACTTCTTACCGAGAGCTTCTGACTCGTCAGTTATCCTGATTACTTTGATCTACGTTTGCTAGTTCTGCGGTCATAATTGCAAAAAGCTATAAGCTCTCCTATGCAACAGGGTAGTCATTAGCCACAGGTGGCTAATTTAAATTAAATTACTTAAAATTAGATAAAATAAAAACTTTGGTCTATTCTTCATGAGCATTTCAAGTGTTATATAGCCATATGTAGTCAGTGTCTACCGCATTAAATAGGATAGGTATATTTCCACTTCTGCAGAAAAGTACTAGTGGAAAGTGCTGGTCTATAGGTATCAAGTGGATTATTCCCTCTTCATCTCCATGAGTAACAGCTGGAAATAAAAGGCATTTTTACCCCAGCCTTCATGATTGCCCTGCCTCCAGCAGCAGAAGAGGAAGAAACGCAGGTGTTTAATAACTAGAGGAGAAACCATCCCATTCACATTAAACATACACAGAGAAATATGATTGAGTTGACAAGAGTATACCTTGTTTGCAAAAGGAATGCTCTACTGGTTCAGGAGGGGAGGCCAATAAATCACTTTGTGCACAATTTCTTATGCATTTTTGTTTTGGTCATAAGAGAAAAGCAAGTAAAGTAGGCTAAAAGGTGATTTTAAAATCCAGCAACAGAACTGAGAAAAAGCTGCATGTAACAAAGCCCACTGTAAACCTTTCAGGACTGAAAAGGCAGTCAAACATAAGAATATCAGGGATGCAAATTACAATAGTGTGGGAGCATTTTCTCCAAAATACGTCAGAAACTGAGCAAGAAATATGTGTCAAATGGGCACAATGGAAATAACTTCTTACCAAGATCGTAAGAGTAGTATTTTGAGCAGCAAAGTGTTTTGATCTGACTGTATTTTAGGAAGACTCCTCCAACTACAATGAGGATAATAGCAATGAGAAACAAGATACCGACAGATGATGAGTTGTGTAACTAAAGACAGTGTGGCTTGGTGGAATAAGCATGAGCTTTGGGGTCAAAGGTTCTGTGTTCCAAACATAACCATGATGTTAATGGGTTGTAAAAGTTAGGGTGTATAACTTGACCTCATAATACTTCTCATGGTACACTGGAGTAATGATTCTGTGGGACTGTGATACAACTCGATATACATCTCTTCAAGCATGGTCTGGCACATAGACAGTCTATTAGAAAATGAAAATATTTTCAATATTAAAACATTTAACATCTCAGGCATAACTTCCACACTTGTTAAAGTGAGAAAAGAATTGGTTCCCTGTGTTTCTGCCAGGATTGGAAAAAGCAAGTAATGTCAAAAATAAAATTACTGCAACCCATATACCTAAGGCTAACTGATGTTTGACAAGAGCACCAACACCAGTAAAGAAGTACAGTCTCTGAGAGGTGAAGCCAGCTAGGCTTCTGGGTCCGGTGGTGACTTGGAGAACTTTTCTGTCTAGCTAAAGGATTGTAAATGCACCAATCAGCTCTCTGTGTCTTGCTAAAGGTTTGTAAACACACCAATCAGCACTCTGTAAAAACGGACCAATCAGCACTCTGTAAAACAGACCAATCAGCACTCTGTAAAATGGACCAATCAGCTCTCTGTAAAATGGACCAATCAGCAGGATGTGGGTGGGGCCAAATAAGGTAATAAAAGCAGGCCACCAGAATCCCCGTTGGCAACCCACTCGGTCTCCTTCCACGCTGTGGAAGCCTTGTTCTTTTGCTCTTTGTAATAAAGCTTGCTGCTGCTCATGCTTTGGGTCTGCACTACCTTTATGAGCTGTAACACTTGCCAAGAAGGTCTTCAGCTTCACTCCTGAAGCCAGTGAGGGCAGGAGAACCTACCAACCCACCAGGAGGAACGAACAACTCCAGACACCACCTTTAAGAGCTGTAATACTCACTGCCAAGGTCTGTGGCTTCACACCTGAAGTCAGCAAGACTACGAGCCCACCAGAAGGAAGAAACTCTGGACACTTCTGAACATCAGAAGGAACAAACTCCGGACACACCATCTTTAAGAACTGTAACACTCACTGTGAGGGTCCATAGCTTCATTCTTGAAGTCAGCAAGACCAGGAATCCACAGGAAGGAACCAATTCCAGACACATCTTCAACAAATAATACCAAAATAACTGCATATCCATATGCAGAAGAACGAAGTTGGAGCCCTACTTTACAACATAGACCCAAAAAAAACTCAAAAGGATCAATGAACATAGGAGACCTAAAACCATAAAACACTTGCAAAAAAGCATAGAACTAAATCTCCATGACCTTGGGTTTGGTAATGGATATGACATCAAAAGCAAAAACAAAAACAAAATAAAAATAAATTGTATCTCATCAAAAATTTAAAAATATTTTGTTCTAAGAAATTGTCAAAAAATGAAATGACAATTTACAGAATGGGAGAAAATACTGCAAATCATCTATCTGATAATTTTTTGGAATGTATAAAGTACTCTCAAAATACAATAACAAAAAAGGCAAACTCAGTTTAAAAATGAGCAAAGAATTTCACTAGACATTTCTCCAAAGAAAATATGCAAATGGGCAACAAACACATAAAAAGATGCCTGATTTCATTAGTCATTAGGGAAATGCAAATGAAAATCACAATGAGGCACCATTTGATATCCACTAATATAAGTATAATAATATATTTTTAAAATAAAAATAACAAGTGTTGATGAAGAGGTAAAGAAATTAGAACTCTCCACATTGGTGATGAGAAATAGAAATATTTAGCCCCTGAATATTCAGCCACTCCAGAAAACAATTTGGTGGTTCCTCAGAAAGTTAAATGTAGAATTACCATGTGACACTACAATTTCATTTTTAGGTATATATTCAAACAAGTACCTGTTCAAGCATGATGATAGCAGCGCTATTCACAAAAACCAAAAAGTAGAAGTAGCCTAAATCTCGTCAAGGAATAAATGGACAAACAAGTTATGGTATATAAATGTGATGAAATATTATTCAGCCATTAAAAAGGAATGAAGTATTGATACATGCTAGATGGTAGATGAGCCTTCCAAACATTATGTTAGGGGAAAAAAGCCACACACACAATATCACATATAGTTTTGACCTCATTTATATGAAATATCCAAAATAAATCCACAAAGACACAAAAACAGATTGGTAGCTTACAGGAGATTGTAGGAGGAAGAAATGGGGAAAAACTGGTTAATGGTTAAGGAGTTTTACTTTCGAGTGATGGAAATGTTTTGGAGCTTGATATAGATGGTAGTTGGGCAAAATTATGACAATATTAAATGCCACTGAATTGTTTGCTATAAAATGATTAATTTTATGTTATGCAAATCTCACTTCAATTTTTTTAAGTAAAAGAATTTTGTCATCTATAAAATTCAAAGCCAATTTAATTTCTCAGTGGAGGGACAATGACTTGGACCAAGAGTATCTTTAGTAAACATATTTCCTCTCTGTCTAACACATCTTAGTTCTTCAAAGAACTATCCGAGGTGTGTCTCATTCAATCTTCATAACATTCCCCTTCAGAAACTCTCAGAATGATGACGTAACTTGTCCAAGTTTGGGCAGAGTCCAGACTGAGTGTTGGGCTACTAGTCTGCCTTTTCTATCTTCCAACTCAACCATAACAACTCACCTTAACAAAAGAACTCAATAATGAAGGCAGCACACATATACCTATTTTTCTCTTGTAAACATTTCAATTAAGAAACAAAACTAAATATTTTGGAGATGGATGGACTGAGCTTGTGTTCTGCCTATTACTTGTACAACACTGAGAGAATTATTCAGTATCCATAACTCTTAGTTCCTTCATCTGTATAACAGGATTAAAAAACAGTACCTTCCTTGTAGAGTTATTGTGAGAATTAGAAGGATATATAAAGCATAACATATAGTATATGGTCAATGAATGATGAGCGACAGTAATATTTTTAATAGAATCCTTTCACCCATTCTACACTGTAAGATTATCTGTGTAATCAGAAACTTTCTAAAAGAAAATTCAATTTCTTTTCCCTCAGCACCCAATCATTTTGCATCACATGGTTTCCTTCAGGTCAGAGGCATATAATAACTAAGATGCTTATTTAAATATCATGGAATTAGCAGCTTCCAGATTAAGTCCTATTCCTTGGTATTGTTTTCAGTACCTCTGCCAAAATTTTAATAGCTAGCAGTAGTACAAGAGTTTTATATTTTACAAAGCACTTCAAACATATGTTTTCAAGTTTGATCCTCTTAATAACCATGGAAAATAGAAAGGCCTCGGAATTGACCCTGTTTCTCAGAGAGAAATTTGCTCAAAATCAAAGTCAACTGTTTGTCCATGGATCAGGATTTTTTGTACAATTCCTCAAAGCTTGTTTTGGGTCTTTTTTCTATGGATATAATTTATGTTGCAAGTGATAGAGATTGAGTCCCAATTGTTTAAAACAATAAGAAAATTTTATTGGCTCATAAAATGGATAAGTGTGAAAGATGATCTAGCTTTAGGAGTGGCTCAAACAATATCACCAGGTCCCAGTCCCTCCTCATCCCTTTCCTCTGCTCCACAATGACCTCATCCTCGGGTTCCATTAATGGTAATATGGTTGTTGCTATGGTTCAAATGTGTTCCCAGAAGAGCATGTGTTGGGAACTTGATCTTCAGTGTTATATGTTGGGAGATGGCGCCTAATGGGAGGTGCTTGGTTCATGGGGGCACTATCCTCATGTGTGGATTAATGCCTTTATTACAGAAGTGGGTTCATTATCATGGGAGTTGGTTTCTTACAAAAGGACGAGATTGGCTCCCTCTTGTTTCCGCTCTCTCACCCTCTCACCTTGCTGCATAGTAGGGCACAGCAAGAAGGCCCTCATCAGATGGGACCTTTGCTCTTGGACTTCCCAGGCTCAAGAACTCTGAGAAAATACATTTCTATTCTTTATGAATTACTCAGTCTCAGGTGTTCTGTTATAGTAGCCCAAAACAGACTAAGACCATTGCCAATAGCTTCAGACCAATCAAAATTTGTATGAGGATCAGCTAAAAAGGAGTGTGTGTGTCTGAGTTCCATCAGCAGTGTGTCTCAGTGTAATTAGCTCTGAACCAATTGCTGCAGACACACGAATACAAGGCTCTCATTGGTAGTCTCAAGTCAAATGTTCATTATTGTGTCTTGGGAAAGAGTAACTTCAACTAAAACACACTTAAGATTTGGAGAGAGGGTGATATAGCAGAAAAAAATTGAGGCATAAGTAGATGCTGATCAGCAAAAATGACAAATATCTACTGCATTGTGATAAATAAAACTTTGATAAATTTAAATTGGCTAAGTCATTTATGCTGGAGGTCATGTACCAGCAAGATATTCTGAAATGTATTTATTCCTTTATGCAAAAATCATGCAGTAAGTGCCTATGTTAATGCAAGCCTTAGGGATTCAGTGACTAAGAAGACATTGTCCCTGCCTGAACTAAGCCCATAAAGTAAGGATTTGAGTTGGATGACTTCCTATTTTCACACCATTAGTGGTTCCATCTTTCCCACTGCAAAAATAACATGAAACACTTTGCAGGAACACACAGGCCATGTACTCTTAGTGCACTCTGAAGGATAAAAATGTCATCAGTTGCCATGACAACCTGTTTGGGTTCTGAGGGTATGTAGCACTTTTTATACTATTAATCAGAGGCTAGACCTATTTTATAATACTATACAATGTCGACACCGTGGAGAGGAAAACATGAACGAAATAACAAGGGGAATATTGAAGAAATGACAGGGTATCATGCCTCCACTGACACCTTGAAAATTGGGAAGCAGAACTAAGTTTTTCTGAATATTTACTTATCTAACTTGTGGCTAGATAGATTGTTTTAAACCCACCCAGAAGTCTTACAGGTGTGAAATGTTTCCCAAGCAAATTTATCCACTGGGGATACTTACACTGACTTTTAAGGATAGAATGGATCTACAAGGTCACTTAATCCAATCCAGTTCCTTTAGCTCACAGATGAGGACTCTGCAATCCACAGAGAAAAAGTAGAGTGGCCAAGGTTTCACAGACCTAGTGACAGACTTCAAACCAGAACCTGGTTCTCCAGATTCTTAAATCGATGCTCATTCTGCAGCAACAAACTATTGAAGACCACTATTCAAAAGAAAGTACTCAGAGATTTTTGTAAGTTATACCCTTTGTATTCATTCCAGAGTATGCATTGTACATTGAACTCACAGGAGTCTCCATCCTGACCACGGAGATATGATGAATGACTAGTGTTAGTATAATAAATACCACAATTCCAGATAACTAACGAATCGTTTTTGTTTTAATCCTTCTTATAGTCCCTGATTTCCTTCCCCTTCAAGGGGGTCTTGTAGCATTGTTGGGGGTGGAGGGCTGATATTCTTGAAAGCAAACTGATGATACATTCCTGAAAAATACACGTGAACATTTTTCCCTAAGTCAACAAATGATATGTTAGACTAGTTCGTAAATGAATGAATTATGTGTAATCTTCAATTTATGGATTAAAAAATCTTGTATAAACCTGTATTCATTTGCTAGGGCAGCCATAAAAAATACCACACAATAGATGGCTTAACCAACAGAAATTTGTTTTCTCATAATCTTAGAGGCTAAAGTCTGAGATCAAGGTGTCAACAAGGTTGCTTCTTCTGAGGACCTCTCTGTCTTCACATGATGTTTCCTCTGTGCATGCCTGAGTCCTAATCTCCTCTTAGTAGGGGCACCAGTCATATTGGATTAGGACCCACTCTAATGACCTCATTTTAACCTAATGACCTTTTTGAAAAAGTATAGTAATTATATTTTTGTATTGATACCTAATAGATGTCCACATTTTCAGGGTACATGCAAAAATGTAATATATTCATATCATTTGTAAAGATCAAATCAGTGTAACTGGAATATATGGCACCTTAAATATTTGTTGTTTCTTTATGCTAGAAACATTCAAATTATTCTATTCTAGCCATCTTAAAATATACAATGAAGTATTATAAACTATATCACCCTACTGATAGATCAAACATTAGATCTTACTTATTTATTTATTTGAGACAGGGTCTCTCTCACTCTGTGGCCCAGGCTGGAGTGCAGTGGCATGATCTCGGCTCACTGCAGCCTTTGCCTCCCAGGTTCAAGCGACTCTCGTGCCTCAGCTACCCAAGTAGCTGGGATTACAGGTGCGCACCACCATGCCCAGCTAATTTTTGTATTTTTAGTAGAGATGGGGGTTCATCATGTTGGCCAGGCTGGTCTTGAACTCCTGACCTCAAGTGATCTGCCCACCTCAGCCTCCCAAAGTGCTGGGATTACAGGCATGAGCCACCGCATCCAGCTGAAACATTAGATCGATCTTCTTCTATTAAACTGTATATTTGAATCCACTAGTCAAACTCTCTTTATATCCCCTCCCCCTTACCCTTCCTAGCCTCTGATAAGCACCAATCTACTCCTTATCTTCACAGGATTCTTTTTTATCTCCTACATCTCAGTGAGAACATGTGATATTTGCCATTCTCAGCCTAGCTTATTTCACTTAACATAATGACTTCCAGTTTCATTTATGTAGCTGCAAATGACAGGATTTCATTTCTTTTTTATGGCTTAATGATTTTCCATTGGGTACATTTACCACATTTCTTTATCCATTTACCCACTGATGAGCACATAGGTTGATTCCATATTTTGGCTATTGTGAGTAGTGCTGCAATAAACATGGGAGTGCCGATATCCTTTCAATGTATTAATTCTCTTTCTTTTGGATATGCACACAGTAGTGGAATTGTTGGATCAAACTGTAGTCCTATTTTTAGTTTTTTGAGGAAATGTTATAGTTTTCCATAGTGGCTGTACTAATTTACATCCCACCAACAATATACAAGCATTCACCTTTCCCCACATCCTTGTTAGCATCCATTACTCCCTGTCTTTTTGATAAAAACCATTTGAACTGGGTTGAGATGATACTCATTGTAGTTTTGATTTTCATTTATCTGATGATTCATGATTTGGCAATTTTTTTATATATACCTGTGCTGGCCATTTGTATATCTTCTTTTGAGGAACATCTATTCAGATCCTTTGCCAATTTTTTTTTATTTTTGCTATTGAGTTGCTTGAGCTCCTTGTATGTTGTGGTTATTAATCTCTTGTCAGATGGATAGTTGCAAATGTTTTTTCCCATTACATGGATTGTCTCTCCACTTTTTTGATTGTTTCCTTTGCTGTGCAGAAACATTTTAGCTTGATGTAATTCTATTTGCCGGTTTTTGCTTTTGTTCCCTATGCTTTTGAGGTACTATCCAAAAAATTCTTGCTCAGGACAATGTCAAGAAGCATTTCTTCTAGGTTTTTCTCTAACACTTCAATAATTGCAGGTCTTGAATTTAAGTCTTTAATTCATTTGAGTTAATTTTTTTAATCTGGTGAGAGAGAGAAGACTCGTTTCATTCTTCTGCATATGGTTATCCAGTTTTCTCAGCACCATTTATCTAAGAGAATGTCTTTTCTCTATCATATGTTCTTGACACCTTTGTCAAAAAGGAGTTGGGTGTAAATGCATGGATTTATATCTGGGTTCTCTGTTCTTTCCATTGGTCTCTTCATGCATTTTTATGCCACTATTATGATGATTTGGTTACTACAGCTTTGTAGTATATTTTGAAGTCACATAGTGTGATGCCTCCAGCTTTGTTCTTTTTACTCAGGTTTCCTTGGGCTATTCAAGGACTTTTGTGGTTCCATATAAATTTTAAGACTTTTTTTCTAATTCTGTGAAGAATGTCATTGGCATTTTGATAGGGATTGCACTAAGTCTGTAAATTGCTTTTGTTAGTAGTGTCATTTTAACAATATTAATCTTTTTAATCATGAGCATAGAATGCCTTTCTATTTTTGCATCCTCTTCTATGTTTTCATCAGTGCTTTATAGATTTTGGGTATAGATCTTATCTTTCTAAAAACACTATATCTTAATATAGTCACATTCTAAGGTACTTGGGGTTAGGACTTTAACATATGAATTTGAGAGGGTAGGGAACGATAGCCCCCAAATACTCAGCTTATAACAGAGCTGTATTTAGATGCCTTAAGAACAAAGTATCAAGTTAGCAGAATATTTACAAATTAGCACAAGATAACTTATTTTGTGCGTTTATAGACATAATCAAACCTTCAGGCAAAAAATATATATATCTGAAATGCTATTTTCCCAACAGTATATTGCCTATCATTCAACCCCTAGTACCATGACAACATGAGCTGAGAACTTGAGGAACTTGACACATCAGATCAAGGAGGATAAAGACCAAATGTCACAGAAGTAATGAACAAGCCCAGAATAAATAGCAAAATAGGTCCAACTTTGGAATACACATAAGATTGTTATTGGAACTTGGCACGTTTGAAAATCCACTGTACAATCTAGTATTAGTTTCTATAGTCCATAAGAAAAAACAAAACCAGAACTTCCCTGCAAGTAGTCCTCAGAAATTATCCTAGTTACATATGAGGTTACATACAGGTAGGACATTATCATGAAAGTCAAATGAAATAGCAAAGCAGTACTAATGTTTTCTATATCTTCTACAGAAATAGATTTAATATATTAGTGTCATGAAGAATAAATAATTTAACAGCTGCATAAACCAAACAATGTATCCTATTCTGGACCTTTTGTTTGAGAAGGCACTAATCAAGGCCTCCTGCTTCAGGACCAGAGAACCAGACAAGCTAGGACAGCCTCCCCTTTTCTTTGCCAGAGCCCATGCACAGCAAAGCTTAGCCACATTTCCCAGTCATCTCCTCCTTGCAACCTCTGATCCAGCCATTCTAACTGCAAAGTTACTGAAGCAAGTCATGCTTTCTGTCCCATTGAGGCTTTAGTACATGCTAGTGCCTCTTCCTGGAGCATCCTTCCCCTCCTCACCCTCACCTGAGTAACAATGCCCTTCTGGTCCTATCTGAACTGTCAAAGTACCAAGGAAGTCTCTATGGCATCTCATATTCGCATTAGATGCCCTGCCTGTGGCAGTCTCACAAAACTCCCCCACCATAGTACTTATGACTATATTTCAATTGCCTGTTTTCATTTCTTTTGTTGTTGTTGTTGTTGTTGTTGTTTTGAGACAGAGTTTCGGTCTCGTTGCCCAGGTTGGAGTGCAGTGGCATGATCTCGGCTCACTGCAAACTCTGCCTCCTGCTTTCAAGCAATTCCCACCACATCCAGCCAATTTTTTGTATTTTTAGTAGAGATGGGGTTTCACAATGTTGGCCAGGCTGGTCTCGAACCCTGACCTCGGGTGATCTGCCCACCTCGGCCTCCCAAAGTGCTGGGATTACAGGCGTGAGCCACAGCGTCTGGCCCGCAATTGCCTGTTTTCATTGCTGTCTTCTCCTTGAGAATATAAGAGCCTTGAGGGCAGAGATGGTCTTGCTCATTGCTGTTTCCCCAAAGCCAAATATTGTGCCTATTTCTCATAGGATATGTGTTGAATGAGTGATGGATAACACAAGTGTCCCAAGAATTATGTCAAAGGTTCAGTCAGTAGAAACTACTTGTATAGATGTGAGGATCTGAAATAAAGTTTCCAACCTATAATATGCTTTTGTGGCAAGTTTTTTATGCCTGTAAAGCAAAACAAAATTTAATGGAGCATAACCAATGTAAAAACTTAAAGACATGTAAAAACACAGAAATCGGCTTCAAATTGTTTTCATTTTATGAAAAATAAAGCTAAGGCCTATACAGTTCTAGGAACTAACTCTGTTCAGTGATGGAAAGGATGAAACAGAACATAGATCTCTTGACTTCCAGTTCATTCAACCATTTGGTAGTATTAATTAAACATTTACATGTGCTAGATACTGGGGATATATGGGTGAATAAGAGAAGTAAGGACTCAGTCCTCATGAAGCATTTATTCTCATGAGGGAAGATAGACAATAGACTGGTAATAAGTGAGTCACAAAAATGTGACACAATAGAGAGCATGATACTATGTAAAGTGGCCTGGGATGGCCTCTCTGAAAAGGTGGCATTTGACCTGAAGTTAAGAAAGTGGGAGACATTTGAAGGTCTGGGGGAGGAATAAGGAACATGAAATGTAAAGACGGTTGGAAGGGACACTAGAATAAAAGAAAGGAGGTGATAATAACAGGAGTATAGGGAGCAAAGAGGATAATCATATAAAGTTGGAGTCACAGGCAGGAGCGATATCTCAAAGAGCCCAGTAGGCCAAGGTAACATATGTGGATTTATTCTAAATGCCTTGGGAAGCTCTGAGAGTGAGTGATATAATTGATATACCTCTACCTTCAAGACATTTTTTACCAAAGTACTGTGTCTGTTTAACCCAGTCATCATGGTAGACTTACACAGATCAGGGTGAAAATTTGGGGAATTAATGTAACAAATGAGCCAAAGACTCATTTCTAATGTATTTTCTGGAAACAAGAAGGTTTTATAGTTATACATAAATATACTTGTGTGAAAATTTATTCTCAATGCAATCTGACTGTACACTCAGTGCAATCTGACTGTGCATAAGTGCTTAAACCGTAACTGTGGAGCTAGGCTTTGTAATTCCACCAAGTTATAGTATTCAAAATGGAGTCCCAGTGAGAATTCTCTTTGCCAGGAGTTTGCAGAGCCAGTGATTATTTACAAGGATTATTCAAATACCAGTCCTTCTGCTCCTGGCTTTGTGCTTTTTTCCCAGTTAAACAATGTGCAGAAGAGCAACAATTAGAAAGTAATTGAGATCTTAATAACGTCTCTTAAAAATATGCAGTCAATTTAGATCAACCATTGTGGAAGACAATGTGGCCATTACTCAAGGATCTAGGACCAGAAATACCATTTGGCCCAGCAATCCCATTACTGGGTATATATCCAAAGGATTATAAATCCTTCTACTATAAAGACACATGCACACGTATGTTTATTGCAGCACTATTTACAATAGCAAATACTTGGAACAATCCAAATGCCTATCAATGATAGACTGGATAAAGAAAATGTAGCACATACACACCATGGAATACTATGCAGCCATAAAAAAGAATGAGATCATGTCCTTTGCAGGGACATGGTTGAAGCTGGAAGCCATCATTCTCAGCAAACTAACACAGGAACAGAAAACCAAACACTGCACATTCTCACTCATAAGAGGGAGTTGAACAAAGAGAACACATGGACACAGGGAGGGAAACAACACACACCAGGGCCTGTGAGGGGGTGGGAGGCAAGGAGAGGGAAAGCATTAGGAAATACTTAATGCATGTGGGGCTTAAAACCTAGATGAAAGGTTGATGGGTGCAGCAAACTACCACGGCACATGTATACCTATGTAACAAACCTGCACATTCTACACATGTATCCCAGAACTTAAAAGTAAAATAAAACATAATTAAAAAAAGAAAACAAGAAAAACTATCTATCAGGTACTATGCTTATTACACAGGGACAAAATAATATGTACGCTAAACCCCCATTATATTGCAATTTACCTATATAACCAACCAGAACATTTACTCCTGAACCTAAGTTTTTTCAAATCAAAAAAAAAAATACAGTCACTCAAACCCCCAAACTTTTACTTTATGTTAAGCATGAATTTAATGAGTTTAAGTGATAAGTTTCTAAAGAAACCCTAAGTGAAGCTGTTTTCTGCCTTATCTCTTCTAACATTTTCAACCTAAAATTTAGTTGATGACATAGTTTAAAAAAAAAAAAAAAACAGGAATTTTTTTAAAAAAAGATGAAAACTTCTGAGACTCTGATAAGGCTACACACATAATTTTTCCTACTCCCCTCGCCCACATCCCTCCTATCAAAGGCATGAACTTTACCATGTAATGCCTACTCAAGAGCCCTCCACCAGCTTCATTAAAAGCCTTCTTCTTGTTTGTTCCTCTCATCCCAGGGCCAAGGGAACCAAGTTCCACCTTTAAAGATCAGCTAAAAATCCTGTCCTGGTGCCCTGTATTGGAAGTGGATCAGGAATAAGATAATTTTGATCTCCAAATCCTGGAAAGATAAACTGAGAATGACCAATGAGTTTCTCTGCCTTACAGTTTCATACAGAGGCTGGCAGCAGCTGAAGAAAATACCCCAGCAGAAGCTTGCATAGATTGGCATATCACCGACTTAGTTGGAATCTCCACTGTCTGAATCTTCAGCCTTTTCCATTTTTCAGTAGCTTTAACTTTCTGTCTTCCATCACACCATACTTGCTTCTCCATTCGTTGCTGTGAATGAGTGCCGTTGGCCAAGGTTTGTGAAGCAGGTGCCAACTTCGTTATTTTCACAAATGTGATGTAAATGTTATTACGAAATGAGATAAACCATAACCGGTGCATCTCGACCACAGAATAATAAGGAAGGGGAAAATCTTGCCTTTTGACAACTAGTAGAGAAAACCTGTCACTTATATATGGACATTTCTAGAACAGATCATTGGTAAAGCATTCAAAAGACACCCTGCCATTGAGTTATTTTTAAATATTTTTAAATTATTTGCTCAGTTCAAATTATAAATAACTCTCTGACCTTTAAGGACTTTTCTTTTCCTTTGTGTTAAATTGTAACAAACTAACATCCTTCAGCCACAATAAATTTGAGACAAAGTAAGGAACTAACTAACTGTGCCTCATGATGGGAAAACATAAATCATTGCCGCTCAGCCACTGCTTAGGGCTAGAACAGCCTTTGTCCAAACTAAAACACTGTGTGCTTGCTGTGGGCTGCCTTTCATTAGGCTGAAATCACTTTGGGAATTCTCAGGGTGCTTCCTGGTTATCTAAATAAGTCCTTCGGTAGTCAGGCGCAGGGGCTAGGATAGTCATATCATTTGCTAATACAAATAGCCTTCTTTACAGGGTACTTAACAACAAGCCTCAGTATGTCACCAGAATTAAAAAGCATATCAATAGTGCTTCTACTTTTCAGCAAATCTGTTCTATAAATAGTTGATGGCTTTGTTTTTCATCCACTCCATTGGAAACTCAAAATTAACTAGGATTTCCAATGGGGCTTAGTATCACCAATGGTTTTAAAATAGCTACTTGGGAAAGATAAAACTCACAGCCTGCCCAGAGAGCCCTACTGTCTTGGGTCTTTCTGGTCATTCTACTGGAGATTCCCACTAATCCCTTCTGCAATTCCAATCAATTTTCTGAAAAACATAGCTGTTTGCCAACAAAAGCCCAACCAAACCAGCATCATCAGGGAAGCAGCTTCCCGCATTCTAAGGCTTGCTAGAATGTTTGGCCCTGGAGCTACAAGTTCAGAGCTATCTGGTGAGCTGTGCAAAGCAGAGAATCTAAGTCCTCACCTTAGCAGGATAAGGCTTCTCATGTGTTACAGAGAAACAAAACTAAGACAGGGGTCTAAAGAAGAGTCTTCAAGCACAATAAAGGTTTATTTTACAGAAATAGTTACTGGCAGGTCTCCATCTCTACTGAAGAGAAAACAAGAGGAATGAGATGCACGCTGTGACAGCAGGGATCAAGGTATCCAGGAAAGTAATTTGCCAAACATTGCAGGGTCCTAGAAAAGTCTTTAAAGCTCACAACATTCTCATTGGCCTGAATTCAATCCAATCTCCAGCAAAATATGGTTTGTAGGAAACCATGCTTAAACATTCCCTTGACTTTACTGTAATTTTCATACTAGAATTTACCGAGGTAGTAACAAAGCAAAATGGGTTTGATTTAACATGGATTGTTAATTTACACAAGTAATTATAATAAGATGATTTAAAGCTTAGCCTTTGGAGTTAGAAAGTTGTGGTTCAAATTCTGGCTTTCATAGCTGTGATCCTGGGCAAATTACTTAAGTTCAGTCTCCCTATGAGGAAAATAATAGTGTATAAAGTGCTTAAGAAAGTACCTGTTATCCTAATGCACTCAATAAGTGTTAACTAAATATTAGTATTACTATTAGTATTCATTTCTGAACTTTACATATGACATGGGAAAGATGTGTCTTAATTCCTTTCAAGATAGAATGGAAGCCAAAGTCTGACATCACAGATAGCACTCTGTATTCTTGCCAGCTCTGCACCTGCTAAAGTGGGGAGTAGTTCGGAAGTGAAATAATCTGTGTTCACCTGTGTAGATGAAATCCAGGGACCAGGAAGGCACCTTAACATTTATTTCTAGGTAAATTTCCCCACCAAGCAAACCTGCCACCTCTCTACCACAGTCAGATCCATAATAGAACACTCCCAACATGCCATGAGCCCAAATTCTCTGTTCTGGCTTCTCAATGAAGAGGGAGAAATGAACAGACCTACTGGTTTTGCCTGTTCAATTTTCCTTTATAATTATATATTTCTGCTTTTCACTTTCCAAAGCATGTCGACATATGCCAACTCAGATGTATCATAGTTTTAGTATCCCTGTGACCCAGAAAAAGAGATATCTGCACAAATGATGATTGAGGGATATTTTCCATCACCAGGATACTTATCAACCAAGTCATATACATCTTTCTCAAATTAACAGGGAGAAAATATTCATTGAATACGAAGGCTAGTCAAGCATTCAGTATATAGGGAAAAACAGAATACAGCTGTTAATGATAATAATATCAATATTAATTGATATTTATTGTTTGTTTAATACTATTAAGGGATGGTATTAAACTATTCTCTTTGCTATATGATTCCAAGTCAGTTCATAGGGAATAGCATGTCATTTTCCCTTCTGCCAATAGGTGAGGGGCTTGCTACACAGAAAGTTTGTAAACTCTTTTCTTCCATCCTCTTACTCTTTTTCCAGAAAGAGGTGCTGTTATTAAATGAATTGAGTAGAGCATGAGACATTCTCAGGCCATCTTTTTAAGTTGGGTGTGAGAGTGCTGTGTGTTAAAAATAGAGTTCTACGCTCCACCCTTCCAGAGGCATATCCCATGAAATAAGGGCCTGGGGGGATGCGCACGGCCTGCTTCCCAGGCCTAGCTCTCTGCCACTCATATTATTGCCAGCCCCTCCTACATGGATTTGATGGAGTAATTAGACCCTAAGTTTGTTCTACCAAATAGAATGGGGGTGGAGTTTTCAAAAGCCTCACTGTTACTTCCAGAATGATAGCTTATGCTTTGTTACTACTTACCAGAGAGCCCTGAACTTGGGAAGAGTTGGGGAGGGAGGAAAGAGCACTGCCTATGTGTGGCAGGTACACTGACAGTGGCTCCCCAAAGATGCCCATGTTCTAATCCCCAGAATCTGTGAATATATTGTCTTACATGTTATATTAGTTTCCAAGGGCTACTATAATCATTTTTATAAACTGGTGGCTTAAGACAATAGAAATTTATTCCAGAGGCCAGAAATCGACAACCAGTGCATCACCAGGGTGGTTCCTTCTTGGCAGCCTCAGAGGGAGAATCTGTTCCATGCCCCTCTCTTAGCTTCTGGTGGTTACTGGCAATCCCTGGCTTTCCTTGGCTTGTAGACATATCACTCAGATCTCTTGCTCTGTTGTCACATGCTGCTCTCTGTGTGTCGCTTCTGTCTATGTGTCTTCACAGGGCATTACTCTCTCTGTGTGTCTGTGTCCAAATTTTCCTTGTCTTATTAGAACACCATGCATTGGATTAGGCCCATTCAGTATAATCTCATTTTAACTTTATTACATCTACAAAGATGCTATTTCCAAATAAGGTCACATTCATAGGTACCAGAGGTTAGGACTTCAGCTTATCTTTTTGGCAGACACAATTTAATCAACAACATGTGGTTAAAAGGGACTTTTCAGATGTGATTAAATTAAAGATCTTGAGATGGGAGATAACCCTGGATTATCCAGGTGTGCCCGATGTAATCACAAGAACCCAAGAGGGAGGCAGGAGGACTAGAAGTCAGACAGAAAAAGGCTTTTCAGCCACAAAGGCAGAAAGTAGAGTGATGTAGCCATAAACCAACAAATGCCAGCAACCCAAAAGTGGGAAAAAGTAAAGACAGATTCTTCTCTGGAGTCTCCAGAAAAAATCAGCCCTGTTGACACTAATTTTACCCCTTAAAAGGCTTTTTGAACTTCTAACCTCCAAACGGTAACAGAATAAATTTGTGGACTGTAGGCCACTACATTTATGGCAATTTGTTACAGTAGCAGTAGAAAATGAATGCACTAGGTAATTTTAAAAACCAGATATTTATATTTTGTTTTCCATTGATATTTGTGAACATAGTTCCCTTAACAAAGGGAAAAATAGGTGAGTGGTAAAATTTTAACATTGAAATCATGCCAGAAATCTGTAGCAATTAGGTTACACAACTGAGCTAAACCCTCTTGAGAGATTATCTTATGAAATCTTCAAAACAACGTTTTGAAGTAGGTACTCTTATTATTCCTAATAAAAGTCTGAAGAAAATTGAGGTCAAGAAACAATAACTTGTAGCTAGTAAGCAGTGGAGTCAGAACCTGAACTCACATCAGTCTAACTTATATTCTTCCTTATCACTAAGCTGTACTCTTCTTGCACCCATCTGCAGTGAGGTAGACGACCTCACTCGACACAGGACAGAAAGCCTGGCCTACGAAGGGTGCAAAAGTGGCACACTTGTAATTTGTCTTCACACAAAGGAAGCGATCATTGCTTCCCTGGCCACCTAAGGAGAGGTGGGGAAGGAGAGGCCAAGAAAACATCTTTCTGCCACAGATGCTATTGTGAGCTAATAAATTAGCCCAGAAAAGCCCCTTCTATAGCCAACGAACAGTTAATGGTGCCAGTATCCAGTTGGCAGAAGAAGAGTAACAGCCTTGGGCACTGCATATGCAAGGGGATTCTGGCTTGTACACTAAGTTGACCTGTTCTTCTAAAGACAGAATATGAGAAAATCAGTCCCTCTTCCCTCTTTCTTTGGTTATTTCTGAGCTCCTGGAAGATGTCCAGAACAGACTATGAGCTTCATGACAGCACCTTCTCTGTTGTCTCACTTCTGCTCTCAAGCCTAACACAGCCCCTTGGATGTAAGTGCTCCACAAATATTTGATAAATGAAGAGAACAGGAATCCAACATGCCTAGATTCATACATCCCCTTCTATCACATATAAGCCTGTGTTAATTTGAGTAATTCACTTCATCTCACTGAGCTTCTTTCCATATCTATGAAATACAGATTTAAAATCTGAGAAGCAATAACTTTACCTTATAAAGCACTGTAGACTTACAATGCTTAGCAAGATATTCTGCCTAGAAATTATTTCTAAATAAATATTCACAAGTGAGTAATTGGATGAATAGATGGGATAGATGGTAAAGGCAAGTTGGACATATTTTTGTTGCCCCAAAGCAATGCTAATATTGCAAACATCCATCCTTCTGCAAAATGCCCAGGAAACCCTGCCCACTCTCACTTCTCAATGCTGTTGGTGGACTCAAGATGGCCAGAGGTTACCCAAGAGCCATCAGCTAAATCAGAGGTACATGGAAACAAATCAAAAGCATGATTGGTATGTCTTTAACTTTTTTTAATACATATTGGTTTGTGCATTTATGTGTGTGCATGTATGCTCTGTGTGTTTCAGTCTAACATACAAAGACATACACTCCTACACCAGTTGGAATTAAGGAGATGATACACCTTTCCAGTATCACCTGTACTCCTAAGAGTGGTCTCACTTCTTTTAGTTATCAATAGTTATCCATCGCTGTCAATTCTTTGTTAAAAATTTCATATGATTGGTGCTGTAATTTAGTTAATTAATTAATTGTAATTAAATTAAAATCAACATATCCCATCCTTGGCAGGAATGTGAATGTGATGTATAGGTCAGCACACGTATCAGAGCTGGCACTCACCACTCTGTTCAAGGCAGTTTGCCTCTTTGAGCTTCAGCTTCTTCATAAGAAGAGATTCACACTTGATCCTTACCTTGTCTTCAAGGTCTCATGATATGTCCCTGCCTACCTTTCCAAACTTTGGCCCGCTACTGATTTTGCCCCAATTGCCCTGGCCTTTTCTCTATTCCCCAATATGTAAAGCTTTTGCATAGCTCCTGGCCTTTGCACTTATTGTTCCCTCTGCCTGGAAATGCTCTTCCTTCAGCTTTTCACATCACTGACTTCTTCCCCACCAAGTCTCAGCTCAAATACCTCCTCCTTAAAGAGGTCTTTTCTGATTGCCCAATCTGAATTTGCCAACCAGTTCTTATCATCTATTCTCATTTTGTTTGCTTCATTGCATTTATAAATATAATATTTTCTTGATATTTATTTAGGTATTGCTTGCCTCCTATCAGACTGTAAGATCTATGTAGGTAGAGACCTTATCTGCTTCAGTCATCATTGAATTCTCAGCATGTAAAACAGTGCCTGGCACATAGATGGTGTTGAAGGAGTAATTTCTAAGGTCCCTTCCACATGAAATGTTCTATATCATGTTATAATCTACTGCTACTCATATTCCACACCCCTATTTCCCTGAAACACTATGATCAATAATAACACTAAATAAATGTTGATGTGTTGCATGAGGGTTCATCTGGTGTGAGGGTCCCTGCAGCTGTGCTCTGGGCAAGAGATTCTGATGCAAGTTTTATGTTTTGGAACTCTGCCTGATTGGCTTCCAGAGAGATAGCTAACCACCTCCTTCCTCCCTCTCAGGCTCTGGATTCCTCCCTTGTTCCAAACTGGTAGAGATATCATACCTACGAGGGTCAAGAGTCAAATGTATGTGGGCATTTCTTAGGGAAGCCTCCTCATTGCTCTCCCTTCTTCCCTGCAAGGTACTTCCTCTGTCCAGCAGGCACCTATCCCCACAAGAACTGTATCCTGGTTAAGCCAAACTACCTTCCTCTGTCTGAATCAGAGATGAAAGAAATTTCTTTTATTATAAACCTAGGATTAATTTGTATCATGCAAAAATAATCAATATATTTAGGAAGTAAAACTATTGAAAGTAAAGAGATGCTGAGACCACCATCATGTCTACTTTGTGGCTGTAGCCTTTGAAATGGGAAAATAGGAGCATAACTTAAAGAAAATTCTGAAACAATTGAGGATTTAAATTCAAATTTTATATTCTCAAAAAAAGAAGTTCTAGCACCGGAAACTCCTTAATTCCCTTCTCTGCTATCAGAGATAGAATCAATCTTAGATCTTTGCTCACATCAAGCTCTAGAAAATTCAAACAGGCAGAACTGCTTTGGTTCCAGAAGGGCAGAGGATGAGAAAATGAGATGAGTGTAAGAATATCATAATAATTTTTGCTATATTCATGAGCAACTTATTTTTATGTGTAAAATTGTTTGTTCATCTGGTGTATCAATGAGACTAGTGAAGATTACAATGAATGTATTTCATGGACTAGACTAGCTATCAATGAAATATATTTTAACATTTTAATCAGATTTTTAGAATGAGGAAAGGGTATATTTTCATTACTAATCAAATGGTTGCAATTCAAAAATGTACTTGTAATTCATATGGCGGCCAAAAAAAAGTAAAACACAACCACTTTGCTAATGGGAAACTGATTCTATTTCTAAATAAGCAGTAACAACAAATTACAAAGCTGAAAGAAGCCTAATCACTGTCTATTTTTTTAAATTAATGTTCTGGTTTTGCACTAACCCTAGATTCTACACACAAAAAATATTGAAAGAAAAAAAAACATTAGTTAATGGTAGGCTGCTTATACTCAGGGAATAGAGGAGATAGCAGTGACCTAGATAACTTGGGAGAAAAACAAAATTTTATGTGAATTATCTTATGCTAGGTAACCTGTATAAGATAATACATCTGTGCCACGTATGTTCCTAAAGTTCAATATGCACAACTACCGTTTTGCTTTAATCTTCAGATTCCTTCTAGTACCAAGAGTCATACTTCATAGATAGTAGGAGTTCAGTCAACACTAGCTTTAAGAGAATACAAATGAGTGTATTGCTCCTCTGTATTAGCAAACGTGCTGCCGTTTCACTCTGGTACTTAGAGATTTCCCTTGGAGATTTTAATTCACAGGAACCAACTGAGAATCCCATATTTAACCTTGCAGCAAAGGTGTTAAAAGTCATGGTATATAAGATGTAAATGCAAGGAAGTACCAAAATTTAACAACAAAAAGCACAGTGGTGTTTACATTGCAAAACTTTTCTAAATCCTAAAGAAATAAAAATATTCAGAAAAAATATTATAAATACACAGTAAAAACAGGAAAGTCTGTACCAGAGTCTTCCTTTGGGGTACATTTATATAAGAGAGAGAGAGAGAGAGAGAGAGTGTGTGTGTGTGTAATATATTCAAAGGTATTTATATTAGGTTATTTGTATAACTACTCTTTTTTATAGAAGGAAGCATTTTTATATGTAGCCAAGCTTCAAAACTTGTGAATAAATTTTAAAAACAACTTGCGGATATAAGATAACTAATATTTCTAGAGCTCATGCTGGAGGGACTTAATGGGGAATTAGCAATGAAGTAAAGAAAATTCTCACTTTTTCTTAACAATCTGCCTGTACTCTAACTATGTAAATTAGCATAAGCTCATAATCATGTTGGCTTAAAATAAATCATTCTGGACATAAACATAATAAGATTGAGGAAAACTAGGATTTAATAAAAATGTTAGTATGTGTGTATAATAATAACAGATGCAAGCAGCTCTTCTCTTTACTACCTGACATGTTACCACCATTTTAATGGTAAATATGAAAAATAGTAGTGAACATGTTACTGAATATTTTTGAAAACTATAAGTTAGAAAAGTACCTAGTCACTACTAGAAAATCAAAAGCCAAGCAAGGCATCATTAATAGGTTTTGCTGTGGGATTTCCACTTCTGGCAAGGCAGGAACTTCACCATATAGTCCATTAAGTTGTGGTATTAAAAACACAAAATAATCAATCCATGCTCTCATTGTTCAGCTATTTTGACTACTTGTTCATCAAGCCAGCTTACCTACATGGGGACACAAACAGCTGCTAGAGCAAGATCTGGGATTGAAGACTTCACCTGACATGCTCTATCCAACACAGTCATTTTATTTTATTTTTTGGGATCATCTCAAGGGGAATCTGAGACATGTTCTTCTCACTAACATCAGAGATAAATTCTTTTCATGGACCATTAGCCTGTGTCTCCATCATTTCCAAGATAATACAATACAATTGCTTCCTTAAAGTGAATTCAGCCTCGTAGTATAGTTTGAAGTCAGGTAGCGTGATGCCTCCAGCTTCGTTCTTTTGGCTTAGGATTGACTTGGCAATGCGGGCTCTTTTTTGGCTCCATATGAACTTTAAATCATCATCACTGGCCATCAGAGAAATGCAAATTAAAACCACAATGAGATACCATCTCACACAGGTTAGAATGACAATCATTAAAAAGTCAGGAAACAACAGGTGCTGGAGAGGATGTGGAGAAATAGAAACACTTTTACACTGTTGGTGGGATTGTAAACTAGTTAGTTCAACAACTGTGGAAGACAGTGTGGCAATTCCTCAGGGATCTAGAACTAGAAATACCATTTGACCCAGCCATCCCATTACTGGGTATATACCCAAAGGATTATAAATCATGCTGCTATAAAGACATATGCACACGTATGTTTATTGCGGCACTACTCACAATAGCAAAGACTTGGAACCAACCCAAATGTCCAACAATGATAGACTGGATTAAGAAAATGTGGCACATATACACCATGGAATACTATGCAGCCATAAAAAAGGATGAGTTCATGTCCTTTGTAGGGACATGGATGAAGCTGGAAACCATCATTCTCAGCAAACTATTGGAAGGACAAAAAACCAAACACTGCATTTTCTCACTCATAGGTGGGAATTGAACAATGAGAACACTTGGACACAGGAAGGGGAACATCACACAGTGGGGCCTGTTGTGGGGTGGGGGGAGGGGGGAGTGATAGCATTAGGAGATATACCTAATGTAAATGACGAGTTAATGGGTGCAGCACACAAACATGGCACATGTATACATATGTAACAAACCTGCATGTTGTGCACATGTACCCTAGAACTTAAAGTATAATAAAATATATATATATATATATATAATAAATAAAGTGAATTCAGCAATGCTAAAACAATACATAAATAATAAACAAGGAACTTGACTGGAAGATGCCACAAGTCAGTTTATATCTCGGGGACTGGAAAGCAGACTGATTTTTCTATGAGACATTAGAGCATTGATAAGCATGAGACTTATTTTGAGCCTGTTTTAGGAAACAGAGCAATTCTTGGGTGTTTTGATTTGCAATGTTACATTTTAGGTTTGATCAGAGGCCTGATGTGGACTTGAGAGGTGATTAAAATGTATTATGTGAATATGTCACGTGTAAATCTTACAAAGCTTCTGTGCTTACCTCTTTAATTGGAGGCTCTGACCCACAATTATCATCTAAGTAGGAAAAATATCAGCTAAGTTTTAATTTAGTCCACCAATAGTTTTCCCACATCTCCCCCAAATCAAGGACCAGGAATATGTTCCGAGTTTTATTCAAGTATATAAACGCAAATGTCCTTGAATGTAAATCCTGAGCTTTGACCTAAGGCAAAATGAGGTTAATGGAACAAAGTTTTGTGTTTCCAAAATGGGTGGCTAAGATCAGTTATGCCTCTTGGACATGGACACCTCACTTACATCAAAAGGATAAAGATGTCAAGGGCTGGAAAGTAATGAGAGAATTTGTAAAGGAAATATCTGGATAGAGCTGCTGCCGTTTGGCCGCCTCTTCTCCTTAAATGTAAGGGAGGGACAGAAGTGCTCTTCAAGGAGAACACCTAGAGAGCCTAATAAATCCCTGCAGTTGGTATCTGACAGGCAAAGTGGGAGAAAATGGGTCTGATTTCCCATTTTCTCCCTCCCCATTATGTCATCCACCCCCAAAATCTAGAGCAGGGTTTGCAATTTTTTTCTGCAAAGAGACAGATAATAAATATTTTAGGTTTTGCAATTCATATAGTCTCTTGCACATTGTAGTGCAAAAGTAACCATAGACTATACATAAACTAACAGATATGACTGTGTTCCAATGAAACTACTTACAAAAACAGGAAGCAGACCAGAGTCGGCCCATGGGCCAGAGCTTGCCAACACCTGATGTAGAGGCTGACAGACATCCTGAGCAGCAGAGCAGAGTGGCTGCTGCACTGCCATCAGTTTACTGGACCACAGCTGTCAGGCAAAGATGCTTGATGGCCTCCCATGGTCCAGATCAGGACCATGGTGGGAAGAGATGGCCTGCCTGGAACTGCTTGAATTCTCCCCAAAACGACTACCTGGGAGGACAATAGAACTCTAATAGGGGGATTATTGTGGAGAGAATTGCTGAAACATATGGCTGTAAGCAGGAACTGCTAGTGCTGAATAGGTAGGCTGTGAGTAAGGAAGAATAGAGAAGACTACTACAGGTTCCTGCAGGCAGCTGGCCCAGCTGCGATTGCAGAGAAGACCAAACAACTGTGCTGAGACCTATTTGCCCTTAATATATCCATAAGAACTTTATTGCAGCAGAATGCCCAGAGAAGGCCTCCAGGAGTTCTCCATGAAAGGCGGCAAGACCTCTTTTCAGTGGATACATTTTATAAGAAGCTTGAAAAACAAAAATAAACTTGCATTTTGATTGCATTACATAAGTTGTTTAGTTCAGTATATCAGACACGGACATATCGCCTCCCCATGCTTATCTGTGAAAAAAGAAATCGATAACTGAAACAACTATCTGGGTTATTAACCCAATTAAAAAACACTCCATGATTGCACTGATTCTCCAATTTCTGCCTTAGTCCTTAAGTGGGTCTCAAACTCTAGCAAGCATCAGAATCACATGGAGGGCTTCTAAAATAATATAAATTGCTGGGCCCCACTCTCAGAGTTTCTGATTCAGTTGGACTGAGGTGGGCCTAACAATCTGCATTTCTAACAGGTTGCCAGGTGATATTGCTGCTTCTGATCCAGGACCAGGCTTTGAGAACCACTGGGTTAAGCAAGACTAGTTTCCGGCTATAACTTGTCATCTCATCAAGAATAGGACCTTCTAGTGTTATTTGGTGTACTAATTCATTCTCACACTGCTATAAAGAATGGTCAAAGACTGGGTAATTTTTAAAGGAAAGAAGTTTAACTGATTCACAGTTCCGCATGGCTAGAGAGGCCTCAGGAAACTTACAATCATGGCAGAAGGTGAAGGGAAAGCAAAGACCTTCTTCACATGGTGGCAGGAGAGAGAAGAGCAAGCAGGCAAAATGCCAGATTCTTACAAAACCATCAGATCTCGTGAGGACTCACTCACTATCACAAGAACAGCATGAGGGTACCCATCCCCATGATCCATTCACATCTCACTGGGTCCGTCTCTCGACATGTGGGGATTATGGGGATTACAATTCAAGATGAGATTTGGGTGGGGATATAGCCAAACCATATTACTTGGGCATATATCAATACTTAATTTGTATGTTCATATGGGTCATTAGTCATGTCCAGTTCAGTTTTCAGAGAACAACTATGGCAACACAATGATTCATTTGTGTTGCCAATACCACTTATCTCTTCTTATATCATAGGCAACTTTTCTCAAGAAACCTGGACTTCCTGGCCTTTTCTTTACTTTGCTAATGTATGACATGAAGGTACTTTCCATCAATATCAAGCATTTCATAAAATGTCACCAATCTATCCAATGCAAAAAAAAGTATATTGAAAAGAGTTTACTGACATATTGTCTGACATTGTCATGATCCATGAGTGGCAGAAAATGGACACCCAGTGAGTAGGTAGATTTCCATCTGGCAAGAAGATGGCTGTAATGAGTACCAATGTGAAATGACAGATAGTAATAGAAACTAGAAAGTCGATGGGAAAATTAGCTTTCCTTGTTTCACATCTGCACGACAGGGGGAGCTGCCAATCATCAACTCCAGAGAGAGAGGCTTATTTGGGTTCCCGACCATGTGCAAAGCCATGTTCTCCTAAGTTTAAACAAAAAAAAAAAAAAAAAGAAAAAAGAAAGAAAAAAAGGAAAAGCAAAAGAAAAAAACAGCATGAAAAAAATAATAAAATTCAGCCTGTTAGAGAGCTTTAAACAAATGTGGAGCTGCGAAACAAGCTGTCACAAATTGGCACAGAGAATGCAGAAAATCAATGTGAAATGAAATCTGCCTCTCCTAACAAAATAAAGTTGGCAATTAACTCTTCCCATTCTTCCTGCAACCTACAAGTCATTGAAACTACAGAATGCAGGTTGTCAGGGAATAGGCCAATGCTTTAAATATATAGCCTACTCTCTCCTATAGCATGGTAAGTGGGTAAGAAATAGGCATGCAGGTGGCAGAGAAGACTTGGCTTTCTTAAGTACATATATGTATATGTATACATACACACACACACACTCACACTCTCTCTCTATATATATACACACTGTATTACCACATAAAACTAAGAACAGATATTTGAGTGCCCCAAATTATACTTGTTGCCTAGGGGTTGAGTAGTATGACACAGGGCTAGAAAGTCACCTGACCAGCGTCTTAATAATATTCACATAGAAAAACACACAGATTTACCCCCACTTTAAAAAACAAGTTAGAAACTAAAACATTTCAAACTTCTCATATGTTTAGCTTTTTAGCTCTCTCTCTTCGTTGAATGACATATAAATAATAATGAGTAAAGGAAGTAACTAAAGCAATTACAAAAGTTCCAAAAAAATCTTTCTAGAAAGACCAGGATATTGATATCTTTCACCAACTAATATCACAAGATTATTGCTCTGAATCAAGATGTAGGGGCAACAGTGATGAGCTATAGTTCTACCAACAGAATTCAGAAGTGCTAAGTGCTATAAAAAGGGCTATAAATGGTTAAAAATTATACTATCATTCATCATAGTATTGTTATAGTATCCTCATATGTGTAAAAATGGAGTTTATTTTTAAATTAATTATGATGCCTATATATGAGCACAGTATCAATTAATATAATTTTATGCTCTGCAATAACAAACAACCTCAAAATTTCAGTGGTCAGCACACAACAAAGGTGTACTCCCTTCTTATGCCATATCTAATGCTGGCCAGCGGAGGAACTGTTCATCATAGCCACTCAGGGGCTTGCGTTGATGGAGGCTTCACGTGCGCATGTGTTTCCATGCACACCAAGAGAGAAGCTAGGGAACACAGCAAATCACTCATTTGTTCTTAAATGTTCTGTCCAGAAGTAATACAAGTTATTTCTCTCAGTTTCATTGACCAAAGTCAGTTTTGAAAGGTTCATGCCTACCCTTAAAAGGAGCTGAGGGATTAAATCCTACAGTGCCCCCAGAAAAAGGAGCGCTAGAGATACATGGTAAACAGTAGCAAGGCCAACCGCAGCCATCCACATTTCTTGCCTGGATGACTGCAATAACCTCTTAGCTGGTCTACGTGTTTTCACATAGGTCCACCTCTCATCTGGTCACACAGCATCCAGAGAGCATAATATTTTGTCCTTTTTAACACAAATCTAGTGGTCATAGTGGTCTCATGCTTCCATACACTTCAATGACTTTGCATTTAGCTTATAATGAGATTGAGCATCTTAAATGAGGCTCACAATGTAACTGCTGCCTACCACTGTGCCCTCAGATCCTTCTACTCACTATTTGAGCCACTCAAAGCACTTGCACTACGCACCTCACTCATAGCCACATTGGCCCCCTTTATGTTTCCTGAATTCATGGGGCTTTTTCCATGTGCTTTTCCCCCTGCATTGCTCCTGATTCCTGCCCTGGCTTGCCAGCTTACCACTGCTCATTTCACGACTTTCTGTTTTCACTAACTCTGTATCTCTCTCCCACACCGTTTGTTTCCTTCATGGCAACTATTATAACATACATTTAATATAACTATTAAAACATACGTTTAATTTTACAGTTATAATTATATAGTCATTAGGCTTACCTAATACCTTTCTTCCTCTGTAAATTCACCAAGAGAAGAAATAATGGTTTTTTCCCCACCATCTATAGATTTATACATAGCACTTAGCACACAACTTGTCATTGGGTAGGCACTCAACAACCACACAGATAAGTAAATTCAACACAATTCTACTATTAATGTCTAATAAAGATCATCAGATCAGTTAACATTTGTGTAGCAGAAAGCAGCTGATCTGGTATTTAAACAGAAAATCCAAATGTTAGCATTAAACACGTCTTTATGCCTTTGTTTACACTTCACAGTTTACAAAGAATATTTTCATCCATTATTGCAAATGGTCCTTCAAATTCATTGTAGGTACGTCAGGGTATAGAGTTACCATTTTATAAGGAGAAAATGGAAGCTGAGAGAAATGAAGAGACTTGCCCAATATTGTAGTGCTGGAAAGGGCCAAAGCTGGAAGGTGAATTAGAGACTCCTGACTGTACATCTGTTTCTCATTCCACAAACCATCCTGTCTCTTGATTCAAGAAGGTCAGCCCTGGAAGTATTCATGTGGGGACAGTGTTAATGAAAGGAAAATTATTAATACAACACCTGGGCCAGATTCTGAGTAGATATGCAGAGGATGACCTTCAGTCTCACTATTCATTTCAGAATCTCTGCCCAAAGGAATTGATCGGGCAAAAGAACTTCATCAAGGTTCAGCTTTATAAATATATCACTTCCCCATATCTCTAAGGACCTTGAAATCTCTACCATTAGTTCATGCCAAAGCACATTTCTGAGAAGCCTTTTGCAATACCTGTGGTGCTTGGTAGGAGTTACATATTAAGCTATGAACACATTTATTCAAGAAATATATTTTGCACACCTACTGTATGCAGAACACTGTGCATGATGCAATATGCCAAGTTAGCTGGGAATGGAGTCAGGAAGCACCTGATTATAGTGGGGGCACAACGTAAGTCTGAGTAGAATGCCATGGGAAAGGATGGAGGGGGAAATGAGCAGCAATTGGTTGTGGCGGGGGAGCTGTAGGTACTCATAAAGGCACCAACCACCTTGGAACAAAAGGAATTAAGAACACAGAAGACAAATATCACATTCATGCCCTAGATGTGACTAATCAACTCAATCTTGCTTTGAAAAAATCACTTCTCGGCAGCCATAAAAAGAAAGAACGAGTTTATGTCCTTTGCAGGAACATGGATGAAGCTGCAAACCATCATTCTCAGTAAACTAACACAGAAACAGAAAACCGAACACCCCATGTTCTCACTCATAAGTGGGAGTTGAACAATGAGAACACATGGGCACAGGGAGGGGAACATCACACACCGGGGCCCGTCGGGGGTAGGGGGCAAGGGGAGGGATAGCATTAGGACAAATACCTAATGTAGATGACAGGTTGAAGGGTGCAGCAAACCACCATGGCACATGTATACCTACGCAACAAACCTGCATGTTCTGCACATGTATCCCAGAACTTAAAGGATAATAATAAAAAAAAAAATTAAACACTTCTTACAGCCAGTTTGAGTTCCTCTCCTGAACAGCTCAGTTTAATGACTGAATTTCAGCAACTGTAAAAAGAGCCTGACCCCCCAGCTCCCCAACCCCACAACCTTCCAACAGTTGTGAGCTAGACTCTCATCTTTCCCTCTCTTCTGAGATCCAATTCCAGCCTTCCCCTTTCCTTCAAACACATCACTATTTCCAGTTCCTGCCACAAGGTGCCCCCTGTGCACACTTCTCCTTGTTTTCAAAAAGATTTAAAATCACGTTAGGTAGAAGTGAACTAGAAACAAGGAAATCTACCTGGCTGGGCAGATAGCCATGATAAATTATCACATATAGAAAAGGGTACTAAATGGTTATATTGGCTCTAATTCTGTTCACATCCACATAAAAGAGCTGCATAAAATATTAAATGTGTGTAGCCACTCACTTTAGAGATGAATGATAAAGACTCATTAGTCTTGATAAAAGAAGTTTTTGAAATATGAGATTGAGTAATGAATATCCTCAAGAGCTGCCATAGAGATAGCAAACATTCAGAGACAGTCTACATGCTGGAATCCAATTTTAATTAGGTCATCGCTCCTGTGATAATCAAGACCTTCAGAAGAAAGAGAAACTAACTTTTCTTTTTCCCAAACAGGGAAAGGGTCAAATTAGTTCTGAACCTAAAACATTTATGATCAACAGAAAGGGCAGCTTGACACAACCAAGAGAATGTTTATCAGCATGCTTGTGCATCACATTCTATCCATACTTCTTATGATTCTTCTTGCCGTTCCTTACATCAGCTGTCCCTCAACTGTTTTGGCACAGGGGACTGGTTTCGTGGAAGACAATTTTTTCCACAGATTGGGCCAGGTGGGGATGGTTTCAGGATGATTCAAGTGTGTTGCATTTATTGAGTCCCTTATTTCTATTATTATTACATTGCACTATATAATGAAATAATTATACAACTCACCATAATGTAGAATCAATGGGAGCCCTAAACTTGCTTTTCTGCAACTAGATAATCCCATCTGAAGTTGATAGGAGACAGTGACGATCATCAGGCATCAGGTTCTCATAAGGAGCATGGAACCTAGATCCCTTGCATGCTCAGTTCACAATAGGGTTCCAGCTTCCATGAGAACCTAATGTTGCTGCTGATCTGACAGGAGGTGGGGCTCAGGCAGGGGTGCAAGTGATGGGGAGCAGCTGTAAACACAGATGAAACTTCACTTGCTAATCTGCCATTCACCTCCTGCTGTGTGGCCCAGTTCCTAATAGGCCACAAACTGCTACTGGTCCGTGGCCTGGGGGTTGGGGACCCCTGCCCTACATGATGATTTCTACCTTCAGCAACAATTTATTTCTAATGACTTGCTCACATAGCAGAGATGTCCATCTACCCTGGGACTGACTTCATCTGCTGAAGTAGGCAACCATACAGGGAGCTTATCTGATGGGAAGGAGGGAAGGATGCTACCCTCAGATGAAGCCAAATTTCTGTGGCTCTCAAAGAAGTCCTTTATGACCATCCTTGATAAAACACCCACATAACATCACCCTTACTTACTTTTATGGCATTTACTACCTCTTATATATTCATATACACACACATATTAAGACACATATATGTACATATATTTTAACTATTTATCTATCAGAATGAGTTTCACGAGAACAAAGTCTTTGTTTTGTTCACTGATGTATTCTGTGTCTCGAGTAGTGTGTCTCAATATTGTAGGTGTTTGATTCGTTGAATGGATATAGAATATATATTTTTCTCCATGTTGCTACCTGTCAGCATGGCTAAGACAAAGAGTAACAGGGCTTAATCATATTGCTTAAAAACAACTTCTTTCTATCCCAAATCATAAAGGCTGAAAATGTGAATTGAGACCTTCTTATGGCTTGCATAGACAGCCAAGACTGCATAAATTACATTTCTAGGGTTAAAATGTAGCTTTGCTTCTGTATTGATTGATTCATATCCCATGGTATCCAACTCTCAAATAAGCTTAAATTGAAGATAAAAGTTCATGAACAGTGTTACATTCAAGACAATATTCAGAGTTAATTAATAAAGGAAAACGTAAAGATTGGTAATAAAAGAAAAGCAATATAAAGTTCATTTATTTAAAAACTTGCTCTAAGGCCGGGCGCGGTGGCTCACGCCTGTAATCCCAGCACTTTGGGAGGCCGAGGTGGGCGGATCACGAGGTCAGTAGATCGAGACCATCCTGGATAACACGGTGAAACCCCGTCTCTACTAAAAATACAAAAAAAAATAGCTGGGCGTGGTGGCGGGCGCCTGTAGTCCCAGCTACTCGGGAGGCTGAGAGAGGAGAATGGCGTGAACCCGGGAGGCGGAGCTTGCAGTGAGCCGATATCCCGCCACTGCACTCCAGTCTCTGGGCAACAGAGCGAGACTCCATCTCAAAAAAAAAAAAAAAAAAAAAAAAAAAAAACTTGCTCTAAAATTGAACTCTGGATTTTTTTTCCCGATTAATAATAAATAATTGGTTCTATATAATCTTTGACCCTTAAAAAGTGAAAAAATTAATGAAATCAGTAGAAATGCTAGCTCTGCTTCTTACTAGAGTTGTGTCCTTAGGCAAATTACTAAACAGCTCTGACACTAGACCTTGTGATTAGTTAAAAAGGGGGAAGGGGCTCTAAAAAACTCTTCAATGATAGGGTTGTTGCTAAAGTGCCTACCCCTTATAGGCTGGACAGTAGAGCTGTGTCCACCTGGCAGCAAAGCTCCTATTGGGCCATTTTCTAAGTGGCATAGAAACCCATTTTGAAAGCTACACCTACAAAGTCATTCATGTAAGTGACATAAATTCTCACACTCCTGAGTTCCCTAATCCCTCAGATCTCAATAGAGACCTCCCTGCCTAGCCTGGGGCTTATGCACAACTCCAACACTTAGAGGGTGGTTAATTTCTTTTCCAGGAAAGCAAAAGAGTACCTGATTCTTTCTTTATGCTTTAAGTAAGTTGAGAAGCATCATTACTCCTTACAATGAAAAATTATTACCCTTGGGTATTAGTTCTAGTGTGGAGGAAGGAACTCAGGCTTAGGTTCAGAAAACCAGAGCTTGAACTTTGACTTCACTATTAAATATGTGACCTTGAATGACTTATTTTTTCTCAAAAAAGGAGCTCCTTCATCTATAAAATGGAGAAAACAAAAATACCACCACCATGAGGTTGTGAGAAAATGATAAAGACACTATACATGAAAGTGCTTTGGGTCGGGCACAGTGGCTCATGCCTGTAATCCCAACATTTTGGGAGTCTGAAGCAGAAGATCACTTGAGCCCAGGAGTTCAAGAGCAGCCTCGGCAACAAAGTGAGACTCTGTCTCTCAAAAAAAAAAAAAAAAAAAAATTAAATTAGCCTGGTGAGGTGGCGCATGCCTGTAGTCACAGCTACTTGGGAAGCTGGGGTGGGAGGATCTCTTGAGCCTGGGAGACTGAGGCTGCAGTGAGCCATGAACCAGCCACTGCACTGTACCCCAACAGAGGAGGATTGTGTCTCAAAAAAAAAAAGTGCTTTGTAATTGGTAAAGGGCTCTACAGATGTAAGCTATTTTAGTTGGGTGAGCCTGGAGTTGTCTTTTACAACAACAATAATACCACTTTAAAGCTTACCAAGTACTCTCATGTGCATTAGCACATTCAGACTGATGGAGCCTGAGTTGTTATTGTTAGTTCTGAGTCTTTGAGGAATGGCTGTTTTTTTTGTTTTGTTTGTTTTTTTGTTTTACCAAATAAACCATCAAAGCACTCTGGAATGTGCCAATTTTCATTCTTTTTTTCTTCACCTACATGCATTAACTAAGCGTCTCTTATAAGCAGTGCATTAAGCTAAGAAATTCAGGGAATATAAAAAGATGGAAATGTGTTCCCTGTCATTGCAGACATACATATTTGTTCACTTAGTAAATATGTATTGAGTATTTACAATGGACTGCACAGTCATGAGCATATACAGAGTCTAAAGTAGGAACTGTACAAATGAAAGAGAGAGAAAGAGAGAACAAATGTGACCATAGTACCACAGTACTATCCACAGTACTACCCATAGAGTGGTCAATAACTACCTAAAAAATATACCAGTCTTAAATGACCAATCATCAGTATTTTGACAATGCCTAGAAATCTCAAGAAACTCCTCTTGCTACTAACTTTATGAAAGTATTTGGGGTTCCCTGGAATTGGTTACTGTGCAACTGGGATGCTTTAGTGATGGAGCTGCCATTCGGAAGGCATGAAGTACACACCCTAGCTACACTCAGTTCACAACAGAGGGCCCTTTCCAATCAACTGAGAGGGCAAGTCAATAGTTATTGAGCTCTGTAGAAAAGAAGAGATTAAAGATTATTTGCCTTGCTCTTAACTTAGTTTTTCTGCCAATCTAATACACGTATCTGTTTTATCATATCCTGTCTTTACACATTTCTGGAAATAATATCTCTGAGTGGCAACAAGCTTACATGAAAAACATAAGAACAATATTTTAAATCCCAAGCAATGATTACTAGATAGCTCAGCCTCACTCTCTACCATGAATATTTTTAATGAAGAGTAGATGGCATGTGAAACTTTTAAAAGGCAATCTTGATGCCTTTTAAAAATAGACGTTAATATTAGGTCCTGTTAGGCCAAAAAGGAAGTGGTAAGGAACCACTTCTTTTTTTAAGGGACCACCCCTCCTCCCCACAAGACACACATACTCTTAAATGATTTGAATGGGACCAACATATCTGTGCAGCATGAGCCCTACTTACAAAGCAGTTTATTGGTCCAGAGGCAGACATATACATTTTTGCAAATTTGGGATTGGAACCAAGAGTTGACTCAGTCTTTCCAGATGGCTGGACAAGTAATACATGAACTTGAAAGCTTATAGTGGCCATATTTTCTATTGTGAGAAGGGGAAGCAAAGAAAATTGTCCTATAGTAATGGAGTGACAATGAAGCAACATCTGGGGGAAAATATTTCATGTGAAAAAGAAATATGGTCCATATTTGGTCCCTTCCACCCACTGTCAATGAAGAAACCACTCAGAAGAAGTAGAAGTGGATGTGAAGGACATGAAAAATAAATCCCCATGGCTTGGCCCCAAGCATGTTACTGAAGACTATTTAAAATTAAATATAAAAATACAAGTAACAAATGCATATGTCATGTTCTTGGTTATATTTTTATTATCAATGATTTGTGGACATTATGCAACAATGCTATCTTCACTGAAGTCATCAGCATCTACGAGTAAACAAAAATATATTTTTCTGAATTTTTGTGCCTTATATTTTATTGAGAGGTTATAGCCTGAATGGAAATTTTCCTTTAGTGACAGCTATAATAGAGGAAAATAGTTTTCGCTCATATATTATTATCTTACAATGAAGTGTGAAGGAAATTATGATTTATGACTTTGCTGATTGTTTATTCCAGCTGCAGACATTATCCCCTTTAGCCAAAATACAGGCCATAATGTCCCACTTATTTGAATGTCAGACTTCCAACAGTGAGTCCAAAAGGGAACGAGCTTCTAAACATCCAAAATAAATATCACAAAATGTATGCACTTCATTACATGAAAGGGGTCATCCTACAGATTATATTGACTCTTCCTTACATGCTATTTTATACTCTTAATTACCTACTTATCCATCCTAAAACTTTAAAGAATAGCCAAGTGACCATCATTAGGAAACAAAAGCTAGAAGCCAGAAATAAGACCCTAAAAATTGTCCAATATTACCACAACAGTTCATTTGTTTTGTAGCATTTGGTCTCTACATTAAAGAAATAATAGTGCAAACATTAATGATGAATACGGAACAATAGAATATTTGTAAAATTTATCTTGAGTCATCAGAAAGAGGTTAAATTATGTTTACTATATTTTGTTTTAAAATGGTAGCAAAATAGGTAATGTACTTTGGAAGATGTAATAAAACAATGTTATAATAAATAAAATTTTATTTCGCTATAATGAAAAAATAAATAAAATTTTATGTTAAAGTTACTTAGAAAAAATGTATTTATTTTGAAAACTTCATTGTAAGGTATTAGTATATTTCAGCAGCAATGCCAACAGTGCTGTCGTTTTGGTCAGATGTCTGATGAAGACAACAGAGAAAGGATTTAAAACACAGAATGACGAAGCTCCTTTCCCACTTCTTCCTTAGCCTCCAGTTCTATCCCCTTACCAGCTTTTCAAAGCTATAAGGGTGCCAAAGAAGTGCCTGGACTTTGTCTATCCATTACAAGGAAATGATGGCAACCCATTTTGCAAAGGTTTGGATACACGTAGAAATGCTCCATCACTTGCTACCTGATCTGCATGAGAGAAGAGCATAAAATATATTAACTCACCATCTTAAATCCTCTCCCATTTCAATGACTCCCACTCATCTTGAAAATTAAGTTCAGCTTTTCCTCAGGAAAAAAACTGCTATTTATTCCATTGCACAAAGACTAATATTTCACTGGGGGAAATCATCTATTTGTAAGTGTTAATTCATAGCTGCCACATTTACTGTTGTGGTTTTTCTGATCAAAAAGATGTCTACAACTCACCATTTTTAATGAATAGATTCTTACGTATTTTTTATAATATTGGTTTTTAACGAAGTGTTTCAAACCCATCAGAAATGCCTGCTAAGCCTCGGCTCAGATGGTCATGAAGGCAAAGGACATAACTGAAACCAAATAAAGGATGAGCAAGATAAGCCTATGGCTGGTCATGATAATGCATTTTAAAATTTCCAATGTATGACTCTCATTCGTCTCTATAATGAAAAACTACCAGCCACCATTTGCTTTGCAAACACTAATCCTAGTACCTCATGGGCTTTTGTAAAAGAAAAAAAAAAATCTCCTGAAAAAATATTGCAGTTTTAGGAAAGCAATGTTTTCAGCTGCTGTAATCATTCTAATTACTTTAGAATGTTTCTTTTTTTTTTTTTCCTTCACCCTCTAGGGCCTTTTTGCCTTCAAATCAGCTACAGAAACAAAGCAATTTAGCACAGTAAAAAGCTTATTAACATATGATGCAGTTCAGTGGCATGAGAAAAGACTAGGGAGAAAACAAGAGATCCATCCCGTGAAAAAGGTAGATCTGAATATTTCAAATCAAAAAAGCTGAGCCAGGGAGTGAATAACTCAACAAAATGTGAAAAGAAAGGTCAAAATGGCAGCTCTGACGCAGAGAAATGTCAGCTCTACAGGATGAAAGATGACAGTTTAATTCCTCAACTTGCCCAGTAAGTACAGTTTACAGCTAAGGTGGGCAATTTTCTAAATCGTCATTTATCATTTAAGAGAGTCCCTAGGTCCCCTTCAACTATGCGTCTTCTGCTCTTTTCAAACTTACCTGTGAGGTACCAGGGAAGGTGAAATGGCCCCATTTATCTGCAGACAGTGAATTTGCAGGTTTCTGCTTCTCTGCAGAGGTAACAGTAAGGAAAGAAATGAGTAGAAGTTAAGTGCCAAAACTATTTTGCCAGAGCAGATTAGGAAAACCAACGTGAAGCTCCCTACCAGAGGATTGTGGGTGCTTTGAATAGAAAGGAAACAATATTTGGAATAGCATGTGAAAAATGCACAAGTTGGGCAAAGCAATATGAGAATTTAGTGGTGACATTACTGCCATGGTCTTGTTTTCTTGATCCAGGAAGAATGAATAACTCAATGCACCTCCAAATAAGAGCTTAAGTAAATGCTGAAGTAAAAGAGATGAACATCCAGAACCTCGCAGTGGATCCAGAGATGCTTTAAATAAAAACTTCACCTCCTCAAGGACAAATGGTCATTCATTCACTACTTGGCTATTGAGCATCTACTACATGTCAGGCATGGTGCTGGTGGCTAGGTATGTGGATATGAATAAAACAAATTTCCAGTTTTCTTGTAGTTTATCATATAATATGGGAGAAAGGTGATGTTTCTATTCCATATTCATTCATTCAATACTGAGTATGGAACAACTAACTATAGTGAGCTCAATAAGAGGATCCTAAGTATGGTGTCAGAGGCGAGGGGCATAGAATCCAGGGAGCCTTCCTGGAGGTGCTGATGTCTGAGCTTATTTCTTTTTATTCTTATATTTTAAAATCTTTTTTCAAGTTTTATTTTAGGTTCAGGGGTGCATGTGCAGGTTTATTACCTGAGTAAATTGCGTATTGCTGGGGTTTTGTGTACAAATGATTTAGTCACCCAGGAAGTGACTAAAGAGTACCTTCACCCTCTTCCCACATGCTCATCCTTCAAGTAAGAACCTATGTCTATTATTCCGATCTTTGGTTCCATGTGTACTCAGTGTTTAACTCCCACGTATAAGTGAGAATATGTAGTATTTGATTTTCTGTTCCTGTATTAATTTACTTAGCATAATGGCCTCAGCTACATCCATGTTGCTGCAAAAGGCATGATTTCAATTTTTAGGGCTGCATAGTATTCCATCATATGTATGTATGTATGTATGTATGTATGTATATAAACATCTTCTTTCATCCAGTCCACTGTTGATGGGAACCTAGGTTGATTCCATATCTTTGCTATTGTAAATAGTGCTGCAATGAACATATGGGTGCATGTGGCTTCTTAGAAGAATTATTTATATTCCTTTAGGTATGTACCCAATAATGGAATTGCTGGGTCAAATGGTAGTTATCTTTTAGATTCTTTGATAAATCTCCAAACTTCTTGAGATGGTTTGAACATATGTCCTTACCCAAATCTCATGTTGAATTGTCATTTCCAATGCTGGAGGTGGGGACTGGTGAGAGGTGTTTGAATCATGGGGATGGATCTCTTATGAATGGCTTGGGCCATCCCATTGGTGATAAGTGAGCTCCTGCTCTGAGTTCACACGAGATCTGGTGGTTCAAAAGTGTGTGGCACCTCCCCCCTCCACTCTTTCTCACTTGCTTCTGCTTTTGCCATGTGACATGCCTACTCCCCCTTTGCCTTCCATCATGATTGTAAACTTCCTGAGGCCTCCCTAGAAGCCAAGCAGATGCCAGCCCTATGCTTCCAAGCCTGCAGAGCCTTGAGCCAAAAACCTCTTTTCTTTAAATATTGCCCAGTCTCAGGTATTTCCTTATAGCAATGCAAGAACAGCCTAATACACTGCTTTCTGCAGTGGCTGAACT
Source organism: Homo sapiens (assembly GCF_000001405.40). Classification (NCBI taxonomy): domain Eukaryota; kingdom Metazoa; phylum Chordata; class Mammalia; order Primates; family Hominidae; genus Homo; species Homo sapiens. The sequence continues at coordinate 144,381,358 of NC_000005.10, read as the reverse complement.
AATTTACATTCCCACCAGCAGTGTATAAATGTTCTCTTTTCTCCACAACCTTGCCAATATCTGTTATTTTTTGACTTTTTAATAATAGTCATTCTGAGTGGTGTGAGACGGTATCTCATTGTGGTTTTGATTTGCATTTCTCTGATGGTTACTGATGTTGAACTTTTTTTTCATATGCTTGTATGTCTTCTTTTGAAAAGTGTCTGTTCGTGTCCTTTGCTCATTTTTTAATGGGGTTGCTTGTTTTTTCCTTGTTAATTTGTTTAAGTTTCTTATAGATTCAGGATATTAGACCTTTATCAGATGCATAGTTTGCAAATGTCTTATCCCATTCTATAGGTTGTCTGTTTACTCTGTTGATAGTTTCTTTTGCTGTGCAGAAACTCTGGGGTCTCACTTGTCTATTTTTGTTTCTGTTACAATTGTTTGTGGAGACTTTGTCATGAAATCTTTGCCAAGGCCTATGTCTAGAATGGTATTTCCTAAGTTTTCTTCTGGGGTTTTTGTAGTTTTAGGTTTTCATTTAAGTCTTTAATCCATTTTGAGTTGATTTTTATATGGTGCAAGGAAGTAGTCCAGTTTCGATCTTCTGCATATGGCTAGTCAGTTATCCCAGCATCATTTATTGAATAGGGAGTCTTTCCCCCATTGCTTGTTGTTGTTGACTTTGTTGAAGATCATATAGTTGTTCTGTAACCTGTTCCATTGATCTATGTGTCTGGTTTTGTACCAGTACCATGCTGTTTTGGTAACTGGAGCCTCATAATGTAGTTTGAAGTTGAGTAGTGTGATGCATCTGGCTTTGTTCTTTTTACTTAGAATTGCTATGGCTAGTTAGGCTCCTTTTCAGTTCCAAGTGAATTTCAAAATAGTCTTCTCTAATTCTGTAAAAAATGGCATTCATAGTTTGATATAAATAGCATTGAATCTGTAAATTACTTTGAGCAGTGTAGCCATTTTAAAAATATTGATTCTTCTTATCCATGAGCATGGAATGTTTTTCCATTTGTTTGTGCTGTCTCTGGTTTTTTTCAGTGGTGTTTTGTAACTCTCATTGTAAATATCATTTACCTCCTTGGTAAGCTGTATTCCTAGGTATTTTATTCTTTTTGTGGCTGTTGTGAATGGGATTGTACTCTTGATTTTACTCTCAGCTTGGACATTATTGGTGTAAAGAAATGTAACTGATTTTTGTATATTTATTTTGTAGCCTGAAACTTTACCAAAGTTATTTATCATTTATAGGACCCTTTGGTCAGAGACTATGGGGTTTTCTAGGTATAGAACCATAAGTGTAGAATATTTTTTAGGTATAGAATCTCGGCAGAGGAAACCACACTTGCAACTGCATATATGTATAAAACCAGCATACTGCCGTCTATACCAGAGTATGTATGTAAGGAAAATGAAAAAAATTAAAAATATAGACTACATTTACAATACAATACATGTAAGTGTTGGAAATACATGGATGTTTGGTTTATTCTTTTATTTACATTTTGCTTTATTTGAATATAACTTTTATAAATATGTTTCTCAAGTCAGTGATAAATATTTGAAACAATAACTACTGACTCAGCCTAGCTAAAATTCTCAACATCAAATGCCAACTAAAAAGAAAAAGGCATGGATGATCTTATTTGGTGTGTTTGCAAAGGCCATCTTTGTGAAACTTTAATTTAAAAGAAAGAGTGAATAATTATATATTTTCTGTCATACCCATACAAAGAAACCTGTCTGAAAACTTGTTGAAGATGTTACCTTTGAAAATAAAATAACAACCATATTTAGGACTGGAACATGCCCCCAAGCTCCCAAATGAACTCCTTGTCTTTAATCTATTATAATGATATTCTTAAAGATATCCTCCAAAAGTAACTCCCAAACCCTCCATCAGTAATGCACTCTGTTCTCTCACAGTCCCTATAGTCACAAAGCTTATTTATAGGACACCTAAATTCATCTTATTACAATTCTAAACCCATTTCAAGTAAGCCCCTCTTCTTCTAGTACGTGAAATATCTATTTACTAATCCTCCAATCTTTATCCAAAGTCTAACCCAATGTGTAAACACAGCCTAAATATGAAAAGAGACTCCCTCTCATATCTTTCTTGTCATCCATGGGAACATGTGGGGAGTTAGGCCAAAGAGCAGGCATAAAAATGGGAAAACCTTATGGGCAGGAGAGAAGGAAGACATGGGTAGTCGTAAAAGGCATATACCTGCCTCAAACATTTCATAATAAAAAGAATCTACTTTTGAGCACAAAATATGCTGAAAGCAGAAAGTTCATCTGACAATTGCCAAACGTCAGTATTCCAGGATGCATCCCTTTCTCCATGAGTTGTAAATGAATATTCACTCTGAAGCCAAGGCATCTAAGAGAAAGGCCACAATTAATATCGCCAAATCCCATTTCACGGATGCTTGCATTTTCTCCTATGACGAATGTTAGCATAAGATTAATGCATTGTAAAAAGTCATTTAATACAAAACAACCATCTGTCTATATGCAGTGAAGCAGAGAGAAGAGGCCAAATAACACGTTGGTTCAGCTCAATCCATGCCTGGTACATTAGCTGTTTACTTGAATAATTGAAAAACACAAGTCTATTCTGTTGCCTTGACTAGGGCTAATCTAATGAAGTTAACCTGCCATTGATGACACATGTGAGATGATTTTAATGCACTTTAAACATCTTATTTAAATTACACAAGAATATAACAAAGGCATAGAAATGACATACTTAATAAAGTTGGATTCCAAAACTGTTCAAAAAAGAAGTAGCCCTGCATATTGGCCTTAACATATTGCACACATCTGAAACTAAGTAATTATTTCCAGAATTTTATTATAGAAATGAAAACCACTCTTCAACTAGCTAGATACGACATTTCAGTAGAGTAAGAGAATATGATCTAGCATCTTTAGAAGAAATAAAAAATAGTATTGATTCAAATCCTGTAAACTACTTATCAATGACCTGACAAAGCAAGAAACTACATTTGGTATATTATCTGGCAATATACACCACCTTATTCATATACATATTAGTCTAATTTCATCTCTGTGTCTGGAATTTCATAGCTGTAAGTTCTTCTATTACTTTTCACTACAGATTTTTCCTGCAATTCTAAATATACCTTCCTACCCCAACCTCCAGGCTAGTAGTCTTCCTTTCCCTGGGGAAAAAGAGGGAGAGCACAGAAGGAGGGAAGGCTGTGTTCTTTGAAATTCAGGAAAACCTCCTTAAAATCCCAAACCATGCATGGAAATCTGAATATCTGCTAAGTGTTTAAGTTCCTTTGTTTTCTTATAATTAACGTCCCCTTCTGACCAATTTCAAGTTATGATATCTATGTATATGAAAGGACAAGGACACACACAACACATACATTCATGCTTTCCCTTACTTGGAATGGAAGGAAGTTACAGGAAAACAAAGTATATAAGATTGAAAAAGAGATGCAACAGATAATTACCTACCTAATTGCACAAAATCATGGCATTGTGGAAAGGGAGGTTTACCAGATGTGGAGGGATGGAGAGTTTGATTATCACTGCTCTCTTTTCCATGTCCCTAGTCACTCCTGGGTCTGAGAACTTAGTGAACCTGAAATGACACATTTAGCACAACAGCCTGCAGAAGACTTGTCAGCAGGATGTCATTCTTGGCTGATGGATTTTTAAATAATCTTCTCAGAAGCTTAAATTTAGGGAGGGCTTCTCTTCTCCCCTCTTCAACCCAGAGTTTTAAATGTATGTAGCAGATTGGGTAAGTTTGGAGAAGAGAGGGTTAAACAAAGGGTCATAAACTGCTGGTCTGTGGACTGACTCTGGCCCCAGAGAGGCATTTTCTTTAATTGTATAATGTAATAAAATTAATAAGTGTCACATGCAGTTCCTAATTTGTGTGTTCTGTTGAATATCAGATCTGGCTACTCTAGCCAACTTTCATGTCTGGCAGCAATTAGCTAGAGCTGAGTCTCAGCTGCCCTTGAGCCAGGATATAAATTTACCAGTTTGCCACTGTCCACTCCATTCCTTATAGCCTGATATCCAGCCACTTGACTCATGTATGCTGTATCCAGGACCTCTATTAATATGTATTTGAAAATGTTATAGTTAAGATGATCAAGGAACCCCAAGAGAAAGTAAAAAGAGAGACAGTCCAATAGGGGATGTTTCTCCTTGAACAGAGAAGGGCTCCATGAAGGATGGCCAGCATTGGAGAGCTATAATTGCAGACCTGTTGGAGGAAATGGGGTAGGAAATGAGTTTGATAAAATAGAGAAACAATCCCTAAAACACCACCTCCTCATCCAGTGTTATCCCAAGTCTGAATGCGTAGATATGTACACCCAAGCCTGCAATAAGGAATAGTCCGCTGGGTTTCTTCTGTAATCTTGAATGGCCAACAGAAAGACTGCTCAATTATGAATGGCACAAGGGGTGTGGCACTGCAGTCATGCCAGAGCATTCACCAGTTCTCATCTTTACAGTGTTAGTGATCGCAGCCAATGAGATTGATTCCCAGTTTATAACTTTCAATATCCTACCATCCTTAAAACATGACAAAGCCCTTTAATCAGTTTCCATTAGAAAGCCAAACAGTCCAAGAATATTGTTGGATCCTTTTTTCTAACTGGAAATCTAGGACTCACAGGAAGGATTCATATCCTACTATATATTGCATTTCACTTGGAAAAATATGACATATGACGCTTCTCTCAAGAATCTCTGGCTGCTCTGTAAATCAGTCTTTAATTTTTCTCACCCCGTCCTTTCCCTTATTTGAACCAAAATTCTCTCCTCCATCATCAAATTATTTTATGACACAGAGTAGCCTCCAATTTTTGTGTGAAACCTGGGTCCAGACTCATACCTGGAATCCAGAAACTCATTTCTCTCCAGTGGAGGTCTTATCAAATCATTTTCTCAGCAAAGTCTATCTCTCTCTACAAAGGAATTATTAGACCAACTACCGAGATTGTAACATTTTGTCCATATTATTACACATTATTCAGTATATTTCTTTTTGATAAAGACTATACCTTTCATAAATAAAGTATACAATGAATACCCTTGGACATATATCTATAATGAGTTAATTATCAACCAGCAGGAAACTAAATCATAAACGAAAAGAAAAGTATTGAGACCCAGATATCACAACAGAAGGAAAAAGGATGTATAATAAGAAAATGGAAAAAAAGGTAGACATGACTCTGAATGAGGAAGATTTTATTAAGAAAAAAAAGTTTGCACTTTGGGAGGTCGAGGCGGACCAATCACTTGAGCTCAGGAGTTCAAGACCAGCCTAGCCAACATGGTGAAACCCCGTCTCTACTAAAAGTACAAAAAATCAGCCAGATTTAGCGGCTCGTGCCTGTAATTCAAGCTAGGAATTCTCCTGCCTCAGGAGGCTGAGGCAGGAGAATCACTTGAACCCAGGAGGCGGAGGTTGCAGTGAGCTGAGATCACACCACTGCACTCCAGCCTGGGCAACAGAGCGAGACAAAAAAGAAAGGAAGGAAGGAAGGAAGGGAGGCAGGGAAGGAAGGGAAGGAGTTTGATGTGACGGTCCTAGAATATTGGTCCTAGGAAGCACATCTTGGTTTCTCACCTCTCCATTTTCAAATGGGAACACCAAGGCAAAGCCCTCTGGAACAAAAAGACACATAAATATAGTTGCTGAAATGAGAAAGAATTTTCTCTCATACAACAGCAGGGGCAGTTCTACTCCATGAACCTTTCAAGTACTCAGGTTCCACCCATCTGGTATTTCCAGCATCACCTGGAATACTGTCCTCTTCTGCAGGGTCAATATGGCATTATCATACCCATGTCCCAGATCACAGGAGGGGAGAAACACAGGAATTCCAGGTCAAGCATCTTCCTTTCAGGGACATGACTTTTTCTCATGTTTTTATATTTCATAGATGAGAACTAGATCACATATTCACACTTATCTGCAGAGATATGTATGATTATAGGCTCCAGTTGTTCAACTGAAATTCTATTATAATAGAAAAAAGGAAATATATTTTGGGAGAGACTACTAGCAGATTGGTGTAGACATCAAGAAGGTAAGACACTTGCCAGAGAGCATGAGCTATTCCAACCAGTTTGCTAGTAAAAGGTTATGGTAGTATCTCTTCATAATATGTCTCTTCTCAAAGAGCTGAGCACAGAAGACCATGTCCTGGAAAGCAATAAACCTTGAGATTCAGAATGAAGGCCTTCCCTATGCAGACCATGGCTCGTTCACCTGTATGTGGTCAATCCCTTTGCCAAGAATTAACTAGCATTAGAGTTAGCCACACAACTGACCTAAGAGATGTTGCAATAAATGCATAATTGCTGGGGAACAATGTAAAAGGCAGTGTGGACCGGGAGACAACAGCAGTCCCAAAGTGAAAATCCCTGGGAAGGAGAAGTCATATGCTACTTTTTGCTGAGTAGAAGCTAAGAAAATGGAACTGAAACAAACCTGTAGTTCTAAACTTCAGTGAAAAACACAGCAGAGAAAAGATGTTGTGGTAATGAGAGCTACAGGCATATCATGCATGTTAGCTTAGTAGTACTTTATCAGGAAAAAAAAAAGTAGCCATTTTCATTTCTTAGGAGTATGCAAAAGGCCACAAGATTGGCCACAGAGTATTGAAAGAAATAAAAGTCAAAGAGGTTATTGTCCAGTACTGCTCTGCTTTCCTTTCTACTAGGGACAGGAAAACACTACCTCTATTAGTAATCATGACAAACTAAAAGTTTGAGTGAGATCTCACTCTATCAAAAAAGTTAGCTTTCTAAAGAAACCTGAATTCTTTCACCTGCTACCTCCCATTTAGCCTGCATCACAACATTTAGCAGATGATACTATGTCACCTCGTGAATCTTTCTGTCATTTCAAATATAAACCTTGCTATCCAACCTCACTGTCGCCTTCCCCTAGTAATGCTAGATCTAAATGTCTTCAGAGACCGAGGTTATCATCTCTACTTCATCCCAGAGTACCTAGAAGAATGCATCAAACATCATTCCTTGTCATCTCTTTCAAAGCAATAGGATGGTACAGGTTCCAGTTTAGATGGTGCTTCTAATATTAATCTTTTTTACTGAAAATTTGGCATTTTATTTTTGAAATATTTGTCAGGTGATAGGCCGAATAATGGCCCCCACAAAGACGTCCAAATTCTAACACAGAAAACCTGTGAATATGTTGCCTTACATAGCAAAAGAGGCACTGCAAACAAAGTAAGGACTTGAAATGGGATATTCTCCTGGATTATCCAGATGGGCTGTCAATATAATCATAATGGTCTGTACATAGAGGCAAGAGGTTCATATAAGGGAGAACTTGATGTGGTGACTGAAACAGAAACTGCAGTGATGCAGCTAGGAGCCAAAGATCTTCAGAACTGTACGATAATACATTTGTGCTGTTTTAAGCCATGACGCCTGTGGCTCATTTGCTACAGAAGCCATAGGAAATGAAAACATATATTCTTCCAATTAGCAATGTAATCACATGGGCTAACTAACCTCATCTTACCAATTATTAAATATCAATCAAACAGGAAGATGTGATTTGCCATTTGTAAATGCCTATGCCAGTAACTTCACATCTGGAATATTTTTCCTGATGATATTTATACAAGATTTCTCTCATCTATTAAAAAGAATGACAAAGATCTATAAACAGACCTATATGCTGAGCTGTAGATGACATATCACGTAAAAAATAATGAGCAGCAGAAGACACTCAGGAACTAGGTGTGCATCACAAGTGGCTTGGAAGGATATAGACCAAAAACACAAGTGTAGTTATCTCTAGATAGTGGGATTACAGGATGGCCTTCATTTTCTCCAATACTGGATTAGTCTTTTATTCTTTTTATAATGAACATATACTATTTTCACAAGCTGAAAATTGATGGAAAATTTTTTGGACAAAATAAAGATTTTATTTCTGCACAGAGAGTTAATTTAATTAACTTAGGATCACTGTACTTGACACCCATGTCTTGCTTACCACCCCTCATAGCAGGGTCCTTCATTTGCATCATATCACTATCAAAATCACAACCAGTCTATTTCATGGGAGAAAGTAGGGCAAGATCAAGAGTCAGGAGACCATGAAATTTAACATATGAGCCTCCATCCTCTCTTTAAAGCCAGTCCTGCTTCCTGTCTGTCAAATATTTCGGTTGGTGGCACCACCATCTACCCAGCTGCCTAAGCCAGGATTTCAGAGTTGTTTTTAACTCTTGACATCCCACATTCCATCATTCACACCAAATTCTCCCATTCTGTCTTCAATTTTTCTTAAATCTGTCCCTTGTCCTCTGTTCCCATTATTAGTAAGTTTAGACTACCCCAGATTATTATAACCCTTCTAACTGGGTTCATTGGCTCTATACTATATTTGCCCAACTCCTCTCTTCAGTGGCAAAAAAATGAAATAAAGCTGTCACCCTTCTACTCTTACAGCTCTTCACAGGCTCCTGATTCTGGGCTAACAGCCCTCCAAAGGGCCTGCCATGGTATTTCATTATCTGGCATTTCCATATTTCTGTCTTGTTTTTCTTACTACTCCCTGGCCAGGCCTCATACATTCAACTGTTATAATCACACAGACCTTGCCTCCCATCACCAAGCCTTTAGACATACAGTTTCTCTGCCTGGCATGTCCACCTTGTCCAGTCAGTACCTCTTCACCCTTCAGGATTTGGCACAGGTGAGGAGTTGCCTCCTCTGTAAAGACTTGGCTGAATCAGGCTTCTTCCCTAAACTCTCATGGAACCTTGTAACATATCATGGTATAGCTGTGAACAAAAACATCCACCATTATATTATGATTACCAGCTTATGGAATTGGCAGTCCCACCCTTATCCAAATGATGAGCCTCTAAAGAAAACACTATCTTCCGTGTATGTTTGCATCCTCCTTCGTACAGTGACTGGCATAAATAGGCAATTAATAAGTTGTTGCTAAATGAATTAACAAATAAATGAATGAATAGCCAACTTTTATTGGAAGCTTACTCTGAAACCACCATAGGGTATACATTTTCTAACTGAATCCTTACAAAACTTTTATAAGATGGGTACCACTGTTATTCACATTTGTAGACAAAAAAAAAAAAAGAAGCACAGAGGGGTTACACAAATTTTCCAAATTCACTTATTTAGAAATTGCATATAAACTGAAACAGTCTAACTCCAGGATTTTAATCTCAACACTGCAGCAATTGAATGAATGAGCAACCTCCCGACCCTTCCTGTTTGTGTCCAACATGTAAGACTGGCCTAATCCTTAACCTGTCAAGCAGATAGACATGTCCAATCCCCTATTCTTTATTCCTTCTTGCTTTGATAACAGAGTAAAAAAATTGAGAAGGGGTGTGGTTAAACAGAGCATAAGGTTGAGAACCCACTGACAGCTAGAGGGAGAAGAGGCAAGAGAAGGCTACAGGTTATTAAGTAGAATGTTAATTATTCATTAATAGTAAGTTGCAGCTCTTACCCAGCAGCTATCCCATAAATGGCATAACAGGAGAAAGGAACAGAAGTGTTTTTGATCAAGTATTTCTTAGATCTAAATTAAAAAGACAGCATCCAAGATGAATTTCAAGCCCTCACCACAGTGTTAATTTTCTTAGAGTTTTTCCATGAACATCAGTGCCACAGAACCTAACCTAAAGATAATGTCTTCAATTGCAATGGCATTCATTAATCATTTCTACTTAGTGATATACAGAATCAGCTGCTTCTTGTCGTTGTGCATGGTGTCCAGGAACGTGGAACATTTTGAAGTCCTCCCTGGTGGGAATGTGTGAGAAACAGATAACACATACTCATCTTACAAGAGAGACACAGAAGCTCTGAGAGGTTGTCATTTGGGCAAAGTTTCACGGTAAGTTAATGTTTGGCTCTCAAATCCCAAAACAGTCTTGAATGACCTGCCTCTCCATCATGGTAGAAATGACCAAACAGGGACAATTTCCTTTATGATAGACCGTTAAAATCATTATTTCCCAAATTATACTTGAAAAAAGTGCATTTCCAGAAAGATCTCAAAAACCTAAAATGAAAGTACAATATATAAAGAATTTAGATAAAGGGAAGAATAGATATAAGGTTAGTACGCCCATCTTTGTTGAAGCAGAGTGAGGCAGGAATTCTGGATTTCAGGTGGCAAAAACCACCCAAACTTAGATCTTAGACTTTAAAGGGAGAACTTAGAAGTTCATGTCACCAAACGAAAGGGAGAGGTGTGGGAGTAGCCAGAACCAGAGACTTAACTCCAACAGAATTATCTCCATCTTTGTTTCTGAGATGATGGCATCCATGAGGAAATGGACTGGTCTCATTTTTATTATAGGTTGGTGCAAAAGTAATGTGGTTTTTGCCATTACTTTAATGGTAAAAACGGCAATAACTTTTGCACCAACCTAATATTAGGACTGTGATTGATGGTTAATGGAGTAATGGAATCCCCTATAGCTTTTAAGCAACTCTGTATTTTCTTGAAAAGATATTTGTTTCTGAAATACAATGGAAGTGACTCCAGCAAGCAAGGGAGTGGTTACAGGTCATTAGCCAGCTCACCCAGATCCTTATTGCTGCATAAAAGCAATTTATATTCCCACAAATAAAAATCTTTGCAACACCTTTTCCCTAAATATATGCCTAAAGATTAGTAGCAGATTCTTTCCTTTATAAACAACTGCTATGTGCCTTGGCATTAGTTATCTGTGAGACCTTGGAAAAATCATTTAACTTTTCCATGCTCCAAGATTCTCATCTGTAAAATGATGAAGTTGATCCGGTCCCTTCTGGCACCAACATTGTGTAAAGAGTATTGTTCTTTCAGGTGGAGCCAAAGTAAATTCTGCCATCAAAAAATAAATAAAGGAATCTCTCAGTGCACAGTCTGCTTTCAGGCAAAGCTATTTTGGAAACCATAGTCACTCTTTTAGGCCAACAGAAATCACACTCATTTATCCTTCAGTCTAGGTAGAACTAGGAAAAACTTTGAAGGCATTCACGCTTGATCCAAATGATCGCAAGTTTCTCTGTCAGGAGCTTTTTATACTTTCTACCCCTTCTACCCCCTCCTTAGCTGCCACGACATTCACAGCTACTGGTACTCATTTTATTCCTCAGGGGATCAGGATCCTCTCTCTACTCTTATTCTAATGTCCTCTTTGGAAACGATCTGATGAACTGAGAAGTCACATTAAAGCAGAGATTCCCAGATTCCCAGCACCCACAAACTGCCTTCATATTCTCTCCCTATCTTTGTACCCCCATATGTTACTATTATGTACTTAGTGTTAAGTATTTTAATATTAACATTAAGTAGATCATTATCTACTTACTATTTTCTTTTTCATTGACACATTATTTTTACCTCCTACCAACTTTAGCCTCATTAGAAATCATGCACTTAATATACTACATATGTTTTCTTATAAGTCCTATTAAAAATACATAACTATTAAAATTATATGTTCACCCATGAATCACTTAAAATCATCTCACATACACTTCCTTCAATGGTACTCATTTTACACCTGGGAAATGCTGTATTAAAGCATGAATCACAAATTCTCCTTACTAAGGAGATTAGATTTAGATTGAATGAAAATCCCTAACATCTTTTAAACTACTTGCTATTTCCTTATAACAATGTGTATTTCAGAGGTGTCAAGAGATCAATGATGAAGGTAAAAAAACAAATTTTTATAGGACATTAGTCTTAAAGAATGGAAAGATTCCTTAATTGTGACTCAATCCATTCTGGAGTCAGGGAGCTGTCTCCATGCCCCTTAAATAATCATATAGTAATAGGGATGTAATAATAACAAGAATGACCACTGCATATTACGTGTTGACTACAGGTTGGGGTTCAGAGAGCCGCCCTACTTCATCTTATTTGTATTCCTGCCTCCACCGCTGGCTGCCATCTCATACGGAGGACCTGGGAGACCTTTTCCATGCCTGTGCTATTTCATCTCTAAAAACAAACAGTAGAGGGTGAATAGCCAAACCAGGCTACATGCACCATGTCTCTCAGGCTTCAGCACAAAACCCCATTTCATGCTTCAGAGCCTTGACTGTGACACAGAGCTCAGGTTGCCAAGGGAATGGGAGCCAGGCTGTGACGGGCTGACTGAGGCTAAATCGGTCCTATGGGGCAGTGCAGCCACTTTCTGCAGGTGCAGAGCTGCTGTCTGGCTCCTTTTCTCTCTCACACAAAGCAAGCAGAAAGGAGATAAGATGAATTATATACCTGGCATAATGGTTCATGAGACTCACCAGGATGATGAGGCAGTCCTCATTTTCAGTTGGCCAAAATTTGACACCTTATTTGGTAAACAACATTGGTTTGAGCCTCTTACAGATAAATCTGGGTTCGAGTTCTGGATTTGCCAATTACTAAACTCTATTATTTTGAACGAATTAGCGTATCTGAGCCTTGATTTCCTCCTTTCTAACTGATACAGACCTCCGTACTTCCTAAGGCCTCTTGATGATTACAGTGGAATGACTGTAAAGGACTTGGCACTATGCCTAGGACAGTGTATTAGTTTCCTATCCCTGCAGTAACTAATCACCAGAAACTCACTGACTTAAAACAACACCCAGTTATTAGCTCCTAGTTTGCATGGGTCAGAACTCCAGGTCCAGTGTAGCTTAGCTGGGTTCTCTACTCTGAGTCTCAGAAGGTCAAAATGAAGGTGTTGTCTGGGCTGGGCTTTTTTATCTAAAGGTTTTGGGAGACAACTTGATTCCAAGTTCATTTAGATAATTAGCAGAATTCTACTTCTTGTGGCTACTGGTCTGAGTTTCCTGTTTCCTTGCTGGCTGTCAATCAAGGGCCACAATCTGCTCCTAAATACCACCCACATTCCTTTTCCCATGTCTCTCTCCATCCTGAAACCAGCAATGTTGCGCTGAGTCCTTCTCACCCTTCATATTTTTCTGACTCCCACCTCTCTGACTTTCTCTCCTGCTTTTAAGGGCTTATGTAATTATGCTGGGCCTATCTAGATAATCCAGAATTATCTCCCTGTTTTAAGGTCAACTGACTAATAATTTTAATTTCACCTGCAAATTCCCTTCTGTCATGTAATGTAACATATTTATGAGTGTAACACCAGGTACAAAGGTCAAAGGGACCAAAATTATGCTTATCATATGCAGGAGTTACTCTCGCTTAATTATTGTTCATGGGCTCCTCTACAAGGGAGTGCAACTTACTTACGCTGACTGCTGAGAACACACAGGAGTTCAAAAACAGAATAACGATCCCTTTTTTAAATCTTTATAATAGCTCCTGAGTGGGGGAGTTAGCATTATTATTCCCATTCTACAGATGTTAGAACGTATCAGAAGAGTTTAATATTTCAGAATTTAAGGCAAGAACAGAAAACTGAATACTGCATGTTCTCAATTATAATTGGGAACTAAACATCAGGTACTCATGGACAAAAAGTTGGAAACAATAAACACTGGGGCTACTAGATGAGGGAGAGAAGGAGGGAAGCAAGGGCTGAAAAACCCCAAACTTCAGCATCCCACAATGTATCTTTGTAACAAACCTGCACATGAATCCCCTGATTCTGAAATAAAAGTTGAAAAAGAAAAAAAAAATAAATGAAAGAATTAAAAATAAAACAATTCTAGAGTATGGGGGGAAAGATACAGATTACTCTCCTGAGTGGGATATTTGGCAAGAAATAGTGGAGCTATAAGTTGTGACCTCCTTGGGGACACACAATCTTACTCCAGGTCTCAGTATTTCTGAAACTGAGAGGCATAGAAAGATAAATCTCTTATTCATGGTTCTCTTGGTTGTAAATCATGGAAATTCCCTTAATAAAATATAAGTTAAAAAGAAAAAGGAAAACTATTTTAACGTACAATGTTAAGGGTACAAAGGAATCTCACATAACCCATATCTAGAAACTGGAACCAAGAATGAGAAAGCCTCCGAAATCCATGCCACCACTCCTGCTTCACTCTTTCCAAACCTGCTTCATTCTTTGCTCTTGGCCAGCCTGCTTGTTTGCACAGCTCTACACCCACCCTTCCCCCAAATCCATAATTTACCTGTCTGAAGTTCAAGTGGCTAATTCTAAATTCAAGGTAGGGAATTTAAGTCGGCTATCTATTACTGGTCTCATCAGCTATGACCAGTGAGGCAAGGCCACACAGGATAGACAGGATTGCTGGGTCCAAGAGTGTGTGTGAATGTGGGTAAGGAACTGTGATTGGGCTCCTGATTCTGGGCTAATAGCCCTCCTCTTAGGGAGGCAGAGGTCATGAGCTGACCCCTCCTCTAATAGCCCTGCCTCTTAGGGAGGCAGAGGCCATGAGCCAGCTAGACATTGCCAAAGTGGTTTTCTCAGATTTCTGCTCAATATGGCCAGGGCTAAAAGGATCCACTCTCTCTGCACATTTTGTGAGCAATTCCACTTCCTACAAGTGAGAGTCTGATTGGATCTGATCGGCATCATCCATCTGAGTGGCCCTATCATGCCACCGACTTTTGTTGAGTAGCCTTTGAGGTGATTGGTTTCCTTCACAGCCAGCTCATATATGGCTGATCTTGGTTTGCATGCCTACTTGGTCATTTGTGACTAGGATAGCAGTATTGTTTTTTTCTGGACACATAGTGCAGACCCCAGGGATTATGCTTAAAAGACCACCTCAGGGCTCCGTAGAAGAGGGTCACAGGCATAGCAGCATCTTGAAGCTTCATAGATTGCCTGCAAACATAGAGTTAGCAAATGGCTGAGCTGGGTCATTACTCCAGGTTTTGGAATTCCAAACTCCTTATTCTCCCAATTCACTATCTTAGAAAAGTTATTGGAATTGATGGGAACTGATCACAACTTTATGCTGTCTTTACAGCAAAAAATGATAGCAAAGGATGTCAGGGGAGAAAAGGCTTGCATATGTAATGTATGGTGCAAACATCAGTGGTTGGCTATTTAATATCCTTACATCCCTCTTTGGGATCCACAGATCAACAAGACTCTGAAGAGGAGTTTTCAGAGCATCAGTAATTTCTAGCAGGCATATCTTTGACAGTGTACTTGAGATTGCAGGTGTTATCATAGTTTTTGTCATAGGCCAGCTTTTTGATGACTAACAGCAACCATAATAACACATTTTTACTGAGCATTTCTTGGTATCAGGTAATCTTCTAATCTAGGTAAATATGTACATATGTATGAGTGTACATTCCAAGGAGGCAAAATATGCAAATGTAAAAAGTAAATAAATAAAACATTAAAAAGTGTATCTCCTCCCATCTCAACCCCATGATCTCCTCCCAAGGGCAAACTTTGCTACCAGTTTCTTGAGTATCTTTCTAGCACTAATGTTTATATAAACAAGCATAAATAAATAGCTCACAATTTTTACACCAATGGCAGAATAATAGTCACACATTTCTTCACCAGTCTTTTCTACTTAATAGTAAATCTGAAAATTGTTCAACTTGGTACACACAGATAGGCTAAGGTCTTTATAACAAATAATAAATAAATAAGTTCTCTAATATACCTTCACCTGCTCCACAAACTCTAATCCTTTACTGAGTTGTCCATTGATTGCAACTTGGCACGTTCATTTGAATCATGAGAAAATTCAGCATTCTGTCTAATTGCTATTCACATCCCACTGCCTTTGCCATTACCTGAAACACAAGGATTTCTCAAGAAAACAACAGGCTAAAGTAACCTCAAGCAACAAATAAAGAGTATTGATCCCTATTGGTTTTGTTCCTGAAGATGCATGTAATTAGGTTACCTGAATTTCAAATGGGAATAGGAAGCAAGTAAGAAAAAATGTTCAAGCAACATGTGCTTAATTAGTTTACAACCGTCTCTCTCTCTTTCTCTCTCTCTTTTACTAACTTGAGAACACAAAGTTCCCTATTGATCTAATTAGAAGAGTGATTGAATAAATAAATAAATATTATTTAAATAAGTTTCACAATTGTATAACGTAAGACCGTTTAGAGGACTTGACTGTATAAATGAATTATTTTTTTCTACCAAACCCACTCCAGTACAAAATAAAATATTAGCTATGGCAAATCAGAATATCTCCAAGGGAAATCTTTTAAGCCCTCTTCTAGAAAGAATATCTCACAACAAGAAAGTTTAAGTATAAAAAGATTTGTCCTGGAAATTATTAAAAATAACAAATTGAAAGGCTTCCAGGATAGATAAGCTCACTTCTCTGCTTGTAGCAACGGTAACTTGTCATCAAAGAAATAAGAGAGATATAAAAGCAAAAAAAAAAAAATGAGGATTTGCTCTGCTCTGTATTAACTTGCACCCCATTTTGAAAGCAATCTCTAATGATAATTACTAAAACAGCCATAAGTAGGATTCATTTAGGTTCTATGAAATCAACCTACTACCCAGATTGCTTAAAGTAAAAAAAGAACAGAAAAAAATAGCATGGAACCTGTCTCAATATGACTGCAGAGCTTCTGATAACTAGCTAGCATCACCTATCAAATGAAAGATTCATCTGTTTATCTTCTGTTGTTTTACTTGGAACAATTCCTTTCCCAAAATAATTATAAGGCAATTACTTGCCAGTTTTCACATTATTGGTTACTACTTTTACTCAAAGAATAGCAATTACTACATAATTGCAGTACATGGTTATCTGAACAGCCTTAACTGTGCCTACCAACCATAAATTAAACAGTCAGTATAACTCTAATTATGTATGTTACAGAGCACAAATATGTAATGACTATGTAGTTACACATTAATAAGTCCCACTTTATTTTTCAGAATCTAGTACGATAAAATGCGATTGGATCTACTTCGATGTGATAACCTGTGGAGTCATGCTCGCTTGTTGTTCTGTTCAGCTTTCTGGAACTCAGTGGACTACAATATATGTTCAGCATTGCCCACCTATTTTCAATTCATCCAAGTACACTCACTGAGGTAGAGAGAAAACAAAAAAATGAAAAGTAACTTTTTTTTTCTAACACTCCTTTCTAGCGTGTGTCCTTTCCAGTGGAACATCAGCAATTGTGGCTTAGATTCAAGAATTGCAGGTGCAGAAGCTTGACCGTGCCACCAGAGCCGTACCTTCGCCTAGTCATTGCATGCAAAATGCCTGGATTCAAAAGCATAGAAGGGGCTTGAATTTGGTTTGGACCATGATTTTGTTGCTTATGTTTTTAGGATATTATTTTCATTCCAAAAGTGACCATAGGAAATCAAATGTCTGAGAACAAAGGACTTAAGAATGCAACCATCTAACAAACATTAAAAAGTCCCTTTAACTATAGAACTAAATTACACAAAAAAAACTGAATTGAATAAAATAAATATGTCACCACCAAACTAAATAAAGCCCATCAACCTGCATTATCCCTTGACTACTACCCAAAATTTGAGAACAATAGATAGCACATTTATCATAACAGCAGTACCACTAGTTGCAGGGAATGTATGCCAGGAAAGAGGTTCAAAGAGGCAGAAGACAAGGGAAAAGACAGTGGCTCTCCCAGCAGTAACTGTTGATCTCTGGGAGGTGTCACACTGGGGACACAGATCCTGACATACACATGTGAGATGAGAATGAAATGAGACTAGGCGATTTAGCACCAATTTCCTACACTCCAGCACCCATCCTCTCCAGAGGCAATTGTTCTCCCTGAAAACTCCCTCCTTTCCAGTTTGACTCTGATGTTCCTGGAGCAGAGATCATTTGAACTTATCACATATTCATATCCTAGGGGAGAATCTGTCACAAAAAAAAACAGTAAGAGGCAGGTGCAGAGAGCATCTATGCCTGGTTAGAGAGCTCCAGTCACTAAAATGGGGCCACCATAAGCAGAAGGACGGTGATGAGATAAATCAGATACAATATTGGTCCTTGCCTCCCTGAAGACTGCCTTTGAGATATGGATTCACTTTAGCACACACACACATACAAAAAACACTTAAAAAAAAATTGAGACAGAGTCCTCCTCTGTCACCCAGTCTGGAGTGCAGTGGCGCGATCTTGGCTCACTGCAGCCTCTACATCCCAGGTTCAAATGATTCTCATGCCTCAGCCTCCAGAGTAACTGGGATTACAGGTGCCTGCCACCATGTCTGGCTAATTTTTGTATTTTTAGTAGAGATTGGGTTTCACTGTGTTGGCCAGGCTGGTCTCGAACTCCTGACCTCAAGTGATCTGCCTCCTGAAGTGCTGGGATTACAGGCATGAGCCACCGTGCCTGGCATATAAAACCATTTTCTTCAAAGAACAAATGAGTGGCCAAATGAGAGGCCGTATAGAAGTTTTCAGTGGAGGAACAACGTAAAACAAATGGAAAGAACTTAGGGAAAGAGAAATGACTTCCAAAGTAGCTGTTATTATGTGCCAATCACTTTACATACACCATCTTCTTAAATCATTGCAAGAACTCTCCGTGGTGTGTATTATTATTCTCATTACACTGATAAGGAAGCTGAGGCTGGGCTGATGAAGTCATTTGCCTGCTATCATACCCCTAGCCAGTGGCAGGGCTTGGGTTTCAGCTCAAGTGTGTCAGACGGTACTGCCTATGCTCTTTCAATTATGACAACCACATCCACCAACACCCTAAACTAACTTTTAAGGAGTACTTACTAGGTGCCAGGTGATTTTCACACATCATTTTCTTCAATCAATTTAAATAACCCTTTAAAATAATTACCAATAATTATATTACTATTCCCAGTCCACAGATGAGGAAACTTAGAACCTCAAGGTAGTGATCGTTCTTACCTAAAACGTTATAGTAAGCCCTAAAGCTGAGATTCAAACCCAGAGCTAATAGCAAAGCCTCTGTCATTAGTCACCCCACTCTACCACTCTTAATACCAGAGATCCAAAAGGAAGAGGTGATTTCCTGCCAGAACAGAGTTTATATCTAGAGGAGGATCTATCACATTTCCAGAGGAATTCGTTACTGAATTATATTCAAATAGTAAATGAACATATCTTCCTCTCCATATCTGCATCACCTATCTTCTCTTTTTCCTCCAGCTATGCTAGGGATTCAGCTCCATACACCCATGGCAACCTGGATATCAACTTTGCCTACTGGGCCCTGAAATTCTTGGGGTCTAAAAGGGTAATTCTCATTTCTGTACCTACAGTGCCATGCAGAGAGCCTACGTGAGAGCAGTTGCTCTAGTAGTTTGAAGAGATCACTGAGTGAATGAGTGAATGGATGAATTAATGAACAAGCATGGAATTCTAGATTGGAAGGCACTTTAGAGTAAACTGATTACAGTTACCACATTTTACAGAATTATTTTCCTGGATTTGGAGAAATGTTAAGTGACTTCCCCAGAAACAAGTGCTAGATAAATATATCACACACACACACACACACACACACACACACACACACACACAAAATAACACCAGCCTCATAACAACAAAGTAAAATATATAAAACGTGACTCTCTTGGGACCAGACTTTACATATATTTTGAATATTTTATGGGACTTTTTTAGCTATATAGGCCACAGATTGTGATGAGAACACACCCTAATTTGGCAAGTGTTTTGTATCCATAATGAGATTTCTAAATGTTATCTGTTTTTAGTACATAAAGATATCCTGAGTAAAATATTTAACATAATTGTGGCACTTGTCATACAGTCTTTTCTCCTTCTATACCCCAAAAGGATTGCATAGCCTGAGGTGGTAGTAAGCAACGAAGGGGTTCTGTATATTTGTATATTTTCATGAAAGAATTTATTTTTGAAACACAGAGTTTATGCCTCAGCAGTGAGGAATTCCTGAAATCATGGAGACTTGAAGTGGACATAATACATCTGAATCGTTACTTTGCAACTTATCATTCAAACCAGGACCAGGACACAGTTGAGAGTGAAAGGGGTTGTTATAAGACAGATGGTCTTTTTGTGGAAGACCACAAGAGGTTAAATATTTCCACAAAAACACTGTCTATCTTATAACATCCCCAACAATCTAGAACCAGAAATACCATTTGACCCAGCAATCCCATTACTAGGTATACACCCAAATGATTATAAATCATTCTACTATAAAGACAGAGGTGTTCATGTCCTTTGTAGGGACATGGATGAAATTGGAAATCATCATTCTCAGTAAACTATCGCAAGAACAAAAAACCAAACACCGCAGATTCTCACTCATAGGTGGGAATTGAACAATGAGAACACATGGACACAGGAAGGGGAACATCACACTCTGGGGACTGTTGTGGGGTCGGGGGAGGGGGGAGGGATAGCATTGGGAGATATACCTAATGCTAGATGACGAGTTAGTGGGTGCAGCACACCAGCATGGCACATGTATACATACGTAACTAACCTGCACATTGTGCACATGTACCCTAAAACTTAAAGTATAATAATAATAATAATAAAAACTTCCAAAAAAAATAAAAAAAAAGACAGAGGTACACATGTGTTTATTGCAGCCATGTTCACAATAGCAAAGAGTTGGAACCAACCCAAATGCCCATCAATGATACTGAATAAAAAAATGTGGCACATATATACCATGGAATACTATGCAGCCATAAAAAAGGATGAGTTTGGCTGGGCGCTGTGGCTCACGCCTGTAATCCCAGCACTTTGGGAGGCAAAGGTGGGTGGATCACGAGCTCAGGAGTTTGAGAGCAGCCTGGCCAATATGGTGAAAGCCCATCTCTACTAAAAATACAAAAATTAGCTGGGCGTGGTGGTGTGCACCTGTAGTCCCAGCTACTTGGGAGGCTGAGGCAGAAGAATCGCTTGAACCCGGGAGGCAGAGGTTGCAGTGAGCTGAGATCACCCCACTGCACTCCAGCCTGGGCAACAGAGCGAGATTCCATCTCAAAAAAAAAAAAAGGGATGAATTCATGTCTTTTGCAGGGACATGGATGAAGCTGGAAGCCATCATTCTCAGCAAACTAACACAGGAACAGAAAATCAAACACCGCATGTTCTCACTCATAAGTGGAAGTTGAAAAATGAGAACACATGGACACAGGGCAGGGAACATCACACACTGGGGCCTCTTGGGGGGTAGGAGGCTAGGGGAGGGATAGCATTAGGAGAAATACCAAAATACCTAATGTAGATGATGGGTTGATGGGTGCAGCAAACCACCATGGCACGTGTATACCTATGTAACAAACCTGCACATTCTGTATATGTATCCCAGAACTTAAAGTATAATTTAAAAAAAAAGAATGATGGTCACGCTTTTTATCTGTTCACATTTACACAGTAATGCTAACTAGGTTTTCATTGAAGGTAAGGGATATGGTTCCAAAAATCACTGGGGAAGACATTCTGGGTATGGACCAGGGCAAGGACAGAAGTTTTGTGATTTGTCACCTTTGAGGAATTTGAGAATCAGATTAAAATCACAGATCTTCTCTACCAGAAAATGCACATTTACACAAGGCTTTGCACAAGTTTTCGGAGGGGCACATCCATTGACTTCTAGACTCTAGAATAAGACCCCTAGATAAAGAATCCTGATTCTATATCAGGGTTTTTTTAGCTTTGGCCCTATTGACATTTGGGGCCAAACAATTCTTTGTCATTGGAGGTTGTAAGGTGCAAGGTAGCATGGTTAGCCGCATCCCTGGCTTCTGCCTACTAGATGCTAATAGCACCCCATCCCCAGTTATGACAACCAAAAATGTCTCCAGATACTGCCAAGTGTTGGAGGGGTCATATTGCCCCCACTTGAAATCATTGTTCTAGAGATAGAAGCATGAAAATTGCATGTAACGGATTAAAAAGCAGTTATAACTTACTGTGATAACACACACAGCAAACTTCTTATTAGTATAATAAGAAGCAATGGCAGTGCAATGTAAAAATCCCCAAAACTCCCCTTTCAATCTGTCTGTGACTTTAATTCATGACTGATATGGCCATTCTCTTCAAAAGAGAGGGTTAATGATGACCTACTTAGGACAATTTGGCTCCACTGAAGAGTTTCTACCACTTCATGCCACTATCTGACAAGTGTTGAGTGGAAATGATTCTACAGAAAACATTCTGAAGTGTTTATAATGAACAGAACTTGTAACCTAAACTGTGAGAAACATTCTGGGAGGCTGTTCCATTTATAATCAGTCCTATAGAGACAGGGCACAGTAGGCACCTGGAGAAATGTAATTTCCGATGCAGTAAGTATGTATTGGGTATGACTGCGTCGTCAGTCTTTTCTCATTTGAAAAATAAGGGAGTGGCAACTTTCTGAACCTTCTGAGCCTCAGTGCCCTCTGTGTACTCAGAGTAGGCAGCTAGACAGCAAGTCCCAAATGTGGGTCTGCAGATTAGTATTTGATAAGCTGCACAGGACACCTGTTATGGTCAGATAGTTTATATCCACCCCCTATACTCATATGGGGAAATCCTGGCCCTCAAGGTGACAGAACTGGGAGGTAGGGCCTATGGGAGGCAGAGTTCTCATGAAAGGGATTAGTGACTTTATAAAAGAGGCCCAAAGGAGCTCATTAGTTCCTTCTACCATCTGAGGGTGCAGTGAGAAGACAGCCTTCTATGAACCAGTCAGTAGGTCTTCACCAAACATCAAATCTGCTGGCACCTTGATCTTGGACTTCCCATCCTCCCAAACTGTGAGAAATTAATTTATGCATTTATAAGCCCCCAGTTTGTGGCATTGTGGTTTGGTAGCCTGAAAGGACTGAGACAGTACTTTTGTGGAATTTACTAACAGGGCCAATGGGGAAGAGGAGCAGACATTTAGTGTACCTTCTGCCCCAGGATCTTACCTTTACAAAAGGCCTCGAATGTTAACTTTGAACTATCACCAACTGAAATTCCATATACTATCATTCAATAAATATATGAGTTCAATAAATATAAGCACATTAAAAGTCAGTTTTGTTTCCTCTGTTGGTGGCATTTCCTCAATTTCAATATGACAATAGCTTTAAAAAATGGAAATAGCTTAAACCTCTCACCACCTTTGTGTTTCTGCAAATGCCTATGTCCAATCCCTATAAATTCCATTTTAGTTGGTCTTCAACAGGGCCTAAGCCTCTGCATTTTAAAACACAGCCTAGGCGGTCAGGCAAAGTGGCTCATGCCTATAATCCCAGCACTTTGGGAGGCCAAGGCTGCAGGATCATTTAACATCAGGAATTTGAGGCCAGGCTGAACAACACAGTGAGATCTCGTCTCTACAAAAAAAAAAAAAAAAAAAAAAAATTAGCCGGGTGTGGTGCCATATGCCTGTAGTCCCAGCTACTCTAGAGGCTGAGAGAAGAGGAACACTTGAACCCAAGACTTCAAGGCTGCAGTGAACTATGATTGCACCACTGTGCTCCAGCCTGTGTGGCAGAGCAAGACCCTATCTCTAAAAACATAAATAAATAAATAAAAATTAATTAATTAAAAGCATTCTATGTGATTCTGAGCAGGTGAGCAGGTGTTCTTGGAGCACACTTTAACAAGGAGGGCTTTGGCTCAAAAGACCTTCCTAGAAAATAATACCTTTCCTAGGAAGTTAGACAAAGGGAAATACAGAGAATTGTGCATACTTGAAAAGTTAAAGCTGTAATATTTTCCTTCACCTCTTTCTCCACCTAGCAAACTCCTGCCTATTCTTTGAGGTTCAGCTCAAATATTATGTCCTCTGTGAAGTTCTTTAGACAGTCTTCTATTCATCAGTTATTGCACCATCCACTGAGCTGTGAGTTTCTGGAGAGAGCATACCTTGGTTATATTTAATTTATCTCTGTCTGCCCAGACTCTACTATAGCACCAGGCACCAGGCATATTCAATATCTTTGATGGCTAGAGTGTTTTATTTTATACCTTTTTTCCCTGTTACAATTCATCCCAGAAGACTCCAGATTTCAAGAAAGGCTCATTGATTCTGATCCTACATCGCCTAAGATTATATTCTGGAGCAACACCCAGATGAGCAGGAATTGCTCTAGAGCTATAGAAAGGTAAAGGTCTCACCCCTACCTGACTTGGTTTCCATGCCCTCCTACTAGGAAGCAGTGGCTGCACATGGAGCAATAGGCTGGATTTCCTCCCTTTTTAACTCTTCAGCTGAATGCCATTAAGCAGGGAACACCCTGAAAACTCATAAGTGACTGGCAGCCTTGTGACGTACCTCTTTTTTCCTTACATGGGCAAAGCTGAAGTTGGCAACCTATAAGAGTATAAGAAGTTGTAACCTATAAGAGTAACTCATCTCCTAATCCAGGGATCCTTTTCCTTAGGTTCAAAGGGCCAAGGGATACTCAAAGTGCAGTAAACTTCTAAGTATTACTGTTTCCATGAAATGGAAAAGCCACTGAGAGCTTAAATCAAATGCCAAAGGCTGTTACCTAATCTCTTTGATCTGAGTTATTTAATATACAAGAAATGTGACTGTGTGCCTTATTAATAAAATAAAGAAAAGAAAATGAAGACAAGAGAGGGGAAAAGAAGGGAAGGGAATGGAGAGAAAGGCATGAAAAGGAAGGAAAGGAAGGGGAAAAGCGGGAGGGGAGCTTATTGTCTTGTTTGTTTTCAGCATTAGGTGTTGGGGAGAAACTATGTTGTCCTTTCCCAGCCTTTCTCCCCACAGGTAAAAGAGGAATAAAGGAAGAAAATTTACATTTCAATTATATCTCCAGTGGTTTGACAAGGATTAAGCTAAATGAATCACCATTAGCAAAGAAAGCAGCTTAAGTAAATAAAAACTCCTGGGATGCAGACAAACACACATTAGGAACTGGACCCCTTCTTCCAATGGGCAGTAAACCCAGCACTGAAATTCAAGTGAAAATTCTGAAACTGACCTTTCAGAATCTTTCTGAATGGTTGCCCCCTTGTCTTCTTTTTCTCCTTGCACAATGAAATTTAGATGGGTTTCATGAAAAAAAACTGAAGACCATTTGTTATATTGCAAATATACAAAGGAGATTAAAGGTTTGTTTGAATGAGTGGCTTTTCAACCTGTATATACTTATATATGTACACGGACACACACTTACTCAGAGAAAAAGCATACTCCTTAAAATTTCCTGAGTTGTATATTCAGAGAGATCTTTTTCGAACTTCTCATATGAGACATAAAGGTATAAAAGCTAAAATATGGACAGTGTAAAATAAACATAGCCAGGCATGTATATTTCATTGAGTGAGACCGTCGTAGCTTCTAACCATGTTATGTGGGTGTTATAAGAACAAAACATGGCCCTGGCTTAACAATTTTGTAATCTTCTTAGGAATAAGACAATCACATATGAAACAGGAGTGCAATAAACTCAGTAGAATTCAGCTTAATTGTGTTCTACAAGCTCCAGAGAAGGGAGGTCAACAAGGGCTAAAATTTCTCCTTTCAATATCTCAGAAGCTACACAGATATTTCTCCCAAATGGGTTGACCTAACTAGACTTTAGCTGATTTACAAGAATAGATAGGATTTTTATAGCAAGAATGGAGCGAAAAGGACATTCTGAGCAAGGGGAGTAGATAGAACAAATGAAAAAGCGAGCCAGAAATCAGCCTGGTGTCTTCCTAACACATCCCTGAGAATGCCTTGAACAAATGTGGAAGAAAACAAAGGGAGAAGCAGAGTGGAGATTGGCGATGAAGGACCAACTGTCAGAAACTATCTGTAAAATGGTAGGCTAAAAAAAGAAAAGAAAAAGAAATGATAAGTAGGAGGAGATATGAGTTTGAGAACTATGAGTGGATATTGGATTTTCTCCCTGCCTGCCATTTTACGGAAGTAAACTAAGGCCCACAGAGGTGAGAGACACTCTATGCAAGGCAGGGTCTTCAGGCTAGCCCACCATGTTCCCACTACCTGTCTCTGTCTCTTCCCAATGGGTGGTACTCCTCCAGAAGTTTCACCTTTCCTAACATCAAAATTTAGTTTGAGAGTTCAGAGATTTGACATCCCTCAAATGTAAATTGCTGTCTTCTGAATATTCCTTCTGAAGGTCTCTGAACTTAAAAGCAAGAAGATAAATTTTGGAATTTATTTTTCTTTTTTGATGCTGTTCATATTTTTGTTTTAATCTGCAAAGTTAAGGCCATATGGAGAGCAGCTAACTTGATAACTAAATCTCAAAAAAAAAGGTTGATATTGTTGTCATCTGAAAATTCCTATCTGTATAATGACTGGAGGGCAAGCCGTAAACATGGCGGTAGTAGGTCTGTTTCCCAGCTCCAGAATGTTCTAGATGTCTGACTTTGGGTAACTTGTTTCATCTCTATAAAATTCAGTTCCTCCATTTGTAAAATTAGGTTGATAAAATCACCCACCTCCTGGGGATGTTGTGAAGACCAAATAAGACAAGGCATTTAAAGTACTTAGTAAAGGGTCTAACACATATCAAGTTCTCCATAAATGTTAGCTATTATTAGCTATAATGCCATCAAATAAATGTTACCTATTATTAATGATATCTTCAAATACATGACACTCTAAATGAAAATTTGAAAGTTAAACCCTAGAATAGCAGTCTATACTGATTTGTATGTCTCATATGAAATTCACTTAGCAACTGACTTTGCTTTCTAGTTAACACATAAAGTTTATTTTTATATTAACGAATAGATAGACTGAACACATGCTCAGGCTCAGCAAAGCAGGAACCCTCAAAAATGACATATCATTTATTCAATAAATGTATTCAGAATTTTGCAGTCGGAATGTTTAGAACTAAGATCTTAATTTCAACATAAAATAAAGCTCTGTTTTACAGTTTATTATTGTTTCCATGTGTGTTTCTTTATGGCAGATAATAATTGCAGAGTTTAGAGGCTCTAAGGATCTTGGGCTGGCCATAGGTGGAGGTTCTAAGGATCTTAGGCTGGCCAGAGGGTGGAAGGGTCTAGGGGTGAACCCCAGGGGTAATACGAAGTCGTTGAAAATGTATACAAATCTTGGATTTTTGAAAATGGTTTTGGGAAAAGGTCTACAGATTCTCAAAGGAGTCCATGGCAATAAAGCTTAAAATACCTATTGAACAATATTAATAAGAGAATGATCATATCAACATGGTACACATATATAATAAACTTATCAGTAGTAGTTCTTATAGTTGGGTAGATCTATATATATATATTGAATTGAACAAAAGTCTATGATATATTAAGTGATAAAAGCGAGTTACAAAATTTTTTTAGAGTTGTAGAATCATGTTTATGGTACATATTTTTATTATCTACTAAATACCAGTATTTCTAAGCAGGCAGATCATTTCTCAATTATAAGTTGATTTCACCCCACATTTTAATGTTTATGAAATCAGAATTTACCTTATAATCAAAATATGCATCCAGTGAAATGTTTCTTTGTTCTCTCTTCAAAAAACTCTTAGTGATATATAAGTCTTGGAATTGAGGGTGAGTTCAAATGAAAAAGATATGTATACCTGTCAGCAAACATCGATTTTGTGACTTAAAAAAAAATAAAACACCAGAGTTGATAAGTTTTAAACCCCTTTTTGCGATTCCATGTTATATTCAAATAAAGTCAGTCTCAGGAATGTGTATCTACCTATAGAAATTCATTATTTGCATATATTTGCATGTCACTCAGTATAATTAAATGCTAGTTCCTTAAACTTAGGAAAGCTCTTTATTGTTAAAATAGCACTAACAAGAAATGTTGGAAGTAGAGAGCCTTCTGTCACCTCTCAAATATCTTCACATGGACAGGAATACATGATAATATGTACATTATTATAGAGTGCTTATAATATGTGAGGAACTGCCTAAGCACTTTATATACATTATTTTAACTTTTACAATAATGACATAAAATAAATTCAGTATATTAAGCTCAATTTATAAGTAAAGATAATGAGGCTTGAAGATTAAAAATTAGGCTGAGTCTATAGCTGGTTTAAAGCAGTGGTAGGAATCTGACCCATCTCTGCCACCTCAGAGTTCATCTTTAACCACTGTACTGCTTCTCTTTCACTTCTTCCAGCTCCACTCCCTTGATCAGAGAAATAGTATAAATGTACCTGGAAAATCGTGTCTATGTTCACCTGTGATTAGCCAGAGTATTCCCCACACAGAAGAATGAGCAGCAACACAAAGGAGACCCATGTAAGGAATTTATTGTAAGATTTCTCAAAAGGAAATGTGCTCATGAGGCCCTACTTCCCCCAGAATGCACCAGTGTCTGGGTAGGGCCCCTTGGGAACAACACTATTTCCAAAGGTTCCTACAAGTTTGGCAGCAGCAGGTGGCAAACGTTAGCCCTGGTCTGCATCTAATTAAGATTTTGTCAGGTCTGTTCCTATTTAGATTACCAAGGTCTGTGCAGCCTAAAAGGCATGTTACCTTCTTAGAAGCTGAGTGGAATGAACAAAATCAAATTAAATGTGATTTACCAGTTGATTCAGTATTTATAAGCAGACGGCTTGTTGGCTTCAGAAGTGAGTGTTGGTATCAGCAGAGCCGAAGATATTCAGAGAGATTAAAAATAAATGGCTGAAAAATGAGTCTCAAAACCCATTAGTGCCAACTCAGATCATTTGTTTTCATAAATCATCTCAATGTTCTGACTTCACATGTTAAAATAATTCAAAACTAACTTTGCACCACCTTTTGATCTGAAGTCATAACAAGTGGCTGCCACTGAAGCACGTGAAAAATTAAGTGTCTCCATTTCTTCAGGAACAGGGCACAACCAAATTGCTCCATCGTAAATTTTAACATCCACAATTCAGTGCTCTGTAGGAACTGTGTTCAATTTGCTAGATTCTGCAACCACGGAAACCAGAGAACAAAGAGTTCCAGGGCAGACAAGCTGGAATGAAACTCTTTTCCAAGTAGCACCAGTTTCAGGGGAGAGAACCAGAGACAGAGTTTGTGTGTCACCAGTGTTTGGGGTGGGAGGAGTATTAGCTGACACCATTTATTCCCTAGTATTCATTCAGTTATCATTCTCTGCCAGTACATCCCCACTTCGTATTCAATATGAATGAACCTCACAATGTCCTATCACCTGCGGTTTCTTCATATGTCTGCCCTTATTCCCTTCTCTTATCCTTGGTACCAGTCCCCAAGCCTAGAGAATCAACAGTCCTAGTTTGTTTGCCATTGATATTATTGCAATCCTAAGAAGAGGACATTATCATATTATGCCTCTGCTTTATTTTCTTTATTTTTAATTGACAAATAAAAATAGCATATAGTGATGTATACAACATGATGTTTTGATAGATGTATACATTGTGAGATAGCTAAATCAAGCTATTTAACACATGCACGAACACATATACTTATTTTTTTGTTAAGAATAGTTAAAATCTACTGTCTTAGCAATTTCTATATACAATATGTTGTGATTAACAGAAGTAACCCTGATGTACAGTGCATCTCTTGAACTTATTTCTACTATCTCACTGAAATTTTGTGACCTTTGACCAATATCTTTCCAGTTCCCCACCCCACAGCCTCTGATAACCACCATTCTACTCTCTGTTTGACTTTTTCACACTCCACATATAAGTGAGATACTGCAGTTTTTGTCTTTATGAGTCTGGTTTACTTAACATAATGCCCTCTAGCTTCATGTTGTTGCAAATGACAGGATTTCTTTCTTATTAAGGCTAATAGTACTCCATTGTGTATATACAGTATAATACATTTTCTTTATTTATTCATTGGTGGACACCTAGGTTGGTTTTATATGTTGGCTATTGTGAATAGTGCTACAATAAACATGGGAATGCAGATATCTCTTCCACTTACTGATTTCACGTCCTTTGGATATATATTAAGCAGAAGTGAGATTGTTGGGTCACATAGTAGTTCTATTTTTAATTCTTTAAGGAACCTCCATATTCTTTTCCATAATAGCCGTACTAACTTAATTTTCATGAATAGTGTGCAAGGGTTTCCTTTTCCCCACATCCTCACCAACACTTATCTTGTCTTTTTGATAATAGCCATTCTCACAGATACGATGTGATATTGCATTGTGGTTTTAATTGGCATTTCCCTGATGACTAGTGATGTCATATGTCCTTGCTTTAAAACAGTGGCTGGCTCCTTATTACCTACAGAATCAAGTTCAAATCTGTTAGCACCTTCACAATATGATCAAGACACATTCGTAGAAAGAATAAAAAAGGGAAAGATGAGGCAGAGACAGAGAACAAACGACAAAGATCAAAGGTCTTCTCCATAAAACATTTTGAAGGGAAGTAATACGTATTTCTGATTATAAGCATTCTCATCTGTTATTTACCAGATACATACATACAACTGAACAACTCATTTTTAAAGCACATTTTATTTCAGTGGTGTTCAGACCTAGATTTTGAGTTAAAATGCAATTTTCTTGCTTCTTACAAATTAATGTGTTTTTACATACCTGGATTTGGGGTTAATGGAATTCAGCATGGAAAATTTATACAAGCTGCATGACAATTCTCTAGTTAAAAAAAAAAATCTGAGAGTCTCACCACAAAATATCCGCATGTGACAGAGAAGATCAATAATAATCACTGTCTGTGGAAATATCAGAAGAGTAAAGAGAGAGAGAAAAAAAAAAAGAAACCACCAATGCAGGGTTACCTGAAAAGAGAATTATTATAATCTTATTAAAATATAAATTGCCTGATGCTGCGAAAAAAAGTTTTCTTTTCTGGACATGCACAGAATGGTACAGAACTCAGTACCAAGATTCTAACAGCCCAAACTAAAATGTCTATCATTAATTCTATAAGCAATGAAGTATCTATCATTAAGGGCTTCATTTGCTGGAGAATTACTGCAGCCAAGAGAGGCAATATGGGATTAAAAACTCTGCTATTTACCAGGGAATTTGGGGAAAGTCACTAATGTATAATTCAGACTTCTTTTCTGTAAAAAATTAACATATCAGGATGCTTTATAATTTAATATTGAAATTATTTTATAATATGTGTCTCTGTCCTATGCCTTCACTGTGCCATTCACAAGAATGAGATAATATTTATTTTTCTTCTTATAAGAAAAATAACCAGGCCTTGTGTTTGCAGTTCTGGACTCCCTGCCCTGGAAAGTAATTAATTTTTTTATGTGGCTTGAAACCTAAAAACAGGCATTACCATGAGAATGTAGGGTAACTAGAGCACTGAAGCTTAAAGAAAACCTCCACTCAGGGCTTTCTTAATGCTAGTATTTAAAAACTAAAATACCTACAGGGGTCATAACACAAATGTGCCAATTATTCTGGATAATTCTGTAGCGAGCCTGTGGCCCAAACTGGGGAGTCCAATTTCTGTCTTAAAGGATTCAAGTTCAAATATTTACCATAACCTTCCTAATAAAATGTGCAGAATTTGGCATTCTGCTGCCTGTTTGGAGTGTGTTGAGTCTCATCAAGAGGATAAAGCTGCCTGCGCTACAGGAAGGGATTGGCAGCTGTGTGGTTTTGAAGTTAGAGAAGGTCAAGGTGCTAATCATGTAGGAGATCATTTGGGGGTCCAAGATTGGGGTTTTAGGATTCCATGGTCACAGAGAGCAGGACTTCAGTTGAATGTGATAGAGTGTGATGGGGAAAGGTAGTGGCTCAAGTGGGGATGGCAGCATGGAATCCTTGGGCCAGGGATAGGACCCCAGGGCAATGCCTGACAGATGGGAAAGGCCCAGCTCTCAGCATGGCAGGCAAACAGTGGGACTAGCACAGACTGAAGACCAGGCCCTTCTCCATCTTCTAGGCTAAGTCTGGAGGTAGGTATAGGATTCAAAGAGGCGAGAAGATCCATACAATTGCCTAATATTGGACATCTTTGCCAATCTTAGTGAATGAGGGCTTATGCTGGATTTAATTCAATTCAGAAAAAAAGAAATGATTGTGATATTCCTACACTGTATAGCATCTATAACTTTTTCAGGAATGATAAAAATCATAGCTGCCATTTGTCAACTACTTGTGTATTTCACATATATTACTACATTTAATATTGAAAAACTCTACCTGCTAAATGCCAGTACTGGGGCACAGAAAGGTGAGCTTGCCCAGGGTCATGTAGCTGGCAAAGGGGTAGAGTCAGACTTCAAATCCAGGTGGTCAGAATTACAGAGGCCACACATGTAAACCATGCAAAGCACCACCTCTTGGGCTTAAAGGAGAGTGCCTTCCTCCCAAGATGGTTTTGAGTTTCAATGTTTATGAAAGAATTAGGAGAGATGTATAAAACATTTTGTTTTATTCTTAAGGTCTGCAACCTAAGGCCCAACAGCCCAGATTAATATGATCCTAAACCCTCTTCCTGTGAACCAGAGGCTCCCGATGTGGACAAGAAAGAGCAGTCACAGCCCAGCTTTGAAAGCAAAAAACTGAGAAGCCCTCACCTACACAGGCCCGTTTTTGCCTTTCCCACAGGATTTCTTTAGCCCCCTGAACCTACTCTCTCTTCCAAATTCTGGAAACTGCATTTACAATAGGAGATAGTGGGGCTGGTAGGTATTAGTCAAGATTGCTGCAGCAAGGGTTGGCCTTCTCTAAACAGGATGGTGAACTAGAATAAACAAACACAAGTCAATATTTCTTAAGCTCAAGGAGTCTATTAAAAAATATACTTTGATACGCTAGAATCCTCCAGGATAATATTTTTGGCATCTTAATTTCAGTTAAAATTTTTGAAAATAACAAAGCATGTTCTTAATTATTCAGAATACAATATCTTTGTAACTAACTCTGGCCATAGGAGTGAGCACGGAAAAATGAGAAGCTACAGGGCTTCTCAAACAGGGAAAAGAAACAATTTATTTGAGTTCCTCAAGTTCTCAAACTTGAAAGGCAGTTCAACTACTGACCCGCTCAATAGGCTGAAGTAACACGATGAGGATGATGGGTAGAGTATTTTGGAAAAGCATTGAATTCAAAGTCAGACATCGTGGCTGGGCTATTTACCAGCTGGTGACTTAAAGCAAAGCACTGCATTTCCCTAGGCCTCATTTTTATTTCCCATCTATAAAAATTGGGATGATGGTGATGATAATAACTATGATAGAGATAATAATAATAAGGCCAGCCATATCTCAAATATCAAATGTTGTCTTGTATTTCAAGTGCTTTGTGGTGCTGTAGACAGATAACACTAGAAATAGAAACACATATATGCCTTGTGGGAGATGCTGAAGGGAGAAGAGTCTGCGAACTGGTGAGCAGAACAAATGAGAGGACACAAATTGGGTGAAGGAGGTAGAAAGATAGGAAAGTTACAGGCATTGGAATGTGGTTAAACAAAAGAGTCAAAGAGTGGAAGTAAGTTATATCCCCAGAAAAACCAGAAAAGGTTTACATGCAGAAACTAGGTTAGGCAGCAAACAGCTACTGTGCTGCCTATGTATACCTAGGGTATGAGAAACTAAAAGAATGCGGCTGGAGGCACTAGGACATGAGGTCAGCTACCGCACCAGCTGCTGTGCAGAGAAGAGACGGCAGCTCACCTGGGGCAGATCTCAGCAGGGTCGTTTTGGTCACTCTTGAGCCTAACGCATGCTCCCAGGCAGAAGAGATCCCCCCAGATGAGAAAGTTTGCCATCCCAAAGTAGAAGCCTTCAGCCTCGATGTGGGCCTGGAAAGGGACAGCTGTCAGCGCATTCAGTGCACTTCCGAGAAATCCCAGACTCAGCCTTTTCACTTGCTGTTTCCTCTGCCTGCAATCCTCTTCCTTCAGCTTCTCATGAGTCTGGCTTCTTCTCATGTAGAGGCTGTCCTGACACCCCTCCCTGAAACCAACCTCCCTCTACCTCTTGTCCCCCAGGCTAGAGTGCGATGGTGCGATCTCGGCTCACTGCAACTTCCGCCTCCCCAGTTCAAGCGATTCTCCTGCTTCAGCCTCCCAAGTAGCTGGGATTGCAGGTGCTTGCCACCACATCTGGCTAATTTTTGTATTTTTAGTAGAGACGAGGTTTCACCATGTTGGCCAGGCGGGTCTCGAACTCCTGACCTCAGGTGATCCTCCCGACTCAGCCTCCCAAAGTGCTGGGATTACAGGCGTGAGCCACTGTGCCCAGCCGGTTTTGCATTTACTTCTTTAAAGTCTGCCTCTCCTACCAAACTGTGTTGTCCAATACAGTAGCCATTAGTTCCATGTGGCTATTTAAATTTAAATGTATTGAAGTCGAATAATTCTATCCACTCTCCACAGCTTACGTGCTCAATGGCCACATGGGGCTAGAGGATACTACATTGAACAGTAAATCATTTCCTAATGTAATCTAATCACATCAGAGCATTTGCATCATCTAAGAAACTTCTGCTGGAAGAATAACACTAGACCCCTATGTATCACCATATACAAAAATAAAAGTCAAAATGATTAAAGACTTAAATATAAGAATTCAAACTATGAAACTACCACAAAAAAAAAAGTGTTGAAAATCTCCAGGACTTGGGTCTGGGCAAAGATTTCTTGAGTATGGAAACAAGCATAGGAAACCAAAGCAAACATGGACAAATGGGGTCACATCAAGTTAAAACGCTTCTGCACAACAAAGGATACAATCAACAAAGTGAAGAGACAACCCACATAATGGGAGAAAATATCTGCAAACTACCTATCTGACAAGGGATTAAGAGCCAGAATGTATAAGGAGCTCAAATAACTCTATAGGGAAAAGTCTAATAATCCAATCAAAAATGGTCAAAAGATTTGAATAGACGTTTCTCAAAAGAAGACATAAAAATGGCAGACATATGAAAAGGTGCTCAACATCACTGATCATCAGAGAAATGCAAATCAAAACTGCAATGAGATATTATCTCATTCCAGTTAAAATGGCTTATATTCAAAAGATAGGCAATAACAAATGCTGGCGAGGATGTGGAGAAAAGGGAATCTTCGGTGTACACTGTTGGTAGGAATGTAAATGAGCACAGCCACTTTGGAGAATAGTTTGGAGGCCCCTGAAAAAAATAAAAACTGAGATATCATATGATCCAGCAATCATACTGCTGGGTATACACACAAAAGAAAGGAAATCAGTATATCAAAGAGATATCTGCACTCCTGTGTTTGTTACAGCACTGCTTTCAATACCTAAGGTTTGAAAGCAATCTAAGTGTCCATCAACAGGTGAATGGATAAAGAAAATGTGGTACATATACACAAAGGAGTACTATTCAACCATAAAAAGAAGGAGATCTAGTCATTTGCAGCAACATGGATGGAACTGGGGAGCATTATGCTAAGTGAAATAAGCCAGGCACAGAAAGGCAAACACTGCATGTTCCCACTTATTTGTGGGATCTAAAAATCAAAACAATTGAACTCATGGACACAGAAAGTAGAAGAATAGTTTCCAGAGGCTAGGAAGGGTAATGAGGGACTTGGGGGGAGGTGGAGGTAGTTAACAGCTACAAAAAAAAAAAAAATAGAATGAATAAGACCTACTATTTGATAGCATAATAGGTTTACTATAGTCAATAATAACTTAATTGTCCATTTTTAAATAACTTAAAGAGTATAATCAGATTGTTTGTAACTCACAAGAGAAATGCTTGAGGGGATGGTTACCCTATTCCCCATGATGTACCTATTTCACATTGCATGCCTGTATCAAAGCATCTCATGTACCCCAAAAATAGATACACCTACTATGTACCCACAAAAATAAAATCTAATTTTTTTTTAATGTCTGTGGGACAGCACTAATCTAGAATTTAAGTTCCCTAACAGCAGGACTCTTACCTATCTTGTTCACTGCTGTATTCCCATTCTCTAAGAGAGTGCATGGCATAGATAGGTACTCGGTAAATATCTTCTGAGTGAATGGATAAGAGGAAGAAAAACCCAAAAGGTTTACATTCATCCTGGATAAGAATAAAAGATAAATAATGTGGTTGAGAAAAACAAACTTACAGACTGAAATTACCCAGGAATTCTCAATATCTAATATGTAGGCAGCCTATAAACTTGTGTAACATGCATGTTGTACTGCATTTTCTGCTAACTAAACTTTTATTATTATTATTATTATACTTTAAGTTTTAGGGTACATGTGCACAATGTGCAGCTTAGTTACATAAGTATACATGTGCCATGCTGGTGTGCTGCACCCATTAACTCCTCATTTAGCATTAGGTATATCTCCTAATGCTATCCCTCCCCCCTCCCCCACCCCACAACAGTCCCCAGAGTGTGATGTTCCCCTTCCTGTGTCCATGTGTTCTCATTGTTCAATTCCCACCTAGGAGTGAGAACATGCGGTGTTTGGTTTTTTGTCCTTGCAATAGTTTACTGAGAATGATGATTCCCAATTACATCCATGTCCCTACAAAGGACATGAACTCATCATTTTTCATGGCTGCATAGTATTCCATGGTGTATATGTGCCACATTTTCTTAATCCAGTCTATCATTGTTGGACATTTGGGTTGGTTCCAAGTCTTTGCTATTGTGAATAGTGCCGCAATAAACATACGTGTGCATGTCTCTTTATAGCAGCATGATTTATAGTCCTTTGGGTATATACCCAGAAATGGGATGGCTGGGTCAAATGGTATTTCTAGTTCTAGATCCCTGAGGAATCGCCACACTGACTTCCACAAGGGTTGAACTAGTTTACAGTCCCACCAACAGTGTAAAAGTGTTCCTATTTCTCCACATCCTCTCCAGCACCTGTTGTTTCCTGACTTTTTAATGATTGCCATTCTAACTGGTGTGAGATGGTATTTCATTGTGGTTTTGATTTGCATTTCTCTGATGGCCAGTGATGGTGAGCATTTTTTCATGTGTTTTTTGGCTGCATAAATGTCTTCTTTTGAGAAGTGTCTGTTCATGTCCTTTGCCCACTTTTTGATGGGGTTGTTTGTTTTTTTCTTGTAAATTTGTTGAAGTTCTTTGTAGATTCTGGATATTAGCCCTTTGTCAGATGAGTAGGTTGCGAAAATTTTCTCCCATTTTGTAGGTTGCCTGTTCACTCTGATGGTAGTTTCTTTTGCTGTGCAGAAGCTCTTTAATTAGATCCCATTTGTCAATTTTGGCTTTTGTTGCCATTGCTTTTGGTGTTTTAGACATGAAGTCCTTGCCCATGCCTATGTCCTGAATGGTAATGCCTAGGTTTTCTTCTAGGATTGTTACGGTTTTAGGTATAACGTTTAAGTCTTTAATCCATCTTGAATTAATTTTTGTATAAGGTGTAAGGAAGGGATCCAGTTTCAGCTTTCTACATACGGCTAGCCAGTTTTCCCAGCACTATTTATTAAATAGGGAATCCTCTCCCCATTGCTTGTTTTTCTCAGGTTTGTCAAAGATCAGATAGTTGTAGATAGGCAGTGTTATTTCTGAGGGCTCTGTTCTGTTCCATTGATCTATATCTCTGTTTTGGTACCAGTACCATGCTGTTTTGGTTACTGTAGCCTTGTAGTATAGTTTGAAGTCAGGTAGCGTGATGCCTCCAGCTTTGTTCTTTTGGCTTAGGATTCAGAAACTCACTCAAAACCGCTTTACTACATGGAAACTAAACAAATGCACCTGAATGACTACTGGGTACATAACGAAATGAAGGCAGAAATAAAGATGTTCTTTGAAACC
The DNA here is from genome assembly GCF_000001405.40 of Homo sapiens. NCBI lineage: Eukaryota > Metazoa > Chordata > Mammalia > Primates > Hominidae > Homo > Homo sapiens. Next base: position 144,343,793 of record NC_000005.10, on the reverse strand, counting down.
AATGAGAACAAAGACACAACATACCAGAATCTCTGGGACACATTCAAAGCAGTGTGTAGAGGGAAATTTATACCACTAAATGCCAACAAGAGAGAGCAGGAAAGATCCAAAATTGACACCCTAACATCACAATTAAAAGAACTAGAAAAGCAAGAGCAAACACATTCAAAAGCTAGCAGAAGGCAAGAAATAACTAAAATCAGAGCAGAACTGAAGGAAATAGAGACACAAAAAACCCTTCAAAAAATTAATGAATCCAGGAGCTGGTTTTTTGAAAGGATCAACAAAATTGATAGACCGCTAGCAAAACTAATAAAAAAGAAAAAAAGAGAAGAATCAAATAGACATAAGAGAAAATGATAAATGGGATATCACCACCAATCCCACAGAAATACAAACTACCATCAGAGAATACTACAAACACCTCTATGCAAATAAACTAGAAAATCTAGAAGAAATGGATAAATTCCTCGACACATACACCCTCCCAAGACTAAACCAGGAAGAAGTTGAATCTCTGAATAGACCAATAACAGGCTCTGAAATTGTGGCAATAATCAATAGCTTACCAACCAAAAAGAGTCCAGGACCACATGGATTCACAGCCGAATTCTACCAGAGGTACAAGGAGGAACTGGTATCATTCCTTCTGAAACTATTCCAATCAATAGAAAAAGAGGGAATCCTCCCTAACTCATTTTATGAGGCCAACATCATCCTGATACCAAAGCCTGGCAGAGACACAACCAAAAAGAGAATTTTAGACCAATATCCTTGATGAACATTGATGCAAAAATCCTCAATAAAATACTAGCAAACCAAATCCGGCAGTACATCAAAAAGCTCATCCACCATGATCAAGTGGGCTTCATCCCTGGGATGCAAGGCTGGTTCAATATATGCAAATCAATAAATGTAATCCAGCATATAAAGAGAACCAAAGACAAAAACCACATGATTATCTCAATAGATGCAGAAAAGACCTTCGACAAAATTCAACAGCCCTTCATGCTAAAAACTCTCAATAAACTAGGTATTGATGGGACATATCTCAAACTAATAAGAGCTATTTATGACAAACCCACAGCCAATATCGTACTGAATGGGCAAAAACTGGAAACATTCCCTTTGAAAACTGGCACAAGACAGGGATGCCCTCTCTCACCACTCCGATTCAACATAGTGTTGGAAGTTCTGGCCAGGGCAATCAGGCAGGAGAAGGAAATAAAGGGTATTCAGTTAGGAAAAGAGGAAGTCAAATTGTCCCTGTGTGCAGATGATGACATGATTGTATATCTAGAAAACCCCATTGTCTCAGCCCAAAATCTCCTTAAGCTGATAAGCAACTTCAGCAAAGTCTCAGGATACAAAATCAATGTACAAAAATCACAAGCGTTCTTATACACCAATAACAGACAAACAGAGAGCCAAATCATGAATGAACTCCCATTCACAACTGCTTCAAAGAGAATAAAATTCCTAGGAATCCAACTTACAAGGGACGTGAAGGACCTCTTCAAGGAGAACTACAAACCACTGTTCAATGAAATAAAACAGGATACAAACAAATGGAAGAACATTCCATGCTCATGGGTAGGAAGAATCAATATCGTGAAAATGGCCATACTGCCCAAGGTAATTTATAGATTCAATGCCATCCCCATCAAGCTACCAATGACTTTCTTCACAGAATTGGAAAAAACTACTTTAAAGTTCATATGGAACCAAAAAAGAGCCCGCATTGCTAACTAAACTTTTTAACATAATAAAACAGTCCCATATTTCAGATATTCGCAGGAGATCTCTGAAAATAAGGTGAAAGCAATAATGTACTACTGAAAAACTTCCATGAAATGGCTTACATACAAGACTGAAACTAACTCACTGATCCTACTGTTACACAAATGTGCACTATTTATTAATGAGTGACAAAGAACGAGAAAGTAACATTTCTATTTCCTATGGGGCTAAGCATATTCAATTTGTTCATTTAATAAATAAATGAGCATCTGATACTGGAAATTGAAAGTGCCTTGATCCCCCAAATCCAAACTCTATGTCCTGCTATGGCTGATAAAATATGAGCCAGGGTTGCTGAGTTCCTCTCTTGTAATGCATTGAATCAACCAGTTGGGAATCGGTGAACTTGTGCAAATGGTTCTACTTTTTAAAATCAAAAACCAACAATGAATACTCTTTTGAAGGTGGTTTTTGTTTATAATAAAATTAATCCACTTTGTCTAACATAGAAACCTGTTCATTGCAGATGTTCAGATCTTTACTGAGAAAATACTGTGAATCTGAGGGTTTTTGCTAAGCCTTCAGATTCACAATAGAGAGGGCTCCATGGGATAAGCTGAGGTCAGGCATGAGGAGAACACCTTTTTAGATCCATTGCCTAATCCCCATGAGAAATCCCCCGCATATATATGTCTGATTTGGAAAACACTGTTTCTCCCCAAGTGAGCAAGGTGGGATGGCATCCTGTTATCCTTCTACCACCCCATCCAGAAGGAAAAAAGGGTGCTGCCTGCTCCTGTCAGTCATTCACAGAAGCCGTTTAGTCATGTTGTTAGAGAAATTTGGTGTCTTAGGCAGCTCGGGCTGCTGTAACAAAATACCATATATTGCATGGCTAAACAACAAAAATTATAACTCAGTTTTGGAAGGCTGGGAAGTCCAAGATCAAAGAGCCAAAGTGCCATCAGATTCAGTTTTTTTGTTTTTTGTTTTTTTGTTTGTTTTTTTGAGACAGAGTTTTGCTCTTGTTGCCCAGGCTGGAGTGCAATGCCACAATCTCGGCTCACTGCAACCTCTACCTCCTGGGTTCAAGCGATTCTCCTGCCTCACCTAGTAGCTGGGATTACAGGCGCCCACCACCGTGCCTGGCTAATTTTTGTATGTTTAGTAGAGACGGGGTTTCACCATGTTGGTCAGGCTGGTCTCGAACTCTTGACCTCAGGTGATCCATCTGCCTCGGCCTCCTAAAGGGCTGGGATTACAGGCATGAGCCACCGCACCTGGTGCAGATTCAGTTCTTAATGAGGGCTCTCTTCCTGGTTTGCAGACAGCCACCTTTTCGCTGTGTCCTCACAGGGTGGAGAGAGAAGTTCCGGTGTCTTTTCTAATAAGGACACTAATCCCACCCTTATAACATTGTCTAAACCTAATTATCCCCCAAAGACCCTACCTCCTAATACTATCATATTAGGGGTTAAGACTTCAACATATGAAATTCAGGGAGACACAAATGCCTCTTTCATAATACTTGGACACACTCAGACACTGCTTTATCACCAGAACTGTCTCATCCAGCTCCCATGGTTTTCCAAAAGCTCCCCCTCTCCAACTCTGCCTCTCAGATCATGATTTTTTTTTTTTTTTTTTTTTTTGAGATGGAGTCTCGCTCTGTCACCCAGGCTGGAGTGCAGTGACGCACTCTAGGCTCACTGCAAGCTACGCCTCCCGGGTTCACGCCATTCTCCTGCCTCAGCCTCTCGAATAGCTGGGACTATAGGTACCCGTCACCATGCCCAGCTAATTTTTTGTATTTTTAGTAGAGACGGGGTTTCACTGTGGTCTCCATCTCCTGACCTCGTGATCCACCCATCTCGGCCTCCCAAAGTGCTGGGATTACAGGCGTGAGCCACCACGCCTGGCCTCAGATCATGATTTTTAAGCATGACCACAGGATCTTACCTGCCCTCTGCTTCAAAATATCTGATCACTGGATAGAATGGAATGGATGAGATTTACCCACAGGCCCCCTCCCTTTCCCCCTTATTTAATCTTTGAGGTTGCCCTTCTTGTCCATAGTTGATTCTGTTTGGAGTTTTAAAGGGCAGCAGTGACAAGCACTATATTACTCACTATTGAGAGAGGGGCAAGTATTGAGCAGCAGCCTCCAGGATATGTCCATTGCAGCCTGGTCCTGGATCACAAATGTGTTTTAATTAAATGTATTTGCCTTTCTGCGTATTTTATTGTAGCCCTAGCACTTAGCAAAGTATTTCATATAGACATTCATACAACAAATATTTGTGGAAGGAAAGAAAAGAGGAAGGAGGGAAAGAAGGAGAGGAAGGAAAGCAAGCATGAGTGCATCTCAACTCTTGGAATTTCAGCTAAAATATCCTGTATTTATTCAATTCCTTGAGGCACTAGACCACACCTAACAAGATCATGTATTTATTGAGTACATTTCTAGTAACATGTCAGGCATTATGGAGAAAGAATAACATAGAGAAGTAAAATCACTTAGCAGAGCACTTGGCACACTGTGTGTTCCATAAACGTTGAGACATTGAGTTCATAAATGAAAGCTTGGGCAAGGGCAAGAGTAGAAGGGCAGAGAGAGAAAGAAAGAAAATGCAATGCATTTGAGGACATGGGGAAAAAAGGAGAGAGGGCAGTGATCGAATAATAGTTGTACAAAGAGATAGTAAAGCTAGTGTCAGAGACTGCTGAGAGTAGTGATTTTGGAGACAGGCAATCCTGTGTTCAAATGTAGCTTCGGCACTTTCTAGCTATCGAATGTCTCTAAGCTTCAGTTTGCTTATTTGTAAAATGAGAATAAAATTGGCACTTGCTTTTAGGGCTATTGAGAAGATTGAATGAGGTAATGCACAGAATACACTAGGCAGAGTGCCTGGTACAGAGTAAGGGCTTGATAAATAATAGGTGATGATGCTGCTGATCAAACGTGATGCTAATCTAGGTAGTTCAAACAGTTGTCCTGTGTGTGGATGTGTCAAAGCATTTCTCTGGAACAATTCTTGCCTCACGTTCCAGGGGATGGATAAATTAAGACAGTCTCTCTTCAGTGCATTATAAAGCACAATGCTAACATCTTTTTTGTTAACTACTAGCAAATTTTTCTGTGCTTTCCAAATGCCCCTTTTCTCTGGTTCCAAAGGATCTCATAAAAGTGAGGAGAATCTGAATAACTGCAATGAATCTCTGAGAGTAACCCCTTGGCCTTTCACCATTATAGCTCAGCCTTGCCTTTTCAGCTCATTTTCCATCACTCCTATCCCTCAGCCATCCACTTCACTCCAAGTACATGATCTTCATCCCATGTTCTCCATATACCTGCATATGCCCATAAAATAGGTTCATGTCATGCTATACCAACTGAGGTCTCTCACTAACCCTTAAATTTGTCACTTAAGGATCTGTTCAAACTCATCTGTTGTCTGAACCCCCAGGGTTTTTTCTTTCATCAGGCAGTAAAAGAAATTCCACTTCTCAAAGAATAATCACCCCTGCCCTCCTTTTAATACAATTATTATAGCATATTGAATGTCTACTATGATCCATATGCACTACATACATATGTCAACTTATTTAACTCTCCTATCAAGCCAGTAGGGCCTGGATGAGGCTCAGAAAGATCGAAAAACTTGACCAAAGCTGCACAACCAGCCCAAGGTGGAGACAGGATCTGATCCCAGGTCAACCAGTCTCCAAAATCCATGTTCTTTCCACTGTGGCATGCTATTATTTAATATGCATATTTATATTTTATCCCCCAAATCAATGCCTCTGGAGGACTCATTTTTTAAGAACATTTTTTCCCAGGACGCAATAATTTATCATAGTCACTTGATGTAGAAGATCTTGATCAATGTTTATTGAAGCATCAAAGAGAACCATACCAGCAGGGCTAGGTCTGGGAAACGATGGGGAAGAAAGTCCGAGCTTACTTTCTCATCTCTTCTCCACTGATTAAAAACTCAGTTCCATTGCCCTCTGACGTTATACTCCTAAATAAAAATAGCTATGTTTTTATTGTTTTTCCTTTTGGCCAGCATGGTTTTAAGCACTTTGCTTATATCAATTTTTTAAATATTCACAACAATCCTAAAGGGTGGATATTATCATTTTCCCCATTTCATATGTCACCCAAAGCTACACAGTAAGTGGCAAGCCAAGATCTGGACCTAGACACTCTGGCTCTAAAGGTCTTGTTCTCACCCACTCTTCTCCCTTCACTATGTATAGATAGATCAGGGCTACTCTCTCTAAAAAAATGGTAATGGAACAGAGAGCTGAATGATGATGAGAAGTAGGTCTTGTCGAGAGTTGAGTAAAGAACATTTCACAAAAGCAAATTATTACAGTCTGCAAATGTCTAATATTGCATATAAGTGGTTAATATCTACACCATTTAAAGAATTCATTAAAGTTATGAGAAAAACCCATAGACACCAAATATATAAGACTATAAACAATGTACATCACATAAAAAGTAAATGTAACACTTACATCACATTAAGTAAATTCTTGGAAAAATGTTTATGCTTCCTACCAATCATAAAATTTCAAATTAAGAAAATTTTCTATAATACTTTACGCCCAACAGATTAGTAGAACAAACAACATGCATTAAAATCATAGCCTACTACTGAGAAAATTCTTGTGAAATTGGCACGTTCACACCCCTAATGATATAAAAAGTTTGTACCACCTATTTTAGAAAACAACATGATAATTATTATTAGGAACTATAAAATTTTTCATATCCTTTTCCCCCAATAATTCCACTCTACGATGTGTATCCTGGAGAAATCATTCTACAGCACGCAACGCAAAAATGCCCATTATAGCCTTAGTAATAATCATAAATATTTAAAATTAAAATGCCTTAAGTTAGACCATAAATAAGATGAATATGATACACCAACCCATTGCAATATTATGTAGTAGTTACTAGGACAGTAATTATAAGGACAAGGAAGAAACTTGGGAAAATATTTATGAACAGTATGTTAATATAGCAAAATATAACATTATATATATTAAATATATATATATATGACTACAATTATGTATGAATATGAACACTGACACCCATCCACACAGACTTCTCTCTTAGATTTTATATAATTTTGAATTACCGGGATCTCAGCAACCTTCCAGGTAGTTTCATGAATATGAGAGGCATGTAGGAGTATGTGTGGGTTTGTGTGTGGGTATGATGTGTGTATCAGAGTAAGCAGGTCAGGTTTCAAAGGGAAGGAGGGAGCATATGGATGGAAGTAGATTCATAGGATGTGAATAATCACTTTCTTTCTTGGAACTCTGGTAGAACAATTTGTCTTTTTCATCCAGAAATCTTAGAAACAGGCTTACCAAGTGCCTACTGTTGAAACCTGGCAACTTCTTTCATTTAAAAACGTGGGAAACACAGAGGATTTTAAAATAATATCCTGGATGTAAGCAGAGCATAGCATTGATGATCACAGGCCATTCATCAGGCATGGGACCAGGGGCAAAGAGGTTTCTGAAGTATTTTCAAGCTGATAGAAGTAAAAGATGACATTAGAGGGAACCCACAGTGGCAGCTTGCTTACTAATTCACAGCATGCACATGCAGATGCTCTTCCTGGCTTCCGAATTGCCTCATTTGTGCACAGCCCGTTCCAGTCTTGGATTAGCAGACTTTGTGCACAATTGTGGACTGGAGTTCAGGCTTGCACACACCTTTATGCTTTGTTCATTGCTTGTGCTGCTATTACAGGCACCAGGGAGTAAGGTCAGAAGCCGTGTCTGGAACTTGCCCTATTGGCATCCCAGCTCCTTCAGCATTGGCAAAGGGGAAAATGAATTAGAACTTCTCAGGAACAGATTTTGTAGCAGCTCTGCTTTTCCAAGGGCCAATGCACAAGACAGCCTGTCTGCCTGGCTTCTGTCAGTGGGAAAGTCATGTGGTCTCACAGGAAGGCCTTTTCAGCAAGATGGATGGCACTGGACATGGGGCATCTCCATTATGTGCCTCTGCTAGTCCTATCAAAAAGCACAAGAAAACCCTGCCCAACAGGGGTACTGAAGCATTTTACCATTTTAACTTTTACTTAATGAGGGAATTTCAGGTTCTTAAAATGAGCAGCTCCCATTTTCTAAGCTACAACTCCATTTTCTCAGCATGACTCTTCATGATCTGGCCCCTAATCACCTCCTGATGCTCTTTTCCCACCTGCCTTCACCCTCCAACTCTATCTCGCACCTGCCATGGACTGTTCCTCTCCCAGAGCTTTGCTCACACTACATAGCCTTTTCTGTTTCTGTTTCAATATTGGTTTTTCTTTCTGAGAGGTTCTGCTTCATTTTTTATGATTCAGCTCAATTGTCACCTCCTGTGGAGCCTTCCCTGGACTCAGCACCTGTCCCAGACCCCACACCCAAACCAAAGTTCTATTAGAGCCCTTTATCATGCTGTGTCATTGTAGTGTGTTTGTGTGTGTGTGTGTCTTTCACTAGAACCTGAGCTCTTTTAGGAAAAGGACAGCTTTACTCATTTTTCTACCCCTTGCATCTTTCTCATAGTAGACTTCCAATATATGGTCATTGAACAAACAATTAGAAGCCATTATCACACGTATAGTTCTCCAGTCTCCACTCAGTCCCACCTGTCAGCTGTCCTCCACCCATCCTGGCTATAAGCTATTTATTTTCTTTGGGTGTGGGTCACATTTTTCTAAAGAGTCTTTCTCTGTCTTCTTCTTATACCCTCACTTTTAGCAGTATGCTGTACACAGTAGGTGCTTAATAAAGATCATTAATAGTAACATGTCTTCTAGTTAAGGTATGATGCTATGTCATGGGAGTTAATTCTGGGTGAATGCTTTGGAGAGTGCTGAAGGCTCACTCACAATTGCTAAAGATTGACACCATGTACAGTGCAAGAAAAATAATTAAGAAAACAGGATCTGGGTGGGGCCTAGTGGCTCATTTCTGTAATCCCAGAACTTTGGAAGGTCAAGGCAGGGGAATCGTTTGAGCTCAGGAGTTAGAGACTGGCCTGGGCAACATAGTGAGACCAGATCTCTACAAAAAATAAAAAAAAAATTAGCCAGGTGTGGTAGTACATGCCGGTAGTCCCAGTGACTAGGGAAGCTGAGGTGGGAGGATCGCTTAAGCCTATGAGTTTGAAGGTGCAGTGAGCCAAGACTGCACCATCACACTCCAACCCGGGTGACAGAGTGAGACCCTGTCTAAAAACAAAACAAACAAAAAAGAAAAAGGCAAGGCAAGGCTCTGGAATGTATCTGCCAGGTTCCTTTCACTGCACTCATTTCATTACCATGTGAAATTCGGTAAGTTAGCTGACCTTTCTAAAACTCAGTTTTCTGTCAAACAAGAAAAATATTAATTTCCATAGCATTTCCATGAAGATTAATTTAAATCGTGGAGACAAAGTGCATAACATCATGCCTGGCACATAGCACACACTCAGCAATTGAAAGCTATTATTACTGTGAATGCCACCAGAAGGGCAACTTTTTGTCATAAGAATACTATAAAAATGGTTCACTGGTTTAGAATTGTATACCTTTAGATTAGTATCATCATCCATTTGTGCCATTTAATCCTTAAGTCTATGAGATAGGTATTCTTCATAAAGAATAATTACCAGTCTTTCTCAGAAAAGGAAGCAGAAGTCAAGTGATTGGTCAAGATCACCCACCTTGAGTCCCAAAACCAAGAACTAATATATCTACCCCACCAGGACACCATCCTTTATGTGTCCAAGAATTTGAACTTCCAAGACACATCAGAGGAAGCTCCAAAGTGATTCTATCATGTCAACTCTGAGTGGAGATTTATAAATTCAGTCCCATGTTGATGAACCCTTCATAACCACACTTCAAAGAACACAGAGTCTGTTGTATAAGCTGGTTCCCTTCAACCTCTGAGGGATTTCTTTTTATGTGAGTAGCTTTCTAAGGCAAATATACTCTGGTTTCAAGCTGAGTTGTATGTTTAGTAAAGTGATAAAAAGTATACAGCTTGGGAAACTTTAAGTCAAGAGCAAATTGTTGGATAACGGTAGGCCAAAATATTATACTCCCTGAATTTTAGAGTAGGTTCCAGACACAAAGAAAAGATGGAGGGAAAAGAGGGAGCCAGATGTGGCAAACTGATGGCACTGATGGACCTAGTTCTTCATCTGTCCTGATTCTGGAACCAGCCATGTGACATGCTTTGGGCACTGGGACATTAGCAAGCATGATGTAAGCAGCGGCATGAAAATCACTTACATCTTGAGGCTTGCTTTCACTCTTGCTCCTCTGCCTTTGCCATGGACATGCCCAGACAAGAATGCTGGGGAATGAGACACATGAAACAGAGCTGAGTTGTCCCTCATTATCCCAGCCTGAACAATATTAGCCCAGCCAACATCTGGCTGACCCCCAAATACACAGAAAGACACACACACAGAGCTGCAGGACCACCTGCAGCTGACCACAAACAAATGAACTGAGTGAGCCCAGTCAACACCAGAATAACTACCTAGCCAAGCTACACACTCTCAGGCTACATAAAGGCTTATTATTTTTAGTCACTGAGATTCTGGGTGGATTCTTTTCAGCATTATTGTGGAAATACATAACTGATATACAAGGGGCCAAATGAGAAGAGCAGAAGAACAGCCACATTGTCAAAAACATATATTATTTTTCAAGAGCTTTCCACTGGAGTGGAAGCTCCTTCTGCTCAATTGTTCAGTGATTACAATGCTATAGAATAGATTACTAAAATGTTCTTATATTAATAATCTCACCCTGGAAGTCCTAAAGCTCATAATGCAATTACTTTTTTAAAAGTCATTGCTTAGCAAAAAAGCACAAGTAGCATTATAACATATTTACTGATGGGTTTTAAAATAGTAAGATGATATGGTTTGGCTGTGTCCCCACTCAAATCTCATCTCGAATTGTAGCTCCCATAATTCCCACGAGTTGTGGGAAGGCCAGGGTGAGAGGTAACTGAATCATGGTGGCATGTCTTTCCCATGCTGTTTTCATGACAGTGAATAAGTCTCACGAAATCTGATGGTTCCCCTGCACACATATTCTTGCCTGCTACCATGCAAAACATGTCTTTCTCCTCCTTTGCCTTCCGCCATGATTATGAGGCCTTCCCAGCTATGTGGAACTGTGAGTCCATTAAACCTTTTGTTCTTTATAAATTACCCAGTCTCGGGTATGTCTTTATTAGCAGCGTGAGAACTAATACATAAGATCAAATGGAGATCTGGCTGTTTCTTTGAAGGATGCCAAGTGTTAGTATTTTTAGTGCCCCTCCTCAACCCCTAACTCCTTATGGGCATATTGGTTCTCTAGATAAAACTTCTTCAATTTCTTACTGAACTATTTGAAGTTCTAGGAGATATGCAGAGAACAGAAGTTCAGGGTCTTGTCAGCCAGTGTGTAGACTTTAAATTAATCCTTCTATTTCCAGTAAAGTATCTCAGCATTGCCCTCTGTTGGGCATGTTGTCCCTGGTTCAGTTATCTGAAGACAACCCTCTCTGCTACTGTCAGGTAGAGAGAGTGGGTTGTTTGGCTGCACAAGGTGGGTGATTTATCAGGTAGCTAACTGCTCCTTATGCAGGCTTTCAGAGAATGCCTGTGTTTACAGCCCTGTTCCCTTCCAATGTATCCAGCAACCCAGAATCTCCAGGCCCCCTGCGCCTTGCCTGAGTCATAGACTCAGCCTCATTTTGCTGTCTTTCCCTTCTATTTAGGTTCAGCTTTCTCTTCTTTATCAAGTCAATCATTACTTGTGCATCTACTTTCTAACTTCCAAAATAATGTTGTTGTTTCTCATCCAATGTCATCTTGCAGACCATTCTCTGCTTTTATATTTTTATGTCATTTTACTCCTCTTTTGTCATTTTAGAGGTGTTTGATAGGAATCAGAGGGAGAAAATAAAACCTGTTGCTTTAATCTGTTGTCTTTTGCCAGCAGTCCCTATCCTTTACTTTTTAACATGCATGGGCTTTTTCTAAGAATTTCTGCCATCTTTCTATAATATCAATGGTCAAGAGGGTCACAATTATGAATGCTCTGAGTTTAAGAATTATTATTTAACCCTAAATAGCATAAAGGAGCTTTCTTACTTACTTCCTGGGTAGAACTCAGGGGGCAGTTCCAGTTTAGAAATAAGAGTTGAATTCAAGGGCACCAAAGCACTTTTATAGATAATCACATTCAGTGCATCCCTCTTCATTTTCCAGTAAGCTCTGAGACTTTCCCACTGCTCCTTAAGGATAGAGAGTCTTCCTAGGATATTGTTAGAATTCTCTCAGACTCTTAATAACATGATACTACCATTGGTGAGTGACAGTAACATTGTACCTTCAATTAAGAGAGCTCAGAGTCTTCAAATCTATAGGGAAATGGACAGACTCCCATTCCCCATCCATAACTATGCTTCACATCTAGGGTAACACATTGTTTGACAGCTGTCAACTCTCACTTATCTGCTCCTGGGTAATTATATACTCCCTGCTTTTCAACCTATGCTACTATCTCTTGTGTGAATTAGATGATGACTTGAAGTCTTTTTGCATATTTAAGTAGCAATCCTCACATTGTTGAGAGCTAATAAAACCTAAGACCAATGCATTGGAATTCAGAGCTCAGGATACTTCTATGTGTTACTGAAATGGCCAGTCCTGTAATGGTGCTGTGCCTTGAGGTCTGATTATCATACAAATTTGAGGAGTTCTTTTTAGCTTAAAGCAAAAGACCATGTCCACAAGACCAGGCCCACTCCATAGTCAGTGCCTCAAGTAACTGATGCAGTACCAGGAACTCTACAAGGACTCACTAAACTTTTGGCGACCAAGGAATACTTTCTATACTGCCTAAAGCAGAAACTCTTAGATGTAACTCCATGCTTTTGCTCTATTTTCCTTTCTTCCTGGAATGGCTTTTCTCTTTCTTTGCTTAGAAAAAGTTTATGGCTATTTTAAGAACCAAGTTCAGTTCCATCTACTAAGTCCAGTCCTCTCTAATTTTCCTCACTTTACATTCCTACAGCACTTCATTTATTCCGTTGTTATTAAAGTCCCTCCAGTTTATTACTAAGTCATCTGTTTCTTTGCCTGTCTATCCCAGACCATCAGCAGCAGAGCATGGGAAGAAAAAGATACGGAAAGATTAAAAACTGTGTGCTTCGGGATCACACCAGATCTTGAATGCAGTTCAAGTCTGCCATTTAACAGCCTACCTTGGATGTGAGCTTCAATTACCTTATCTGGAAAATAGGGATAATAAGATAACCTATACCATAAGAGGCTATTGGTAATCAATGTTGTAATATGTCTTAAGTTATTAACACATTGCTTGACATATCAGAAGCTAGCATCAGTAAATATTATCTAGTATTATTATTATTGTATTTAAGAAGTAGGAATTAAATGTTACTCATTTGTATATCTATTATAGCACAATACCTGGTACAAAGAGAATGCTTAATAAATTTTAAACAAATAAATGAATGAATGGGTAATACTGTAAGAGTCAGATTATTTTTATAATCCCAGTAAATAAAGCCTTAGATGTCTTTTTTTTTTTTTTTTTTTTTTTGATGGAGTTTCGCTCTTGTTGCCCAGGCTGGAGTGCAGTGGTATGTTCTCGGCTCACCGCAACCTCTGCCTCCCAGGTTGAAGCAATTCTCCTGTATCACTCTCCCCAGTAGCTGGGACTACAGGAGTGCACCAACTCGCGTGGCTAATTTTTGTATTTTTAGTAGAGACGGGGTTTCACCATATTGGTCGGGCTGGTCTCAAACTCCTAACCTCAGGTGATCCACCCACCTTGGCCTCCCAAAGTGCTGGGATTACAGGCGTGAGCCACCACTCCTGGCCTAGATGTCTTCTTTTAAGTGATTGAACTATCCATGTGGAATGTACATATTATTTCAATAAGCTGAATATCTTACAAATTGTGACTTTATTTTGCACTCTAGATACTCAGCCTACTTTAATGGACTTGGTGAATTTAGAATTGGAGCAACTATAGCTTTCCTGGTAATTTTTGAAGTCATGGAATGCAACACAAATGAGACATCAAAACCACCTATGAGAATTTCAACCTCTCATGACTCAATGCCTCTACACTTCAAATACCTTCATGTCTAAAACAGAATGACTACAAATCATGACTTCCTGATGTCCTTCCTAAGGTTGGTGGACTGAACATATGATATATGTGAAAGTATTCTGCAAACTTGTGGGAACTAGGCAACTACTTGTGTTTCTGTTTGTTTGATTGAGTGTTTATTTGTAGAAGCTTATTTCTTGGCACCACCTGAAAATTCCTATCCAACTTTACTAATATCCATATTCCTTCAAATATATTTAACAGATTGATTCAAGGCCACCAACAAAATCTGTTGCTGTTTTGGTACATAATAGAGCTTTGTGATTTCCTGTAGTAAAATCCAAGCGTCCAATAAAATGCTTTCATTGATTGCAGTGTCACTTTTAGATGCTGCAAGGGCTCCAAACAAGAGTCATCTTTTAGCACTCTGCTGTGGGTTTACTTTTTATGGTGTTGGGATCTAGTGGGTAAATACAGCTTCTGCATTAACACTAACCTGAAGAGACAAACCTCTCAGGAGGACCATCTCCTCTTTATGCTTTTCCAACCCTGGGGTCATAAATCCTATCAGCCTGCAGAGATGAAGCATCCTAATGATTACAGTGGCACAGAGGTGTTCTTTGAGTGAACCAAGCAAATAAAAATTAAAGTTCAAAGTCACTGGGTAATCTAAGACATTCATTACACCTGTGCTGAGCCAGTCAGGCCTGATCAGCCAAATAGGCATCAGGCCAGTGAGTGTGCAGGAGAAAGTAAACACCTCTAAGATTCACCTTGTTTCCTCCCAAGGGTGTCAACATTGTGGGATGCAAACAATATTTCAAATAAGTTTGCCTTGAAAAGCACTAGAGGGCTTTAAAAAACTGCTCTGAGTCTCAAGCCTGGGATATAGATGGGTGATCATATTTATAGTTCATTCAATAAAAAATTAAATACAGATTTAAAATCACTATAGCAGCCAATCTGAACCAAGAACGATTGGCATCAATGAATCAGGCAATAAGAAATCAGATGCTGATAAAAAAAAAAAAAGAAAAAAGCTACAGCAAAGTCTTTCCCAGCCATAAGATGCAGGAAAATGAGAGTGCTTTTCACAGTGGAGAAGGACAGAATGATTCCATAAAGCAGGCGGGCAAAACCCACAGTAGATCTCCAGCTATGAGTAGCAGGGTGTAGCTGACAGCAGCTGGACACACACTGGAGGCCTGTGATAGAGGGCCTTGATGTTCAGGCTAGAGAGTCTAGAGGTCCTTAGGAGCCACAGTTAGTTTACACATAGATGATGTAATGCACATGAAAAACAACAGGATAAAATTGTTTCAGCACTTAATTTCGCAGGAATACACACTCACTGCTTGCAAAATAAAAAAAAATAAAAAAAATAAAAAAAAAAGAGGATATTCGCTTCCTGGTCCTATCCCACACACTCAAATCAACAGGCAGAACAATTGCTAGTCTCAGGGGAAGGCCTACTCCGAAAGAGAGGAGATACAGATTGATTCTGGTAAGATCTCTTCTTCCTCTTCCTCGGCCTCTAAATAAGATTAATGAGGAGATTTATGTAATTGCCTAGTGAATTCACAACCACATATGCACCTTTCCATGAATTGTCAAACTTGTCTGAGTATCATATTAATGTGTGACTTTAATATTGTCTCCAACATAACTCTGATGGTGTTAAAACAGGCTAAAATATGAGCAGAACTTTTCATTCTTTATTTCTCCTTTCTAAAAATATTTATTGAGTACTGTGTTAGGTGCAGTGGGGATCCTGAGATAAAAAGCACTGCTCTACACTCACTTTTCTCACTTTCTAAGTGAGGAGAGAAAGTAAACCAATTTTTATACATAGTGTGATGTTGTTGGTGGGAGGCTAATTGATGAAACATTTTGTAGAGTTAATCTACCAATATTAAATAAACACACGCCCTCAGACCCTGAAATCCCACTGTTTTGGATGTATCCTGAAGACATACTTGCAGATGTTCACCAGGGATTCTTCACTGCAGTGTTTATAACATCGGAAAGCTGCAAACCAGCAAAGTGTTTGTAATTAGGAACCCAAATAATTATAAATTATAAAACATCCATAAAATGGAATTATTAGATAGCTGTTTTAAAAAATGACGCAAGCCTGCATGTGTTCATAGAATTACATCCTACATATATTAAATAAAAAGCAGGATGAAAAATATTTCCAAAAATATGATTTTTTGTGGGTCATTTTTTTAATTCATGTGTATATTTAGTCACATGTGCATCGGAAAATGCAAAATTTCTGTTTTATGGAAAGAAACACAAGAAACTGTTAACAGTGATTATCTGTAGAAAGGGAGACTGAGGTACACATATAAAAACATCAAATAAAATTAATTATTTCAAAATACTGTGTGGCAAGCATACACAGCTCTATATTGGATACCATGGAAACAGGAAGAAGGGTTCATGAATTCTAATGGGAAGAGATAGGCAAGATCAGGAAAACCATCCAAAAAAGGTAATAGTTGAAGACAGAGCCAGCATTAGACTTGGAGGAGCAATCAGGAAGGCACAAAGCTATTCTAGAAGATGCATTTTTGGAAATTGACTGAATCTTCAAATCTAGTAGGTATATGTCACTCATAGCAAGGAGAAGGGCTTACTTAGAAATAATATCCAAATTCCATAGATCACTAGAACATAGGTTCTTAGCTGCAGGCCACCAATATTATGTAGCCTTAAAAAATACTATATGTACTTCTGTCTGAGGAAATACTGTCATACCTGCACCTAGAGGCAAAATCTTCACCGTTGCCAACATTGCCACCATAGCTTCCAGCGGTAAATAGTTTTGCTTCCACACCAATAAGTTCCAAATGGATCGTTTAGTTCCCGCACTCTATCAAATGCTAAATTTTCCTCAAAACTCTGCAATTTCCTCAGAATTTTCTCAGAACGCTCAGTTACTGAATTTATACTCTAATTACTTCAAATATGTTGAAGGCTGGCCATAATGTTATAATATAGGGACAGGAAACCTTTTAATTACAAATACAACATATCTGCTTGGAAGAGTCTTTCATTACTGAGGATAAGAATTTTAAGAAGCACTTTGTTAAGGATAATTTATTTCCCAAAAGACAAAGAATTAGGTCCTAGAGGCAAATAAAAGGAACTGGATTTTTCTTTCTTTCTTTTTTTCTTCTCTTTTCTTTCTTTTTTTTTTGTGAATTACAAACTGATCTTTCAACTAGGTGAAAATCCAACTCCCCATAAAAGCCTCCTTGCAGTCATTTTCAGTTAAGAAGAGAATAGTGGGAGGTATTGAAATGAGAAGAAATGATTAGTTATAAGGTCCAATTTGTTTTATATGTGAAACAGTATTTATTTTATTTCCATTTTAATACTTTGAATTGCACAGATTGAGTGGAGTTTCATAAGGCAGATGGCAAAATATTTCAACTTATCATAAACTAGTATACTTAATGGAAAAGGTTACAAACATTTTTTAAAAATTTATACTATCAATAGATCTATTTGTTCCTCGATGAGATAATTATTTTCTATTTTTCTCCTGCTAGTTTCAGGCATCCACTGATATTCTGTATTTACTATTACCCTCTCAGTCAATTTACTTCACAGACTTTATTGTCACAGACTTAGGCATCCATGTTAGAGATGGTGTTCTTGAAGGGATGCCTCCCATGGTAACTGATGAGGAAAAATAGTCACAGATTTGTTTCATTTTGATGTCTTCCCTTTAATAACTGCCAAATATTTTATAAAATATACTTGTTTTCATGGATGACCTGAGTTGAGTTCTCTGAGAAAACAAGACATTTTACATTTTACATAATTAAAATAATCACATTAAAAATACCTTTTACTGAGTCCACTATTATTATCATTAATTATTAATCTTCTCCTGATAAGGTGTTTCATAAAAATGAAATGGAATACATAGTAACATATTTACATATTGCAGAGCCCCTACATGGAATCTTTTACTAATTGAACAGGTTTTATTAAATGCCTACTCTGTACCAAGCACTGTTCTAGACACTGAAGATTTGGCAGTGCACAGGGGCAGTTCCTAAGTTCACAATCAAGGGGTGAGGGGAAACAGGCAAGTCAAGAGGCAGTTAGGACACAGCTTGATGAGGGCTTTGCTGGGGAAAGTACTGGTGCTCCAGAAGCTCGTGGTCAAGGTGCCTCTTCAGGATGTACTGCCAATGAATGCTTTCAGAGCACGTCATACCCAGGCTGAAACTTGAAAGAGAAGTATAAATAGCTAGGCCGAAAGGAGAATAGAGAATAAGAAAAGAGGGAAGAAGCTTCCAGTCAAAGAAAATAATCTGTTCAAGGCCCAGAACTGGGAGAGCACATGACAGTAGGTTGAGTGTAAAATCTAAGGGGAGGGGGAGAGGGCAAGTGAGGAAGGAGGAGAGGGTTCATCAGGAGGTGGAAGCAGAGAGCATGAAAGGCCTTTGATTCCTGTTGAAGAATTAGACCGTATCCTGGGAGCAATGGGAAATCACTGCAGGACTCTAAGCAGCCTTGTGACTTGATCAGATGTCCTATTAGACACAGGGAGGTTCTTCTAGAGCCAAACAGGCTAGAAAGGAGTCCATCAGAAATCTTGATAAGAGACAAGGGTAGCTTGAACTATTGTAGTGGCAGGTGGTGAAAAGATTTGTGTATATGTGTGTCTGTGCATGTCTATTATAATAGCCATCATTTTTTGTCCAAATAATCAGAGGGAAGAGATCTAACCTATAAAACTCTTTCGTTGCCATCATGGATAGCACACAAAGACAGTCTTTTTTATTTTATTTTATTATAAGCTCCGGGATACATGTGTGGGACATGCAGATTTGTTGCATAAGTAAACGTGTACCACGGGTTTGCAGAACCTATCAACCCATCACTTAGGTATTAAGCCCAGCATGCATTAGCTATTTTTTCTGATGCTCTCCCTCCCTTCACCCCTGCCACAGGTCCCAGTGTGTGTTGTTCCCTTCCCTGTGTCCATGTGTTATCATTATTCAGCTCCCACTTAATAAATGAGAACATGCAGTGTTTGGTTTTCTGTTCCTGCATTAGTTTGCTGAGGATAATGGCTTCCAGCCCCATCCATGTCCCTGCAAAGGATATGATCTTGTTCCTTTTTATGGCTGCATAGTATTCCATGATGTATATGTAACACATTTTCTTTATCCAATGTATCATTGATGGGTATTTGGGTTTATTTCATGCCTTTGCTATTGTGAATAGTGCTGCAGTGAACATACGAGTGCATGTATCTTTATAATAGAATGATGTATATTCCTTTGGGTATATAACCAGTAATGGGATTGCTGGATCAAATGGTATTTCTGGTTCTAGGTCTTTGAGGTATGCCACACTGCCTTCCACAATGGTTGAACTAATTTACTTTCCAATCAACAGTATAAAAGCATTCCTATTTCTCCACAGCCTCACCAGCATCTGTTGGTTCTTGACTTTTTAATAATCTCCATTCTGATGGGTGTGAGATGGTATCTCACAGACAAAGATAGTTTCTGAAAAACTAAAGCCTTCTTGGTGAATTCTCTAAAAGTCCATTTGACTGGTTACTGCTGGTAAATAGAATTATCAGATTGCTTCAAAGGTAGAAATTAAACATGCACATTGACTCTCAGGCTGCTCAGAAAATACTGGCTGGAGTCTGGGGTACTATTTAGTTACATCATGGTAAATGTAGGAGATGGAAGGAGGCAGTTGAGAGAGAAGATAGTGTGTTTCCTGTGACCTTTTTTCCCTAAACTTCCCACATTTCAAGCAATGGGAAGAGATTGAATTTGGAAGCAAATGAAAAACAAAAGGCACACAGAATTTGCTTGTCACTAATGCCAGGAAGCAACTTAGAGCCATAACCAAGTATCTTAAATCTCCAAATGCTACTGCTTTCATTTCAATAGTAGTGAGTCCTTGTAGTCACAGTACATGAAGATGCAATTGTAAAACATTAGTGAAGCAGCTCCTACATCTTGAATTCAAGTGATCTGTTTATAGTCACACAGCTAAGCAGTAGAGCTAAGGTTTTAATAGGGCTGATCTAATGCCCAAGTCCATGCTTTTTACTACACTGGTACACTAAATTGATAGTATTTGGAAGAAAATCTTTCTATATGTGGTGGCTGTGAAAATGTGCCTCACAGACCTCCAACTATGGGGAGCAGAATTACCCAAGGGCCCAGCTGCTACCCTCTGAAATCTACAACTCTTTTTGTGCAATGAGGTTGTACTTTCCATGGACTTTCCCCAGTCAAGGACTGAGGTCAGCTGCCATATTAGAGCAGGCTGATTCCTAAGAGACATAGGACTCCTTTCATGCCTGACTTTGGCTTAACAATTTCCTGGTAGCCTTGCAAAACCTAGTACACATCTACCCATTCTTTCTTTCTTTCCCCTTTACTTGGATTTAGATTTGTATCATGATCTAATGTTCTCCCAGCCTTTCCTGGCTTCCTACCAATTGTCTCTCATGGGCATGTGTCCCTAATGAAACTTGCACATTTATTCTGTTTTGGCATCTGTTTCTTGGAGAACCCAGACTTACATGGTATTCAATAAACACATCTATAGCCAAAAAGGCTGATAGAAAAGAAAAATATCTCAAGGCTTTTTAGCGCCCCAGTTGGTCCACTGTCTCAGTTGGTAAAAGTATAGTATTGAGGTTATGGATGCTAATCCATTGATTTTTCAATCTATTTCACACTATCAGTCTCAGTGGCTCTGGAACAGTCTTAGTTTGCATTTGCAGTTCTATCATAATAGCACTTCCTTTTTCTGTTAGTTTCATTCAGTGAAATGATGTCTGGAAAAGACTTCAAAATAATACTGGGAGGAGTTGATGAGGTGTGAATGAAGAAGAATTGACCAATGGATCAATGGGCCCATAGGAGTTCATTATATCATTCTATTTCCTTTGTGTCAGTTTAAAATTCTCCACAATAAAAGGATAAGAAGGAAAAGTCTTCTAATTTGGAATATGCATTCTATGGTTACCTTACCCCTAGCCCAAACCAGCTGCAAATCCGTTTTACTGGTCACAATGGAGACTTGAGAGAATGCATGCACAGCAATGCAAACTCATTCCTATTCTTGGAAGCTCATGAGTTCAGAAGTTTTTGTTTTTTTTTTTTTTAATAAAGTTTATGTCCTTTTGTTGTTATTGTGAGAAGCACCACCCACAATGGCTTAAGCAAAATATAGAATATCTTGATTGCATAGTGGTTTAAAAAAATAAAACAGTATTAGGTGATGTCAGGCATGGCTAGATTCAGAGATTTAAATTATTTCATTAGGAGTCAGTCACACAGACCCTCTCTTAGCCCTGTTTTGTTTTTTTTGTTTGTTTGTTTGTTTTTTCTGTGATGGTAAATTTTTCTTTCATGGTGGTAAGCTGGGTGTCAGTCACTCCAAGTTCATGACCCCCATTCTCAGTACATATATTTCCCAACTGCTCTAGAAAGTCCCAGGATTAGCTCTGATTAGATCAACTTATATCACATGTCATCTTTATACCAAACAGTAGGATGGAAGATGCTGATTGATCAATCCTGAGTTGACTGCACAACTATGGACAGTGAAGATGGTTCCCTCATAGACTTGGGGATGCTAGGCAGGTAGATAGAACAGGTGTCCACGACATTCTCTTCTGCCTACCTATCAACTGCTTAATCATAATCTAAATAAGGAGCAGGTGAGGAACTATGATTTTATGGCTACTCATAAACTCAGGACAATAAAAAAAATCTGCTTTTAGAATTATTCTTATCCCTCGAGATCAATCATGTGATGTAATTTCACAAAATTTATATTGCTTCTACACTTTCTCCATCTGTATTAGCAAATACTTTATTTTGATTTATCTGTATTTTTTCTTTACTCCTTTCACTCTCAATTTACCTGTATTTAAAAAAATAAATAAATGCAATTTTTACCTGATTAGTTAGGTAAAATATATAGCTAATTTTGATAGCAAGGACAAAGTTAAGAACAGAATAAAGGACAGGTTTTTCAATACATGTATTATTCTTTTTGCCTCTGAGAAGACATGCTTGAAACTGAATTTTAAACACTTCACCACTGGTGAAACAAATTAATAATGGCTCAGACACAGAGGTGTTGCATATTATTCATGATCTTGAAATTATTAATGTAACACTGAGCCATTATTATCACATATTGCCATCAGGGTAATTAACACATCTTATCTAATAGAATAAGGCCGTCAAATCAAACTAAGAAGTAATTAAGTTACATAACTACACAGCTGAGACAGAAAGATGCATGTCAAGTGAATTAAAACATTGCAGCTAACCTAGACGGTTTTAAACAGCCAAGCAGAGAAGTTTGTTATTAACTGCCTAGTTTGCCACTGATAAGTCACTTCACTGTATCATGCCTCAATTTCTATGTACTACGAAGGGATTGAAGTAATTACCAAAATCTAGGGTTCATAAGAATTGCCTGGGGAGCTTCTGAAAAATTTATATTCTCTGGTCTCCCTTGGAGATATCATGCTGCAGAATGGAGACTAGGAATACACATTTTTAACACCCTAGGTGATTTCGAAGCAGGTGATTCATGACCTACATTTTGAGAAATTCTAGAAAACAAGGTTTCCAAAGAACCTTACAGTTTTAATAATTAATGATGAGATCATTGGGTTTCCCAATAGAGTAGCAAAGTTTTCATCAAGAAGTGGTATTTACAGCTGGGCATGGTGGCTCATGCCTGTAATCCCAACACCTTGGGAGGCCGAGATGGGTGGATCACTTGAAGTCAGGAGTTCAAGACCAGCCTGACCAACATAGTGAAAACCCATCTCTACTAAAAATACAAAATTACCCAAGTGTGGTGGCATGTGCCTGTAATCCCAGCTACTTAGGAGGCTGAGGCAGGAGAATCACTTGAACCCAGAAGGTGGAGGTTGCAGTAAGCCGAGATCACGCCATTGCACTCCAGCCTGGACAACAAGAGTGAAACTCCGTCTCAAAAAGAATTGGCATTTACATTACATATGAAATGCCCATAATCCCCATTATCTACTTATGGTCTGAACCATCTATTCCCTAAAGCTAGTATGGAAAAAGTGAAAAAAAAAAAACAAATAAAAAGAAAAATAACCATTTTCAGCTTTTAAGACTGTCACTAAGCTCTGAAATTATTCTAAACCATAACACTCATGTCCTATCACAGGTAGCAAATGAGTTGCACCAAAGAAATCACAAATGTTTATTATTATTAAAACTTTCCTTTAAACAGTGTCACTTTCAAACTTGTATTCCTACTTTAACCTCCCTCTAAACATTAAATCACAAGTTTTATATGCCAGTTTAATTATTTTTAATAAAATAAATATGTAGCAATTAAAATGTGAACCATGTAAACCCATCTCAGTGGTAGGCACCTCATTTCAGGGAACATTCCAGTGAGGAATATAGAGACAAGCTACCTGTCCCCAAAGAGCTTTTCTTTCTTTGCCAAGTAATTCCGCAGTCACAGAGGGCAGGCTTAGGCACTTGCTAAGAATTTATAATTTTAATGAAACTAAGAAAACTCTATAATACATTCTTCTTCCAAATACCTTTTTCCTTTTTAGCCCTCAGATTTCACAGAGGGGGACTATGCATAGAGAATGTACATAGTGTTAAATTTTAAAAGATTATAATTGCAGGAAATTAGAAGCTACTGGTATTCTGAGATTCCCCAAAGATCTGAGAAAGTCTTCTGAGACTGTTACCTGGTTTTATTTACCAGGTTGTGAGACTTAATCAATATTTAGCCCATTTCTACTGTCCTGGCTAATAGGTCATTGTACCTGGTACTGAACAGACATACTCTAAATATAAAGCAATGGTAAAAGAGGAGCTTTCAGTCAAGTTGAATGTATAACTCTTTGCTAATATAAGTGAAATATACAAATATCAATTTATAATATTTATAAGTATATTTATACCTTTATATATACAATTATCAACATAAAATAGCGTAGCAATTTTGAAAAACTCATTTCACTCACGGTCAAAGTTTTCACAAGCACCTTTGGCATTCATGTCTTGATGATTATCAGAGCCATTTTTACTCAAGCAACACAGTTTTCCAAAATAGAGCATAGTCCCTGCCATTAGACTTATTCTAGAAAGACTATGGTTTGGGTCGGTATATGATAAAATCCATGGAAATCTTAAGCCATGACATAACATTCTTACAACATTGACAGTGAAACTGAAGAAAAGTTCTTGATGAGAAGACAAAAGAAGGAACCAAAAATTAGGCTTGTGCAAATACTTAAGACTTCAAAAAATGCATGTTGTTTAACCAGGCAAGCTCCAACGTAATTTATCAAATGTAAAATATTGGCAGCACACTCATCACAGCAGAGTTAATTGAGCTAACCTTTAACATGTTGGAATATTTTTAACACCTTAGGGAAGCTAGGTGGAAATGGAAATAAAAAACTCATTTTAACTTATAATATTTGAGATGCATAGAAGTACACTTGTGTGCATGGGTTTGGTAGCAGAGAGTAGATCTCACACAACTAGCTGTGTGAGTCTGCGTAAGTTATTTTCTATTCTTTAGTTTCTTCATCTACAAAATGTAAATAAAATGGAACTTTTCCCAATGGATTCTGACTACTAAAAGTGAGAATCAAATATAATATTGCATGTAAAACTTCTGGAAAAATACCTGGACACAAAACAACCATATAACAAAATTTAGTTATTATTAATATTTTTATTATTTATTTATTCATTCCAATAAATTTATATTAAGCACTTACTATGTATCAGGAACTATACTATATCATAGTACTTCTCATGCATTAGTTATTTGAATATTGCTTTAATTATTTTAGTCATTTCCTCATCTTATTTTTAATACTAATTTTTAAAACTTTTCTTTAAACAGTGTCACTTTCAAACTTGTATTCCTACTTTAACCTCCCTCTAAACATTAAATCACAAGTTTTATATGCCAGTTTAATTATTTTTAATAAAATAAATATGTAGCAATTAAAATGTGAACCATGTAAACCCATGAGGTGGTGGGCACCTCATTTTGGGGAACATTCCAGTGAAGAATATAGAGACAAGCTATCTGTCCCCAAAGAGCTTTTCTTTCTTTGCCAAGTAATTCCGCAGTCACAGAGGGCAGGCTTAGGCACTTGCTAAGAGGCATTTAAGTTCTAGCGGTCAGGCAGGGCCGATGAGATACATGGCCTGACGAAAGCTGACCTCAGGGAAATAGTCCTGAATGAGAAAAGGACTAACAAAACTGATGGGAGATCTCAGGCTTTTCATTAATGAATCTGCAAGTAGCAAAGTAATGCAATTATTTTATCCTAACAAAAAGTATCTGCTGTGGCACCCTAAGAATCACATTATGCATGCAAACTGGTATCTGCTGAGAAAACATTACTCCTAATGAAATAAACCCATACGTTTCTTCAACATCACCTGGCTGTCACACAGACATTCCCTTATTGCATTATATGATAGTCTCACTGGTAACAACTGTGAACAAGGTACCTTGCACATCAAGGTAGATCAAGGTACCAAGGTAGATCAAAGTGTGTACTAATATATACATAAATTCCTCCTCTTAGTCCCAAGCTGCAAAAGGAAAGTAATAACAAAGGTTTGAACAGGCCGCTCGGGGTTGTGCCTTTGATCCCTCTTTCAATAACAAAAAGAGATTTGCAAGAATGGTCACCGCAAGAGGACCCCTTCTCCTTCAGTCTCCTCAACTTGGAATTGAAAGGAAACATTGCATAGCCAGGAGAATGCATCACAGCAAGAGAACATTCATGCTTCCAGGCTAGTATGGTGGGAGACTGAGTGGAAAGCATGCTTCCCCCAAATCATTTGTTCATTCTTTCAGCAAATATTTGTTACCATTATTATTTGCCAAGTGCGGGCATAGACTCCGGGGAAATACAGATGAATAAATCTCCATCTCTGCACTCCTGGATTTCACAGTATAATAGGAGCACCATGCAGGTAAAAACGTAATTGCAAATCCAGGTGATGCATACTATGATAGAAATACAACGTACATGTCAGTGGGAGAGGGAGTGACAACAAAGTCAGAATGGAGGAACTCCCCAGGTCTGCTTTAGGAGATAAGCCATCCAGGAGGGAATCAGAAGAAGGAGACCCAACCAAGGATTTGAAGGGATTTTCTTAGTAGGATAGGAAAG
Organism: Homo sapiens; assembly: GCF_000001405.40. Classification (NCBI taxonomy): domain Eukaryota; kingdom Metazoa; phylum Chordata; class Mammalia; order Primates; family Hominidae; genus Homo; species Homo sapiens. The sequence continues at coordinate 144,317,660 of NC_000005.10, read as the reverse complement.
GAAAACGTGAGGGTATGCATTCCTAGAAGAAATAAGGGCAGAGGAACTGACACTAGAAACAAAATGGCACGCTCATTTGGCTAAATGGTGGGGCAGGGCCAGCTTATATGGCACCTTATAGACCACATTAAGAAGTTTGGGCTTTCTCCGGTTGACCAATGGTTCACAAATTTTACTGTGCCTACACTAGTATGCTGATTCCAGGAACCATTCCCAGAGAGTCTGAGGCCCAGAAATCTACTGTTGAATAAGTAGCTAGGTGATTTCCGATAGCAGGTGGTATATAGACCACACTTTGAGAAATACTGCTATTGATAAAACCAGTGAAAATAACAGCACCTTCCCTCCAAAGCAGTTCATATTCAGTTCTATTTCTTTTTTTTAGTGCCGGCCCAGTCTCAAGGGAGTGGCTTTAGATTTTTTCCTTCCTGGGGAAGTCACTGCACTCCTTAATGTTTATGTTTTGAAGACTTGGTTGCCAAAACAAACTGAAATTAATCAGGTATATGAATTTACATTAAAAAGATGCTGGCCGGGCCGGGCTTGGTGGCTCACACCTGTAATCCCAGCACTTTGGGAGGCTGAGGCGGGCAGATCACGAGTTCAAGAGATCGAGACCATCCTGGCAAATATGATGAAACCCCATCTCTACTAAAAATACAAAAATTAGCTGGGCGTTGTGGCGTGCACCTGTAGGCACAGCTACTTGGGAGGCTGAGACAGGAGAATCACTTGAACTCATGAGGTGCAGGTTGCAGTGAGCCGAGATCACACCATTGCACTCCAGCCCAGTGACAGAGTGAGACTCCGTATCAAAAAAAAAAAAAAAAAAAAGGGATGCTGGCCAGGGCCAGGTGCAGTGGATCACACCTGTAATCCCAGCATTTTGGGAGGCCTAGATGGACAGATCACCTGAGGTCAGGAATTTGAGACCAGCCTGACTAACACAGCGAAACCCCTTCTCCACTAAAAATACAAAAATTAGGTGGACATGGTGGCAGGCACCTATAATCCCAGCTACTCAGGAGGCTGAGGCCGGAGAATCACTTGAACCCGGGAGGTGGAGGTTGCAGTGAGTGGAGAGATCGCGCCACTGCACTCCACCCTAGGCAATAAAAGTGAAACTCCGTCTCAAAAAAAAAAAAAAAAAAAGACAAAAAACAAAAATGGGAAGATGGGGGAAAAATTACGCAGGGTAGTAGTCTTTGATAATACATGCTCTTAGATACCGCTGAGGCATAGAAAGAAAGAAACAAGTTCTCTTTGGCAAATGACTTCTGCATGGATGCCTCTTCACATGCTGGATAATTCCACGTTACCTAGTAGGTAGAGTTCTCTTCACCGATTTTGACTTTACCAATTCACCTACAAGCTCGGTTTCCCTCTGTAAGAAGTCCAGGCAGATGCCCAGGGCAGTGCTGAATGCTTAGAGCCTAGTAAGTCCCAGGCACTTCCAACCTCACCTGCTGCATTGTTTGCTTACCAGGAGTCTGTGGATTTTGACCCCAAACTGGTTAAAGCTAGTTTGGTACCTGTTGTTGTAACAACCCAGTTTATTTTAAAATTACACAACTAGTAAAACATAAGAACAAAAAGAGTTGTTCCTACGAAAACGAAATTAATTGTTTTAGAAAAACTCCATAAAGCTGACCTTTTAAAAAAAAAAAAAAGGCTTTGAAGAATTTATTTACCCCACTATAAAGTTACAGCAATTGAAATTTATATTACAGGTGTGCCTTGGTGTTACATCAATGGTTAAGGAATGAATTTATGAATGTACATTTTAAGTTAAAATAAAATCTTAAGTCATGTGTAATTCATCTTTCATAATTTCTTTAACTTTTTAAAAAGTGCTTCCAGTGATCAGCCCTTATCTAGTTAAATATAGTAATTAAGACTTTACTATTTGAATATAGTAATTAAGTTCCAGTTTTTCTACTTACTACCTGCATGGCATTACATAAATAACTTAATCTTCTATCCCTCAGTTCTCTCATGTACTAAACTGGGAAATAATAGTACCCGTCACACAGAACTATTATGAGAAATATATATGCTAATGCATATGAAAAGCTTTGCTTGGCACATAACACTTAAAGATGTTATTTTGATTTTTATTATAATCATCATTATATTTGGGATGAGATTCCAGGGAACTTCCATTTTCTACTTTAGTATTTCTCCATTGTTTTAACTTTTACAACAAGAAGTATATAATTTATGCTTGGCAAAAATAAAAATATTTATATTTTAGAAATAAGTGTAAAGAAATGTTTCTTTAGCACAGATAAATAAAAATGTTAGGGCACTTTAGGAAATTGTTTCAAAAGAAGAAACGATAGAAAAGTGAAACAAATTTGTTGTTTATACACCGTTGGATTGTTCAGGGATAATCGATCACAGTGGGACTTACTGGAAGAAAGGTTTGAGAGAGGTGCTTAGGTGCAACTCTAATGCTCCAAAGTCAAAGGCATGATGTAAGAGGCAGTTCTCTGGTCTTCACAAAACATGGATCTTGCCATCAAAGCATCTCATAGTGTGGATATGCTGTGTCTTTAAAATACCTTTGAATATCAGAAACCCAGAAAGACAGCCCAAAGTGCAGAACAATTAGTCCAATAAAGGACAACGGTTGGATCCTGTCTCTTAGCCACAAAGACCAACATGATCTTTAGAACATCCATCCTGAAACACTACTGCAGTTTATCACAGGTCTCTACTGAAGCTTCAGCAGGACAGAAGTCTGACCAGTAAAGTGAGACTGAGGAGTAAATATAGGCAAAGATGTGTGATTTAGGTCTTTTTATTAGCCTATCAGATTTTGGGGGCATGAAGTTTTCAAGGTTTAAATGTACTGTCTTGTTTTCCATTTCGTGTATGCGTGTGCACTTCTTTACATGCATTAAGAGCAGTTCGGTGGATAAGTATAATAATAAAGCTTTGTGTATTCAAATAAAATAATGAAGTCCCTATTTTTAAGGAAGTATAACTAAGAGAAGAACATAGCTGGATTCCTTTTATACATAATCCTGACATCCTACCATCCTCCAGTCCTCCCTGCCTACCCCCAAAAAATCCTGAAAAGCTGGATGATAAACAGAGGTCTGGACACAGGACACTCTCTGCGTTTGTGAGCCAGCCTTCAGCCACAGTTTTATTACTGGGCTACCTGACCAACCTCTCCTAAACTGGAGAAGAACATACACTTTTGTAGTTTCTTGCCAAGCATGTAGACTCCATGAACAGCAAATGATACAGCCTAGGAACTCATTTTGTGAGAAATTTCCCCTGCCTGAGCTTTCATTACTCCCAAGACAGTTACGCTTTATCTCAATTTGCTGTGGCAGAGCATTCCCCAATGTTCCAAGGAATTCATATCTCTCAGTCACAAAATAAAAATTAAAAAAAGAACAATGTACTTCCATTACCACCCAAATACTTTGGGGTATGGTTATAATATTTGTATTGATCTCGTGCATTGGTTAATAAACCTGCTAATTGTCAAGCCTCTTTTGTTCTAAGTGAAATGAAAGTGAGGAGGAAATTATTCAAACAATTCCATTCTGTTGTGTGATTCTTGTAAATAGGGTTTAGCTATATAGTGCCTCATAGTAGACTTTCTAAGTCAAATCCACTAGTTACCACTGTATGGTCTTAAATTAAATGACCTCTTTAAACCTCAGTTTCTGATCTCCAAAATGCAGAAATAATACTGGTATATTCATCAATGATAATATATACTAAATCCAGATTCTTTTCAATGTGAAAATAATTGACAGTGCCTGGCATGCTGCAGGCTTAATAAGTACTATTACTACTACTAATACTAGTATTGTTAATACTGATAACACCACTGCAACTACTACTAAGAGCAAAAGTATTTAAGGGGCTCTGGATATTCCAGATTGACTACCCATGTATATAAATTTTATCCCAGAAATTGTCAGCTCATCACTGTAATGAAGGCATAATTGTAAAGAAGGCAAACATCACCCCATGGTTTATAAGCAGAGGAGAGTAGTACTGTTTATAAAATTTAACTACATCTTAAGTGCCATTAAATTAAAGAAAAAGCATCGTAAATCTGAATCAGTTGCTCTGTTCTCACAGTTTTAAAAAAATTGTAGCTGCACTTTCTAAACTCTAAACTTTAATCTACTCTCTGATAACAAAACCTTACAATATTTTAGTATTTTCATGTCCAATCACAGGTGACAGTCTAAGGGTTATTCATGAAACAGGGGCTCCAAGATGTCTGGTCACAGTGAAAGTGCTCATCTATAAAGTGCTGCAAACAGGGTGTGTTTGGCAGAAAACTGAAGCTGGCAAAAGTTCAGATCTTTGTGAATGGCTGGTTATGTCTAGCAGGAGATGGATGCTATATGAATCTGACCCATTAATGCTAGTGTGCTTTTTTAACTTAATATATTTGACATTTCTGCTTTTTGTTTTATACTGATCTCTCATATCACAGTCATATAAAACAAAACCCCAAAACATTCCTACTCACTTTTACTGCCAATTTAAATAATGTTCATCAACCTTTCTCCATATCCTAAAAATGCCCTGAATATAGGTTGCAACTATACTGCTATGCTTTTAATAACTTTTTTCTTCACTCTTCGTTTGGTTTTTTCCATCTTTTACTACCACTACCACTCTTCGTTTCCTACCTACACTTTTCAACTCAAGGCGATTAGCGGAGATATAGTTATTAAAAACTTTCCTTAGAGACTATTTAGGAGACATTTATGTGACAGCTTTTCTTAAGAATCAAACAAGTTTTCTTCACCTTGTCACTTCCCCTTACAGAATGTTGCCATTGTATTTTTACAGGGAGTTTCAACACCATTCCAAATACCATGAGAAGTGCGAGGGAAAGGGATAAAAAGGAACCCTTCACACCCTTTTCCAGTGGAGGTTCCTCTAGCACTTTGCCAACGATACATTATTTTACATTTTTCTTTGTGGCAGACACCTTCTCATTTGAAGAAGAGCAAAATCAAGAAAGAATTTCCTCTTCTCCTTTTTTATGTGCTCATTCTAAAAAATTAGACTGCAAGTGGCATTCAGTTTTGAGACCACATGCTTGTAGTGAACAAACTGAATTTATATACTTAACTACTTTACTTCAGTTAAATTCTTCATTTATTTTAAGTTAATTTAAAATAGACTTGGCTTCCTTCCACAAGTACAGGCAGCTCCAGAATTTCTATATAGGAGGGGCTTAGGGACAGCCATCAGATTAGAAGGGAGGTAGGGAGCTTATCTTGAAGCTGCATTGGAAGTCACTTTTATTTTTCCTCCAACTGTATATGTTTAATCAGAGTGATGAATGCCAAGGATAAAGGCTCATGGACATTACTAATGGGGCCAAGCACTTGTCCTGCACGGTCTGTGTGCCATGGTCTGTACGGCAGAGTAACACGTATAAACAGAATCTCCAGTTCCTACCCATGTCAAGAGGGCCACCCAAGTCAAATGTATTTCCTATTTCTTTGATTTGGGATAATTCGGAGCAGTCTTTATTCTAAGAGAGCAGTCTGCATATGTGTTTGTGAGCCATCTAGCAAAGTGCCCGGCACCTACAGGGCCTTTCATAAATGTTTGCTGAATGGAGCTAAAAAAGAGTCTCAGAGGAAATCTGGAGCAAATGGCTTTAACAATGTTCAGAGGGAAGAAGTTTTAAAACACTTAGTAATAGAAAAAAAAAAGAAATCACCTTTTAAGATTTGAAAGTTATTTCTCCAGAATATTCATTAACTTTTTGTTAGAAACATTAGAGATGATTTTATTTCCTTCTCTAATATAGGTATTTTTCCTAGATTAAAAAGTACAGTTAACTGTGTATGGTAGAGTGTTTAAAAGTCTGTAATATTATAAAGTATCGTTTTGCTACTTTTGGTAGGTATTTTGCCTGACTTCATATACCTGTATTTATATTTTTATTTGTAGTTGTATTTATGGAAAACAATCTGCTGTTTATGACAGAATATATCATAAACTGCTTTTCATTTCACTAAATAAAATTCTACCACATAATTTGTAATGGCTTCAGAGTATTCTTTGAGGTAAAGACTTCATTGTTAACCATTCCCATATTCTTGGATAATTAGGGTTCCTATGATAAGTAATAGTGTAATAAACACCTCTTGATATCTATATCTATATATCTTTGCATCTATTTCTAATTACGTTTTCAGCATACTTCCTAGAAGTAGAGTGCCTGGATCAAAAGTTGGACAAATTTTAAAGAATAATAATTATCCTTTCACTGAGTGCTGCTGTATGCCAGGTATTTACTAAGTAATGACTCACATAATCTTCACAACAATCAATAAGTTAGATACTACTACTATTGTCTCCACTTTGTTTTTACTATACTTTAATTTCTACAGTACTTGTGCACAATGTGCAGGTTTGTTACATATGTATACATGTGCCCTGTTAGTTTGCTGCACCCATTAACTCGTCTCCACTTTATAAGTGGGACAATTGAGTCTCAGAGGGACTGGTATCTCAAGAGCTTCAAGCAAATCTTAGAGACCAAATTGGTCTAGCCTGTACACACCTAAAGCAAAGAGATGGTAAAGGAGATGGAATTACCATGATTGGTTTGAGTGGTAAAGGTCAGACTTCAATGGGCATTAGGAAATCTAGCACAATCCAACCTACACTACTCTTTAAAAAATTATTACTGCAGTCCCATGAGGAAGAGTGAACCTTAGCACTGCGGATAATGTATTTTCCCGCTCCTCAGAGCTGCCTGATGGGAATGAGCATTGAGTGGCAACAGAAACAAAGGTGGGAAGAAGTAAACAGAACCCTGAGGTCTGTCAGTGAATTTCAGTTTGGGTAATTTTCCTTTCTCACCAGCCAATTAAGAATTAACCCCTCACAGCTACATAAAGTGAGAAGCAGAAAAAAAATAGTGCCAACTCAATGAGCTCTAAGCTTATAGAACAGCTCTGTATGTTTGAGAAATAAATCATGAATCAGACTTTATTATCTAGGTTGTTTGGGTTTTATTTTTGATTAATATTATTGATCAAAAAATATATATATATCAAAAAAAATATATAATATTTTACATATGTTATATTTTCTTGCATACATAGGTTGTATAATAAACTCATACCTTGTTGGTAGGGATGTAAATTAGCATAGCCACTATAGAAAACAGTGTGGAGAGTTTTCAAAATAGCTAAAAATAGAGCTACCATACAATCTGGCAATCCTACTACTGGGTATTTGTCCAAAGGGAAAGAAATCAGTATATCAAAGGGACACCTGCACTCACATGCTAATTGCAGCACTATTCACAATAGCAAAAATATGGAATAAACATAAGTGCCATCAACACAATGATTGTATAAAGAAAATGTGGTACACATACACAGTGGTATACTATTCAACCGTATAAAAAATGAAATCCTGTCATTTGTAGCAACATGGATGGAATTGGAGGTCATTATGTTAAGTGAAATAAGCCAGACACAGAAAGGCAAACTTTGCATATTCTCATTCATATGTGGGAGCTAAAAAAGTGGATCTTATGGAGGTAGAGAGGAGAATAATATCTAGTTTTAATCATTAAGGCAACACAGTATTTAAAAAAAAAAACAACTTGTGTTTCTGCTGGCTTAAAACAAAACATAGTTGGAAAGAAAGAAAAAAAATTATAAAAGACCAAAAAAGATTTCACAAATTATGTTTTAAATATACACAATGACACCATGTAAAACTAAAAATAAACTGCACCGTATACAAATTTTGCTGCCGTCCCCCCACCCACCCTTCTGCTTCCCTGTTCCTCAGTAAGTCTCAAGGAAATGAATTCGTTCAAGTAACTGTGTCTCTGTATCTCCAACTAATAATGTCCCAAAATGGTCCATCTCTCATAGGATTGTCTTGGGAGTCTCTCGAACTTAGGACCAGTGTGTGAGTTATTTAAGAAGCTACTGTTTTAGGACTGGCTAAGCAGATACGTAGCCTCTAGTTATGCCTTTGAGGTCTATTCTGCCATCTGTATCCAGAACTCCAAGGGATTGAATACTAATATTTGGCCCAAAACAGTAACAGAAGTTTGTCTGGTCTCTCTCATTAGGATTACAAATTGCCCTGGCCCATTTCCCAATCTCACAAGGCTTGGAAGACTCAAATATTAACAACCAATGAAGACTTCATTCAAATATGCCAAGAATGTGTCAACTCATTTTGCACCGCCTGAGTTTTACAAGCAATTGGCTTGACCTTGAACTGCTATTATCTTTTCGGCCTGAAAAAAAAAAAAAATGTGGAGGAGATATGAATGCCCTGGGTCTCCAGTCAAGAAAATGTTACTCTGAGTAGTTATCTTCCTCCTGGAGTCGTAGGACATATTGATCAAGAGTTTCAAACTTGGGTATTCTAAGAGTGCATAAAGTCCTTTGAGCAGTTTGGCACAGAGCTGTCCATTAAACACAGTAACAAAGGAGAAAGTACTGATTCTGTCTAACCTTTCACCTCTTCTCACTGCTAATTGGTTTGTTTCAGAAAAAAGGCAGCGTGAAATGTGATGAGAAATGTGATAGTTCATCACAGCAGATGTAGGTGAGCATTAGGATCCAATTAGCTTGTGTTAGATCCCAACCACACCACTTAACAATCTGTGTGGTTTTGGCTCTGTTGCCTGCTCAGCTCTCAGTCTTCTCTTCTATAAAAAGGGGCTATGAAAGCTATCTCAAAGCCCACGTGTGAGGAATGAGACCCCATGCTCAACACTGACTAGGTGCTCAATATAATACTCTTCCCTATTAAAAAAAAAAGTGGGAGGGAGGGAGAAGCCATCACACTTTGTCCTCTTTTGCTTTCACTATTATTTTATTAAAAGGGTTTTGCACCCACCCTACCCCACCCCACCCCACAATCTGAGGATGGAGGCAGGTTTATCTATCTTTGAGTCTAACTAGGTTTGCCCATTAAGTTTAGTGGGCCTCAGCAATGCAGACAGACAAACAGATATATAGATATCAATACCAACATATAGACATATGTCTCCACAAATGATAGGTCAAGGCACTGTCAGTCAAACCAGCATAGGATGGGATTCATCAAGACTCCAGATCCCCATAAAATGGAACTTGAGTTTCCTGTTGAGGTAATGTCAGCCTGGTATATCTGGATGTCCTAGCAATTCAAGCAGCCCAGTCACAAAAAAATCAACACCTGCCCACCCGCCTCAGGCGGGCTAAATTTTTCCCAGTTCAAATTAGAATCTGCCCACTGAGCCAACGAAAATAAAGCTCAAGGGACAGCAAATTACCTCAGAATGAGCGCTTACCTGACTGGTTGGCGGTAGCCATTTTCAGTGCTATGTGTGAAGCTGTAACCATCCTGGGTGTGGAACCAGAATGTGAGCATATATTTTAACTGTACTAACAGGAGTGGGCTGCTATGACAGAAAGAAAGGGTCAAGGTCCTGGGCAAGCTAAGATAAAGGCAATTAAAATTTCAGAGAGCCTCCTCTTTTCTTCTAGCTATTAATAAGGCTGCCCTGGTACCCCAACCAAGCCCATATCTTATATTATTTCCTTCAAACTAATAGGTACACAGCAGTAAGCTTGTGAGATAGAAAGAGCCTGTTTAAGAGCCCAAGCCAGGCAGACCATCTGTCAGCATGATTAATGTGCTGGTTAACATTCGGCTGTTCTTTCCTTAGCATGGCAAATGCATCCAACACATCACCTTTGTTCAGCTACCACACGGCTGGGCCAAGATCAGCGATGTACCTTGATCCCTAATGACACTCTGGGGCTCTTAATCTCCCTGAGCCTCTATTAGGCAATCTTCTTGGCTAAGAATTTCAGAAAGAAGTTAGTAGTAGCAGCGGCAGCAGCAGCAACAACAGTCCATGAGCTCACCTTAATGTACATAAATTCTTAAAATTAAATGGCTATGTAATCTGAATCAATTCAGCATACATATACTGAGTGCCTAGAGGCAGCATTCTAGACTAGTGATGAGAAGCATGGACTTTAAAGTCAGAGATAAATGGGTTCAAACTCTGTCTCCACCATTTGCAAACTGTATAATCTTGGGGAAGTTATTTAACCACCAAGCCTTAGTACTTCATTTGATAAACACTGACTACTAAATGAAATAATGTATGTTAAGCACTTGGCATACAGCTTGGCACATAGTGAATACCCAATAAATGATCATTATTATTCTAAAAGCACTAGATGGGTGCTGAGGGTGGGGGTATGGAGGAAAGCAAGATGCTGTCTCAGTCCTCAAGAAGTTTAGTGGAGGACTCCAACTGAAACACTTTTAATGATGATAATGCTGCTGTGAGCGAGGCCACTGCTCTAATGGAGTTACAAAGACTATACGATGATAACTCAAGGAGAAGGAATTACTCCAATTTGCAAGTTTTAGCAGTTTCTATGGAGGAGATCACACTTGAGCTAGGCCTTCAAAGATGAATAGAATTTAGAGAGATGGGGATGAGAAGAAAGGGCACCTTGGAAAAGCAAAGGCATGGGTAGGAATGATTGAACAGCAGCAAGAAGACCTGTGAAGCTGGCATGCAGGTATGGAGAAGGCCAGAAAGGTGGGCTAGTGTCAGATCAGAAACCTTTGGGTAACCAACAAAAAAACTAGGGCCTCATTCTGTAAGTGGTAGAAAGCCATAAACTATTTCAGGATAAATCAATTACCTGTTCAGATGAGATCAGAGGAGAGAGAATTTTTCTTTGGTTCTGGTATGTGTTAACAATAATTATGGACTTGAACGTGTTGTCCCACAGTACAGCAACGAAGTTCCCAGGAGGAAGAAACTCTGACCTCCATAAATAATAACTGGAGTATCTAATCCTGTTTTCAGGAATTTAGAAAGGTTTGTTAGCAATGAAAGAGATCCTGAGGGGTGGTAGAGTTAGCAGGTAAGATTTGCTAACACTCACAGTCCTCTCTACACCACCAGGTGATCCCAAGGTAGGTCTTAGGTCTTCAGAGCCCAAGTCAAACAGAGCACTGAAGAGGTAATGCGAGCCAATGAGGCCCAGGGGAAAGTCACTTAGTCCTTATAGGTTGACACCTGCCAAGGAGTTTGTAAAGCCCACTGCATGATAAAGACAGTCTCAGAAGCCATCACTGGCATAAAGTGGGATGTGTACTTCCTGGCCCTTGAGCTTAGCTCCACCAGTGGTAGTCAAAGGCAGGGAAGCAGAAAGAGAAGAACAACTCTTGCAGTGGCTGGGCTGCTGCCAGGGCAGGCAGTGGGGGTCGTGGGGAAGGGAGGTTTCACAGTAGAGACTGTTCTGGTAAGTTTTCCTAGCATAGCAGCCAGGGTTGCAAAAACGCAAACTGCTTTGACTTTTCCCTTCCCTAAAGTTTTTGCCCAGGCAAGTACACAACAGAAAATATACAGAATGATTTAGGAGTGAAGTCGAACTGTTACCTTCTCTGCTCAAGCCCTAGAACGGTACAATACTTGGATCCACTTATAAACTCTGAGCATGGGAGGACTGTAGCTACATAAACCTCTGTGTAATCATCAACTATTGTTGATGTAGGTCATGATAATGATAATAGCAGATTTTGTAGGATATCTGGTTGGCTCACAACAAACCTCATTGCTCCAAGAGCTACACTGACCATCTGTTTTAATTTTCTAGGGCTACCATAACAAAACACCATTGAATGGATGGCTTAAACAACAGAAGTTATTTTCTCACACTCTGGAGGCTAGAAGTCCAGGATCAACATGTCCACAGGATTGCTTTCTTCTGAGGGCTCTCTCCTTGGCTTATAGGTGGACTCCTTCTTATTTTTTATTTATTTTTTATTTTTATTTTTATTTTTTGAAACAGAGTCTCACTCTGTCTCCAGGCTGGGGTGCAGTGGCACGATCTCAGCTCACTGCAACCTGCGCCTCCTGGGTTCAAGTGGTTCTTGTGCTTCAGCCTCCTGAGTAGCTGGGAGTACAGGTGCGCACCACCATGCCCAGCTAATTTTTGTATTTTTAGTAGAGATGGGGTTTCACCATGTTGGCCAGGATGGTCTCGATCTCCTGACCTCATGATCCACCCACCTCGGCCTCCCAAGGTGCTGGGATTACAGGCGTGAGCCACTGCACCCAGCCTACTCCTTAATTTATCCTCATGAGGTCTTTTCCTAGTGCATATGCCTCTCTGGTTTCTCTGTCTGTTCAAATTTCCTCTTCTTATAAAGACACCAGTCAGATTGAATTAGGGCCCATTCTTATGGCATCATTTTAACTTAGTCACTTCTTTGATGATCCTATCTCCAAATACAGTCACATTCTGAGGCATTGAGGGTTAGGGCTTCACCATATGGGTTTTAGATGGACACTCTGCAGCTTATAACACAACCTTTGCTGGTAGATCTTCCTATCAACATTGAACCAAGTAACTCCCACCCTACTCCAAGAAACAGTTCATTGGATTGAGGTGAACACTCACTCTAAAAAAGATATAACAGAATCTCACCTGGGAATTTGGGATTGAGGTTAAGAGAGGGTCTTAACCTTAATCAGTTTTCTCTCTTGCTCTAAGAAGCTCTAAATGTGGAGTGTCCCACATGTCAGGTGAATCAGACAGAGTAGGCAGCCAGGAGACTGAAAATGAGGCAAAAGCCCAGGAAAGCCAACTCAGAAAAAAAAAAAAAAAAAAAAAAAAGATTTTGATATTCTCAGTGGCTTCGAGGTTTCTGTTTCCAGTACCACAAAAGGGCCTTTGGCCCTAGTGTTCTGTGATATCTACCTGTTATGGTTAAGGGAGGCAACCAAAAGGTGGTGCTAATGAGAAGGATGATGATAATGACATTAGTCAAGACAGTGACAGACCTGCAGTGCACAGTAGTCCCTCCTTACCTTCAGGACAAACAGATCAATCACTTGCCTTTTCTCTACTTGATGATCTCCTGGGACCAAAACGTTCCAATATCTCTCAGTAGATCGCCCTAGCATTTTGCCACTGGACGGTGCAAGTCATTATTCTGCCTCATCCCCAATCATGTCTCCATTACTTTCCTTTGAACTCACTTCTTCCATATAATGTTTTTACTCACAGACAGAAAGGAAACTGCTTTATACCCTCAATGAAAAAATGCAACCTGTCTGTGAAGCGTAATTAAGCCAAATACTTTCCTTCTCTTCTCCAGGCTGATCAATTCAAATTCTTTTAGGCTTTCCTCCGAAGAAACAATTTCCCATTCCCTTAACCTCTAGGTGCTTCCCAGATTCTTCATATCCCTTTTAAGGGCCACTGACCACATCTGGACTCCCCTGGAATGAGAGTCAGACTAAAGCTAAGTGCAGCAGAAAGATGACTTATTGCTGCTATGTCACATGTGCTTCATGCTGCACTTCAGGATCACACTGTCCTTTCCTTTCCCCACAGCACTATTACCCACACTGGCTCATCGCAGTCAACTTGGATTTAACTATGACACCCTGGTCTTTTTTTATTCTATCTAAAATAAGTGAATTTTTATCCTCACATGATTTACTTGTTTCTTTTTTCTTTACTATAAGACATTTCTTTTAGGTCTTTCATTTCCTCTTTTTATTTGAATATTTTTGTAGAGCCAGAAAATGTATACCTAAAGAAGGGGAGGAGTTTAGATTATATAAACGGGAGTGGTAAAATGGCAATTATGGGCCAAAAAGTGTCATAGATGTATATTCTGTGCCAGGATATCTTTAAGTGTGTTTAAGGCTGTGACATCTATAGGCCAGGTTGATATGCACTCTCCAATGACCACAGAACTAATTCCTGTCTTTTGTCTTAAACTCTTTTCCAGGCCTCTAATGGCATTTAAGTTTGAACTCCCAAATCCAACCAACTTATGAAACAGAAGGTGAAGGCAGGAGAGGAGAAATGACCTCCCCAGCCTCACAGAGCCACTTACTGGAGAGCCTGAGCCCCAACCTGGATCTCCTCATTTCCCACCCCCACCTAGTCCTTGCATTATCATATTTGTTGTTTCCTTATAGTGGCCTGAAAAATAAAGAGTTGATAATGAAGAGTTTTAGATGTTTTAAATGATATTTCTGATAACAACTAAACAGGTGCAGGTCACTCTGAGATAATGAGCACAAAAAGCTTAATCATGTTTGAAACTTTTGACAAGAGACTGAACCTTTGGTCATTTCCATTGCTCTTGCCACACAAAAGCCAAGGGTTCTATTTCCATCTCTGAACAACCCAGCCCAACCTCAAGGTCCTAAAGAATCTTAAAAGTGCTGTACTTGATCTTTAACAAATCATAAAAGATTTTACAGAGATCTCACAAGCCTATAAAGCTATTCATCTTTGTTCCTAAGTCTAGAAAAAGAATCACTTCCCCAGCTTAGGTAATTAAGAGTCAGCTGAAACATAGAGGGCTTGCATATGAAGTGATATAATTCTAATAACACTTGCAGAAAACATGAGTTAACTAGAGACAGCCAGCCACCCTACTGTGTAAAGAAAATTTGACTGCATTTGGAGGTCTTCTGTCCTTGACACGTCTATCAAGATTGCTAATGGCCAGCAAACCACAGGCCTTTTGAAAGGAGGCACTAACGCTCTAATAATGTCAATTATACAACCAAACACTCAACAAAACAGAAGAGAGGAAAGACTGGATGAATGATCGATAGAGGTAATTAGATTTCCCTGTACAATATAGAAATGATTTCCATATTCCACAATATCCTGCTGCTCATTCTATAGGCTGCATTTCTTTTCCACTGCTTACAGCCAACCCAAAGGGATCCAAGTTTAAAGAGACAGAACAATGAGGAAAGAAGAGGCCAAGTGGGCTTTTTAATCATTCTGTCCATATCAAATTATTAAAAACTGTTTTCATCACATACAACTGTGGCATAATCTCTCATGCAATTTGAAAACATTCTATACACTAGAGCAACTGATTTTTCCAAGGATGTTGAATGTCAGAGCTAGAATCAGAAAAACAGGGTGTTTTACAGTTAAGTTATTCTTTCTTTGATACTGTATTTGACGTACGATAATAAGTATTCAGGAAGCTAAAAGTCATTTGGGCTGATTCTAACCAGAAAGAAAAATCAGTGGGTGAAGATTTATAAATTTGTTAACAAGTCTAGATATAGCCAGGGATGAGTGAAGCTGCAACCTAGAAAAGCAATCATACTTGAAGTCTGTAGTTCTTCTGTACCAAAGATAGAACCCAAAGTCATGGTTGAACACCATCTTCTACCACCTGCCATAAAATCCTCCTTTGTTTTTGTCTTTCATATTTCACTTCATTCAAAAATATTTATTACACACTTACTGTGACAACATATATTCTTGTTTTAAACTTATTTCTCTTTCTCCTTTTGTTTCTTTTCATTTTTTTCTTCTCCCTGACACCTGCCCAGAGTACTTTGAAATTCATAAAGTGATACTATTAAGCTTGAAGACACTTGACCACTGTGCAGTGCTAAACCTGCCTGTCTCTTCACTTTTTATAATGATCACCTATGAATGTGCTCTGGGGTCAGAAAAGCTGGGTTTGAAGCTCTACTGCCTCTAGCTATTTGCTCTTGGGCAAGTCACTTAAACTATCTTCACCACAATCTTCTCATTTTTAAAAGGGGATAGTAATAAAACCTAATTTTTACATAAAACTTACTTAATTTTGCGTAAAATTTAAAAAAGAAAATATCCCAAAACTATTTAGAAGAGTGACTGCCACAGAATAAGTATTCAATAACTGAAATCTGTCATTATCATTAGAAACAATAAAATAAAATAAACATGAAATAAAATTCTTCTTCTGAATTTTCTTGTTTCCACTTTCATGAATCCTAAAAGTATCTAAAACATCAAAAGCTACTATGTTGAAGAACCAAAAATACAAGATTTTGGATGGGCAAACTGCTGAGCACTTGGTTGCTAAGGGAAGCATCAAGACACTTTTTTGTTCATGGGTTGATTAGCAAAGTGGTAATTTCCATGTTGTTAAAAATGACAGAGCGTTACCAAAGATATCCTGTTCACTATGTCGAGACGGCATTGTGCAAGTGAATTTTTAAAGTAGAGATGGATTCTTAATCCATTCTTAAGGCAAGAATTTTCCAAGCACCTACTATATACATAGAATTTCGCTAGAAACAAAGAAAGATATAAGCACAACAAAAATTATGTTTAACACAAGGAGCTTAGAGTTTTGCTGAGGAGTCAGGGCATACACACTTGTCTTATTTAAGAATTCACCATCTCTCTTCTTACCTACTTATATAGCCTACAGTTTTTCTTCTTACCTCTGGTCTTACTCAATTCAATCTCTATGCAGCTTCTAATCCATTTCTCTGCCTAAAATCCTTCCCACTGCCTTCCAAAACATTCCATTTCCTATAGCATTGCATTCAATGTCCTTCACGATCTTTTTTTTTTTTTTTTTTTTTGAGATGGAATCTCGCTCTGTCACCCAGGTTTGAGTGCAATGGTGCGATCTCAGCTCACTGCAACCTCCACCTCCCAGGTTCAAGGGATTCTCCTGCCTCAGCTTCCCGAGTAGCTGGGACTACAGGCACTCACCACCACACCCAGCTAATTTTTGTATTTTTAGTAGAGACGGGGTTTCACCGTGTTGGCCTGGATGGTCTCGATCTCTTGATCTTATGATCCTCCTGTCTCAGGCTCCCAAAGTGCTGGGATTACAGGAGTAAGCCACTGTGCCGTGCCCGTAATAATCTTTATGACTCTACCTTACTTGCTTGTCTTCTCCCATCCTTTTCATCCTGTAGTCCAATCAAACTCCCTGCCATTTCTTGAGCATGGTTTGTCCTTACTCTGTACCTGTGAGGTACATCACTTGAGTATGTCTTTCTCCTCTTATCCTAGCAAACTCTCATTTAGTGCTTAAGACAAAGTATTTAATAATGTGAAATCCTTTGGGTGGACTCTCCTGTTTTGCCCAACCACATTGTATATCAATTATGAGTTTATATGGCCGTACTCTTCAATAGAGTGTTATGTCTTCACTAGTGGGGCATATTTTCTTTATCTCATGTCCACTATAATTACCATGATCTCTGTGATGAGTTGGATAATCAACAAGTATTCATTGCATGATTGGTGTATAAGGTCAGTTATAACTTGTGTATTGCATATATGTAATAAATTCTATTGCAAAATACCCTGTGAGCTACAAGATACTTTCTACTACACTGTCTCAGTGAAATAGCATGAGACAATTTGCACCCTATTAAATGGTACAGCTGGTAAGTTCTGAAAAGTGGGTTTTCAAAATTAGCAGCAGCATTCAGGACAGATTGCAAGAATTCGGGAGAAGAGATATAGAGTGAGAACTTGAAGGGTGACAGTGAAGCAAAAATGCTTTGTGATGCCAGATACAAAATATCTTGATCTATTTTTGCAAAAGAGTAACTGGCTAGATCAGGGACTCAGGAGATTTACTTCCCACACTTCACTGAATACGTCTATATCTCTTTTGATTCAATGCTCTTCCACCCGAGAAGTGAAAAACTATTCTGGTAATATTAATAATACAAACATGTGCTAAGATCATATCTGAATGAGGCAGAATAATTCCCTTAGAGTCAACCACAGCTACTAGGCTCAACTGGTTTAGAAGCAATGCAGTTATACTGATCATAGGATAATCTGTATCGATTTCTAAGATAGACAGCTATAAATGATTACTGACAAGTTTTTCTGGGTTGTAATCCAGAAGAAGAAAATGGGTCTTTTTGTTTTTTGTTTTTTGTTTTTTTTTTTTTTTTTAAATGATTCTGGTGAATCAGATAATCTAATGATATGTGAATGCTTTGGTCCTGGACAATGAGTTTGTTAAAAGTAAGGTTATTCATACTTAATTACAGGTTTTCCAATTTTACCCTCCATAAAGATGTTAAAAATCCTAAAACATATTAAGGAGGCCAAATAATGTAGTAGTTAGTACCAACTGTGTTGCTTTCATTAAGTTACATAATGCCCTACCTTACCAAAACAATAAAATGAAAGTAATAATAAGGCCACTGTCCAAGGCTTTCAATAAGGTTACATGATATAATTTATGTGAAATGCTTAGCACACCAAATTTTTGTGTATTGTATCACCTTTGCCTATACTCAAAACAAAACAAAACCTATTTTTTTCATTCCAATATTGGAGGGAACTTCCCAATTACTCCCATGGAAAAATACTTTCAAGCAGACAGTATTAGATGAATGAAAGATAGAAAATAGAGAGTATGTTTAAGATCAGGGGACCTCTTCCTTCCCTGCAGTTTTGTCAAACTATTTTTGTCTATGTCGTAAGTTGTTATTCTGATAGAGAAATGCTTTCAGCAAAGCAGGATGGATCATTATTATGTACAGCCAAGTGGACTTGTTTCCCTTCTTGGTTCTTTTTGAGGAAAAGGTTGAAAATGAAAGAGGTTGAAGATTTTTGTCAAAGTGTTAGTGGTATATTGCACAGGAACTCCGGGCAACATTAAACAGCTCAGTGACAGGTTAAAAAAAAAAAAAAAAATATATATATATATATATATATATATATATATATATATATATATATATATATACATAGTGATATATATATACAAAAATATATATATATATATATATATATATATAGTGATCTGTTTTACTTATTCATAGCATTTTTTTTATTCCTGGCCTCTTTAGAGAATTCTTTCTTAGCCTGCCCCATTCCCGAGACTTTATTGTGCTGATCAGGATACTGGGTGAAAGAAGCCTGGAGAGGCTAAATTCATCTACATAATAATAAAGCGCTGCATCTGAAAGGAGGAAAAGAGAAAGGACTTAGAATAAGCTGGAGTTGGGGAGAGACCAAAGTGGAATGGAAAGAAGTTGTGATGATGAGAGGACTTCAGAGAGATGAAGGTAAATCAGTAAAGAAGTTTCAGATATTTCTCAGTCGCATCTGAAAACAATTACCTTGTGTCACTTTTGAGAGACTTGTTAAATGTTCTCATGTTTGTCTAGATGTTAGACTGGCTTTACTGTGGGGCCTTAAACATGCTAACACAGTAGAAAACCACCTCCCAAGGAATTATGTCTCTGAAGGCATCTTGAGACCAGTTACCTTACAGGCACAGTACTAAGCGCTTCACTTACCAATGTTATTTCATTTCACTGTCACAATTGAGTACCTACACCTAGGCCTGTGTGTCCAATAGCCACCAGCATCCCTTAACCTTCCATCTGGCTGGCAGAACCAGCTTCTCTCTGTAAAGGCTGAAAATAGCTGCTATGAACAATTCTCAAGCTTGCCTTACTTCTTGAGCATGGCAGGTGATGTAATCCTGGCCAATGTGATCCAAAAAGAAGTATGCTGGTGTTACCGAGGGGTCCTTGCTCCCAGAGCTCCCAAGATGGTGGCAGGCCACTTCCAAGATGGTCGCAAGCCTCGTGTTCTCTGACCTGGGACTCTTGGCCTCACGGATTTCAAGGAATGGAATCTTGGGCCGTGTGGTGAATGTTATGGCTCTATTAGAAGCCATGGGTCACGGAAGAGAACCGTGGAACCCAGTGACTAGTGTTCAGCTCGATTAGGATGAACCCGGGCACTTAGCCATGCAGGAACAATGGCAAGCCTTTAGCCCAATCGGGAGCGGCAATGGGCGCCTTGCTGGATCAGGAGCACAGCGGACACCCTGCCGAATCCAGAGGGATGAAAGTCAAGGGGGGTCTGTGACGGCAGCAAAGAGCAGTGAGCAAAAGCTCAGCTCTAGCCGAGTTGGACCAGAAGAGTGCAATTTCAAGATTTAATAGAGTGAAAACAGAGCTCCCATACAAAGGGAGGGGACCAAAAGAGGGTAGCCGTTGCCGGCTCGAATGCCTGCCTTTATATCCTGATCTTTGTCCCTCCCGCTGTGCTCTCAGGCGATAGATAATTGGCTATTTCTTTACCTCCTGTTTTTGCCTAATTAGCATTTTAATGAGCTCTCTTTACTACCTGATTGGTCGGATGTGAGCTAAGTTGCAAGCCCCATGTTGAAAGGTGGATGCGATCACCTTCCCAGCTAGGCTTAGGGATTCTTAGCCTAGGAAATCTAGTTAGTCCTATCTCTCGCTGGGATATGGTAGGAATATCTTGAAAGTGTTTTACTCCATATTAAAAGGAGACCTACTGAAGTACAATTCTTCTGCAACATATGTAGTATATATCTGATGAAATGTCTGAACCTCTGTAGCCAACTTGGGACTATAAGGAGAGATATCCGGCCTTGTAGAGTTGTCCTTGATTGCATTGCTTAACCAACCCTGAACCCATCCTGACTTCAGACCTTCTTCTTAGAGTCAATAAATCTTTCATTGCTTAAAGCTGTTTTGGCTGTATTTTTTCTTACTTGCAGCCAAACACATTCTTGCTGATGTAGCATTTAAATCAAAGAGGGGCACACCCATGGTAGTATAGTTTTACTTTTCCTACAGCAAGAAAAGTATTACTAAACATTTTATGAAGGAAAAATGAAGAAGAAACTCAAACGTGTAAAAGAAGCGGAGCTAGAATCAAAGGAAATATTGATCTGATACATCTAATAGCATCTTCCAGATTGGCTCTTATAATCTCATTTCCATTCCTATTACGTTTAAAGCACATCTTGCGTTTAGGTGATCTGAAACCATATAAGTTACAGAAATCAGGTTTCAAAGTTCAGGACATGAGCAAATTCAATTCAATTATTTTTATATTCTAATCAGCTGTTTTTCCTTGGGTATTAAATAGACAGATGTGAAATCCATTATTCACATATGTAGATTTTCTTCTAAGTTATCCACAAGAAGAACAATTCATCTAGAATTCTTGCCCAGGTACAAAAGGTGGGGAAGAGAAAGTGAGAAGGAAAGTTAGTAATTGAAAAATGAGAACTACTTTTTAGCCTATTTTTTTTTAACCTTGACTTCTCAAAACATTTGCTTCTAAAGGCTGCTCTTTTTCCATATCTAGTAGTTTTCTTTTGTTTTTCTGCTAAGCACCCAAATGCTCCAGAGGATGACGAATTCTCTAGCTAGTTACAGTAGTTTACAACTCAGGCACTTAGAATACAGTGAAGTTCTCCAAATAATTGTTGAATTTTTTAAAAGGATCCCTATAGCATAGACACAGTTTTAAGATTTGATTATTTTATTATATCTATAGAACATTCTTACTTTTCTAATCCACTGGCCCCCAGAGAACTGGAAAATAAGAAAGAGGCAATTGAACATGGGAGAAAGTCTTGATTGCCAAATGCTCTGTTTGAATGAGAGTTGCCAACATGCCTACCTCTAATTAGAAGCCATTTCTTACATAATCTTTCAATTCCAGTAGTTTACATAAATGTATTTATTCATTCATTCATAAATGCATTCATTCAGTTAATAAATTCTTACTGAGCACTGCAGCAGATGCTATTGCTGGCTCCCCAGACCTCCTGGGGTCCTTTTATTTTTTTTACCATTTCTGGGCTCTTTCTACTTGAGTGCACTTTTGCCTCCAACTCCTGTACCTGTAACTGTTCTGTAGAGAAGTTTCCATGAGCTACTGAAGTTGCTTTGCATGCAATAGCAGAAAGCAGAGACTCTGAAGTACCAGGAGTTTGTCCCTATGTTAGTTTTCTATTGCTACATTGACAAATTATCACAAACTTAGTGGCTTAAAACAATGAAAATTTATTACCTTACAGGTCTCTATAGGTCAGAAGTCAGACATGGTTCTCACTGGATATTGCCAGATTATGTTCCTTTCTGGAGGTTATAGGGGAGAGAGTTCATTTCCTTGCCTTTTCCAGCTTCTAAAGACTTCCCACATTTCTTGATTTATGGCTCTCATCCTCCAGTTTCAAAGTCAGCAGTGTCACTTATATCTATCTGATGCCAGCTAGGAAAGATTCTCCACTTTTGAGAACTCATGTAACTAGATTGAGCCCATTTGGATAATCTGGAATAATTTCCCTATCTAGAAGTCTGTACCCTTAATTACATCTGCAAAGTTTCCTTTGCCATGTAAGGTAATATATTCACAGATTCCAGGGATAATGGCATGGATAACTTTGGGGGCCACTATTCTGCCCACCACAGTCCCCAATGGTGGCCCATAGTCAATGACTGACAGGTACAGAGGTGTGAAAACTACCTCTCCTGTCAGACTGCTCTGAGAGGTAATTTACCCTCCAGAAACCCCTGAAGGGTCACACTGCCTCCCCTGGAGTTTGTCTGAATCTCACCCTTGCTTGATTTCTTCTGCTTTCTCATTCTGCTTTCCCTGATTATTTACAAGTTTCTCCTGGGAAAACTCTTAATTCATTATTTGCACACACATTCTTTTCTCAGAATTTGTTTCTAGAGAACCCTACCTAAGACAAGAGCTTTACATATGCCAGGCAGTATGCTAGGCACTGGAGCAAACAAATGGTGGCTCCAAGACTCTTATGTACCATTAAACAGGACACTTACGTGTACTACTACTGCTAAAATGCTTACCACTTACTGAGCTCTTTCTATGCATCTGACACTTTGCTTGGCACTTTATTTGATTAAAAGCAGTTAACTTGCATAAATTTATGTGACAAATACTGTTATTATCCCCCTTTATATGTTAGCGCCATCAAGTCAAAGACCATGCCTATCCCCAGCAGTTTACATACTGCTTTTTGTATAGAAAATGCTCAACAATTGGTGGATGAATGAGGGGATGAACAGTACGGATAAAGGTCTAGATAAGCTAAGTTGGCAGATGCACATTATAAATATTGAAGCAGTGACAGGAACTCAGTTCTGTCCACTCAAATGCTCATGCTCTAACTGAGCTACTTTGTCACCTAAATTCACTTCCATACAGTAAATGCTCAACAACTGGTAGTTTAATGAAGGGACAACCGTTACTGATAAAGGTCTGGAGGGGTTAAGATGGCATATGCACATTGTAAATATTGAAACAATGATTAGAACCCAGTTCTGCCCACTCAATTCTGTCCCATGCTCTAACTGAGCTATTTTGCCACCCAAATTCACTTTCAATCCAAAAAGAACATTGTGATGAAGACACTACATGGAAGGAATGAGGAACAAGCATATTTAACACAATTCTATAAATTGCTGATGGATACACAAACTATGAGTCAAATAACATGCTAATATAACAAGTACAGAAAAAATCTCTCCCACAAGGAAAAAAAAAATAAGTTTATATACAAAATGCTTACATACACCCAGAGAGTATCTGGGAACATGAGCACCATTAAACATCTCTATGCATCTTACAAAAGATACACCTTAGACATCTAGTTAAAAAGCAAACTGTACTGAATTATAGAGTTACCACCATATCTTTGATTAGTATCAACTGAAAGTAAGTCAATAGCTGTTTAAAAATTCATTAAAATGTGTTTTGAATTATTCTACCATTATTTTCATTTTAGTGTCAGCAAAAGCAAAATAAGATATGATTTATTGGCATTTATTCAAAAAACGCTGTGGTTTTTTGTTGCTGTGTTTTTTGTTTGTTTGTTTGTTTGACAGAGTCTCACTCTGTCATTCAGGCTGGAGTGTAGTGGGGCAACCTCGGCTCACTGCAACCTCTGCCTCCCAGATTCAAGTGATTCTCCTGCCTCAGCCTCCTGAGTAGCTGGGATTACAGGTGTGTGCCACCACACCTGGCTAGTTTTTGTATTTTTAGTAGACATGGGGTTTCACCATGCTGTCCCGGAATGGTCTCTATCTCCTGACCTTGTGATCCACCTGCCTTGGCCTCCCAAAGTGCTGGGATTACAGGCGTGAGCCACCGCACCCAGCCCCTGCGGTTTTAATTTAAGGGGATGCATGGTTTATATTCTAGTTAAAATACTAGATAATTTTCTAAAAAGCATTCAACATTATATGCAAAATGTAACTGGCTTCTCATTTAATTACATCAAAAACTGACTAATAAAATGAAATGGATATTTTGTCTTATTAAACTATGCTTTTGTGGTTAGTTCATCATTGAAATTGTCATGGACCTAGGGGAATTGGAATTCCAGATGCAGTCTACTAAGTAGGTTACCATCTTCCCTGCTTAATATGAATGCTTTTGAAGGTCTCTATAGATGGATTAAGTTTCAGTGAAAATTATAAGATATTTTAAAATAGAATTTCAGCAATGGATATGGTCAGAGAGAGTAATGCCATAAGAATAAAAAGTGCATTTTTATAAGAACAAACCCTTTATAAACAATAATTTAAATTTCTAGAAAAGCCATAATTTTAAAAAAGAACTATAGAGACAATGAACATGGACCATTAAATGATTGGGGAAGTGTTAAATAGTAGACATCTGGAAGGTTCCTTAAACATTCACAACAGGAACAAATTAGGGAAGCAGCTAATTTCAGAGGTTTGAGGATTTCCATATCATAACACAAGTTTTTAAAAATTTCAAAGAATTAGGATAGACTGTAAAAGTAGACAAGCTGGAAAGAGCCACAAACCATCAAATAGAGAAAGGAAAACTTCCGAGAGGAGAGTGCAAGGGAAGAGAAAAAGCTATCAGTCAGAGAGTAGCCTTAGAGGAAAGAAGAGTAGAATTTGGATGCTGTGAGAACTGAGGGAAGCAAAGTTCAGTAAAGATAAATTACCAAGTTTCTCATGAATTAAGTAACAATTTGCACCAGACTTGTCCTTCAGTGTCACCAAGTCTCTGTACAAAAAGGCAAAGAAATTTACGCCTTGTGCTTCACAGCTTGAGGTCAACATGCGTCCTTGGTCACTGCTGAACTTTGGCCCTTCCTGGGCAGCCCAACTCTCTTCTAAAACATGTGCAACCCGGAATCCTAGCGCTCTCTCTGTGGATTCTGGCTTCTCAGAGGGTAAATACCAGGCAAAGATCACTGGTTGCTCTTGAGGGGTGGGAAGTTGAGAATTCTCTATTGATCCTGAGTTTTTTCTCCCTAACTCTCAGCTTCTTCTCCCATTCAGCTCTTTCCATTGATAAACCACTTTGTTCTTTTGATTTTTGCCTCATCTCTCTGTAGTGATGGCTTTCAAATTCCTAGCTTCATGCTGAATCTCCAAATATGCACCTAAAGTTACAGAATTTTGATGTTAGTTCAAACGTGGTGTAATCCATATTGAACAGTTTCTCTTTCCCACACAAAGCAGCACGTCTAGGGCTCACCTCTAACAATTTCTTTCATTTCACCTATGTGCACTGAAAAAAAAATTTCATCTTAAATCCTAATGGCCACCACCTTTGACCTGGCCTCCTCATCTCTTACATGGGCTACAATAAATTCCTACATTGCTCTACCTTCACCCCACCCTATACAGAACAGCCAGACCTGTTTCACTACAAAAATGACTTCACCAAACCATGCTCTGCTCAATAGTATCCTGGGTTACTCAGTCCTCCATTCATTTTCACAGCAAGGACATTCTCACCATGTCCCAAAATACCACTCCCCTGAACTGGGTTTGCAGGAACACTGCCAATGCTCTCACAGGCCCTGCCCCTCCTGGGCTTAAAACAAAAGTGCTCTTAAGTATTTTTGTGCCAAATATCCCTTCAGCAATCTGGTGAAGAGCCCTCCAACTTTTTCTCATAATAAGATTTTTAAATGCATAAAATAAAATACAAAAGAAACCAATTATATTGAAAAATAGTTAAAATAGTTTAAAAATCTGTATAGAAATATGAGTTCCTTCATTAATGCAGTCTAATTAAGATTTAGCAACAGTCTAATGATTACCCTAATTTTGAAAAGGTAATTTTAAACAATATTTTGAGAATCTGAAATAACTGACATGATGCGCAAATATTTGTCATTTATGTTGATGCCAAAAACAAAGATACTGCTAATATTACACGGTATGTGGTAGCTGTCATTCATAATTAAAATAAATGTGTAATTTAAGATAGTAGTTAATAACAAGAAAGATGCAATTTTTTCTCATTCAAGTTCCCAGATGCGCTGAATTTTATCTCATGTTACTAGTCCCTGGTTTAATGATTTTTAGGCGTACCTCATTGGAAGCCATTCAAGTAGACAAAACTTTCCTCCTTAAAATAGTTTCCTTTATTTTCAAACAGGTCCTCAATGCAACTCAATAAAAATGTTCAGTGAACAACTACTTACCATATATAAAGGACAATATTAAAGATATACAGCCTGTCTTTAAAGGGTGCATAGCCTAATGAGGGTACAAGATCTTTCAATAAGTCATAAAACAATATGAATAATATGTTGTGTGCCATATTAGTAGTATATGCTGAGTTCTAAAGAGAAACAGAGAACAGAACTATAAAATTGATCTGAGAGAGTTGAGGAAGAAATCACAGGGAACAAATAAGCTGAACAAAAAGTCAAAGTGTATACCAGTATGGAGGTAACTGATAATGGCATGGTAAGAATTTAGAGTGCTTTAAGAAAGCAGCAGGAGGTGAATGTGATGTCTTGGTGTCAACCAGATACTGTGGACATAAGAATGCTAACCCATGAGGCAGGGTTTTAGGCAGGGCATGCTTGAACCCATGTCTTTGCTCTTTCTGCTCCATCAGCTCAGGGCACCATTCCCCTTCCCGTGTGTTAACTCATATATTGATGCTTTTTGGCTTTAGACCCAACACTTTTATACAAAGTCTTCGTTCACCACCCAAATTCATATGGTCACCATTCTCTTTCTCTTTTTCTGGATTATTTTAACGTCTTGCACTGTTACATCTTTGTAATCCATATTAAAATACTTTTGAACCAAGAAGGTTATAAATAAGTTAATAAATTATCTTTAAAATCCTTATAATTCTGTATAACTACATTTGTAGCTCTGTATAACTACATATAGAAAGATAATTGCTTCTCATGAAGTCAGAGTTCAAGGGATGCTGCATGGAATGATCCAAATGTGATTTCCAGGAACATCAGCTGAAATTATGAAAGGTAAAAACTACCCTTCTTGACAGGCATTAAGAGAAAATAAAAATGGGACCTTTGGGGAAGCAAATGTCTTGGCTATGTTACATTGCCAAAAGAGAAATTTTGATATCTGTCAATAAGGGACATCATTGATGGATGCTCCGAAGGAAAGATCTTATTGATATAGAAGAGCAAGGGATCTTTAAAAATTAAGTCATTATGGAAACTGCCTTTCCAGGGACTTTTACTTTTCTTGTAATTGGGAAGAATTAAAGCACAACAACTCAATCATAAACATGCTTAAGATTAATAAATTGAAGAATACCTATCATTGCAAAGGAAGATTCCAATACAAAAAGAATAATTTTAATGAATATATCTTAGTATATCTCAGCCACTTCAGTCCATTCGGAGAATTTTCCCCAAAGAAATACGATAGAGTTTTTTATTGACTGTTTTTTTGTTGTTTGTTTTTGTTTTGTTTTTGAGATAGGGTCTTGCTCTCTTGCCCAGGCTAGAGTGAAATGGTGGTGCCATCTCAGCTCACTGCAATCTCTGCCTCAGGGACTCAAGCAATTCTCCCACTTCAGCCTCTCAAGTAGCTGAGACTACAGACATGCGCCTCCTTGCCTGGATAATTTTTGTATTTGTGTATATATATATTTTTTAGAGACAAGGTTTCACCATGTTGCCCAGGCTGGTCTCGAACTCCTGAACTCAAATGATTCACTCGCCTTGGCCTCCCAAAGTGCTATGATTACAGGCATGAGTCACCACACCTGGCCTATTGTTTGGTCTTATGCACTTAATAAATGTTTATTTAAAATGTTTATTAATAAATGTTTATTAACAAATCCACTTAGATTTGTTTAAATTGTATTTCTTTTTGATAGCTCTCTTAATTTTATGGTATAAGATGCATTTCCAGAAATAAGAGTTTAATTTATAATATTTTGCTTATTGGAAACTGAGATTAGTATTAAAGATACCTTAATGTGTAATCATAATCTAGTAGCCAATTGGGTTCTTAAGGAAGGAGTTGCCTCTATCTTATCTGATTTTCATTGAAATAGATAGGTTATTCAGCTTTCGTTTGGTTGTGTAAAAGAAAAAGGAAAGAAATAGAGCATGTGTTATTACCTTCAAATTACAGATAAAAAGACAGAAGCTCAGGAAGGCTAGGTGGCTTTATACTTTGCTAAGATTCTTGGCTCAAGAACATAAGGTGGCGGAGGAAAGTACGAGCATGGAATCAGTAGAAGGAATGTGTGTGGCAGTGCCCTCTCAACAGGCAGCCCTCTCCTACCAGATGGTGTTTCCCAGGCAGACAAAAGAAAGGTAATGCAAGATGAGTGATAAGCAATCTTTACAGACAGGTAAAACTTATTAATGACAGACACATCACTGTTTTAAACCTCAGTCCTCTTAAATCATTAGAAGGCAGGTATTTGAGCTGATCCCTGCAATTTGCTCTCATGGGGTGTCAGAACATTAAATATCCCAGGGTGAAATGCAGTAGGCTTCAGATTCTGGGCACATTCTGGTTCCCATAGGAAGCTTGAGAAAGAAACAAATCATAAATGATAATTTTTCTTCATCTTCCAACACATTCTAATTTACTATCATCCTTAATTTTTTAAAGGTACAAGTAGTTATGCCATGAAGAAAACACCAATGAAATGCCTTTTTAAGGATCCCATTCCTGAGCTTTCCACATAACCAGGATGCTTGCTTGCTTGTTTTTTTGTTTGTTTGTTTGTTTTTGTTTTGAGACAGAGTTTCACTATTGTTGCCCAGGCTAGAATGCAATGGCGCGACTGGCTCACTGCAACCTCCGCCTCCCGGGTTCAAGTGATTCTTCTGCCTCAGCCTCCCAAGTGTCTGGGATTACAGGCATGTGCCATGATGGGATTACAGGCAGCCTCCGGAGTAGCTGGGATTACAGGCATGCACCACAGCTAACTTTCTGTATTTTTAGTAAAGACGGGGTTTAACCATCTTGGCCAGGCCAGTCTCGAACTCCTGACCTCAAGTGATCCGCTTGCCTCAGCCTTCCTAAGTGCTAGGATTACAGGCATGAGCCACCATGCCCAGCCAACCAGGATGCTTTCTAGAGACCTAATGTAACTTACTGCAGAAATAAAAGAGGAATGTATCCTCTGATTTATTGGCTACCTAAATGTCATTCCTCTTTTTTCTCACCTAGATTCAAGGACAAGTACTAAACATGCCTAAATCTGAAGTATGTGATATACCCACAAATAGCCAGGGTCCACCAACCATCTGTTGGAGCAATCTGGTGATGCCATTGGTGATAGCACTCCTGCAAGCAGGAGCCATCCTAACCTACATTTGTCCAATGCTCCCCAGGGTGCCAAGCAATGCTCCCACATCTCATCTAACAGGGAGAACCCACAACACGTTGATGAGCCCTGTGGAGTTAATTATTGCTGTTAGCATCATCCCTATTCACAGTTTTGCAAATTTGAGTTTCACAAATTTAAGCAATTTGTTCAAGGTCTTACAACTAGAAATTGGCACGATCAGAATTTAAGCCACTCTTTTCTGTCCCCAAGCCCAGATTCTTTCTCTAGGGCAGCATTTGTAAAGGTCTGATCCAAGGATCATTTGAAAAGGATCACCAGGGATGGCTTTTGAAACTGTAAATTTTGAAGCCCTACTCCAGACCTGTGAAGCCAGAATCTGTAGAGTGAGGGGCTATTCTGCACCTTCAATAAATACCTGAGTGATTCTATGCACACTAAAGTTTAAAAATCAATGCTCTAGATCCTCATATGGTACTTTACAGTTTGTAAATCACTGTAAAGGTTTTTGTTTTAATAATATTAAAGGGCCAGGCATTGTCTCATGCCTGTAATCCCAACACTTTGAGAGGCCGAGGCAGGGGGATCACGAGGTCAGGAGTTCGAGACAAGCTTGGCCAACATGGTGAAACCTCGACTCTACTAAAAATAAAAAAATTAGCCAGATGAGGTCGTGCGAGCCTCTAACCCAGCTACTCGGGAGGCTGAGGCAGGAGAATCACTTGAACCCGGGAGACGGAGGTTGCTGTCAGCTGATATTACGCCACTGTACTCCAGCCTGGGCGAAAAGAGTGAAACTCAGTCTCAAAAAGAATAATAATAATATTATTATTAAAGACTATAACCTTGTATCAGGTATTACCTTGGGAGTTGACCTTGAGATTAAAGCATAGAACCTGACAACCAACTGCATGGATTGGAATCTTGACTCTCACTTATCAGCCATTAATCTTGGATGGATTACTTACTGATATTTTTTCTGTTGTTAGTTTGCCTGTCTATAGAATGGAGTTGCTGTAAGGTGTGGTGGCTGTAAGAATGCATGAACAGTCTTCCAACCACAAGGAGCATAACGATCAATTGGCCAAGGGGCCTGGCAGCTGTGCTCTGAAATCCACAGCAGCATTTGAACTGGTGTCCCGCCTCACACCAGCTTCTCCCCACTGATGACAAAACACAGGAAGATCATTAAGGCAGGCCTGTTTGTGGAAGACACGAGCCTTCTTTAATGGCCAATTTTGACTCAGAGACTTTCTGATGATCTTGCCTAATCTTCCACAGACCGATGGCAATCTAGGATGTTTCCATCTAACCTCCTTCCCTCTCTCTTTCACTTGAGGTGAAACTTGTGTCATGGCCAGACGGACCTTCCAGCCACTCCCAGCTCCTCCCCATTTTCTCTCACAGGCATTTCCCCTAACAAAATGCTTACATGTTTAATTCTGTCTTGGATAATATTTGCTTCTGGGAAAACCCAAACTAATACATAAGGATTGTGTGAGGTAAATCATAAAATGTATTTAGAATCATACCTGGTACATAGTAAGTGCTCAATAAGTGTCAGGCCTATTATTACGATTGTTCTTACTATTGCTACTACCACTGGCATTACTACAATTATCATAGAAGATAGATTTTTTTCCTCACCAACCATGCTAAGTAACTTACCATGATATCATTAATGCAATTCTAGGTAACTCGATATATATGAAAGGACTTTGCAATATTCTTAAAATTAATCATGGAGACATGGGCATAATTCCTCCTTGTAAAAAGTATTTTAGAGTAAAAATAAATGACATACTCAAAAGTACAATGCAGAATGTCAATAAGTGATAACGTCTGTTTCTCCAGCACCAGCCCCCATGCCTAAACAATGTTTAATTCAACTTCACAGTAGTAACATCCCTCACAGCAGGTGGGTCATGGTGAATGTTCATGACTATTTGTTGAATTGAATTGTTAAGTAGTGCAGCTCAATTTAAGGCTTGCAGTATAAGCTGTAGAAGTATATATTATTTGTTAAGTGACTTTTCTTCCATCACAAATCTTAGAGGCTTTTGAGAAAGGACATACACTTTTATAGATGAAGTACAGCCTGATAATTCTCAAAAATGACAGTAGAAATTACAGTGATGCCTCTGTCAGAGAATCTATAGGTTCACCCACACCTATAACTCACTAAGTTGGAGAAAAAAAATATAAAGTGAAGATATTTTTTAGAAGGTGACAAGATATCTTCACTCACACACTTGTAATGTCTATGAGATTTGCTATTATCTCAAATAAAGTAGCAGGGGACATAAAGAAATAAAGAGAGCTATCTAAAAACAAAGCGAAAAAAACAAATAAATCCCGAAACCTCCCGGTTTCAGATCAAATAAATTCTGCTGGGCAATTGGTGATGATTGAAAACAAAATAAAAAACTTTCCTGCCAAAAATATCATGATGATATCCTGACTTAAATCTTTTATCTGAAAAAAAAAAAAAAAAAAAGATTAGGATGGCAGCCATTAAAATCACACATTTTTCAAAGACTCAGGCCTGTGGTTGAAACGAAAAATTCTGTGCATCTTAGAATTGTTCTGTCTGGTATTTTGAGTTTTGGAAAAATGGGTGAAAACTGACAAAGATCTTTTCCTGCAAGTGTGTTGTAGTGTCAGCTTACCAGAATGCCAATCACAAAATACCATCATTCGAGATTATAGCTCTACGTTTGCAAAACAGACAGCAATGTAGAATGTAATTTTTAATTAAAATAGAAATGCTTCTTTCATGACTCATTAGTTCCATATTTGTAGGGTGAAATGGCACATGTCCATCATCAAAGTGTTTTACATAGACCCCAGTGAAAGACCCACAGTATATTTGTGCTATGCATAGAAAAACAAAAAACGCAAGGTCAATGTGTTCCCATATTGATATCTGGAGCATACAAATCACACTAAGGCCCTTTGATGCTACATAAGCGATGGATGGATAAAGAGGGGCTGTATGACAGAAGGAACTGGCAGAGAAAATGGGAAGGGCTGGAGAAGAAATGAAAAGAGAGAACATTAAGAGGCTGGTAAGTAAGTTTCATTCTGAGATGCTTTCAGACAGTTAAAGATAGCTATGCCAACTACTCTATATGGCATACTTTGAATAAAATGTTCAAGCATTTGTGTCATTGTTATTTTTCTTTTTCTTCTTATGGCAAAGATGTTGAAAACTAATTTTAGGTTCCCAGATTTTCTCAAGTGCTAAACAGCCACCCTGGCATTTGCAGCAGGAAACTTACTTCAGTCTCTGGTCTCTTTCTTGGTTCTCAGGAAATTGTTTTGTGATGCAGCAGCTGCAGCAACAATCTTATATGACTTCTTGCCAAGACCTTCTCACACCATCCTACAAACTTCTCTGATGTGTAGGGACTAGATCTTTTGTGAAGCAATTTCTGTCTCCAAGTTCTTTACCTCCATGTGTCTATTGGCATGAAATGGTGGTGGTTTACCCGAGGTGCTTCTATGATGGCATATTTCAGGTGGTCACTTAGGGATTCTGGCTGTGACCCTCGACTCTGAATCCTGAGGAAACCAGTTTATGGTGAGAGTTTTAGAAGAGGAAAAAGAGGCTTCCATAACTTTAGAAATGCCCAATCTCCTTTTCTTCCAAATTCTTGTCTTTAACCAATGTTCTGTTTCTAATTCCTAGTGATTTTTTCCTTAGCTATAAAGATTTTGACATAAAAAGTGGATCTGATATACTTTTCATCTTGAAAAGCAGTCTATTTAACTTAAAATATGTTCCTTACAGTTTTTATAAGTAACAAAATATAGCAGGTAGCAATTAGTTTAAAAAAAGAGGCACGGACTGTCTTTTGTATATGCCATTCAATATTACTGGAGAATGGCATTTACTATACATGTCAGTGCTAAAATCAATGACTACAAAAACTCAGCATATTCACTTCCTCCTCTGGATTCAAGAGAATTGTTACTGTTAGAGTTTTAGAAAACCAGCCTTTGAGCTTTTCTTCTAACATAAAATAGGCTTCTAAGCCACGCTGCGAAGTAGGAAGGATTTCTTTTCATAGTTTTCTATCCTTCTTTCAACATTGCCTACATAGTGGATAGCTCTTGTTTTGTCTTTCCAGAATCAATGCTCTCTTCCTATGCCTGCAGGACCTCAAATTTCCTGGAGTGTTTGCCCTTTTCTCACTAGTAGTCCATGCTATTTGCAACAGCAGAATCCACTTCCTGTTTCTAGACCTAGGCCTGGCCAGTGGGAAAATAGCCCAATCCAGACCAATCAAGGCAAGTCTTTGAAATTCAATTACAATTTTCAGAAAGATATTCTATTTGCTAAAGTTGTTCTAAGGGGAGATTAGGAATCTGGAGTTAACTAGTGACTTTATCATATCATGAGAATAATCCACCTAAAAGAACAGAAAGCTACACAGGCCATGAAAAGGAGGAAGACAGGTTCCTGGCTGAATAATTTGAGTAATTGGATCCAGCCATTTTTGAGGCCATATTATTCTTGGGTTTGTAAATATAGTTCCTTTTTAGCTTACACCAAATATATTGTTAGATTTCTGTGATCACAACCAAATGGATACTTACTGATACAACCTAGTACCTATTGATTTATATCCTCCAGGTAATGAAAGTCCTTATTTGCCCTTCATTTGCTCAGGAATGTATTTGTTCATGTCTTACCAAACAGTAGTATTCAGCAAACCAGACTCCAGGATTTCTTTCTCATTTCCATCAAGGAATTTCTGTCCCTTGTTTTGTTCTTGTTATCACTAGGTTATGATCTATGCTAGTAATTATCTATCAAGCTAATTTAAAAAGGCACAATTGGCTGAAAATATTTGGGTGTTGCATTTTTATCCGTTATATTTGTTTAAAGTAGTACATAATATAGGGACTTCAGGCAAAATAACAGAACCAGTTAAGAAGATATTTTTGACCAAAGCGACATACAGTAGTGGGAAAGTCTTCTGAGTTGTCCATAGTATGGGATAAAAATGAAAATACAACCTAGTTTATGAAATGATTATTCCAACTAAGATGGAGTAAATTCACTCCATACTTTCTCTCCCACTGATTATGGCTAAAACTGTTAGACAGCATGCATAAGGCAACTATCTGATTACACTAAAAGTAAATAATAGAGCTGGTGGTCTAACCAACAGGGTGGAGACATTCCTACTTATTTTACCTCATATCTCCTGACTTAAACTCCACAAAAGCCTGAATCCTAAGACCATGCAGCAGATGTAATTAGTAGCATTAGGAGATATACCTAATGTAAATGACGAGTTAATGGATGCAGCACACCAACATGGGACATGTATACATATGTAACAAACCTGCATGTTGTGCACATGTACCCTAGAACTTAAAGTATAATAAAAAAAAGAAAAAAAGAGAAATCCAATTCCCCCTCTTTCAGTGGCCAGGGTACCAGGAAAGGGTACCACTGTAGGATGGATATGGTGAGGGGAATAATGATTTAGTTTAATTTTTCTTTTTATTCTCCTTGGCTGGGCCCAGGCAAGCCTCAGGCATGAGCCTACACTCCTGTACAGATTTTTAGATAATCTGAGGGGATATAGTTCTCTATTACCAGAGAACTGGAAAAAGGAGCCCCTGTGATTTGAAGAGTCTTTCTTACTTCTCTCTTGCTCCTCTGTCATAAAGTCAGACCCAGTCATAAGACTGGGCTACATAAATATTAGACATAGTAGACTCAGGATGAGGAAAATGACCAGATAAGAGATAGGAAAAACCAAAGTGCTTTTCCTGCTTTCTACTCTCCACTCAACACAACACTAAACACTTCTGAAACCAGATGTGTGGAGGTTGTTTCTTCCTCTCAGTCCTACGAGGCTGCTCCCAACTTCAGATGTCAAATGCAAATAGTAGGTTGTCACCTATACTTCTGACCAATTGGCTATTAATCAACATTGTCACAGCCCCCTCCTTGGATATGATTAATATGCTAGAGTAGCTCACAAAATTCAGGGAAGTGCTTTACTTACACTTACTGATTTATTAATAAAGGATATAATAAAGAATGTAGATAAACAGCCAGATTAAAAAAAAAATGGATAAGGCATGGCATGTGGGAAGGGGCATGAAGTTTTATGCCCTCTCTGGGGAGCCACCCTCCAAGAATCTCCCATGTTTAGCTATATGGAAGCCCTCCAAACAGTCCTTTTGGGTTTTATAGAGGCTCCATTACATAGACATAATTAATTAAATCATTGGCCATTGGTGATCAGCTCAACCTTCAGATCCTTTCTACTTCCTAGAGGTTGGGAGGTGGGGGTGAAAGTCTCAACCCTCTAATCTTGCCTTGGTCTTTCTGGTGACCAGCCACTATCCACCAGTTATCTCACTAGCTTACAAAATTCTTATCATTCTTATCATTTCAGAGATGTTAAGAATTTTAGGAGCTATATGCCAGAAAACTAAGAGAAAGACCAAATATGTATTTCACAATATCACACCAGAGATAAAGAGGGACATTACAAAGTGATAAAAGAAGACATAAAATTCACCAAAGAGGCACAAAAATCCTAAGTATGTTTGTACCTAATAATAGATATTCAAAATACATGAAGCACAAATGGACTTTAACAGAAAGAAGAAAAAGACAAATCCACAATTACGGGTGGAAACTTTAACACTTATCTCTCAGTAATCAAAAGATCAAGTAGAAAGAAAATCAACAAGAATATAGAAGTCCTGAACAACACTATCAATCAATTTGACCTAATTAACCTTAGGAACTCCCCTCAACAATAGCAAAATGAATTTTTTTTCAAGTACACATGGAAATTTCAATGAGACAGGCCATATGCTGTCAGAAAAACAAACTTCAAAGCATTTTAACTGAAATAATGCAAGGTCTTTTTCTCTGATCATAATAAAAAAATGAAAAGGAATATAGCAGAAAAATATCTGAAATATCCCCAAATATTTGAAAAGTTAAACAACACACTTCTAAATAGTTCATGAGCCAAAGAAAAATCTGGAAGAAAGGTAGAAAATATTCTGAATTGAATGAAAATGAACAGATAACATATCAAAATGTACAGAGTGCATCTAAAGCAGTGCTTCAAAGAAGATGTATACATTTAATGCTTACATTAGAACCAAAACACATTCTCAAATCTATAACTGAAGTTTCTACCCTAAGAAACAAGAAAAAGAACAGCATATGGAACTTAAACTAATTAGTAGGAAGTAAATAATAAAAATAAAATGGAAAACTTTTGATTTTTTGAGACGGAGTCTCGGTCTGTCGCCTAGGCTGGAGTACAGTGGCGCGATCTGGGCTCACTGCAACCTCCGCCTGCCAGGTTCACGCCATTCTCCTGCTTCAGCCTCCCGAGTAGCTGGAACTACAGGCTCCCACCACTACGCCCGGCTAATTTTTTGTATTTTGTTTAGTAGAGACGGGGTTTCACTGCAACCTCCGCCTGTCGGGTTCACGCCATTCTCCTGCCTCAGCCTCCCGAGTAGCTGGGACTACAGGCTCCCACCACCACGCCCGGCTAATTTTTTGTATTTTGTTTAGTAGAGACCGGGGTTTCACTGTAACCTCCGCCTGCCGGGTTCACGCCATTCTCCTGCCTCAGCCTCCCGAGTAGCTGGGACTACAGGCTCCCACCATCACGCCCAGCTAATTTTTTGTATTTTGTTTAGTAGAGATGGGGTTTCACCATGTTAGCCAGGATGGTCTCGATCTCCTGACCTCGTGATCCGCCCGCCTTGGCCTCCCGAAGTGCTGGGATTACAGGCGTGAGCCACTGCGCCCAGCCGGAAAACATGTTTTAAAACCAACCAAACTAAAAGTAGATTCTTTGAAAAGATCAACAAAATTAGTAAGTCTCTAGCCAGACTGAAAAAGAAAGAGAGAGAAAACACAAATTAGCAATATCAGAATTTATCACTACAGACTCCACAGACATTAAAAGAAGTATGGGAGAAAACTAAGAATAACTTTATGGTCATAAATTCAACAATTTAGATAAAATGTGCCAGTTAAAAGATACACTGCCAAAACTTACTCTAGACACAGTAGATAACTATAATAGTTATATAGCTATTTTAAAAAAAAACTTTAATTTATAAATTATAAACTTCCAACAAATAAAACTCCAGGCCCAGATGGTTATACTGGTAAATTCTACTAATCAGTTAGGAAAAATAATAATAATTTAAATTCCTTACAATCTCTTCCAGAAAATAGGAAAGGAGGGAATACTACTCAGCTCATTTTATGATGCCAGCATTACTCTGATATATCAAAGCCAGAAAAGGAAATTATAAGAAATAAAAACTACAGACCAATAACCTTAATAAACATAAACAAAAAAACTTCAACACAATATTAAAAAGTCAAATCCAGTAACACATTAAAACAAGTATAGGTTGAGAAAAGTGAAGTTTATTTCAGGAATGCAGGGCAGATCCATTATTTGAAAATAAATCAATTTATCCATCATATTAATACACCAAAGAAGAAAGTCATATAAATCATATCAATAGATGGGGGAAAAAATGTAAGGTTCATTTATGATTAAAATACTCTTAGCAAATGAGAAATAGAACAGATCTTGCTATGGCTTGAATGTGTCTCCCAAAATTCATATGCTTATTTATAACTTATCCCAAATGCAATAATGTTAAGAAGTAGGACTTTTAAAAGGTGATTAGGTTCCAAGGGCTATGCCCTCATGAATGCATTAATATAAGTACCACTAGAGTGGATTTGTTATAAAAGTGAGTTTGGCTCCTTCTTGTTTGCTCTCACACTCTCTTGTCCTTCCACCATCTTCCACAAGATAACACAGCAAGAAGGTCCTTGCAAGATGCCAATGCCTTGATCTTGGACTTCTCAGCCTCCAGAATTACGAGGAAAGAAATTTCTGTTTCTTATAAATTACCCAGTCTGTGGTATTTTGTCTTAGCAGCTCAACATGGACTAAAACATCTTTCTTAACCTGGTTAAGGATCTCTATAAAAACATGCAGCTACTATTATAATTAACAGCCAAAGAATGAATACTTTCTCCTTAAAATGGAGATCAAGGTAAGGATATCCACTTTTACCACTTCTCTTCAACATCATAATTGAATTCCTGGTCATTGCGATTGGTACAAAAAATAAAAAAAAATGCACACAGATTAGGAAAGAATAAATAAAACTGTCTCTATTCATAGGCAACATATTTGTCTACATAAAAAATATCAGTGTGTCTACAAGAAAAGCTCTTAAACTACAAGAAAAGCTCTTCGAATTCAACATGGTCATGGATTCAAGGTCCAAACACAAAAATCAATCTCATTTTTTTCAATAAGCAATAACCAATTGGAAAACAACTTTTTAAAAATCTCAAAGAAATGAAATGCTTAGGGATAAATCTTACAAAATATGTACAAAATCTTTTCCTGAAAACTACAAAACACTGATGAAAGAAACTAAAGAAGAACTTAAGTAGAGGGATATCTCATTAATTGGAAACCAATATTTTAAAATTTTAATTTTCCTCAAATCTCCCCGAAATTGATCTATACGTATAATACAATCCAAATGCAAATTTCAGCAGGATTATTATTGGAGGTAGTGACAAGCTGTTTCTAATTTTTTAATAAGAAGACTAACGGCCAGGCACGGTGGCTCACGCCTGTAATCCCAGCACTTAGGGAGGCCGAGGCGGGTGGATCATGAGGTCAGGAGATCGAGACCATCCTGGCTAACAAGGTGAAACCCCGTCTCTACTAAAAATACAAAAAATTAGCCGGGCGCGGTGGCGGGCGCCTGTAGTCCCAGCTACTCGGGAGGCTGAGGCAGGAGAATGGCGTGAATCCGGGAAGCGGAGCTTGCAGTGAGCCAAGATTGCGCCACTGCAGTCCGCAGTCCGGCCTGGGCGACAGAGCGAGACTCCGTCTCAAAAAAAAAAAAAAAAAAAAAAAGAAGACTAACAAACAAAAATAGTCAAAACAATTTTGAAAAATAAGAACAAAGTTGGAAGAGTCACACTTTTTTAACACTTTAACACGACAGTAAACAGGACAAGGTGGTATTGATAAAAGGAAAATTATATATATGAATAGGACAAACTAAAGATTCTAGAAATAGACACACACAAATTTTTTTGATGAGT
The DNA here is from genome assembly GCF_000001405.40 of Homo sapiens. NCBI lineage: Eukaryota > Metazoa > Chordata > Mammalia > Primates > Hominidae > Homo > Homo sapiens. The sequence goes on along the minus strand of NC_000005.10, from coordinate 144,278,294 downwards.
CCAAAAGAAAATCTCTAGAGAAGAAATAGCCTTTTCAACAAATGGTGTTTGACGATTAAACACCCATATACAAAAAAAGTTTCCACCTCACACATTAAATAAAGTGAACTTAAAATGAATTCTATATTTAAATGAAAATGTTAAACTATTACACTTTTAGAAGACAACATAAGAGAAAATTTTTGAGACCTTGTGTTAGACAAAGAGTTCTTAGATACACTACCAAAAGCACAGCCCATAAAAGAAAACATTGATAAATGTGACTCTTTCAAAATTTAAAACTTTTGCTCGTAGAAATTTAGCAAATGAAAAGACTAGCTACATGTTGGGAGAAAATAGCCACAAATAACATACCCAACAAAGTATTTATATTCTGAATATATATTTTTTTAAATCTCAAAACTTAACAAAAATGCAACAATAACTCAATTTAAAACTAGATAAAAGTTTTTAACAGATATTTCCCCAAAGAGGATATACATATGGCAAAGAAGTACATGAAAGATGCTTAACATCATTAGTCTCTAGGTAAATGAAAACTAATACCACCATGAGCTATAACTACACACCTATTAAAATAGTTAGAATCTAAACATTAACAACAGCAAGTACTAACAAGGTTGGAGATAACTAGATCTCTTATTCTGATAGGATTGCAAAATACAATGTAAATGTTTTCAAAAATCAATTTAAAAAAATCACATTGATAATGCTGGCCCTGCCACTGTCTTGCTAAGTGATTTGGGCAGGATATACCATCTCTTTGATACTCAATTTTATTGGATATAATATGAGGTTGTTAGATGGTCTGAGTTCTTTTCCAAGTTTAGTAGTCAATAATTGAAATTATATCATGAACATGCTTGTCTTTTCTCTAACTAAGCTTAGTGTGCACCCTACAAGAGGAAGTTATTTAGCAGTTTGTGATGTTTTTCTTCAGCCAAGATTGTGATCAGCCCAATGGAGCAGTCTCATCACCATCATCATCATCGTCGTCATCATCATCAGCAGCAGCATTGAGCTATTTACATTTCCTGAATTCACAAGACAATTCAACACTTCCAGACTAGGAGGGTCACCAAAAAGCACAAAGAACTATGCAATTGTAAATTGTTATTTCTGCCCTACAGCAAACTTTTCAAAGAGAAATGAAACACTTAAGGGAAAAATAGATAGTGAGTTTTTCACCCACAGGGAAGAATATAAAATCTATGGATATGCAGCAACACTGAAAAAAATGATATTAACTCTACACTCAGAGCTCTGCTTCACACCTTGTCATTTACATTGTGTATAAAACACAGGATATGACTGTCATTATGTTATAATTTATTGCAATACTGTTATTTTTAATTTACATAGATTATGGGATGGAGTTTCTTTTTTTTTTTTTAGACAGGGTTTCACTCTGTTGCCCAGGCTGGAGTGCAGTGGCTTGATCTTGGCTCACTGCAATCTCTGCCTCTCAGGTCCAAGAGATTCTCATGACTCAGCCTCCCGAGTAGCTGGGATTACAGGTGTAAGCCACTATGCATGGCTAATTTTTGTATTTTAGCAGAGACAGGGTTTCACCATGTTGGCCAGGCAGGTCTTGAACTCCTGACCTCAAGAGATCCACCCACCTTGGCCTCCCAAATTGCTGAGATTACAGGCGTGAGCCATCGTGCCCGGCGAGATAGAGTTTCAATAGGGAATGAAACCTTTCTTTTCAGTAAACCACAAGTTAGTGGTCAAAAAGGAATGTTTCTAGGTCTCTGCCAGAACTAGAAGACTAGGAGAAATAAACAAATTCCTTTAAAAATTAGCATCATAATAATTCCATGTCTAAGATTTTACCCTAATATGAACCACATGCAAAAATATTCCTTGTGGTATTATTTGTAACAGTGAAAGATTATAAGTAATCTGAATGTCTACCCTTCAGGGACTGGCTGAATAAACTGTGAATATAATACTAAAGGCAAATAAGTGAACTAAAGCTATAAACATTAATATAGGTAACCTCCTAAGAGATATTGTTGAGAGACAAAATTATATAACAGAATGATGTCATTCTTTTTACAAAAAAACACACAATTCTTATAATATTGTCTATTGATGTGTCTCAGAATTATCTGCAATGATACATACCAAATTCATAACAGGGATTTACTTTGGGGAGAAGAGAAGGGTTTAAGGCAAAGGAGCCTTTAAGGGAAAATGTATTCATGTATTATTTATATAACTAAAAATTACTTTTTAAACAAAAGTTCCAATGAAGAGCACCAAAGAAACCTGTTTATTTCATCAGAAAATTTTCCTGGGGCCACTTTGAAAAGTCCTAAAGGCACGTAACCTGGAATGACAATGTCAGGATAGAATACCCAACCTTGTCAAGAAAGGCTTTCGTCATGGTACAGCTTGTTGTAAGAATATTAATCTGGGAGCCACGTTTTAGGGATTAGAAATACACTTCACATTGTTCTTAAGAAAGCACACAGTCCTGAAATGATCTCTAACATTACATTTTCAAGTTTTTTGAGCAGATCCTCATCTCATTATTTAACTTCACTCCCACCACCACCTTCTCACAGCCCACATCCCTCGCCGTTCAGTGTTCCCAAACCAGAATGGCACGTATTTATTTTTAAATTTAGAGTAAATTAAAACTAATTTTGTTTTGAGAATCCCATGACACTCTTTGGAATAATTAGAAGGACCCTGTGGTGTCACAAAAGCAGAACTGGGAAAGCGTTCACTTGTGTTGTTGCCATGGGGATCTGCCTCTTGTAACAATACAGTTTTAGAGAGAGTGGGAGAAAGGGGAGAAATCTCCAAAGGTCTGTAAATAGGGCAAGGCAGCATTGCAGAAGTAAATAGTACCAGTGGGTCTGTAGCTTTGCTTTCCCGTATCTGTTCAGGCAACATGACATGGGAGGAAGAAAGAGAATGTGCTCTGGTTATTAGGTGCAATGAGTCAATTATGCTCATATCCATTTTGCATAATTAAGTGCAAAAAAAAAGGAGGAGCAGATGGGAGGTGGGATCGTTTTTGTAGGTGTGTGGTTGTCCAGACCTGATCACTGCCTCTGACAGTGATGAGAATGCAAGAGACCAGTGGGCACTTTCTTCTCTGCCTATAAAATCTTCAGCCCCTTTATGGAGGTGTATTATGTTTCTCCATTTTAATTTTAGCATCTACACTGTAGCAATTTGCATTTAAATGTGTTGTCAGAGAACTTCCAGAAATCTTTAATAGGAAGACCGATTTGCATTTTAATATACGGTTAAAGAATTTCAAAATATCTTTTTTAGTGTGAATACATATTACCAGAGGAAGGGCCACCTTTAAAGAAATTATAATTACCTGGGTACAATTTAAACGGAGCTGGCTCTAAAAAGCACTGTGGCTTTGTTGGACTTTGCTAAAACTTCTTTGTAAGGCAGAAAGTCCAAAAGAGAAAGGAAACCTTCTGATCTGGGAGCCTTAAAGATAGAACTGATACCTTCAGTACATAAATCCAAGTAGAGAAGTATGTCATTAAGCAAGGGTTGGGTTGGGTTCATTATAAGAAAAGAACATACTCTCAAGGAGGAAATAGAAAGGTACAATTCTCTTTATCCTGCCTTGCCAGCACCCCACCTCACCTTTTCTTATCTACTGGAATTTGAAGGCTGAATTCAGACACAGGTAGAGTCCTTACAACATGAATGCTACTGCTCACCATCATCACTTAATAGTTTCACCAGAGTAGTCATGACCCTGAATAAACATTTCTGTTTTTCAGGATTCTGGAGAAATACTGATTAGGTCTAAATTCACATTCAGAATTATGAAAAAATGTTATATATCTTATTTCTTCTGCCTTCTCATTCTTAATGACTGAATCACCATGCCTTGGTAAGGCATTTCCAACCCTCTTTAATCTATCCCCTACCTACTTGTCCACTATTCATTGCTCTACTCTATAGTAACCCTTAACCTAGCCAAGCTACCTTTATTCCTACACACTTAAGTTTAGAGAGACCTCCTACCATGAATACCACAACCTACAGGTTATGTTGCAGGAAGACAAGAAGAAGGAAAAGGATACAGAGAAAAAGAGGGGGAAACAGTAAAAATGAAAAAGAGAAGGATAAAAAGAAAAGAGAAAAGGACAATAAATAGAAAGAGAAAAAGAGAAGAAGGAAGAAAAATTTCAGAAATTCATTCTCCTGAAATTATTTTAACCTTTTTCTTAAAATGCCCAAGTGGATTTTTTTTCTATTTTTTATTATATTTTAATATAATATGTTATGTATATTTTAATACACATAACATAAAAATATTATTATATTTTAATATAATATGTTACGTATATTTTAATACACATAACATAAAGTTTACCATTTTAACCATTTTTGAGTATACAAGTTTGTGTTAACAAATACATTCATAATGTTGTGCAACCGTCACCACCATCCATCTCTATGACTCTTAATCTTGTAAAACTGAAACTATTTTGTATTTACATAAAAAGTAACTCCCTATTTCCCCCTCCCCCCAGCCCCTGACAACAACCATTCTACTTTCTGTCTCTATAATTAAGACAACTCTAAGTACCTCATATAAGTGAAATCACCATAAAGTATTTGTCTTTTTGTGACTAGCTTATTTTACTTAGTAGAATGTTCTTAAGTTCCATCTATGTTGTATCATGTGTCAGAATTACATTGTGCTTATCTATTCATCTGTCAAAGGACACTTAGGTTGCTTCCATGCTTTAGCTATTTTGAATAACTTCTATGAACATGGTTGTACAAATGTCTCTTTGAGGCCCTGGTTTCAATTCTTTTGGGCAAATACCCAAAGGTGGGACTGCTGAACCATATGGTAATTCTATTTTTAATTTTTGATGAACTGTCATACTGTTTTTTACAGCTGTACTCTTTTGCATTCCTACAAACAGTGCACAGGGTTTCAGTTTCTCCACATCCTCACCAACATTTGTTGTTTTCTGATTTGTTTTATTTTTGATAGTAGCCATTGTGTTGGGGATTATATAATAACTCATTGTAGTTTTCATTTGTATTTCCCTAGTGATTAGGAATGTTGAGCATATTTTCATGTGTTTACTAGCCATTTTTATATCCTCTTTAGAGAATTAGTCAAGTCCTTTGCCCATTTTTAAATTGGGTTGTTTATTTTGTTTTTGAGTTTTAGGAGTTCACTATATATCTGGAATATTAATCTCTTATCAGATACATGATTGATAAATAGTTCCTCCTATCTTGTGGGTTACCTTTATACTTTGTTGATATTGTCTTCTTATGCACAATTTTTTAAATTTTCATGGAGTATATATTTTTTTATTTTGTTGCCTATGCCTTTGATGTTATGCCCAAAAAATATTTGCCCAACCCAGTGTTGTAAAACTTTTGCCCTGTGTATTCTTTTAATAGTTTTATACTTTTGGGTCTTACATTTAGATCTTTTTTCCATTTTGAGTTAATTTTTGTATATGGTGTTGGGGAAGAGCTGGAAATTATGATTTTGCATATGGATATCCAATTTTCTCAGAACCATTTGTTGAAATGACTATCCTTTCCCCCACTGAATAGTCTCAGCATCCTTATCAAAAATCATTTGACCATATATGTAAGGGTTTATTTCTGATATCTGAAGATTTTCATTCTGATATTCTATGGGTCTATATGTTTGTCTTTATGTCAGTGCCACACTGTTTTGATTACTGTAGCTTTGTAGTAAATTTTGAAATCATGTAGTATTACTTTTCCAGCTTCATTCTTTTTCAAGGTTGTTTTGGCTTTTGGGGGTCTCTTGAGATCTTAAAATTCCATAAGAATTTTAGGAAGGACTTTTTCTCTCTTTCTTTCCTTTTTTTGAGATGGAGTTTCACTCTTGTTGCCCAGGCTGGAGTCCAATGGTGCAACCTCAGCTCACTGTAATCTCCACCTCCTGGGTTCAAGTGATTCCCCTGCTTCGGCCTCCTGAGTAGCTGAAATTACAGGTATGGATCACCACATCTGGCTAATTTTTTTGTATCTTTTTTTAGTAGAGATGGGGTTTCATCATGTTGGCCAGGCTGGTCTTGAACTCCTGACCTCAGGTGATCCACCCACCTCGGCCTCCCAAAATGCTGGGATTACAGGCATGAGGAAAGACTTTTTTCTACAAAAATCGTCATTACAATTTTGATAGTCATTGCATTCAATCTATAGATTGCTTTGAGTAATATTGGCATCTTAATATATTATATCTTCCAATTGATCAACATGAAATGTGCTCCCATTTATTTTAGTCTTCTTTATTTCAGCAGGGTTTTGTAATTTTCATTATACAGTTCTTTCACTTCATTGGTTACGTTGATTCCTATGTATTTTATTCTTTCTGATGCTATTATAAATGAAATTGCTTTTGTAATTTCCTTTTCAGGCTGTTGATTTCTAGTATATAGAAATACAACTGATTTTTGTGTGTTGACTTTGTATCCTGCTGTCTAAGTTCATTTATTAATTCTAACTCTGTGTGTGTGTGTGTGTGTGTGTGTGTGTAGTTTTTAGTCTTTTAGACATACCAGATCACATCATCTGTAAACAGAGATAATTTTACTTCTTCCTTTCCAATTTAGATGCTTTTTATTTATTTTTCTCACCTAACTGCTCTGGCTAAAACTTCCAAGTATTACGTTAAATAGAAGTGAAGAAAGCAGGTATTCTTGCCTTGTTCCTGCTTTAAGAGAAAAAGCTTTCAGTCTTACAGCATTCAGTGTAATATTCACTGTGGGTTTTTCATATATGGCTTATATTATGTTGAGGTAATTTCCTTCTATTCTTAGTTTTTTTAATGTTTTGATCACAAAAAGGTATTAAGTTTTATCAAATAATTTTTCTGCATTGAGATGATCATGTGCTTTTTTCCTTCATTCTATTAATGTGATGTATGACATTGATTGATTTTCATATGTTGAATCATCCTTGAATTCCAAAAATAAATCATACTTGATCAAAGTCTTTTAAAATAATCCCAAATTTTGTTTGCTAGTATTTTGGTGAGGATTTTTGCATCAATTTTCATAAAGGATATTAGTCTATACTTCTTTGAAGTATTTTTGTCTAACTTTGGTATTAAGGTAATACTGGCCTCATAGAATTAGTTAGGAATTTTTCCCTCCTCTTCAGTATTTTTTGGAAAAGTTTGAGAAGAACTGGCGTTTGTTCTTTAAATATCTGGTAGAATGTATCAGCAAAGCCATCAGGTCCAGGGCTTTTCTTTGTTGAAAGACTTTTGATTACCATTTAACCTCCTTACTAGTTATATGTATAATCAAATTTTCTATTTTTTCATGATTTAGTCATGGTAAGTTTTGTGTTTCTACAAATTTGTTCTTTTTATCTAGGTTATCCAATTGTTTGGTGTAAAATTATTTATAGTACTCTCTTACAATCTTTTTTCTTTCTGTAGTAGCAGTAGTAATGTCATCACTTTCATTTCTGATTTTAGTAATTTGAGTATTCTTTTTTTCTTAATACACTTAGCTAAAGGTTTGCCAATTTTATTGATCTTTTCAAATAACCAACTTTTGATTTCATTGATTTTTCTCCATTTTCTATTTTATCTCTTCTCTAACTTTGTTATTTCCTTTAGTCTACTAGCTTTGAGTTTAGCTTGCCCTTTTTTTTTTAGTTCTTTTACTTGTAAAATTAGGTTGTTGATTTGAGATATTTCTTATTTTTTACTGTGTTTATAGCTGTAAAATTTTATAGCTATAAAATTTCTTCTTACAATGCTTTAACTATATCTCATAAGTTTTTACATGTTGTGGTTTTGTTCTCATTTGTCTCTAAGTATTTTCTAATTTTCTTTGTAATTTCCTCTTTGATCCATTGCTTGTATGTTTCCACAAATTTTTGAGTTTTCCAGTTTTACTTCTGTCATTGATTTTTAATTTAATCCCATTGTTGTCAGAGAAGATACTTTGTATAATGTCTATTTTTTAATATGTATTGAAACTGAGTCTGTGTCCTAACATATGGTCAATCACAGAAAAATGTCCCACGTCCCATTCTTGAGAAGAATACATATGCTGTTGTATTTGGATCTTGTGTCTTTATTCATTCTGCTAACCTCTCTTTTGAATATAAAGTTTAATTCACTTACATTTAAAGTATTACTGATAAGGAAAGATTTCCTTCTGTCATTTTGCTATTTATTTTCTAAATACTTTATGGCTTTTTTCACCCTCATTTTCTGCATTACTGTTTTCTTTTATAATTAGTTGATCCTTAATACTGAAATGTTTAAATATATTTCTCATTTCTTTTCGTGTATATTCTATACCTGTTTTCTTTGTAGCTACCATAGGAATTACATTTAACATCCTAAAGTTGTAACACTTTATAATCAATTTACACCAGTTTAATACAATATCATACACAAACTATGCTCTTTTACAACTCTGTTTCCACCTCTTTGAATTGCTGAGGTCACAAAATTTCATCCTTATACATTCTCTGCCCAAAAACATAAACTAATAATTATTTTAAATGCAATAAGCTCTTAAATTATATAGAAAACAAAAACTAGAATTAGAATCCATTTTTATGATAATACTTGCTTTCATAACGGCCCCTGTATTTACCTTTATTGAGGTATTTGTTTCTTCATACAGCTTTGAGTTACTGTCTGCTGTCCTTTAACTTCACTTTGCAGGGCTCCCTTATACATTTCTTGCAGGGCGGGTCTAGTAGTAAAAATTTCCTCACCTTTTGTTTAACTGGAAATTTATTATTAATGGTTTTTCCCTCACTTTTGAAGGACAGTTTTGCCAGATATAGGATTATTTGTTGATTTTTTTCTTTTAATGCTTTGAATATATCACCCCCTTGTTTTCTAGCCTCCAAAGTTTCAGATTTCAAAAATCTGCTGATAATCATATGGAGGGTCCCTTGTATGCAATGAGTTGCTTCTTTCTTGCTTTCAAAATTCTGTCTTTGTCTTCAGCTTGAAAGTCTGATTATAATGTGTCTCAGTGTGAGTCTCTTTGCATTCATCTTACTTAGTTTCTTGAGCTCCTTGGATGTTTACATTCATGTCTTTTATCAAATTTGGGAAGTTTTCAGACATTATTTCTTCAAATATTCTCTCTGCCCCTTTTCCCATCTCTTCTCCTTCTATGAGCCCCACAATGTGTAAACCAGCCAGCTTGATGATATTCCTCATATCCCTTAGTGTCTGTTCACTTTTCTGTAATCTTTTCTTACTCTGGTCCTAAGACTTGATAATTTCCATTGTCCTATCTTCAAGATTGCAGATTGTTTCTTCTCCTTGTTCAAATCTGCCTTTGAAACCCTCCAGTGAATTTTTAATTTCAGATACGGTAATTTTTAGCTCCAGAATTTCTTTCTGGTTTCTTTTTAAGTCTTATCTTTATTGATATTTTCATTTTGTTCATACATTGTTTTCTTGAGTTTCCCAACATCTTTCTTTAGTTCTGTGTACATTTTTAAGAAAGTAGTTTTAATGTCCTTGTCTAATAGAACTGCCATTAGGTCTTTTTCAGGAACAGTTTCTGTTGTTTAATTTTTTTCCTTTGAATGTTTCATGCTTTTCTGTTTCTTTGGATGCCTTGTCATTATCTTTTTTTGGAAAAGTGGACATTTGAATCTAATAAACTGATAACTCTAACTCTATAAACCAGGGTCTACTTTTTAAAATTATTGTTTGGGGGTTTTATTTTTAATACTGTAGACAGTCTCTGTACCAAAAAATGGAAATCTAAGGTCTTTTTAAAACTTTTCTGGGCTGTGCCTCTCTCTGTGCATGTGCAGTTACTTTCTAACTTTCCCTGTATATAAAGTTATTTGTGACTGTCCTGTGTTTGATATCCATCTCCCAACTGGGAAGAGACAAAAAGGGGGTAGAAAAAAAGGGTGCTCTAGCCCTTTAAATCCCTTAGAGGTCACCTCAGATGGAGGGGGAAGGGCTGTCAACAATAGCGCGATGTGTAGCAAATATTGCTGCCTATACCTCTGTGGCCAGAAGCAGGAATCAGCAATCATAGCACTGATCTACATTTGGAGGATAGAGTATTTTTTTTTCCCACTTTGGCTCCTTCAGGCTGTGTGCAAGCTGCTCCAGTAACACCTGCACAGCTGCCTGCCACAGAGCTGGGAGTGGGAGATGAATAGCTACTGCTGTGCTAAGAGCTGAAATTAACTAAAATTAACCAGAATTTACTATCCAAGCTTTCCCTTAGAAGTCTGAAGCGTGCAATACACTCCAGAGTTTCAAAATTATTACATCAAACACATTCTACCAGTGCAATTACTGTTTAGGTGGGGCGATGGAGTCCTGGTGCTTACTACTCCATTGAATTCCCAGAATCCTCTCCACTCATGTAGTTTTAAATAACTAATACCTCCTTTTGTTGGGGGAAATTCCCTGTGGAAGCCTTCAGATGAGTTTATTTTGCAAATGGTGCTTTTGTATAAAGTGATATCTGTAAACAAGCAGAAAAGTGAAAATTCAAAATCTTGTCAGCTCAAACATATCACCATAGATTTGTGACTTGCAGGGAAAGAATGGTACCTCATTTGACAAATTGCTTCTTTGTTTTGCCTCCTCCATTGATCAAGGAGATCCTCTGTGGAAACTTTGTAAGAAGAATGGGAAAGAAAATGTTGACCCCTAAATACAACCTACAGATATGGAAAGCAGAATGAAAATCAGAAAAAAATGGATAAAGCCACAGTTTGGGGGTATAAACTCCAGGAAGCACTGATTCATTTATTAAATTAATATTTGCTGCTTGCCTTCTGCATGCTAAGAAGAGCCTCACATAGCAAGTGAGGCTTGTCTCACATAATGCTTAGGATAATTAAGAACAACCAGCATTTTAAAGTGCTTCCCATGCCCCAGTCTTTCCCTATGTGCCTTCCATTTTTTTGACTGAATTAATCTTCAAAGTAACCTCCCTAGGTTTGAACAATCATTATCCACAGTTAATAAGCAAGGAAACTGAGGTACAGAAAGTTAAGGAAGGTGCTCAATGTCACACAGTTCATATACGGTGGGGCATAGGTTCAAACCAGGCCATCTGACACAGATCTCACTCTTGTACCACTTAGCCAATCTTATTCATCTTCTGTAAGGAACCATCATCTTTGGCAAATACTTAGGATCTATCCTTGAGAATGGTGATAGAGTTTTATAAATCATCCAACATTTTTCTGCTGATTTCACCTCATGACCAGAAGATTTAATTTTATAATTACTGCATGCAAGGTATGTGTGTCAAGGAAAAAAATATATATAAACCAGTGAATTAGTTAGCAAAAATCGCAATTACTTTTGCACCAACCGAATAAGAGGCTTTGGCCAAAATTCATGCTTCAGGACCAGATGAACTAAAATATCTGTATCATAGGACAGAAAAAAATAGGTCAGCAAAGAGGTAAAATAAAGGTCTGCTTCAATGAATTTTTTCCCAGAGATGAGCACAGTATCCAACTGCTGGCTATAAAAAAAAAATAGAAATCTTGTGTGATTAGCTGGGTTCATATACTTTGTGCACATTGCCTATTAAGCATGACTCTGAAGCTGTAATTTTAAACACTAGGTGGGCAATTACAACAAACTCATTTGTGTTTTACAGATTTATCTCCAAGAAGGAAGAAAACATAACAAGGTTAGGGAAGGGTATTTGGTCAAAGCCTTGATGTGCTTCTATTTAGACATTTTTTAAATAAGCCCATTAGATTCTCAGGCTTTGAGGTCAATTGTGCAGTTCTTGATGAAACATTACCCAAGTGAATTATTTATAAAGTTGCAGGAAACTGCAAATTCTGGTGAACAAATCTTTTTGATGCTCTCATCTCCTGCAGCGTTGTTTTGGTGCTACCCTCTACTGCCTTCTTCAAATATTCTAGGCTCTCTTTGGCTACAGCTGTCCATTCACCTCAAAAGGCAGCCCAGCTCCTTTCCATACAGGTTGTGGAAAGGAGCTATCCAGTCAAGGTGTCTCTCTCAGTTTTTTATTTCCCCCAGGTGCCAGATTGAGAAAAGTTAGGCAGTGACAAAGGAGAATTGAAGACAATGTACTCATATACATATATGCATGCATGCATACATACTTACATATATTTGTTGTTTTTTAACCATAGCCTAAAAGTATTATTAATGTTGTCATTCATCAAAGGCTGTCCCCAACCTCTCAGAGGCAACACACTGGGAAAATCTGTTTTCGCAATTCCAGAAACACATCTGGATTCAATGTTTTTAAAAGTAATGTTAATATCCTCTGACCACATGAAAGAACCTGATTCTGAATGTAAACTATTGAGTTTTCCATTTTCATACATAATACCCTTTTTGAGGCCATATATAGGAGAAAAAAGCTGAAGCACTGATATTAGATATATCTAGCTTTGAATTCCTAATAGTATCCCTGTACGAACTTGGCACATTACGTAATATTTCTGAGCTTGTTTTCTCAATGAGACAATACAAATAGTAATAACCATAGATTAGAATTGCTGTCAGGACTAGAATTGGCATATTAAATGACAGTTTCAAATACATCTTGATTATCACACATGACATATATTTATGTTCCTAAATAGTAGCTTTTATGATGATGGTTCATTCATTCAACAATATTTAAGAGTGTTCTAAGAACCAAGCACAGTTTTGGGCATAGAAGATACAGCCAACTTCGTGAATTCCTAGTCTTCTTGGAGATTACAGTCTTTAAAATTGTTAGCATTTAGGTTGAATAAAGCCAGAGGCATGGGCAGGAGTTTGTTTCAAGATCCTGGGTTGTTTCCTTAACTTCAGTGTGTTTTCTGACAAAGTATTACAAGGAGATCGTATTATTCCAACAACTCTCATAATATAAAATCAATTGACGGTATAGTCATTCTCCTTATGAATAAAGAAATCCTTAGAGAGGGAGATGAAAATAAAAGTGTCAGTGGAAAAGCAGGATATTATACTGGCATGCAGCAGTTGTTATTTTTGCTGTTTGTTTTCACTGTTTTTAACTATCTTACCTGCTTGTGATTAAGGTAATAATATTAAACCATGCTAATGTCCTTCTGTTTTGGAAAAAAAAATGTAAATACACATTTCTGACACCTGTAAAGTTCTCATAAGTAGATAATTTTCTCCTTACAACTGTTGGATTGATAAGGTAATGGAACAATTTCCTTTTACGGAAAATTAGAACACAACTCAATTTGCTATAGTTTTATTCTTCTATAGTAGAGAGTTAAGATTGCTAACAGCTAGGAAGTATATGTCTCTGGCAAGAGTTTAAATGCCAAATTTCCCAAGGAAGATTTACTCATTTCTGTTGCACTTATCTCATTATAACTGATTGAAATTGTATGGAGTTTTTTTAGTAAACATGTGCCTTAAATTATGTGATTAGTGCTAAATATTACATGTATATGAGTTTTGACTAAATTAAACTTTTAAGTACACAAGGAAAAGTTTGAGACTTAAAGTCATCCTATTGTTAATCGTTTCTGTTTGTTTGTTTGAGACAGGGTCTCACTGTATCACCCAGGCTGGAGTGCAGTGGCACCATCACAGCTCACTGCTTCTTGACCTCCTAGGCTCAAGCAATCCTCCCATCTCAGCCTCCTGAATGGCTGGAATCACAGGCGGGCACCACCATGCCCAGCTAACTTTTTACATTTTCTATGTTTTTTTTAGAGATGGGGTCTTCCTATGTTGCTCAGACTGGACTCGAACTCCTGGGCTCAAGAGATCCTCCTACCTTGGCCCTCCAAAGTGTTGGGATTATAGTCACCACTCCAGACCTATCACAGCTCCTGACCTGTTCATTGTTTCTAATTTAATGAAAACCCACAACCCTTTTATGTATTTTATGTAAATCCAAATTTACATATGTATTAACATTTAGAGATCCAAAATCCTTACATTTCTAGAAGTACAAAATGAAAAACGTGAAATTCATATATCAAATGTGTTTGTCCCTGAATTATAATACTGTGTGATTTAAATTCTCATGTTTATTCTGTTATGTATTTTTCAGGATCATACACAAACAGTAAGCATGCATAATCTTTATACAGAGAAAGATTGTAAAAGTAAATAGAAGTACATAAATTATTTTAATTTAAATTAATTTCAGATGAATATGTTCAAAAGACATGGGGACCCCAAAGCTAAAATTCAGAAATAAGGCTTGTGTTACAGTCTAAATGTTTTTTGAAATTCATATGCTGAAGCTTTAACCCCCAGTGTGATGGTATTAGGAGATGGAGCTCTTGGGAGGAGGTAACAAGGTTTAGATGAGGTTTATGAGGGTGGAACCCCACGCTGAAATTAATGCCCTTATAAGTACAGGAAAAGACACCAGAGTTTTCTCTCTTCTTCATCATGTGAGGATACAGTGAAAAGGTAGCTGCCTGCAAGAAAGGATGAGAACCTTCATCAATAACCCAGTCATGGTGGCACTCTGATCTTGGACTTCCCAGCTTCCAGAACTGTGGGAAATAAATGTCTGTTTTTTAAGCCACCCAGTCTATGGTCTTCTTTAAAGCAGCATGGGCTGACTAAAACAGATGGAATAATTGGTCTGAACTACTTTCCCAAACTGCAGTCATTTGTACATGACCTTCATGTGTTTTGCCAAAATCTGTATACATTTATCATTTTTTTAATCTTCTAATACTTATTTTTAAAAACTCATTAAATGTTGAATTTTATATCCCAATTCTACCTGGACAATCACTATAATTAGCCATGAAAAGAAGGAAAGACTAAAAATAATTATAATTAACCTAATAATATTGACTTCTAACCAGATACCATTTTCTATTCAAAGGCTCCGATTCTAACATTTGTTCATAGAAAAGGAAGATTAGCAGAGGTTTGAGGAGTTAAAGGTAATTTAGCACCACACTGAGACTTAATAATTATAATAATAATCAGAATAAAGAAGACTCAAACAGAGAATTTAGTTACGAAAATGTGAATCTGTTTTATTTAATCTTGATGCCCTTGCCACCAACAAACATCTCCTGTACCATTACATCTCCCATGCTGTGGGAACTATTGCTGTAAACCAGTTTGGACAAATAGAATAATATTGTCTTATAAAAGCCTCCAGAATTAGAATGTTTACAATTCTTCTGATAATTCATTATAATGATTACTAAGGTGACCATATGTCCCAGTTCACCAGGGCCAGCCCAACTTTATACCCATTGCCCAGGCATAATCATTAATAGCACCCATTTTCACATTCAAATGTGTCCTGACTTGGGAAAATCCATTATATATAGTCACCAGGTCATCATCATTCATCTGTCTATCAGTTAGAAGGTGTCCACCAGCACCTACTCTGGACCTGGCTCTGAATTATGTCTGGAAATACTAAGGTGAGTATGGCAGTTCCCAGCCCTCAGAGAGCTCATGAACAGATAGACAGGGCAAGGGAACCACTTGAAGACAAAATAAAGTGATAAGAGTCACACAGAGGTCTGTGCTATTGGGATCACAGAGGACAGATGAATCAAATAAACTGAAGATTTCTAAATGAGTAGGGCATGAATATTAACTGATCAGTAATATAAAAACTAACAAATCAGCTCCAAAGAAGTAGGAAGGTCTTTCTCTTTTAAGACAATGTTTTGTGTTCATGAGTTCAAAGAACTGGTGTGGAAAGGATTAAAATGAGAAGAGCACATAGTTTTCCTACTTATGTTTCTTCAAGTGGTTATAAGGTATAGGAAAACCTGTTCAACCTGATAAATCATCTGATATTAGATAAAGATAAAAAATGTTTGCAGAGCAAGAATATTCTTCACCATTTGCTAGTTTTAAAACATAAATCAGGTCAGTCATGTTATTTCCTTGCTTGAAACCCTTCACAGGTTGATTATTGTTTTATCAATGAATTATATACCTTGTCCCATAGCCCACAAGTTTTGTCCTTCCTCTGCAGCCTCATCTCCTGCTATCCTTGCCCTGGTGCATGAGGCTTTGGCCAAGTTCTTTCCCAGCCGAGCTCTTGTCTTTACTTTTGCTGTTCCCTCTGCCTGGAGCATTCTTCTTTCAGTACTTTAAAAGTCTGATGTATTTTCAGGTTACAGGTCTTGGTTCATATGTTCCCTGCTTAGAGAGGCCTTCCCCGATCCATTAATTCTTACCCATCTCATCCAGCCTGCCACATTTGCCATCTTCATAGCATTGACCACTAGGTATCTATTTCTTTTTATTGTCTTTCTTTCTCAGAAAGGGAGGAACATGATTGTAGCACTCCCTGTGTCTAGCACAGTGAGTGGCAACAAATGAAGTATTCAGTAAATATTTATGAAATGGATAAATAGAAGAGTTTGAGAGAAAATAAGTATGTGAAGTACTTATTTAATCAAAATGATTCTTTAAAAAAAAAGTCATTGTCCTCATTCAGCTTTTGGGACAGATAAGTGAGAAGAGGAAAGGACTGAAGCTTCAGGTACATGGGTTGTGGGTACTTGATGAGGTTGGGAGAAGGCCAACTGGTGAAAGACTCACTGTAAAGATTAAAGAAGAAAAATAATTGTCCCTCCAGTGGCACTTGCCAAGGGTTGCAATAAGCCCGGATGTGCAGTGAAACTGCAAGGAATTTTTACACTTTGAATATCCATTTCCAGATTTCACAGAGGACTTCTCAGGTGACCTTGAATAAGCCATTTAGGTACGTTTCTGAGTTACTTAATTGAACCATCTCTATGGAGAGAGGTGATGAGGCTTGTTAATTTACATTTGTAAAAACACTTTGAAATATCTGGATGAAAGAATTGCTGCAGAGAGGAACAAAGGGTGAGGTAATATGCTCGGTCAAATTCTCCCCTTTTATAGAAGCAGAGAGGGTGCAGGCACATTTGAGGTGACTTAAGGGGTGCCTTTGCCACATTATTTTTCAAATTAATCTTCTAAGAAAACCCCCTACTTTCAGTAAATCTAGTGTTTTAAATAAATTTATAAGATACTAATCTGGTAATTATTTTCCTTTAACATTTTTCTCCTAAAGTTCCAGCTTTGTGTAAAGGAAATCTTTAGGGTATTTTCCTGGGAGGTGTTCCCTCTACAACTGTTCCTTTTTTTTTTTTCTTTTTTTTTTTTTTTTTGTTGTTGTTCCCAAAGAGCTGAAATACAGCTCCTTCTTTCATTTGTTCATTTTTAGCCTGTATCAGTGATACTCAAATCTTAAGCATGACAGCCTCTGTTGCTAAGCTAATTGGGACCCAATTGGGGTCGTTTCATCAATTCTAGACAGATATTTACAAGTTACAGTCAGATATTAAAGTAAGCTCAGGAAGGAGAAAAGTGAGAAAATTTCAAAGAAAGCTGCCAGCCTATAGAGTTAATTATATCCATTTACATAAAAAATGATATTAATAGCTACTTAAGAAATAATACCAATATAACAGAAAAAAATTAGAATAATAGTCTCTTTCGGCAAGATAAATAGAGACTCAAATATAAGACATTAATTGCTAAAACTGTCAAGGCAAAAGCCAAGCTTTAAAAAAACAAACAACAACAACAACAAAAAAAACAGGCAACCATCTTTTTCGACATGCTACACCAATTATACACTTGCGATTCTGCCCAAATGACCATAAATCTCACATTATAGTTTCATTTATGTCTTTTTGGACCTTATAATTCTTATTTCTTTGGGAGGAAGCAATAAACAACTTTATTACTTGCTCTCAGAAATAATAGGAAGGATTTATTTGCCTTACTGTGCCTTGCTCTTCCTTGAAGAGGACTGAAGCTCCTTGTCCCTTTCAATGGATCTAGACAAGACACTTGTCCTAGGAAACTGCTTCTTCAGAAGGCTGCAGAGCTTGGTGTTCTTTCTCCATCATATCTTTCAGAATTTTCTTTAACTACTTTACCCTTGAAATCTCTTCTTCCTCAGCAGACAGCTGGGCCCCTTCTAGCTGCTCAGAGGCCATGCAGAGTTTAATTATTTCCAGGTCAAGTCCTGCATGCTGTCAATGAGCACACGACAGCTCATTCTTGAGTGCATCCTAGACCATATCCACAATCCCAGTTACATGAATACTGCATATGGAGCCACAGGAGAGGTTTTCCACAAACAGTCTTACTTCTCAGGACTTTTTCTTGTCTGCTCATACACGAACTGCATGAATGGAGTGAGAACAATTGCTCTATCTCTTATTTCCCTTTTTTATGCCAAAGTTTGCTTAGCTTTTGAGCTAACTATCCTAAGAGATGCCTTTCATTTCATGCAGACTGGAAAGATGAAATGCAACCTGCTTAGGGGCTGATTTGCAAACTCTTGTCCCATTCTTTGATTCATCACCTTGACAATAGAGTATTGAACATTATGACATGACAGAACGGGGTTGAACCATTAAATTCCTGTGGGCAAGGCATCCTAAACAGAGACTAAGGTACTATAAAGAAAATGTTTACTATTTTAAAATAAGTGGCTTCTTGATGGCCACAGGGTTTTTGCTAGCTTTTGACAGGTCACCTACTTGCATCTGTTTGTCAAAGAAAGAGCCTGACGGTCTTTACTTGAAAGAAAGAAATTCAGGGTATCATCACCATCACCTAGTCAGCCAACATCAAACATTTCCTGAGCATCCACTGAGTGCAAAGCAGGTTACAATATGCCCTAAGAAAATATATCTTTCTCTGCAAAGAAAGGATGAATCCAAACAAATGGAAACACCCATTTCTTTAGCCACTCGTCTGAGTACAATAAAAGAAGACAGGTTTGGACTGTATAAAGGGAGCCAGCTACATGGTCTGCAAATGGGCACATCTTTGAGTCCAGGTACTGGTTCTGTAATTGTTTTCGAATGCCATACATTTAGAAATGGCATCAAAATCCTGCAAGGCCTATTGAAAAGGAAATAAAATGTACTGTGTGTTTAGAAGAACATTTCAATTTGATACTAATCAAGTAGCATTATGTTCATGTCTGATCTGCTCATTCATTGACTGTTTTCCCAAGGACATGCTTCATCCCTTTTTTTTTTTTTTTTTTTTTTTTTTTGAGATGGAGTCTCGCTCTGTCATCCAGCCTGGAGTGCAGCGGCGCGATCTCGGCTAACTGCAAGCTCCGCCTCTCGGGTTCACCCCATTCTCCTGCCTCAGTCTCCTGAGTAGCTGGGACTACAGGCACCTGCCACCACCCCCGGCTAATTTTTTGTATTTTTAGTAGAGACGGGGTTTCACCGTGTTAGCCAGGATGGTCTCGATCTCCTAACCTCGTGATCTGCCCACTTCGGTCTCCCAAAGTGCTGGTATTACAGGCGTGAGCCACCGCACCCGGCCTCATCCCTTTTTTTATGGCTCATCAAAAATTTTCAGGTAGGAGTGTGGTGTGGCAAGAAAGTAGGATTTTGAGACAGACACACATGAGTCCACTTCCACCACTTACTGAGAGTCATTTCTCTGCAGGTAAGCAAATGAAGCTTGTTTCCATTTCCTCATCTATAAAATGACATAATAGCACTGAATTCATATAGCTGTGCAAAAGAAATTAGATCAACTATAAAAATAACATACTAGCAGATAGCCTGAAAAAATACTGTTTTCAAGAGAAATGAGCAATTTTTGTATTTTCCTCTGTTTGAATTAAAGTATATATGTCAGTGAATGAAGAACCCAATGACTTTTATTAATTGTTATCTCTTCCTGTTCTGAATGTGCATATTGTGCTTAAGGTCTGCTTAAATTCCATTGCAACTGTACACAATCATGTATCATCTCTTGTGTTATGTCATGTTTTAATCACACTACACTTTGGTTATATATTTAACCACACTAAACATTGTCTCTTCAGCTGAACAAAAGATCGTTAAGCACAAAGCCTGTTAGCAACTTTTATACATTCACTTTTTAAGGTACATTTAGACTAACTTGAATACCATGATAAATAATTACTAGATAACTGTACTCTATATTATACTATATATGATTATTATTACTATACTATTCTAAATATTATCTAGTAATAATAATATGTAGTAGAATAATATATAGTGTAATAATCTTTTGACAGCAGGAACTACAATGCATTGGTACTCACTAAAGACTTAGAATATGTAGGACACTGTCTTTATATAGATGTTCTTTTCATCTAATTTGCTATGATAGTCTTGATATTACTCATTTCAGCATTCCTAGGACTTAGCATGGTGTCTTTTTGCACTTAGAAAATGGTTCACATTCTATTGATGCATACAACAATAAATAGTCTTAAATAGTATCAATGTTGGTGAAATTGAAAGACTGGGGTATAGCTCTATAGCTCTATGAATTAAAATGGATATACATATTGTCCAGGGAGAAATATCCTTATAACTTATCGAAAAAGCTTCAGGCAATTTAGGTCTTACTGAACTCTTAGAGCTTGGTGGTACTGGTAGTTAATGCTGTGTTGTCCCAGAAATCAATCCCAAACACTGCACTACTCATTATGATAAGCTGATTCCCCAAGAATCTAATAAGAAACTATGACAGGCCAGGCACGGTGGCTCACGCCTGTAATCCCAGCACTTTGGGAGGCTGAGGCAGGCGGATCACGAGGTCAGGAGATCGAGACCATCCTGGCTTACACAGTGAAACCCCGTCTCTACTAAAAATATAAAAATTAGCCAGGCGTGGTGGTGGGCGCCTGTAGTCCCAGCTACTCGGGAGGCTGAGGCAGGAGAATGGCGTGAACCCAGGAGGCGGAGCTTGCAGGGAGCCGAGATCACGTCACTGCACTCCAGCCTGGGCGACAGAGCGAGACTCTGTCTCAAAAAAAAAAAGAAACTATGACTAAATATCTGCTGATTACTCCATGGGATGAGAAGTTCCAAACACCATTGTTTGGAATTATTTTAGAATTTGCAAACCTGAAACAAATGTGTCATTCTTAGTGGTTCAGTAGCTGTAAGAGCTCTTAGATTGGTCCCACCTTGTAGATCAAAAGTGGTTGATCTTGTCATCTTGAGCATTTACAAAAAAACTTTCTCTTACACTTATGTGAAATTGAGACTGTTCTACTACAGTGGTGACAAGAGTGTTCTAGAATAAAAATGAGTCCTAGATTTCAATTGTTCAATATGTACAAAGTATTGTGCTTTGGGAAATATCAAGGTAAACAATGCACAAATCACTGCCCTCTAGAAACTCACCAGTTAGTAGGGATACAGATACATACATAAGTAATTCAAATATAAAGTAGAAAAAGTGAGATACACAAAAAGTATCTTGGTGATTATGATATACATATTACTTTGCAAAAGAAAAAATATATTGCCACATTATTTACCTTCCACATTCTGATTTTACTACTCCCCTCTCAGAAAGACAGTTAAGGGGTGGAGATTTTTAAGATATCACTAAACCACTTTTCAAATTCTGGATTGAAGATGTTGATCATACCTTATCTGATCTGTCCTCTACCCAATATATAATCACACTGATTACTCATATTTGAAATCTGCAAAAAAATTAAAGTCCTAAAGTTTTTGGTATACAATAATTTTCCTTTAGCAACATGATGAATGGCTCCCAAACTTCCCATTTTGGTTACTAGATCTTCCAGAATGTCTTGTTGCTTTTGTAGTGCTATTAAGATGGCACCCCTCTCGGGCTAGCCCCAGGGGAAGTCAGGCAGACTGTAACATTAAAAAAAAAAAAACAAAAAAAACTCCTTGGGGACTTTCTGGAGGTATCAGCTACTAGTCTTTCTTGATATTGTCCTTCTTAATTCAGCACAAGAAGTAATGAACCTTATGGGTATGTTTACTCTTTGTTCCAAAAAACTAACCTATGGGTGATTCTGTTTGACAAACTCCAAACAGTCACACTAAACCGGTGTTTTGACCGTCTTTCTCTTAGCAACAGACTTTGCAAATTTTTTCTTTAATGGGAAAAAAAGAAGCAAACAGCCGTCAATTATTTTGGCTGAAGTCACAGTGTTTATAGTAGTGGAAGAATTTCTTTGGTTTTAGACTCCAAATAATAGAAAAAGAATGTAGAATGTGATGTTTATATCCGTACAAAGAATCATCGTTGCACCTTTTTTGTTTTGTCCAAATGATGCTGCATCTATTCCCACAGGCAATGCCCAGTTCGTGAGGAAAGGAGTTTAGTTTAAGAAAGAAGGTATGTAGATCCAAAGTGCCTGTATTCAAACCCAGAAAACAGTAACGTAACAGTCATAATCTCATTTTATCCAATGAAGACTTGAAAGCATCCTGGTACAATTTTTGAGAACAAGCACAGGTACGGTACTGACTTGGTATTTAAAGTGTTAATACTGTCTCTCTGAGTGACTCAGTATGCTCCAGGACACTGCTTCTAGAATTGCATTTGCCCTTAAGTAGTTGGGTAATCTCAACTAGTCACTTAATTTCTCCAAATTTCTATTTTATCATCTGTAAAAGAATCAGACATTCTCTAAGGTTTTATTTTCTCTAAAATCTGATGATTATGTTAGGATTTCTTCTTTTTAAATGCTGATAGTTTTACATGACCTTGGATTGTCTGGAGCAAAGTGAAGTAATTTCAGAATTACACTCACTTTGAGCTCCCAGGTACTAAATTTTTTTCAAAGTCAAAGGCACTTTGGCCTTTTACTCAATATCAAAAATTAGACAGGGAAAATGGGCTAAGCACTTGAATAGACATTTCTCCAAAGAAGATATGCAAATGGCCAATAAGTATATAAAAAGATGTCACTTCAGAAAAACGCAAATAAAAACCATAGTGAGACATAATTTCAAATCTACCAGGATGCATATCATTAAAAGACAAATGATAATAAGTGTTGGCAAGGATGTGGAAGAATTGGAACCTGCACACTGTTGGTAGGATTGCAAAATGGTGCAGCTGATGGAAAATGGAATGGAGGTTCCCCTAAAACTTAAATAAAGAACCACCATATGATAAAAAAAAATCCCACTTACAGATATCTGTCCAAAATAATTGAAATCAATACAATTTGAGGCTTTCAAAGAGATACCTGCACTCCTATGTTTATTGCAGCACTATTCACAAAAGCCAAGGTGTGAAAACAATTTAAATGTCCACTGACAGAAAAATGCATAAAGAAAATGTAGTATACACATACATGTAATGAAATGCTATTCAGCCTTAAAAAATAAGGAAATTCTACATCATTAAACAACATAGATGAACATTGAGGACATTATGCCACATGAAATAAGGCCATCACAGAAATAAATACTGAGCTGGACATGGTGGCTCATGCCTGTAATCCCAGCACCTTAGGAGACCAAGGTGGGAGGATCATTTGACCCTGGGAGTTCAAGACCAGCCTGGACAATATAGTGAGACCCCCATCCCTACAAAAATTTAAAAAAATAGCCAGGCATGGTAGTGCATGCACACCTGTGGTCCCAGCTACTTGAGAGGTTGAAGTGGGAGGATCGCATGAATCCAGGAGGTAGAGGCCGCAGTGAACTGTGATTACACCACTGCACTCCAGCCTGGATGACAGAGTGATTAAAAAAAAAAGAAAGACAAATACTGCATGCTTCCACTTATATGAGGTATGTAAAACACTCAAGGTCATAGAATCAAGGAGTGGAATGGCAGTTGCCAGAGGCTGTGGGAGGGGGAAATTAAAAGTTATTAACCAATGAGCATAAAGTTTCACTCAAATAAGATGAATAAGCCCTAGAGATTGTATGCACAACATTATACTTACAGTCAACAACAATGTAAACTTAAAATTTGTTAAGAGGGCAGATCTCATGTTAAGTATTTTTAGCATTTTTTTAAGGGCATGTAAGTCAATAAAATACAGCATATTTCAAAAAGGGAAGAAGAAGGTCTTCTGGTTGGGTGATCAGCTTATTCTCAAATGCAAGGAAACTGTTTCCCAGATAATGCAATGAGTGTTAGAATATGCATTTGCCAGGAGATCAAGACCATCCTGGCAAACACTGTGAAACCCCATCTCTAACTAAAAAAACAAAAAAAAAAAATTAGCTGGGCTTGGTGGCAGGCACCTGTAGTCCCCACTACTCAGGAGGCTGAGGCAGGAGAATGGCATGAACCCGGGGGTGGAGCTTCCAGTGAGCGGAGATCGCGCCACTGCACGACAGCCTGGGCGACAGAGCGAGACTCCGTCTCAAAAAAAATAAAAATAAATTAAAAAAAAAAAGAATATGCATTTGCCAACCAGATTGGTTTTCTCCAAAGACCTATCCAGGCCTTAGATACACGGGTCAGGAGACAACAAATTGTTACCCTAGAGACACTCATAATCAGCTGCCTACTTCTTTCCCAAGTCCCATGCGGGAGTCAACATGATAGTGATTTAGTAAAAATATAGCTGACAACAACCTTTTATTTTTTACCCCTGGAAAAATATCTAAAAACTTTTATATGAAAAACATATTTTTTAAAGTTTAAGTATAAAACATGGTTTCAGATTTTATTAGCACTTAATTTGGTCTAGGTATATGTATTTTTTCTCTCTTTTGGAGGCATTTATTCCTTCAGGGTTAAGTACCTTCAATCACAATTTCAATTTGTAATAAAAGACACACTTCAGGAGAGGAAAAATGCTTCTTTTAAGTCTCTCTCCACTAAACAGGTAAAACATCTTTAAAAAAATACAGAAAGGTGCCCAAAACGGTATTCTTTTTCTTTAAATGATTCCGTTATTTTCTATAGACACATGTCTGCACCAAGTTTATTTCTGAACCCCCAAAAAAGAGGGATCCAAGTAGTAAAGTTACACAAAGCTAGTCCTTATATTTGAAGAAGGAATATGTTTGATAAATAAGCTATCAGCTTGGTGAGAAAACAGAATAAAGCATCTGCTCTGTGCTAGTAACAATTCTTGGCATCATGAAGATACAAGAACACAGGAAACATCATAGCCTGTGATAAGTCTATGAGGTTCATTATGCTACACTCTCAATTTTTATATATACTTGAGAATTTTCATAATAGAAGATATTTTATGGAAGCCCAGATTCCAATATTACATGACTAAATGAAAAGTGATACATGGGATATCTATCTGTAATTTATAATTATGCACTATATAAATATGTAATTCAGGTAGATGTGTATCTACCTGCAAGTGGTGGGCTAGGGAAAAGACAACATGTTGGCCTGGGGATAAATATGACAACGAAAGGGGGCTTCATTTGGGAGAAGCATAAAATATTCTAAATGTAGTTGGTGATCCCTTTCCATATGGATATATCTAAATTATAATATTTTTAACACTACTCACTTTATTAAGAGAATTAGAAATGGCTCCAAGCAGGTCTGGCTTCAAACAATAGGTCATGGAAATCCAAAAGAGCTACTGATTTTAAAGCAATCAATTCACAGTGAAAAGGGAAAAGAGACAAAGGGGAGAAGGAGAAAAAAAAAAAAAGGCAAGATGAGAGAAAAAAAAACAACCCTCCTCTAAGCTGTGATGTGATAGAGCCAGGCTCTAATTACTGAGTTAAAGATAATTAGAGAGAGATGAAACTTTCCTGACACCAGCGTCCATCTCAAGGCTTCTCTGATGTACATAATCTAGTTGCACAGTTTTTTCCAGCAAAATGTTCCATTAAGGTTTTCTGACATGAGCCTCATTATCTTCCTGAAATCCAACTAACTCAATGGAATGATTCTTAGTGATCTGGTTGAACCCCTACTGAAAAAAAAAAAAAATTCACCTGTGAGACTGCAGATGCCAATTGTCACCCTAGCCTGTACTATTCAAAGGTGAACACTTTTGGCTCTTTGAGTTTTTCTAGGGAAGTGACATTTCTATTTATTATTCATCTACTTTGAGTTCTCATGAAAAGTGCTAAGGCCACCTGTCAAATGTTTGCATCGAAAGAAAAGTGACACACTGAAAATTAATAATGGCAGATTGAAATATTTGTGGATTTCCTGAAAAGGAAAAGAAATCAAGATTAACTCTGCTTTGGTTTTAGATAGCCCCAGACATGGGCTATTTAGTAAGTACTATTTACTCAGATTTATACTCATCCAAATAAATGAACACTTGGATTTTATTGTTGGTCAAAGGGTAAACAATTTCAGTTATATGCTGGGTGAATCAGTTCTGGAGATCTAATATACAGCACGCTGGCTGTAGTTAATAATACCATATTGTATACTTGAAATTTGCTAAGAGATCTGTAATATTCTCACCATGTACAAACACATAAAATATTTTATAATAACTATGTGAAGCAATGAATATGTTAATTACCTTGATTTTGGTAATCATTTCACAAATAAACATATCAAAACATCACATTGCACTCCTTAAATATACACAGTTTTTATTTGTTAATTATACTTTAATAAAGATGTAGGAAAAAGAAGGAAAGATGATAAATGGGATGGTTGTCTCCTTTACATTTTAAACATTAATTAATGATAGTATTTTTCAAAAGAAAGACTTCTTCATATGCTGAAGATATTCAACTTATGAAAAACTAATGAACACCTAACTTTTCAAGAATAGATTTACTACATATACTATACTGATGTATCATGAACTATAAGCTGCCATTGGCATGCCTGTATATATAAATTGCATCTGAACCTTCCACTTTGCATAGAAATTCTTACGGTTACCTCCAGTCAGAAGGTGACTGCGTAAATGGTCAGGAAACTCCTGAAGAAAAGCCACATCTTTGGAGACTGAAGAGTAGGTTTAAAATGTCACTTTTTATTGCTGCCTTGCTCAAAATTCATCAGCATGTCCATTTTAGTTATATAATAGCATTGAAAAGGTTGTCTATTGTTTCTGCTACTTTTAAATCAACTATTTAGTTCTGTTCAGATAATAATAGTTACCATTGATTTAATGCTTTGCCAAGCTTTCAGCTACTAATGAATATGTAATATCTCATAATGCTCAAAATAAGCCTATGTTTATAATCTCACTGTAAATGAGGAAACTGAGGCAGAGATTACATAATTTGCCCAAGGTTATGTAGCAGTAAATAGTGGAGCTGAGTGAGAACCCAGGTACTTTGCCTCCAGAACTCCCTTTTAAACAACACACCACCCCCTACTACCTTTCTGTATCTGTTACATGCAGACTTTTTAGCTTGATAAGCTAAAATTCTTCAAAAAAGTTTAATTCTTCAAGCTTCGCCTTAATTGACCCTACCAGGTTTATCTCTTATATTTCAGGACTTCTCTACACAGATCCCAAACTCTGGCCAAACTGAGACTGGCCACTTCCCCATACATCCTGAACTTTCTCTCTTTTGAAATTTTACCAATAATATTTCCTCAAAGTAAAAATGTGGCTACTTATCGAGAGCAGGAGACTAGATAACAATACCATTTTAAAACATATATACATATATATAATAATTGTAAAAGTTGGCATTTATTTTTCAATTACCATATGCTAAAAACTGTGTTAATCCACTTACATAAATATATCATGAATGCAATTATGCATAATAATACATATAGATATTGTTAGCCCCATGTTATGAAATGACACATATAGATGACATATAGATATTGTTAGCCCAATGTTATGAAATGAAACAAAGGCTTAGCAAGGTTAAATATCTTATCCAAAAAACTCTGACTAATAAGTGGTAGAGTCACAATTTGGACCCAAGTATGTCTGACTCTAAAAAGTAAGCCTTTAACCATACACTCTAGGCTGCATCTATTCTAAATCCTAATTTGCACTATAGTTATTTGAGAGCAAATGTAAATTGCCTACTAAACTGTATACTTCTCGGAACAAAGGCTAGATTCTGCATTTCTGTATCCCCCACAGTTCTGAGAAAAACGTTTCTGGAAGTGTAGCAAGTAAAACAAAGAATTCCAATGTAAAATGTCAATTTTGTGATTTCTGGGCTACAGATACTCTGGGAGGACCCCACTTCCCTCCCCATACTCACCTCCAAGCACCACTTCTGTTAAAGTGTGCATTATTTTGGACCATGGTTAGGTTAACACAGCAGCAGATGATTGCAGAAAGAGCTAGAGTGTGGTGGGTCCCCTTCTGTGCAGCTCTGCTGGAAATAACCCAAGGTGGAAATGGCTCACAATTCCTCACGTTGCAATGAGTACTGTAGAAAGTGCTGTGGTTTGTGGAACATATTAGAACCAACCATTAGTTCAGGCTTCTCAGATATGATAAAGCCCCCAGAGTTTCTAAAATTTGGTAAAAATGTGAAAAGAAGCATGTTTCCTGTTACACTGCCAGCAGCCGGAGTCTGAGAAATATGTATGTAAATTAAAGAAAGTTATTTAAATATACCAGTCAGAAGATATTAATAAATCTGATTTGGCTCTAAAAGTGGGCAAAGACTTGAGTCAGCAAAATTTGAGACCATTTCTAATTTTATCTGACCCATTTAGTTAAATGCTGCTCCTTCTGACAGTATCAGTGCCTGTGATATCATAGAGACCTAGCATGTTATTTGGAAAGAACATCAGACTCAAAGTCATGAGACATAGGTTCAAAGTCAGGCTCTGTCATTTAAATGCAGAGTAACCTTGAGAAAGTTATCTGGTTCTAGTAAGCCTCATTTTCATATATAAAATACGGATAGCCTGACCTATTGATCTTGTATTGTTAATACAAAAACCCACATGAAATACTTTGCAATTTGTAAGTTCTACAACATAAAATGCATTAATTAAGCAACGGAGGCAAAATTGTAGCCAACATAAAGACAGTATTAAATTTTTAAAGATTTTATTATAACAGAGAATAGGCTTTCTCTCCACCAACTCCTTTCCTTCCTACCCCCGTTAACTTATTAAATAAATAGTTACTGAATGCTTAAGATGTATCAGACACTGTATTAGGTAAACAGTGGCAAACAAGTCAGATAAGATACTTTGTGGGAGAGGGGAGGGGAAGGAGACAATCAATGAATGTATAAATAAATAAATGAATCATTTCAGAGGATGAGAAGTAATATGGAGATAATTATAATGATTACAAAAGAGCATTCTAAGGAGTGAACACATGAGCTGCAATCTGAATAATCACAAGGAGCCTCTGACGCAGAAAAAAAATGGGAAGAGTATAAGAATATTACAGAAACGGAGAACACGAACTGCAAGTCCCTAAGACCAAATGATCTTAGCATGTTCAAGAAACAGAAATAAGGTCCTTATAGAAGTAGCATGAGAAATGAAGACGAGGGTGTTGCAAGGTAGGCTGGACAAGTAATACATATAGGAAGGGTCCTGGGATATGTAGTAAAGAATTTGTATTTTATTCTAAATGAAGAGGGAAGCCATTGGATAGCTTTAAGGAGAGAGTGACTCGATCTGATTTCCAAGATCAGGATCTTTGCTGAGACCAAGTAAAGAGGCAGAGTCTTTGTTATATTAGCACCTTGAGTTTTTATTTTAAGAGAAGCAGGAAATATTTACCTTTGAAAGATTCTTCCATGGTGGAAACGAATAGGCATGTCAAACTCAACATGTCCCAAACTAAGATTTCTCTCCAACCCTACTGCCCCCACAGCCTTCCCTCTTTCAGAAATAGTCATGATAGGCTTCTAGTTTTCAGAACAAAAACCACAATGTCATCCGTGACACATCCAATTCATCAGCAAAGCCAGAGGCTGTTTCTCACCTTCTTCATTCCTATTATCATGGCTTCAAGTAGTACTCATTCCCTGCCTAAATGGTTGGAATGGCCTCCTAATGGGTCTCCCTGTTCCCAACCACATCTCTCGACAGTCTATTTTCAAAAGAGCAGCCAGAGGGAGCCTGTTAAAATGAAAGTCAGATAATATTCTTTCTTGTCCAAATCTTCTATTGTTCTCCCATCTTAGAGACAAAATCAAATTCCTCACAATGTCCTACGAGACTGGACAGTATTTAGTTCACTTGCTTCACTGTCCACAGTTCCTGCCAGTTTGTTTCATCCACACCGGCCTTCTTGGTGTTCCTTGAACACTCATGCCCATGAGCCAGCTCAGATCTTTGATTTTCCTGGTTCTTCTGCACTAAACACATTCTCCAGATATCCATAAAGCTTTCTTTCTTTGCCTCTTTCAAGATTTTACTGAAATTGCCTCTTCTCAATGACATCATCCTTGTAACTCTCTCTTAAATGGCACTACTGCCCCCTACTCTCCCTTTCTCAAGTCTCTGCCTCCAAGGGGCTTACTTCCTTCTCCCGTACTGTATATTTTGATTATTTATCTGACACATTGTTTAATTCCCCAAAATGGAAAGAAAGCTCCATAAGGGCAAGGTTATCTGTCTCAGTCATTGCCACATTCCCAGTGCTACATAAAAGAAGCTCAATAAATATTTATGACATAAATGAAGAATCTGAAATCACATGCCTCCTCCTAACGTCAGAGTCACTGAGCATGGAAAATAGCCCAGGACCTGCTCATCAGGTGTTGCTTGCAGGGAAGAACAGTGGACAGACAAGATGGTGGGAAAATTAGAGAAGTAGGAGGAAGTCCTGAGAGAGAAGACACCGTTGGACACCCATTGAAAACAATGACTTAGAGGGAAAATTAAGAAATAGTCTACAACATCTTCTAGGCTTTAAGTGTGTTCATAATCAGCAGTATTGGTTGGTTTACTTTTCTGGTAATGTATTACATAAAAATTACCCTGTAAAGTAGGTAATAATAATAATCATGATCATGGTATTAATTACTATAATTTATTGAAAACTGTTCCAGTTGCTACCAACACTTACCTACCCCACAACCAGCTTCAAACAACTATTTTATCATATTCACAGATTTTATGGGCCAGAAATTCAGACAGCACAGTGGGAATAGTTTATCTGTGCTCCCATGTTTGGAGCCACAGCTGGAAAGACTTGATTGCTGGGAACTAAAATCATCTATAGGTCTCTCCCCTCACACAACTGGCAGCTAATGCAGGCTGGTGGCTGGGATCTCAACAGAAGCTGTTGACAGAGCCTCCCAGTAGTCTCTCTGTGTGCCTGAGTTGCCTCAGGGTGATCAGATTTCTTACATGACAGCTCAGGGCCCCCAGAGGAAGTGTTTCAGTAAACAAAGCAGAAGCTTCAATGTCTTTCATTACCCAGTCTTGGAAGTCATAGTCATCATTTCCATCATACTCTGTGGTCAAAGCAGTCACAAGTCACAGAGAAGAAATAATCCCTATCTTTGAATATTAGGGTAGCTGGTCATGTAAAAGAGTGTATGGGATGGGAGCTATTGCAACCACCATCATTGAAAAACATAATCCCACAGAAACTAGAATAAGTGCTTTACCTAATAAACTAAGTTAATTCTCACAATACCCCTGAGAAATGCCATTATCTTGAATTTACAGTAAAAGGAACATGAACTGCAAAAGGCTAAATGATTTGCTCAAGATCACACTGTTGACAGGTGTTGCTGAGAGCCAAACCAATGTATAACTGACTCCAAAGTTCATGCTCTCCCTGATACATCTTCTCCATGGCTAGAGGAGGCAAGAAAGAACATGATGTGGGAGTTGGAGGAATGACACAGAAATCAGAGGGCCTGAAAAGGGGAGACGATGATGACAAGGACGATGACAATGATGAAGAAGAAGGAGGAGGAGGAGAAGGAGATCAATAAAGGCTTGATTTTAATGATTATGGTACCTTGTCAATGTTGGCACCTTGTCAATGATGGTACCTTGTCAATGTTAAATTATCATTTGGTGATTTGTTGTGTTTTACTTGAGGTGATATGGAGATAGGGTACACAATACCCTATATCCAGTTTCTCCTAAGTTAACACACAACAAGTATTTAAAACTTTAATTTAAAAATTACATGCCATAAAAGTTCTATATTAATTATTTTATTCTATTAGATTTTAAACAGAATGAAACAAGATATTCTATTGTTTGGATATTCCCAATATTTTGTCCCCTAAATAAATGTTTATCAGATGTAACTCAAAGCCAGATTTCCCTTATTTGTATCCTAATGGCTTCTGCAAAATAGCCACCATTTATTGAGCAAATGGACATAGCCTGATAATTTTTTAATGTTACCTGGAATTATATTCAGTGCTTTTTTGATAATGCACTCCCAAACAAAAACTTACAAGCCCCACTCTGGATTGAAGAGTTCACATTAAATTACTCTTCCCTATAAACATAATGATAGAAAAGTGGAGACTCAGCTGACTAATATGAAGCTTGATGAAGACCAACTCTCTGCCCAAACATCAGCTGATCTCTGTGATGCAGCATCCTTACTCATAACATCATTGCCCTGTACACCTCAAGAGTGCTCACTGACTGTCCTTAGGATAAAGACCACAATTCTTACCATAGCCCAAAAAGCCCTGTAGTGTCTGAATCTCAATGCCATCTTGTGTCCCCATGTTAGTCCATTCTTACATTGCTATAAAGAGATAGCTGAGACTGGGTAATTTATAAAGAAAAAAGGTTTAATTGGCCCATGGTTCTGCAGGCTTCATAGGAAGCATGGCAGCATTTGCTTCTGGGGAGGCCTCAGGGAATTTACAGTCATGGCAGAAGGTGAAGGGGGAGCCAGCACTTCACGTGGCCAAAGCAGGATGAAGAGAGAGGAGGGGGAAGTACTACACACTTTTAAACAACCAGATGTCATGAGAACTCACTATTGCAACAACCGCTCCAAGGGGGATGATGTTAAACCATGAGAAACAGCCTCCATGATCCAATCACCTCCCACCAGACCTGACCTCCAAGATTGGGGATTACAGTTGAACATGAGATTTGGATGGGGACACAGATCCAAACCACATCAGCCCCACTTCCTCTTTGTCCTCTGCTTTCCTCCCATTCTGGACCCTTTTGAGTTCTTCAGACATGTCATTCTTCTTCCTCCCTCAAGACTTTTGCAGATTTTAGTCCTTTTGCCTGGAATACTCTTATTTCCTCCATGTGTCTTGTTAACTCCTATACTTAAAGTCGCACCGCAACCATAACTTCCTTGCGGATGTTTTCCTTGACTTCTCTGATGAGGTTAAACCCTCTATTCCCTCATTATACACTCTTATATTAAAATAGTCTTCTCTTTCAAAGTATCTACCACAGTTGTATCTTTCCATTTATTAGTTTGATTCTTTGATTAATTTTTATCTCCCTTCTAGACTGTATGCTTCTTTAAGACAAAGATTGTGTGTGTATTTTCTCCCTAATCCTCATCACCCAGCACAATAGCAGGTCCATTGAAGATATTTAGTAATTATTTGTCAAATAAATAAATAAATGTACAATGGAATAAACAAAACATACAGTTTAAATTTCTGAGGGTCATGATCAGCTTGTAATAGAATATTGATCATTGTCTTCTCATATCTGGAGCTTTCTAATCTTATAATAATCTCCAAGGTTCACATCTGATGACAAGCCAAAATAATGCCTAATGATGTTACAGTTCACCCATGATTTTCAGCTTTCAAGGAGCTTTCATAGTCACTACTACATTTCATTTGATTCTCAAAACCATCCTAGGAGGGGATTTGTTACTGGCTTCATTTTTACCAATTAAGAATCTGAAGCTCAAAATGATACAAAGTTAAGGTTAGAATTCTGACCACAAAAGGCTCCTGGCAGATCAGTCTAGGGAAAGTGAGAAACTAGGAATTGGGTCTACTTTGAAGGTACATTGGGAAAGATATCTAAAAATAGAGATCTCTCCAATCCCAAGCAAAAACACAGGTTTAATGTGTTAAAGAGGTTATTTTGTTAATATGGAGATATAATGGATCACACATTGACCTGACCATAAAGTATATCTGATATGGAAGTGCAAAAATGAAAAGAAAAACAGTTAGTCCAATTCTGTGGAATTGACTTAGCAACCCTCACCAATTTGTCCTTTATATATATCTGTTTTGTGATTATTCTTTCTACTGCATGACAGCCAACTGCAAATAGACTTTCCTATCTCTATTTATCTATACAATGCAATTTAGCACTTTGTTATCAAATTTGCTCTTAATGCTTCCTATGTATACCTTTAGAATCACAACTAAAATAGAAGTAGGCAGGAACCATGTCTTAGCATAACTCAGTATGTCATAATCAAGCATCTTATAGATCATTTGACCAAACCATCTCTTTTTATAGAAGCATGACAATCCCAAAATAAATTGCCAAGATGTTGAGAAGAGATTTTGAGGGTCTTGAGCTACACAAAGACATAAATTACAGTCCTGAATCCCCCAAAGAGTGGGGAGTCTTAGAAACTCTCCATGCTTTGGTTAGAATACTCCCAAAGAGTTACATGCCATAAATAGAAAAGTATTCATGGGGGGCTGGACGCGGTGGCTCATGCCTGTAATCCTAGCACTTTGGGAGGCCGAGGCAGGTAGATCATGAAGTCAGGAGATCGAGACCCTCCTGGCCAACATGGTGAAACCCCGTCTCTACTAAAATACAAAAAAATTAGCCGGGCGTGATGGCGTGCACCTGTAGTCCCAGCTACTCAGGAGGCTGAGGCAGGAGAATCACTTGAACCCAGGAGGCGGAGGTTGCAGTGAGCCAACATCGTGCCACTGCACTCCATCCTGGTGACAGAACGAGACTCTCTCTCTCTCTAAAAAAAACAAAACAAAAAAAAGAGTATTCATGGGGACAGAAGTTCTTCAAGTCATCTGGACCTTTGAATTTGGGTTAAGGTAACCCAGGGTAGCTAGTACCGTAGTCTTCTGCTTTAAGTAAAAATAAATCCTCTGTGGAGGAAAATCATCTTAGACTTCACTTTACTCTGAAGTTTTTTCAAATAAATGTCTGGGATTTAGTAGAAATAAGCCACACAGAAGAAGAGAAAAGAAAAAAGGATAACAAAAAGATAGAACAGATACACAACATAAACAAATACACATGGGATCCAAATAATAAGGTCATCAGGCATAGAGTATTTTACCACATACAAAGAGATAATAGAATTCCAAATAATTTATGCTGATATTCTCCCCTTGAGGAGGAGCACAACTTCCCTCTCCTTAGGTGTGGACTGCACATAGTGACTTCTTCTGAAAGAGTACAGTATGAAAAAGAGAAAGAAAGAGTAACTTTATACTGGAGAAACATGACAGCCACTATCTCAATCAAATAATCAAGATCCACATCAAAAGTAATAATCAAGATCCACATCAAAAGTAATAAGTCACATTAATAATGTGTACCCTTGATATGATGTGATGAAAATGACACTTTACATCTATGGTCTTCCTCCCAAATACCCATAACCCTAGTCTAATTATGAGAAAACATCAGCCAAAGGAGCCTAAGGAAATAAAATATTAAATGTAATATGTTATCCCAGATGGAATCTTGAAACAGGAAAAGGTCAGTAGGTAAAAACTAAACCTGAATACATTATGGACTTCAGTTAATAATAATTGCTATGATTTAGATATTTATCCCTTCCAAACCTCACGTTTGATCCCCAATATTAGAGATGGGCCCAATGGGAGGTCTTAGGTCATGGGGTTAGATCCCTCATGAATAGATTAATGCCTCTCCTTGGGCTTAAGTGAGTTCTGGTTCTATTTGTTCCTAGTTGTAAAAAGAGCCTGGAGCCTCCTCCTCCCCTTGCTTCCTCTATGACCATGCAATCTCTACACACATCAGCTCTCCTTTACCTTCAGCCATGAGTAGAGGCAGCCTGAAGCCCTCATCCAATGCATATACCCAATCATAAACTTTCCAACCAGCCAAATCATGAGCAAAATACACCTTTTTGTCTGTATAAATTACCCAGGCTTAAGTATTTCTTTATAGCAACACAAAATGGACTAAGACAATAACATACCAATATTAATACATTAATTAGTATTGACTGTATGAATTATATTGTCTGGTGAGATATAAAATGCACATAGAATAAAATATGTGACAACAATAACATATTAGTTGGGAACTTGGTAAAGGTGTTATACATAGGGAAAAAGTATATAATTTTCTATGGTTTGTGTTATTTATCCAATAATAGTAATAATAATATTTTATTACCATATGGTGAAATGCTTATCATTTTCTACAAAAAGACACTTGCTAAGAAGTACATCTTTTTATAGACAAGACTAACATGACCTCTGTCTGTACACTAGAATGTCAGTACATGGCCCCTAGATAATTAAGGAGTTCTTGGACTTAAAAATCCAAACAATGTGTCTTGCTTTAACATCTTTTCATACTTAAAAATAATAAGCTTAAAAACAAAACATTGCAAAAAGAGCTTCCCCTTCAAAAAAAATAAAATAAAATTAAGCCTCTTTCAGTTGTCAGCTTTGCTTCTGAATTTATAAATTTCAACTTACAAACAACTTTCAGAGAAAGTGAGTAAAGTAGGGTACACTTGTGCACTATTCCTTTCAAGAACAGAACGGGAGTCTTCAATTCTTAGCTACACCATGGTTGCCATTTTGTATCATAGATGTGGCACCAGTTAAATGAAGCAAGATATTGAAATGAGATTCTTTTCACATTTCATGAAACACAGGGATTTGTGTTGTTTTTTCCTAGGGGGTTAAGATTGAATGTAATATTTCAATCATACTTGAAAGAACATGAGTTAATTTTTCATAGCCACTAATCCACTCATTCAGAAATGATAATGCAAATGTTCAAATATTTATGCTTCATAGGCAAAATATGGTGCCCTGAATTACTGCATTGTGCTCTCTCCTAATGCTTACTTACAATTCATTTCAGATCAGGTAACCAGAAAATCACTGTATTCAACAGGGGAGTGATAGCAATAAAGTCTTTATACTTACAATCCTTTCATATTTATTCACATGCAAGACTTGTTTGCCTCCTTGAATACAATTAAAATATCCATCGAAGTCAGTGACTAAGGCAATAATATAAAATATTGTGCCTTTAATTGATCTGATTGCAATTTCCAGTCTACATTCTATGTAAAATCCAAAGGGTCTTGTGAGAAGAAGAGTGACTCTACTACAATGTTTTATTATTCCCAAACATGATGAGTGCTTTCAATGTAAACTTTCAACCTCACCCATCATGAAAGCTGTGTTTTCAACATTATTTTTCAATGCTTCTGAAAAATGTTTTGAGAACATGAGTAAAGTCAGGAATTGCATTACTTGGAGTGTTTTTTACTCACGTAGTGCCCTTCTTTCCAGTGTCATTATTCCCAGGGTATAGAAGCAGAAAATCAGATTCAGACTAAAGCTCAAGACACTTCGAGTGAGTTTAAGAGTTAAGAGGAGGACCTCAAGCACCATGCATGATTTCATAGAAGAATTCTGCCCTGTTCTACATTGTAGTAGCTTCCAAGCATGAAAGATATAATACAGGGAGGAGAGCTTGCCACCTCCCTCTTCAGTCCTGGTGTCTCGATCCCATCCTTGCTCACTTCAGAGATATACTTCTTGTATCTCCTCACCAGCCTAAACAATCTAAGAGCATTGAAGGATGTTTCAAAACCATACATTGTCATCAAGTACCCCTGGTATGAAGCACTGAGAAGAGCAAACCGCCTCCCTGGTATCTTGTTCAATAATTCATAATCTCAATATAATCTTAAGAAGACATCAGAAAAACCCAGATTGGAAGACATTGGAAAAAATAACTAACCAATAGTCTTCAGAAGTGTCAAGGTCCTGAGAGATAAGAAAATACTGGGGGACTTTCACAGATGGGAGGAGAGACTAAGGAGACGTGAGGATTAAATGCAATGTGGGAAAAATTGACAGGACTTTCTAACAGAAAGAGAATATTAGCGGAAACATTTGTGAAAATCAAGTTAAGTTGTATACTTTAGCTAATGTATTATACTGAGATTTAACTTCTCAGTTTTACTAAGTCCTCTGGTTGTACAAAATATTAACAAAAGAAGAGGCTGGATGAAGGGTAATACAGGGACTCTGTACTATTTTTTCAACTCTTCTGTTAGACTTACATTATCTCAAAATTTTAAAAAGTAAAAAAACAAAGAAAAAATACACACTGAAATGAAGAAAGAAAGGAATGAAGAAGAGAAAGAAGAAGGAATGAAAGAAGGAAGCACAATTCGAATTTAAAGAGATATCGGGAGGTTTCATAATTGCTGACTGATTCCTCAGGAGATTCCAGATACTCATTTGAAAGCATTCTGATGCAGTCAGAAAGTGACATAATATGGTGGCAAATGCCATGGACTTTAGACACAGACATATCTGGGTTTGAAATCTGATTTTACCACTTATTAGCTACGTGTCTGATGTTACATTACTTAATTTTCTGAAGTTCAATTTTCTTACATGTAAATAGAGGTGTTAATAGTACCCACTTCATAGGGCTGCTATGAGGACTAAAGGGGGTAATCCAGGTAAAGATCTTAGCCTATGTCTGGCATATACAAAGCACTTAAAAAAATGGAAGCAATTACTATTATCCCAGAAGCTGACACTATGCATTTTACATTTCCAAAATTCATTCATTTCCTCTCACTTGTAGAGATTAATAATTTTCCAAATCTTATTTATCCTTCAAGTACCAGTGGAATCTCACTGCCTCCATAAACCCAAATAGATTTTCCAGCCTTAAAATCTACATATAGTTTATGCGTTGTATAGTTATCATTCACTATTATTTTATGTGTAGTAATTGGTTTTTCATCAGACTATAAGATACTTGATGATAGGGATAACCTTGTTTCTTTTTATATTTTCCTTAATGCTGAGCACAAAGTAGGCATTTGAAAAGTCACGGTAGTTTATAACTATGATATTTTATGTGTTTCTAGGAGAATCTGGTGACACCATGGATGTAGTCATTAGGAATTTAGAGGCCTGTCAAAACAGGTTTTAAAGAGGTAAACATAATTAAAAGCCCTTTGAAGAAGAAATAAAAGTCTCAGAATCTTCTTCACTCCAAATGCAAACTAAATTAGATTCTTTGCAACTGTCTCTGGGGCCTATGTAATGTGGTTTTTGTCTTGTAAAGAAGACAATTTAAAATAAAGCCTTTCAGGGATTTCAATAGACACATTTCTTTAGCTGAAATCTATTCTCTCAGAAACTTACCCAAACTTCTTAATAATGTTCAAATTCTAAGAAAGATATCATGGCTACACAGCACCAGGAAGAGCACATTATTTCTCTTCACAATTCCCTTGCATAGCATCATGGCTTCCTAAGGGCTTTTAAGTTTATTGCTTCAACTGATTCTCATAAAATCTCTGAGATGCTATCTGGAAAGTATTATTATCCCCAGTTTGCAGATAAGACAACTGAGGTCTAGACTTGCTAAAAATCACACAACAAGTAAGTGGCAATTGAGGACTCTTCTCTCATTCAACAACCATTTATTGAGTTTTCTCGTGGGCTTCCCCTGTGTGCTCTCAAGCCCACATGCTGGCTCCTATCAGAGCACTGTGCTTATCACAAAGGATTATAATCATCCACCAACTTGTTTGTCTTCTCCCCTGAACTTTAAGCTCCTTGTAGGCATGCATCTGTCTTTTCCTAGTTGTATCCCTAGTGCCTAGCAATAAGGATGCGCTCAATAAGCATTTGTGAATAGATGAATGGGCATAGCTCAAAAAATGATGCTGAAGGATGTGCCAAAAAAGCTCAAATGAGTTGTTTTGGATAAATGCAAATTACAGCATCCCTTTTCCATATCTTAGCATTTTATAACCCAGATCCCAATAGAGAACACAGCTGTGAAAGAGATTAATACACACTGCACTCTTAAGGAGCAAAGCCTACACTGAAATGAATCAAGACCAGGTGATCATGGAGGCATATGATAAGATAAAGCCCGGTTACCATCACAGTCTCCAGAGAAGGCAGTTTATCTGTAGAAGTTTCAATCCTGACTCTGCTACACTTCCTAGGCAACTCTCACTTCCACCAAGGAAAAGTATAAAAGT
Organism: Homo sapiens; assembly: GCF_000001405.40. Lineage (NCBI taxonomy): Eukaryota > Metazoa > Chordata > Mammalia > Primates > Hominidae > Homo > Homo sapiens. The sequence goes on along the minus strand of NC_000005.10, from coordinate 144,238,464 downwards.
GACAGGCTTTGACGTAAAGTTACCAAACTAAAGGGATCTAATACTCCTAAATGAAAGGCAAATGAGCTCATCGATTCTCCAGGTTTCCAGGTAATAAAACACAGACTAGAATTTTAAGGGACATTGAGAAAGAAGTCCCTGAAATCTTCAAGAGGACAACAGAAACCTATCTGAAATATTTTCTTTCTTGAATCTTTTTTAGCTATAAGGTTCTATGGCCTATTTCTCCTGTTCTCCTACACCCAAAGTCAACATGTTGATATTTGCTCTTACCTCCTTCACTGCAAAAATATCTCCTTCTCTCGAGCCATAGCCATCTGGCTGCACAAGCCCCACCTTCAGAATCAGAATGAGAAACATTTGCAGAACTTGTGGTTTTTCATAAAGTTGGCAGAGGGTTTGTTCTCCACAGTGATGGCATCAATTTCCCCATGTGGGAAAAATGCCAGTCACTAGTAATAGTGTCTGATGCTAAGCAACCAGAGTGGTTCCAGGAGGTTGTGCAGTGTCTGAGAAGAGGACCAAACTGCAATTCGAAGATGCAGTTCTGGCTTTGACTCTTCCACACACTTCAATATGACCTCAGATAAATCACTCAGCTTCTCCAGTACTCTGTTTTGTTTTCTCATCTCTGAACTTAGTGTGGGTCTTACAGATCCCTTGTGCTAAGTTCTGCTGTGGGACTTATAACTTACATGGAGGTGGAGGGTAGGAGGAGAACATGATCAGGAACTCTGGGCAAGCATAAGCCATTTTCTTCAAGACTAATCAACGACGTGGACTGTTGTTGGTGGTTGGTGTTTTTGTTTTTTGTTTTTCCCTGTTCCAGAAAAACTGGAAAGCAAATGTAATAGATTTAGGGAAAATAATCTGTGTCAATAAAGAAGGAAATGCTGTACTAATTAAAATACAAAATTTTGTCCAAAAAACCATGAGAAATAAGACAGACTATTTGAAATGACTAGGAAAAAGTGACCAAAGAGTAATGCAAAGTCATTTATGTTTAACTTGATCTAAATAAAAATTACCAACAGATAAGCCACTGTTTGGGTCATCTGCATCTGATAAACATAGGTTTAAATCCTGGCACCATCTGCTCAACTTTAATATGTACCAATATGCCAAATTATAATTATGATAGCAAGGACAGCAGCCTCATGGCTCATGATCTAAATAGTGACTGTTCTTTAATGGGATGAGAAACTAGAGCCAAACCAACTTCGCTGGAAATTATTTTAGTGCTTCATATTCACCATAGGTTAAGAGCAAATAGAGGCATGTAACTGGCAAAGCCACAAGCAACCAGAATTTCAGAGTAGGAGAAACATTCTGGGTAGGGACCCAGAATGCCCAAGAACCTAGAACTTACAAGAAGAACAATGGAGGTAGAGAATCAAAGCAGAGATATTGTAGTATTTCCAACCATCTAGAACTAATCACTGGTACCTGTCCAACCACTTGACCTACCAGTGTACATTAGTCATGGGGCATTTTTCAATTGGGAAGCAGGCAGGCCATTCAAATATAGTCCAGTGCTAAGATAGCCATTGCCAATATGATAAATCCTTAAATTCTGATACTCAAGATCACCCAGCCCAAAGCCCTCACTTTACAAATAACGAAACTAAGGCCCACAAGTTTAAGTTTCCCAAACCACCATCCAGTGAGTAACAGAAAAATCTCCTTTCTCTCAGACCAATGTTTATCCCATGATACCTCCCCAGAGCTCCAGGGCTAAATGCATTTGCATAGATCTTCCTTTCCTTGCCAAATAAGGTCATGTGCTGTTCAAGCCACTCATTCTGATGCCTTTCCTAAATTACCCTGCCTACCTTACTATCCTAACAGCAAGTTTATCTAAGATGGCACCTTTCGTAATCTTTAGTCTGTGTCACAAAATATGAGTTGTGTATATCTTATATTATCTCTATATTACTATAAGAGAGCTATAACCATATTTTTAGTAGGTATAATTAATAACAGAGTCCCTACTAAACTTTGTTCTAGACATAACAGATTACCCACCAGTTCCATAAATTTCTATGGAATCATCCCTTCAATGTTCCATGCCCCTGCATATGCTGTTCCTTCTGCCTGGGCAGCCCTCCCTTTGTTCCAGACCCCAACTTATCAGGCCAACTGCTGCTCATCCTTAAAGGCCCAGCTCAAATGTTGCTTCTTCTTCAGAGCTTTTCCTAATGTTATCCAGTAGTTAGAATTTACTTCTCCCTCTGCATTTTAATTTTGCTCTCAGATATAGCACTTATTATCTGATAATTACTGGTATATGTTTTTGTCTCCACTAGACTATCACCACCTCATGAACAGAGACAATTTTTTTATCTATCTTCAGCATCTAACAGTTCCTAGCATGCAGGAAAACCTTGGTAGATGCTTTGTTGTCTAATGATGTCAATGCTATAAAAGAATCATTGCCAAGATCTATGTCATTTCTCTAGTTCTAGACTTCATACACTGACAATGACCCTTACGTATAAACACTATCATAGTCAGTAGGTATTGGACCAATACCCCTAAAGCATGCATTGGGATAAGATTTGAGAGAATAGAGAAGAAATGAGAACATTCATATTCTCAAGTTGTGTAAATTATTTTGGTGGGTTTTGTGCCCTTTAAAGCAAGAATCAGTTATTAAAATGCTTTCAAAGGGCATAAGCCTTATTTCCATGGGCATGAATTTTCAATAGTGTCTGAAGTTTGACAAGATATAGAGAACATTATAATATAATTTTCTATCTAAAAAGCTTTTTGAAGTCTCTCATCTCTCATTTCTATACTAGTAATAATAATAAAAGGTAATATTTACTGAGGGCTTACTATGAGCCAGGAACTTTGCTGAGCACTTCACATTCATTATTTCATTTAACCTTCTCAGCAACTCCATAAGGTAGCTGCTGTCAAATCCTCATTTTGTAGATAAGGAAACAGGCACCAAGAGTTTAAGTAACTTGTGTGCACAAGGTCAAGCAAGAAATGCATGGTAGAATGAAGATTTGATCTCAGTCAAACTGACTCCAGCCCCTGATCTGAGTAAATGCAAACCATGGAGACAAGAGCTCAGCAAACTCATTCAAACTCCCTGGTTAAGCAGGAGATAGAGTGCTTTTGCCTCTCTTAGCTATGGATAAGGAAGCCACACCCCTTGGGAGAGGCACATAGAACCTCCATGAAAAGGAAAGGCATTAGATTTTAATGAGTATCAATCTCTAAAGGATTGGATTGTTAAAGGCTGAAATCACTGAATAAGTACACCACACTTTGTGCATAAAAACAAGATTATCACCCATGCAAAATGATTCTCCCTAAAAGCATAAGCTGAGAACATTTTATTCCATCAACTGCGTGTGTTTGTGTATTTTCATTGGGTAGAAACTGAGCTCAGCTTAGTGAAGCTAGTGTGTGTATTTCCTGGGAAATTATTTATTTATTGCTTATTGGATGGCTTTTAGCTTTCATCTAGAAGAGACAGAGTTAATGATGCATTTCTGTTTTCATCAGGAAATCGTGGGAAAGGCTGAGATCTCTTTAGGGAGAGATTGGTTTTTGGCCCATCTCAGCAACTCATTTTTGATCACAGTAACTTTTGTCTGTGGAAGGGGGCAGGACTGTGATACACACACACATATATACATATATGCATATATATGTATAACCTATAACATAATACATGTACACATAATATATACAACTCTTTCATACAATGCTTTATAGTTTACCAAGTGTTTTCCCATAGATGCCATTTTATTTAAGGCTTACAACCACCAGATGGGGTGGGAAAATTTATTCCCATTTTTTGCAAGAAAATCTGAGACTCAGTTTGTCCCGTGATTTATCCGGCCTCATAAAGCTGACAAGTAGCAAAACTGGGGTATGAAACTCAAGCCTTCAAATTTCAAGTCCAGGGCTTGTCACCAAACAGCCACTGTGTTCACTTGTTCAGCATTTGAGTGAAATTGCTTACAAATTACTTTACTGATTCAACACCTCTGATATCACCTAAATAACTTGTAATCCCTGGAATAGGAAGGGTATAGGTGACAGACATGATGTGATTTGACCAAGCCATAATGAATTTTTTAAAATGTGTGAAGCGATTATATATTTCAATTCTTACAAGAACATTAAAATCTGAACTTTCTCTTATGAAGTGAGGCTGGGGAGCACCACGCTTGGAGAGAGATGGCCTGTGTCTCTTCCAAATAGGGAGGTTTGAACAATTTGTCTTGACTTTTGAATTTGGAACATCCAAAGGCAACATCAAAAACAAAAATAACTCATTTCCTCCCCATTACTAAAACTTGGCTGCTAATACAGCACCTGTTTGACATCAGATGATTAGGAATGCAAACGCTTCAGTACAAAACCAAAGTACAGTAATTGAAGATTATATTCTTCACAATGGATCATCTCTTCCTGCGGTTCATTCTTTTTTCTAAGCAGAAAATATTACAATTGTGTGTTAATCCTGGGAGACTTTTGTCTAGTAAATAGTATGGTTTCCTAGATGCAAAGCAGATACTGCAGAAATTAAATAGCCCAGTACTAATTAGCATTTTTTGATCCCTCCCTCTTCTCCCTCTCCTTCCTTAGGATTGACTGCCAGGGCAGAAGCAGATTTATTGCAACCAGATAAAACCAGTTGGCACAATTCAAACACCTGGGCAACTCTGCCTTATCTTGCTAGGTAAGCTGCATTCTTTTATATTCAATATCTGTCCTGTTTACGGATGATCTAAAGGGTGTAAAACAAGAAAAACCAAACTCTAACAATGGATTCCATTTAAAGTGCAAATAATGTAATAGCACAGTCTTTTGGGGACAGGGCTATGATGGACAGAACTTAAAGTCATTATCACTAAACTCTTTGCCTTTTAAGAGAAAATACAAGCAAAAAGGGTTTGGATGTGGGGGGAATAAAAGAACTGTGAGAAGGGCTGCCATGCAACTCTCAGACATTTCTTTCCTCTTTTTCTTTTTTCCAGGCATAGGAAGAAAGCTCCGGCAGTTAAGATTCCTTACTGTTTACAAAAATCAGATGGAAACAGAGTTGACCTTGATGGTATCAAGCCCTCACAGTATAGATTTCAGAGTAATAAGCCAATGAATTAAAAATGATAGAATCAGAATTTCTCCTGGTATTAAAGGAAATGACAAGGATCACAGCCTTCATCTCAGCTGGTGCCTACCATAACAACAACCAGAAAAAGTTAACTTATGATGGAAGACCCTTTTTTTATTTAACAGTTGATGTGGCTTTCTTTATGAGCTTGTAGGCCCACTCAAGCTGAAAATATGTCAGGTAACTGTAAAGCAATTATCAAAATCTAAAAGACACAGTTCTACCATGACTCGATCTGCCTGAAAAAAAAATTCCATGTTTTCCAATATTGCTTTGAGGAATAACCTCAATTCCCAGGTCTACTGATGAATCAATAGAGGATGTCCACGAGCAACATGAGACTCGTTAAAATGCAACCCTAGGAAACCACAGTTTTCAGGGTAGTAGCCATTAGCCACATGTGCTGTTGAGCACTTGAAATATGGTAGGTGTGACTCAAGAACTCCATTTTTTCATTTTATTTAGTTTTAATGACTTTAATTTAAAAATTGAAGCAATGAAAATATTTGGAAGTATGTTGAATATTTTTGACACGGTGGGTTAAAATGTTTTATTCAAGTTAATTTTACTGTTTCCTTTTACTTTTTTCATGTGGTTATTATAAAACAAAATTAAATACATGGTTCATTTTATGTTTCTATTGAACAGTACTGCTCTAAAAACTGCAGAATCTACCTTAGGGAAAGAATCTACCTTAGAAAGTAATCAACTTCACAGTTCATTGAAAGATGTTTATTTGCCAGAAAGAAAAAGACGATTTGATAGCTTGGCCTTCTGGCAGCATGGTCACGTATTACATAGAGGCTGAGAGCCAAGGCTCTGGAAACACACAGCTCAGGTTTAAATTCCAAGATCTGCTTTTCACCAGCTGTGTGACCTTGAGCGAGTTGCTTAGCCACTCTGAGTCCATTTCTTCACACGTTCAAATAATGTGTCTAATATACTTAGCAAGTAAGTGCTCAAAAAATATTAACTATTACTGTTGTCGTAATTAGCAACTTTGTTATTTGAGCATCATTAGGAGAATATCTGGAATTTCAAAAACAAATAAAATATTGTGATCTTATGGATCATATTTATGATTTACAAGGGAAAAATAGTCTATCCTTTGGCAAACCATCAAGTAGCAGGAACACTCACAACTTGAGAATAGTTCTTTGTTCTTAATGAAGGGTTAATAGTATGATTGGAAACTCTTGTCCTTTCGTTGTGTGGTGCTTCCATTTCTGGAACACTCTTAACATCAAAAGGGGGCAAAGGTATATTATAGAATGGGAAGGGGCCTTATCGATTCACAGTTCAGCCTAAGGCAAATCTTACAGGCAGTAATCCTGGACACTACTTTAAATAAATACTGTTTTGGCTCTTCCAATGACACAGTATAGATATATGAAATATGATAGTGTATTAGTCTGTTCTCACGCTGCTAATAAAGATATATCTGAGACTGGGTAATTTATGAAGGAAAAAGGTTTAATTGACTCACAGTTCAGCATGGCTGGGGGCTTCAGAAAACTTACAATCATGGAGGAAGGGGAAACCAAACACATCCTTCTTCACATGGTGGCAGCAAGGAGCAGTGCCGAGCAAAAGGGGAAAAAGCCCCTTATAAAACCATCAGATCTCGTGAAAATTCACTATCATGAGAACAGTATGGGGGAACCACCCCCATAATTCAATTATCTCCAACTGGTCCCGCCCCTGATACATGGGGATTATTACAATTCAAGGTGAGGTTTGAGTGCCCAACACAGCCAAACCATATCAGATACATTCTACATATGGTATGTAGTATCACAGACTATCACTAGATTAAAGCTTAGTTGGAAAGTTGAGACATAGACAGGGAATAACAATATTACTATAAAATAGCTACTTAACATAATATTTTTTCTACTAATGTGCCTATCAATCTATATGCTCCACTAGAATGTGAGCTTCATGAGAACATAAATTTTTTTCACCCTGAATCCCAAGTGCTTAGAGCATACTTGATAGAGAGTATGTGCTCACTATATTTTTAATCAAATACATGGATGAAGAGAAAGACTCCATAAGGCATATAGCTGAAAGGAAGAAACTGATGAAAATGGGCCCAGAAAAGAATACCCCAAATCTTACAATTAGATATCACAAAATGTTAACATCAAACAACAGCGACATGAATTTAACTAACATCGAATTAGCAATGAAAATAGAAGGAAGAAACTAAGGAGAATGTTCTGTGGTTACTAGGTGTCTACAAGTCTCTCCACCATCCAGGATAAAGTCCAGTAGTTCAGCACGTCACATAAGGCCCTTCACCATCTGCTCTCTGCTTAGCTCTCCATGCCAAGTCATTGTTTGCTCTCTGCCCTTGTGCTCTCACTATGAGGCTCAGAGAACAGGCTATGCTCTGCCTGACTTCCAGGCCTCAGCATCTGCTCATCCTGCTGCCTAGAATGCTGTTCCTTGTGTTGTCTGCCTGACAAACTTCTTATTCTATACGACATTACTTAAGAATTGCCATCTCTGGGACAATATCCCTGATCATTCCATTCAGAATTAAGTACTTTCTCTTCTACTTTTTCCTAATACTTGTATCACTTCCATATTATAAAAGTGTTCCATATATTCATACATTATACATCCCTGAAGTCATGTATAAATATGGTCTTGCTGCATAAGGCAAACCATAGATTTACACCTTATATAATTGGCATTCCCAATTAAGAAAAGAAAAAAAAAAACTTTTCCTATTTACACCTGCCTTTTTAGACAGTATCTTTGAAATATAGTTCCCACATTTTATACATTTTTAACCATGCATTTGTTCTTTCCTAATTGAAAACTCACTCAACTGGCATAAATCCAATGATATCCACTTAAGGCTGAGGATTCACACCTTTCAGCATGCCTAAAGATTTCCATCTTTGTCTGAATTACATTAAGTTTGAGATATATGGTTCTTATCACCAATATCAGCACTTTCATTTTCTATTACCTACCCATTTTTATAAGATAATAAGGGCAAGATACAATAAAGCATTCAAATAATTACTCAAACACTTTTATACTGGCAAAGACGAAAATGCAGCTGAGATTGAATTCTCAACTGCAATTCCATACAATACATTTCATCCTTGTAGCCCTGGAACATTAAACAGTGCAATGCACTGCTGATTTTGTTTTGTTTTGTTTTTTGAAGCAGAGTCTTGCTCTGTCACCCAGGCTGAAGTACAGTGGCGTGATCTTGGCTCACTGCAGTCTCCACCTCCAGGGTTCAAATGATTCTTGTCCCTCAGCCTCCCATGTAGCTAGGACCACAGGCACAAGCTACCATGTCCAGCTGATTTTTGTATTTTTAGTAGAGATATGGTTTCACCATGTTGGCCACGCTGGTTTCAAACTACTGGCCTCAAGTGATTAGCCCGCCTCGGCCTCCCAAAGTGCTGGGATTACAGATGTGAGCCACTGCACCCAGCCTTGCACTCCTGTTTAATAGGTGCTTAATAAGTCTTTGTTAATGAATGACAGATTTGGTTAGCGAATGACACAAAACATTTGAAAATCTCCCAACTCCTTTTCATTGGCCATGGCACAGAGGCAGCAGAACATACCATACATGAGCCATTATGCACAGTGGGTAAGAGAGATGATGAATCTTACAAACCAGATTCAAATCCCAGTCTACCCTCTCCTAGCTTGGGGACCTTGGACTTGTTTCCCAACTCTTAGCCTCAGCTTTTCTCTCTAAAATGTGGACAAAAGAGTCATTATTAAGATGAAATAATATAATTTGTGGCCCTTTCGATAGCCACATAGGTGATCTTTGAGTACTCCTAACTCCTAACATTCAAAAATCTCATCCTCCTTTAGTCATTCCCTTTATGGCCATTCCCTGAGTGTGTCATTATTCATTCATTGACCCTCCATAAGCTCAACTTCAAACAACACTATCTTCTCCTACATTTCCATCTCATTTCCTCTAGTACCAGATTCCAAAAACCCTTAACCCCAGAGAGATCTTCAATCCATTGGTCCTATATCTTTTCATTGTCCCCCCTCTCCTTCATGTCTTCACTGAATTTCTTAACCCACTTAAATGCAATGGCCAATCATTTAAACAATTCTCTTGCATACACCTTGAGCTCTTCTGCCTTGACTTTACAAAACCCCATGCCTGCTGGTGAGGATAAAATCTGGGCTTACTTCCACCTGCCCCCATGCAACTGGACATAGCTGGAGAAAAATAAACAACCATGTGGAATGATCTCACTTCACATTCATGGCCATTTGTTTCAAGTGAGTCCTTCAGTGCCACTGGTCAATAATACATTTCCCTAGTTTATTCACTCTCCCACAGTCCTGGACTACTATTTTATATGGTCTTCTCTCTTCAAACTTCAAATACTTCCTTCCTCATATATGTACGTATGCATGTACACATATTACTACATGTACTATATTACTATACGTAGGTACTATATGTACATATTACTATATGTACTGTATCGGCTACATATCTATTCAATATTCATAGATCCTGTCATGATAGATGAACTGACAAGGCTCATAACAAATTCTTTATGCACTCAATCTCATTCCTTCTTACTTATCCAAGGATATCACTTCAGCTACCTCCCACTTATCTCCTGAATTGTTGACTTTTTTCTCTAACCACTGAATTCTTCTTATAAAAATACAAGCATGCTGTTTTTTTCTAATGTCTAAAAAAATTCTCTTTTTCTCTCACTTTCTGTTCTACCACCTAATTTCTATATTTCACTTTTTAGCAAAACTTCTTGAAAGTTCTGTCTGTACTCACTTTTCCTAGTTCCTCTGCTACGATTCCTCTGAAATACATTCCAATGAGGCTTTTGCCCTCAGCAGTTCATCGAAACTGCTGCTGTCAAAGTTATCAATGACCTCCACATTGGTATATCCAATAGCCATTACTCTCAATTTGCAAAGAATTTACTCTTTCAGCAGTATGTGACTCAGTTAATTATTCCCTCCCACTTGAAGCATTTTTATTTTCACCTGGCTTCCAGGACACCCCACTTTCCTGGTTCTCTTCCTACTTCATTGGCCACTCCTTCTGAGTCTCCTTTGTAGGTTCCTCTTCAACTCCCAGGTCTTAACACTTGAGTGCTTAGACCTCCATTCTCGGACCTACTCTCTTTTCTTACTGCATTACTTCCTTAGTATTGTCATTCAGTCTCAGATTTAAATACATTCTACATGGTGATGACTCCCAGCTTTATATCTTAAGCCTGAACTCTGCCCTACAATCACAGACCCATATGTCTAACTCCTATTATTCACATGAATGTCTAACAAGCATCTCCAAGCTAACATGTCCAGATTTTGAATTCCTAATATTACCTCTAAAAAAGGCAATCTTTCCTCAGGTTTCTTTATCTTGATTAGCAGTAACTCCATTCTTCCAAATTGCTTAAGCTAAAATTCTTGAAGTCATCCTCAACACTGTTCTTTTGCTCATACAACACACCCATGCCATCAGCATATTCTGATGCCTCTACCTTCAAAATATATTCAGAAACTGACCATTCTCACCATTTCCACTCCTATCGACCTTCTCTGAGCCATCCACTCCTCTCAACTGGATTATTCCGATAGTTGTCTAATTGATTGCCACACTTCTTCCCTTGGTTTCATCAGTCTGTTCTCAAAATAGCAGCCAAGGTTGAATACAACAGCAGCTTGTTAAAATATATGTCAAATTTCTGACATCATTTGGCAGGCAGCTTTTAAAAATAGGCCAAATCTTGTCACTTACCTGCTGAAAACCCAACAATGGCTGCCCATGTCAGCAGAGTCAGAGTCAAAGTCCTTACAAAGACCTATAAATCCCTACAGAATCTGGCTCCCTTTTATCTCTGTAATCTCATTTTCTCCCAGCCTCTTCCTCCCTTACCAGTTCCAGCTACACTACCCTTCTAAGCTTCTTCTCCAATAGACCCAGCACTCTCCAACCTCAGGACCTTGATATGTGCTTTTCCCTCTGCCTGTCAGATTCCCCATAGTTTGAAAGTTCATCTTCTACAAGCCTTTATTTAAATATCACTGCCTCAGTGAAGACATGCCTGTCTTCCACCTAAAATTCCAACACACATCCCTAAACCCAGCCTGCTTCATTCTCCATAGTGTTTATCTACATATCCTTGTGACATAATTTATATTTTGTTTATTTATGCTGTTTATTATCCATCTCTCCAGACACATGTATACATACACATCCTAGGATATAAGCTCCTTGAAGGCAGACAGCTATGTGTGTTTTATTCAGTGCTGACTCCTCAATGCCTAGAACACTGTTTGGCATATAGTAGCTGTTTAATAAAAATAGTTAAATAAATTAATAATGCATAAAACCCTTAGCATAAAGCCTGGAAAAAATACACCACCCTCAAATGTTGGCTATTATGTATTCATAAAGAAATAGATTTGGCCAGGCGCAGTGTCTCACACCTGTAATCCCAGCATTTTGGGAGGCCAAGGCGGGCAGATCACCTGAGGTCAGGAGTTTGAGACCAGCCTGACCAACATGGCGAAATCCCATCTCAACTAAAAATACAAAAATTAGCTTGGTGTGGTGGCACATGCCTGTAATCCCAGCTACTTGGGTGGCTGAGGTGGGAAGATTGCTTGAAGCTGGGAGGCAGAGGTCGCAGTGAGCCAAGACGATGCCACTGCACTTCAGCCTGGGTAATAGACTGAGACCCTGTCAAAAAAAAAAAAGACATATTTTTTTTTCTCAAAGTCAAACATAGAATCACTTCAGGTTCAATTTTACGGTGAACAACTGAAGAAACAATAAGATCAATTTTATTTAATGAACTCATACTTACTATATTCCACAGATTGTTCTAAATCTTTTAAAAATATTACCTCATGGATAGGAAAACTCTGTAGTCTATGGATAACCCAGTGTAACTTAGCAATTAAAAAGCATGTATAGTCTTTGGTATCAGACAGACTTGACTGGAGTCTGAATCCTGATTTTATTATTTACTAGCTATGATCTTTGGTAAGAATCTTCCTAGGTCTCAGTCTTCTTATCTGTAAAATAGGGGAAATAATCCCTACCTCCTAATCATTCTAATGAGAAATCTTAGTGCTCTAAAGAGAAAACATCACAACATCTGCAAAGCACTTACCACAGTATCTGCTGGGTGACTTGCACTCAATCAGAGGCATCTATAGTTCATTGCAGAGAAAGGTAAACAGTTAAGTGGAGAAAAACAAAAACCATAAGAGATAAGGAAAAGCAAAAGTGTATACTTCCCTGTCTCTAGGGTTTTAGGATTTTCATCAAGATTCAGAAGAAAAAGGAGTTGAGAAAGGCAATTGGTTTTTAAATAAAGAATAAGTTTTTCTTTCTAGTTTTTTGGTTGCAAGCTTGCTGCTATAATAGCTAGGCTTCTAAAGTAATGGAAAGCTGTTATTAACATGAAATACTTACAACAAAATTATGTTCCCAAATAACTCTCCCCAAATGCAAAACTAGGCAAGCTACTAAAAAAGAAGCTCATTGTCTGAATATTTTATGATTTAAACAGAGTTTCAGGTTAGTCATAGGTTTCATGCTTAAATGTACCCTTTCTCTAGGCAAATGCCTGCTAGGGCACTAAGATTAATCTTGTTTAAGACTACTTCACTCATATTAGTCTTGCTACTGATTCTAGAGCCAGAAACTCTAACATGACTTCTTAGTTTTAAAGACACACACACACACACACACACACACACACACACACACACACACAATTTATTTTTGCTTAGGTATGTGGTGGAGCAGAGGAAGAAAATGATAAATTCTTCCTATTCTGTTTCGAATTCTTTTGACATCTTTTTTGTACTATGAAATTCTGTGCCTTTTCATATCCGTGGTACCTAGGAAATCAAATTCTTAAAAATAATGCTGTGTAGGAGTCACTGGGAGAAGAGATTGTATCCCAGAAGTTCTGTGTGGGTAACTGAGGACAGATTGTCAGATTTCGGCCCAATCTGGTTCAATTTCTTAAAAGCTGTATCATGAGAAAATTGTGTTCATAAAACTTGAAATTTGAAGAGGAAAAGAAGAAAAAAAATCAGCCATGTTAAGCACCTTCTCCCATCCACACACCCCACTAGAGGCTTTATGTGGGCTTCTCATTTTATCTTGTGAGGCGGCTCCCTTGAATAGCTCTGTTTTGGCAGTTCGAAAAAGATAGCATTGCCATCTGGTATTTCTGTGGTATGGCATGATGGTGAAGAATGCCAGAATTCGGGTCAGGGCAATTGGGGTTTGAATTCTGCTTCATTGGTCTATCCTTACCCCCATTCTTAATATGAACCTATGAACTTTTCTTAAACTTAAAGCCAGATGGATACTACTAGGTTCTACTATACGGAAATTCTGAAGCAGTCCCTAAGAGTATGATCTTGGTTAAGTTAAACTTCTCTGAGCCCCAGTTTACCATTGTGGGGTTTTGTGGGAATTAAATGAGGAACACTTGACACAGGACATAGCATTCAGTAAGGATAGCTATGATTATTGCTAACATCACAGAATGTAAATATATACCATAGCATACCTGTACATTATTTCTATCTGGAGTCAGGAGGATTTCAGTAGCAAGTTAAGACCGCAATTATTTGACTACATTGTATCTGGTTGTTTGGAAGAAAACTTGTTTTCTCATAAAAAGAAGCGAATTACCAAGGCAAATTACAGACAGTAAAAAATATAAAAATATAGCTATGATAAAAAGAAAGTGTTCCGGCTGTGTTTTTACAGAATAGGGCTGGTATGAGGGATTATTTGCGAACACACCCAAAATAGATTTTTTTGTTTACCATTAATTCTTTATGTCAGAATAGAAAGCACCATTTTAACCAGATATTTTACCACAGTTTCTGAGCCCTTTGGAGGAAAAAAAAAAAAAAAAAAAAACACATTATATTGATCCAATAAAAATAATATACCAACCTTGGGTTTTATTTACAATATAGAAAATAATTCCAAACTACTAGGTACAAAGCATTTAAAGTCAGTTGTAGAAACCATCTTCCACACCCTGTTTTCAATAGAAATAACTCCAATTGTTTTTGTTGTTATAAAAAAAAATGTAAAGTGGATAATTAAGGTGACATTCTCAAAAAGATCCAAAAGATAGAATCAAAATTAATTTGTTTTTGCCGTTTAATTTTTCTAATAATTGCCTTCATGTAGACTTGTTCTGAGAACTAAATATAAGTCAAAGGAAAACAAAACAAATAAAAATGAACACACTACTACGAACCTGAACAAAAATGCAAAAAGCCAAGTTTTCAAGAGAGGGAAATTCACCTTTTATTTAGAACATCTGGGTCGGGTTTTTTTAAAAAAAAACACCTACGCTGAGCCCTAGGTTTCCTGGAATTGCCCCAAGGACCACCAGGATAAAAGGAAGAAATGGGGAACAAGGAGGAACACCTTACCTAATTCTCACTTCAATCCAAACAGCACCACTTTAAAAGCTTCTATATGTTGTCTTCTACCTAGGACTTCATTTACAGCCTAGCAACTCGAAGTCAGGAAACTGAATCATGAAATCATGGAATTCCTCCCCTCTCCACCTCGGGATGCTCTAATTTTATAAAGTAAGTTGATATTATAAAGTACGCAGCCTAGGATCAAAAAAAAAAACAAAAAATGTACTTCACACTTTCATCCAGCATTGCAGTTTACAGGACTTGGATAAGGGATTTGTTTTAATCTGTTTGGCTAGGACCTAGGATCTACACACCATAACGGTACAATTATTACACAAGTCAGGAAGATCCAAATGTACCCATATCTTGGATGTATGATACTGAACTGTATAAAAATATAGGGCTGATGCTACCATTCTATTAAAACCTATTTTTCATTTTATCTTCTTTATTTCTTTACTAGCTTATTAGCTACATATCTGTGTTTTGTTACTTTAATGATGTCTTTAGAATTTATAGTACATATTTTTAACTTTCTACTATCTACTTTTTTATACATATATTATTTTTATTATACTTTAAGTTCTAGGGTACGTGTGCACAATGTGCAGGTTTGTTACATATGTATACATGTGCCATGTTGGTGTGCTGCACCCATTAACTCGTCATTTACATTAGGTATATCTCCTAATGCTATCCCTCCCCGCTCCCCCGACCCCACAACAGACCCTGGTGTGTGATGTTCCCCTTCCTGTGTCCAAGTGTTCTCATTGTTCAATTCCCACCTATGAGTGAGAACATGCGGTGTTTGGTTTTTTTGTCCTTGCGATAGTTTGCTGAGCATGATGGTTTCCAGCTTCATCCATGTCCCTACAAAAGACATGAACTCATCCTTTTTTACAGCTGCATAGTGTTCCATGCTGTATATGTGCCCCATTTTCTTAATCCAGTCTATCATTGTTGGACATTTGGGTTGGTTCCAAGTCTTTGCTATTGTGAACAGCGCCGCAGTAAACATACGTGTGCATGTGTCTTTATAGCAGCATGATTTATAATCCTTTGGGTATATACCCAGTAATGGGATGGCTGGGTCAAATGGTATTTCTAGTTCTGGATATTTGAGGAATCGCTACGCTGTCTTCCACAATGGTTGAACTAGTTTACAGTCCCACCAACAGTGTAAAAGTGTTCCTATTTCTCCACATCCTCTCCAGCACCTGTCGTTTCCTGACTTTTTAATGATCGCCATTCTAACTGGTGTGAGATGGTATCTCATTGTGGTTTTGATTTGCATTTCTCTGATGGCCAGCAATGATGAGCATTTTTTCATGTGTCTGTTGGCGGCATAAATGTCTTCTTTTGAGAAGTGTATGTCTACTTCTAAGTGATATTATGCCGCTTTGTGCACATAGGAATCTTACAATGGCATATCCTCATTTATCTGCTCCAGGCCCTTGGATTATAGTTGTTATGCATCTTACTTTAATGTTGAATACCCCACACCACATTATTACTTTTTCTTTAATCGCTAGTCTTATAATAATTTAAATAATAGAAATGTATTTGCCCATTAAAATACTTATTTTTTATTTTGACCATTGATATATAAATGCTTTTGCAACTCTCTAAAAAAAGCAGTTAGAACTGGCAACCTACAGAATGGGAGAACATTTTTGCAATCTATCCATTGACAAAAGGCTAATACCCAGAATGTACAAAGAACTTTAAAAAATTCACAAGAAAAAAACAAACAACCCCATCAAAAAATGGGCAAAGGTGAACAGACACTTCTCAAAAGAAGATATTTATGCGGTCAACAAACATATGAAAAAAAGCTCATCATCACTGGTCATTAGAGAAATGCAAATCAAAACCACAATGAGATACCATCTCACGCCAGTTAGAATGGCAATCATTAAAAAGTCAGGAAACAACAGGTGCTGGGGAGGATGTGGAGAAATAGGAACACTTTTACACTGTTGATGGGAGTGTAAATTAGTTCAACCATTGTGGAAGACAGTGTGGGGATTCCTCAAGGATCAAGAACCAGAAATACCATTTGACGCAGCAATCCCATTACTGGGTATATACCCAAAGGATTATAAATCATCCTACTCTAAAGACACATGCACACGTATGTTTATTACAGTACCGTTCACAATAGCAAAGACTTCAAACCAACCCAAATGCCCATCAATAATAGACTGGATAAAGAAATGTGGCACATATACACCATGGAATACTATGCAGCCATAAAAAGGGATGAATTCATGTCCTTTGCAGGGACACGGATGAAGCTGGAAACCATCATTCTCAGCAAACTAACACAAGAACAGAAAACCAAACACTGCATGTTCTCACTCATAAGTGAGAGTTGAACAATGAGAACACATGGACACAGAGAAAGGATCATCACACACTGGGGCCTGTCAGGGGGTGGGGGGCAAGGGGAGTCATAACATTAGGAGAAATACCTAATGTAGGTGATGGGATGATGGGTGCAGCAAACCACCATGGCATGTGTATACCTATGTAACAAACCTGCACGTTCTGCACATGTATCCCAGAACTTAAAGTATAATAATAATAATACTAAAGCAGATTTAATGTCTCTCTTCTTCATTACGCATCCTTAAGACATTCTCTAGATGTTCACTCAAGCTAATATAAAATCTGCCTTAATAGCAGACATCTAATAAGCAACATGGCCACTTTACATATGTGGTATTATTTGCTACTCAGTGTCTTACAATGCAGTTACATAGATCTACCATTCCTGTCATACAACGGAGGTACCTAAGGAATCTGACTTAGCAAAGTGACTTTGCCCACTCCTGTCCACATCTCTTAACCTCTTTCTCAAGGTTCAAGTTGCCCTTTTCTTTTTTATCTTTCACTCATTTCTTCTTCTTTTTTTTTTTTGAGACGTAGTCTCGCTCTGTCGCCCAGGCTGGAGTGCAGTGGCGTGATCTCGGCTCACTGCAACCTCCGTCTCCTGCGTTCATGCCATTCTCCTGCCTCAGCCTCCCAGGTAGCTGGGACTACAGGTGCCCGCCACCACGCCCGGCTAATTTTTTATATTTTTAGTAGAGACGGGGTTTCACCGTGTTAGCCAGGATGGTCTCGATCTCCTGACCTAGTGATCCACCCGCCTCGGCCTCCCAAAGTGCTGGGATTACAGGCGTGAGCCACTGCACCTGGCCCTTTTCATTCATTTCTATAAGAAGCCAGCTATTATATACACCTACATACATGTATATAGTAAGTGTGTATGTATAAACACACACACACACACACACATAAATATACATATAACCTGCTGCCTTCATGGTGAGAGGAAATTCTATTATTATAATTTATCATCATGAGGTGGGGAGAATAGAGAAAAATAACTTATTGAGTTCCTACTATGTATAAGGCACTATACTAGGTGCTGAGGATACAAAAGAGTAGGACAAATATAGCTCCTGCCCCAGGAAGCTTACAGTTCATATATAGAGGGAAAATAAACAAGTAAATCAAGCAAATAGTTACACATGTGAACAGTACGAGGATGGAAACAAACAAGGTACTGAATAGACATCACTAGGAAAACACTGGCTACTTCAGCTGGGACGACAGCAGAAGGCCTTTTCAAGGAAAACCCACTGAAGCCTGACTCTGAAGAATGAGTAGGTCTCAGAAAAATGAGAAGTGGAAGGATGAGTGTTTGGGGGAGAGGTAAGACAAATCCCTCGAGGTGGGAAAGAGGCTGGCCTGTTGTTAAGAGCCATCAAAAGGGCAATGTAATGGATGAGTGCCTAAAGAAGGGGCAGGACAGGTGAGCAGACCAGAGGAACTAAAGGAATGTGAGTTGTGATATGTTTTTTCTGTCTCCAGGGCCATGAAGTATGTGTAGTAACAGTGCAGAGTTAGACCAGTGGGTAGCTGCAGCACTTCTGTTTCGGCAGCAGGCAGCATCACTCTAACAGGTCCATCTGCTCTCAGTTTCTCCTGCTGGGTCCAAACATTTGTAAGATGAATTAAAAGAGCTGGGAGAGGCCAGGCGCGGTGTTTCACGCCTGTAATCCCAACACTTTGGGAGGCCGAGGCGGGTGGATCATCTGAGGTAGATCAGGAGCTCGAGACCAGACTGACCAACATGGTGAAACCCCATCTCTACTAAAAATACAAAATTAGCCAGGCGCAGTGTTGGATGCCTGGAGTCCCAGCTACTCAGGAGGCTGAGGCAGAAGAATCACTTGATTCCGAGAGGCGGAGGTTGCAGTGAGCCGAGATCGCGCCATTGCACTCCAGCCTGCGAGACAGAGCGAGACTCCGTCTCAAAAAAAAAAAAAAAAAAAAAAAAAGGCCCAGCACAGTGGCTCATGCCTGTCATCCTAGCACTTTGGGAGGCTGAGGCGGGCAGATCACCTGAGGTCAGGAGTTTGAGACCAGCCTGGCCAACATGGCAAAACCCTGTCTCTACTAAAAATACAAAAATTAGCCAGACGCAGTGGCGGGGGCCTGTAATCCCAGCTACACGGGAGGCTGAGGCAGGAGAATCGCTTGGACCCAGGAAATGGAGGTTGCTATGAGCCAAGGTCATGCCACTGTACTCCAGCCTGGGCAACAAGAGCCAGACTCCATCTCAAAAAATAAAAAAAATAAAAAAATAAAAGAGCTGGGAGACAAAATGCCTGGCTACTGATGAAAACAAAGCTAACAAGGTGGCATGACCTTGGCTTAGTTCTCACAACGCTGCCATGAGAGAAGCTTCCTCATCCCCCTTTTATGTGGAGGGAGGTGATCTGATGTGTTAGGAAGAAAAGACACTTGCCCAAGTATGCCCTGATAGGAAGTAACCGAACTAAGGCTTTTATCCAGATGAGTTTGATGCTGTTAGGGTATTCAACCATATTTTACTGTCACTCATGGGGTATATTCGTGATTAAAAGTGATTAGAAAGTAAAATGCGGGAAAATCTCATTTATTTTACACTTCATGTTTCCTTGCTTTAAAATGTGGTATTATTAATTTATCCATACATTCCACAAACTTTTACTGAGCACCTCCTGAGTGTTCAGCACTGTAGTAGTTGCTGCAAATGATTTGTGCATGAGATTAGCAAGGTAAATCAGCAATGTTTAGTTAAAGTTAAAATCATAATAATGGTATATACCATTTTGATAATCATTATAAAAGGAGACTAGAAATATAAAGTACTCTTAAAATCAATTACTGGTTATCTTGGTTATCATTTAGACTCTGATTTGGCTAAAGCACTATTAACAGACAAAGGTTTGAATGGGAGAGAAACCTGAAGAGTTAAAAAAACATGATATTGGTTCTTGGCATAACTATTAATAATATCATTTGCACAGCTACCAATGGAAAAAATCTAATTAAATCAGAAATAAAAGGATTGTTAATAATCTTAAAGTTTTCCTAAGCCTCCTAGGATATAACTTTTATTACTCCATCCACCAGCTAGTGTCTGAAAGTCAAAAAATGCAAAAAAGATTTAAATATTTTCTCCTCTCTAAGTATTAATATTAAATCAGTTTTAATTACCTGATACCCCAAGTACAGACTAGGAGCTATCTCACTATCTTCATATCAGTTTACACTTCCTCATCACACTAGATTGAAATTTCCCATTTACTATTCTAATCTCTTTCTATACCATATGCTCCATGGCAACAATGACCATATGCTTCTGTTCACAGGTGAATTACTGGAGGTTTGTGCAATCGTGGGCACACTTTAGGTATTCAATAGGTATTTCTAGAAGACATATAAAAGCCCACCACTGCATGTGGTGGATGTTGAGGAACCTAACAGGCACAAGAGCAAAGGGCACAGCAAGGTCAGGGTGCCTGTTATTTACTCATGTGCCCAGAAACTAGTAAACACAACTCTCAGCAACTAACTGAGGCTAGACCTAAATCTGCCTATTAAAGAAGGTCACTCTGTCAAAAGGATGTCAAGGTGTGTAAGAAAACAAAATTACACTTCATTACTTTTTTTTTTTTTTGGTCTGCATGTAAGGGTGCAGATGAAGGAAGGTTTGAAGTGCCTGCAGTTTCCAATCAATGAAGTATATGCAGATTGTTAATCACTTCCCTGGCAGATTGTGGAGAAGTACTAGAAAATCATTAACGTGAAGAGCTGGTGAATCAGAATGCTGATTCTTTGCATACAGATATGACATTTTCTACCCATTTTAACTGAACAGGCCTACAGAAAAGTACTTCATATAAGACAGGTCCTCAATAAGTGTGAAGCAATAACATCTTTCCAAATAAATATTTTATATATTTGAACATCCAAAATTGACCTAAAATTGTTGAAAATATCACACATTATATTATCCGTTATTACCCCTCTGTCCCAGAGGAGCATCTATTCAGAAAAGCCAAGTGAAACTGCTCATTTTCTAAGATATACTTTTATTGGGCAAATAAGAATTAATAAATTTTATTTTGTTGCAGCTTGACAAAATTGAACAACTCCACACAGATATCCCTCTATTTAAGGAAAAAAAAATCTCACCTAGTTGACTAGAAAGAAAATTAGTAAAAACTGGATTCTACCTTCCATTTGAATTACTGTGTAATTTGGCAGGCATATGCCCATAGGAAAATGTCTTTAACTGATGTAAATGAGTGCTTAAGCCATAAGAAAATTAGCACTGATGCCTGACCAGTGCTTGATGTGCTTTTCAACGTGATCCAGCTCATTCTCTGTTTGGGGTAGCTTCAGAACTCTGAAACTCTTCTCCAAGTCAAGAGAATTCCCTTGGTTTTAATTCCATGCCTCTGCCACATTTTAATATCCATATGCCTAATTTCCTTTAGTCTAATTACTAGAATTTCTGTGCTGCTCCAGAGTCCCCTTTACAAAAAAGTTACCACTACCAGAGCTTAGCTGTCCTTTTCTCTATTTTCTCATTGTTGACCTGGACAGTCCACAATGTTGTCTAAAACAGCCAAACAGCCTGAGAGTCTCTCTCTCTTTTTCTTTTTTTTTTTTTTTTCCAGACAGAGTCTCCCTCTGTGGCCTAGGCTGGGGTGCAGTGGCGTGATGACGGCTCACTGCAACCTCCACCTCCCGGGTTCAAGCAATTCTCCTGCCTCAGCCTCCCGAGTAACTGGGACTACAGGCGCCCGTCACCATACTCGGCTAATTTTTGTAATTTTAGTAGAGATGGAATTTCCCCATGTTGGCCAGGCTGGTCTCAAACTCCTGAGCTCAGGCAATCCACCCACCTCAGTCCCCCAAAGTGCTGGGATTACAGGTGTGAGCCACCGCGCCCGGCTGACAGTCTCTTAACTTTGCCACCAAATTATGTTCAATGAGTTGCTTTCTATTTTCATCAATACAACTAACTCCTAATCAGATTATATCAGATTTACTCAGAATAAAAAGTTGCTGTAAATTTGACTGAGGAAATTATTATAACTTTCTTCTCTGGAATGGAACTGATGAATAAAAGGAGAGAAGTATGAATTTCTTCACACGGGGCAGTTTTTGAATGGGTCACACAGTAACAGACTCCCATCCCATTAGCAATCTTATTTCCTTTGAATGCCACATAACACAGCTACTCACAGTGTGAAGCAAAATGTCTTGTTTTCATTTCTGGAGCAATTTCAATGATCCTATTGTCAGTGACATACTCAATAACCATTTTCTGTCACCATGAAAGGGAATACTCTCTAGGCTGATATTCACAAAAGGTTATTCTAATTCCACAGTGATCAGATATACAATTTAAGTTGTATTCTTAATTTTTAAATCCATCATATATTACTCTAGGTTCCGAAAAGCCACAGGTTGAAATCAAGGTGAGGGATAGGGGGAGGAAACCATCTATTAATCACTTCCATTGTGCAATAGCCAGAATGAAGCAAATAGTTACTAGAATTCAAAGCCTTTTAAGGGGTTTATCTCAGATTCAGTTATAACAAATAGCTAAAACTTCTTCTTATAAAGTGACTTCTGTATATTTTTGTTTGTTTTAACCTGTTTTAACATCAATAAACTGGGAAAAGTTTTCAAAAGGACTATTAGAAAGAATCATATATGTTATTTAAAGGAAGCACTTATGTCTTATCCATGCCAGTATTCCCAGAGGTCCTCATATTTACTAAGGCTTCTATTGCACTGACTGGGTGTCTGGCACTGTTTTAAGCACTTTCTATATATCAACCCATTTAATTATCATAACAACTCTATGTGGCAAGTACTATTGTTATCCTTTCCATTTTACAGTTGAGGAAACTGAGGCACGGAAGCAATTTGCTAATGATCATGTATCTGGTGGTAGCAAAGTTGAGATTCAACCTCAAGCTGCCTGGGCACCAAAATCCAGGCTCTTAACCACTATGTTATGCTGCCTCTGGCATTAAGAAATGATAATTAACATTTATGGGAAGAGAAGAGGAAATGGAATACTTTGGCAGTAAGAAAATTAAGAAGGCAACCTTGTCGGTCTCACAGTACAGTTGCCTTCTAGTAGAGCTCTTTTTCTATTGGGGATATTTATCAATTTTGCAGCACTTTTCTGAATCCTGGGTTGCTCCTTAAACCCTGGTCACATCCAGCTTCAATTTACTCCTGCTTGGATGAACCAACTAAAAGGAGACCACAGGAGTCTTTGCTGCTGGTAAGTGTTTTTCTCAGTTCCCTAGAGCTAGAATCTTTGCGCAGGTGCGAAGAGTAGAGCACCTTTCAGTGAGAAATCCAACTAGTATGTAAAATGCTTAGCACTCAGTGAAAGTTAGAAAATAACATTATTATTATTATTTAAAGCATCAATCAAACCATCACTGCCCTCCAGTTCTTCTATTAAGAGACAATACAATAGTATATTCAAGACAGTAGCATCTATGACCAAAACAGAATATTGCAGTAAGAACTTTTAAAAATGCATTCTAAAGAAATATTTATAAAGTACTATACCTACATTTGTTCCAGGCACTGAATCAGGTACAATAATGAAGATGACAGATATAGCTTCTGGCTTCACAAAGCTTACAGTTGGAAAGACAGGTAAATAACCAAGTAGAATACATTATTATATGTGCTGTGATATAGAAAAATAGGATCTTAAGAGGCAAAGATAAGGGGTACCTAATCCAGGTATGGTGGACTAGGAAAGTCTTCCCAGAAGAAGTAACTTCTGGATTGGGAAACTGAACATTTAGCTAACCAAAGCAGATGGAGGCAGAGTTCCAGGCAGAGGGAACATCACTCACAAAAAATGAACATGCAAGTACACAAAAGTATCCAAGAACTAAAAAAGATCTGTTATGGCTAAGGTTATAAATGCAAAGAGGGCAGAATGGCAACAGTAGAGGCTGAGGAGGGAAGCAGAAGCGATTTCACAAAAGGATGTGGTTCATGTTAAAGAGTTTGTATTTGAATACAAGAGCAGTTGTAAGACAATTATGAACTTTAAGCAAAGGAGTGACATGGTCAGTCACTCCTTAGAAATCTCATCATATTTGCAGCAAGGAGGATAGATCCAAAGGGGAAAATACTGGATGCGGGAGGGGGAGAACAATTTAAGCTCATTTGCAATAGTATAGAAAAGCAATAAAGGAATGCTCATGGCCTTTCCATCAGCGGAGATGGAAAGAAGAGGACGGACCTGAGGGAGATGAAGGAGAAGAACCAACAGGACTTGTTGGAGATTGGAGAAAGTGGGGAGAAGAAAGAATCAGGAATGTCACCTATGTTTTATTCCTCCTTGGGCAACTAAGTGACTAACAATGCCATTTAGAGAAGAAGCTTGGGAAACACAAATGGTTAAGTTCAGTGGAGTTTCAGCACAATTGAAAAAATACAAAGATACTCAAATGTAAAATCAGAATAGCCAGAAGGCAAACTTTTCTACCCAAAATGATTCTCATAGTCAACAGGGCCCACTGCACATCTTGGTAAGCTCAGCAGGCTACCACTGCAGCACCTGAATGGTAGCCTAATCTAATGACAAGAATGGAAGTGCAATACTAGACCTTGAATGACTGGAGAGAAAATAAGGGACCTCTTTGAATGCCTGCTTTGTCATCAGAATCAACTTGAACAATGGAGAGAATACACCCAATAGCTATTGATTCAGATGATAAATATGTAAAAGCTAACAATAAAAACATGCCCTTACCTTGCCTCCATAACATATAGCATTTCAATCCTCCAATGCAAATTGTAAAATGAACTTGCTGTCACCTGTGAAAACTTGTCAGAAATACTGAGTGAATTTGATTAGGCCTCTAAAATCTGGAGTCTAGATCTAACGAGCTTACCAAAAACATAAGGATTGAGGAGGGTGTGTTCATAATATCACGGAGATCATAGAGATGGATGAGCAAAACCCAGAATGCAAGATATTCAACATGACAACTTGATTTCATGAAACAAGTAAGTTGTAAAAAAGAGGAGAAAGAAAAAGAAAGAGAGAGAGAAAAAAAGAAAGAGAGAGAAAGAAAGAAAGAAAGAGAAAGAAGGGAAGGGAAGGGAAAAGAGAGAGAGAAAAGGGAATAGAGCAAGAGAAAGAAAGGGAGGAATTAAAAGAGATGTAAGATGGACATTTTACCACTTTGTTGCATATAAGTTATATGCAATATTTTTTAAATGATGAGAGAAAAGAAAATTAGCAAACAAATATAATATAATATGTAGATTTCATTTGCATCTTGATTCAAACCAACTTTTAAAACATTGTGAAGAAATCAGGAAACTTTAAACACTGACTAGATATTTGATAATATTAAAGAATTATTAATTTTGTATGTTATAATGGTATATGGTAGAATACCATATAATGATGTTATGTTGCTTTTAAAAATAATTTATATTTTAGAAATATATACCATAGCATTTGTGGATAAAGAAATGAATTGATGTCTGGGATTTGCTTCAAAATAATCCAGCATCGACAAAAGGGAAAGTAAGTAGGAATATGGATGAAACAAGATTGATCTTGCTGTGCTAAGGGTAATTATTAGAGATGGGTGATGGTTACATGAAAGTTCATTATGCCATTATCTCTACATTTGGATACATTTCAAAATTTCTGTAATAAAAAAAAATTAACTGATTTGCCAAGAAACACAATACTTGAGAAAAGCCATCGCAGAGGCAAAAGAAAAAGAGCAACAGTGCGTTATGATGCAGAAACTGAGCATTCATCTATCCATTTCTGGAAGACTTCTTTCTATGCATGGGACTGGCACTCATCCTATGCGTAGTCGCTCCTTTCCGTGTTTTGTGTTTGGAGGTGTTCCAGATGGAGCTTTGTGGCACATTCTCAGCTACTTCCATTTCTAATTTCTTTGATTAGATACAACCTCATTAGGCTGTTAGAAATATTTGGTCTTCTCTTTCCAATCATATATATTTTAATGTATCAGAACACTTGGGGGCAACTTCAGAGACCTCTCCTTTTCACCCATACATTGACACAATTCTTGCTGCCAAATACCTTCCCTGATGCCACAGACCCAGGAAGAAACTATTTTAATCTTCTCCTACAAGGGACTGGGCTCAGGTAACAGCTCTTGCTTGGCATAGAAGTGAAAACAGTATAATAAAATACTTCACTAACATGCTTAAATCACTGTTCTATTAAGCCCAATTCTCAGTGCACAGCATCTTAAAGAAATAAGAAAAATTATGCCTGCTGCTTCTGCCCTTTATTATCCAATATCTGCCTGAGCATGGGTCTAAACTGACTTCATAATGAAGCCTTATACTTAAACTGCGGTTTGTTTTTCATCAGAAATTAAGAAGCTTCAAATCTTAAGAACACTTTCTTCAAGGTAAAAGGATGCCTGATCCACAACTATTAAAAGTGCTCTTATGTACAAATACCCCTGGGGAAGGTAACATCATGCCTTGAAAGCATTCTAAATATAATGACAGAGCAGAATTTTTCCTGATGAGCTTTGATTATGGCATGGGAGAAAGAACTGGAGAGCAGACATGACTCAAACAGAAGGAAAGAGGAGCAGCTAAGGTGAGACAACAGAAGGAAGTCACAGAGAGAGATGCTGGTAGTGTAAGGACCAAACATCACATACCTTATGATTTTGGCCACTCTGCTATCCCTGATGTTTCACTTTGAATGTGCCAATACCATATCTCTATAGGTAATAAAAATTGAAATTATTACAGGTTGAATATCCCTTACTCAAAATGCCTGAACTGGACATGTTTCAGATTTTGGATTTTTTCAGATTTTATGATATTTGCATATATGTAATGACATATCTTAGGGCTAAGACTCAAGTTTGAACATGCAATTCATTTATGTTTTATATGCACATTATACACATAGCCTAATGTAATTGTATACAATAGTTTTAATAATTTGGGACATGAAACAAAGTTTGTGTTGAGTACTTATATGTGGAATTTTCCACTTGTGGCATCATGCTGGTGCTCAAGAAGTCCTGGATTTTGAATCATTTTGGACATGGAATTTTTGAAGTAGGGATGCTCAACCTGTACTGGTATCTTTCAAGTAGCCAGGAGAAAAAAAAGGCTAGAATAATCTTAGGGTAGATGCATTTCCACCTGTTTTCTTATGAAGGCACATGCTCTTATTGAAGCTTGTTAAAGTCAAGCTTAGCTAAATTATTCACAGTGGCCAAAGCATATATTTCTCCCCAATACGAGGTCACACAGCTGAATTATAAATGGAAGATAATTTCTTGATCTACTTTTTTCCAACAGCCTATCTTAATCAATAATCCTGAAGATATATACTGCATCTAAAAGGTAATTTAGAGACTTCTGTGGAAGCAACTCTAAATTTTAGGAAAATAAGTAAAGAGAAGAAAGGTTAAAATGCACTTACAAGCTGCAATTTGTTGAAAAGATGATGAATCAGTGTGTCTGTTTCCATAATTCATAGAATTCAGAGTGTATGTTTTCAGAATAAGTGTCCTATGAATTAACCTCCCTAAGTGTGGTCACGTTATCACAGCTTTATTAGAGGCAAATGCCTTTAAATCTTAGTGCTTTCAGGCATTTGGCTGAAGTAACTCACTCATGAGTAGGCTTATGGAAATGTGCATAATTCTCTCCAACCAAGAACAATCTTCCCACTCTCTCAGGCATCAGAAGATGGCTCTGGAAATAAAGGTTCATTTATTTCCATGCACCTGTCATTTGGTTCCTAAGTGATGTGAATTGTTATTGAGTATCTAGTTCAAAATCAGGACTTGTCTTTTGCAGATTACATAGTTCTCATTTTATTTAGAGGTGAATCAAGAAGGCATTTTCTGATATTTATGACCTCACCTTCCACATAATGCTTGAAAAGTAATTATTCAGTCAGTTGGTTGGGAAAGTAGTAAAGAAACCTTCTTATTGTTTTAAATTAAAGCAAAGGACATGTCTAAAATACTTTGTAAGGCAATCCCTAGGGTAGACGTTTCTTTTCTATGTTCCTCTATCACTCATATTAACTCTTTTAGTTGCATATAAGTGAATCATAATCCATAGCATTTCACCTGTATTTTGGTGTGTGAGTGATGTAGACAAACACATTTCTTACCTGCCTCTTAAGCACATACAAATACCTGTTGACTTTTTCATTGTTCATAGTTCTACACTAACAAAACACACACTGAAAACCACCTGATATTGACCATCAACTCTAGGTCCACATGAAAATTTAAATGAGGTAAGAATCTAACTTATTCATGGTTGATAGGTAGATTTCGGTCTCCCCAATTTTTCTTGGAAGACTCAGAAGAAAAAATAGGCAAACAGGGAAACAAGAAGTCTCTCCCCATGATTATGAACCATCATGCTATGCACTAATTTCTTGCTGTTTATTTTTTACTGAGATATTGATCCATGCAAAGTGACTCTGCCTTATTCCTGTGTTATTAAAAAAGACTGATTGCTTAAATTGTTAATTCCTTAGATCTAAGGAGCTTGTATATATATATATATACATATATATACACACACATATATATACATACATACACACATATATATGTGTATATATATACACATATAAATATATATATATTTATATATATACACACATATAAATATATATATATATATATTTCCCCCTAAGCCCAGGAGGAAGTTGAGTTCCTTTGTGAAAAGCATCTTTGCATGCAGCCAACTCCCTTCTTTAGAGCATCTCCCATGGTTTCGTCCCATTAACCCGAGCACAACAGCTTGATGAATTAATGCTTATATAGGCACAGTTGGCAGCTTCTAATTAAATAATTATGGCTAAGCAGCTGCACGGAAGCTGTTATGCACCCTAGAAAGCCAGCTGTCAGTTTTATTGGTCCTAAGACAGAGGAAGAGTTAACACTTAGCTCTAGATGGTGGGTACAAAGGGGAAGTATATCATTTGCAAGATATATGCTGCTGGTATGAAGTTCCTGTGCATTTGTGCTAGCCTGTCCATGGAGAGATGGAGAACAAACTGTTCCTCAGCAATCTCTCAGCAATTCAACAAAGAAAGAAGAAACGACATAGTCAGGAGAATGGAGCCTGTCCAGATAAATCTAAAGGGAAATCGTGTTGGACAGATGAGCCTTTGATGAACACAGAAATGCCACTGGTAGACAAATAAATTTCAGTGTGTGGGTCTCATTTATGTAAGCAAGTGACTATAAATCCAATGTGGTCTTTTTGGAGGGTATAACTGGTATGTTTCCATTTATTTGGTTGAAGCTTCTTACGATGCTATGTTTTCAAATATTCAAAATCGGAGAACATGGTAAATATTACAAAGCTGCATTGGAACTATCTTTAAGATGTACTTCTCCAAAAAGTTTGGAGAAGATATTTCTGCTTCAGAATTATAGATAATGTCATATTCCTTTATAGAAAGCTAAAAAGCCGGAATCTTATCTCTACACTAGTGGGAAATTTACCAAAAGGAAGAAGACAATACCTGTCCACTAAGCTCTAGCATAAAGAAAGATATAGATTGTAGATAAAGGCCACAGATAGGATTAATGAACCAAATGATGTTTGTTATCGCACATCAATATACTCCTGAACTGATTACTGATTTCGTTTTTTTCCACAGGTTGTTCTGGCTATGCAATACATGTGTCTTAACCAAATGTGTGATAGCTTAGTAGAGAATGACTTGGCTTCCCACTAGCCTCTCTACCAAGGTTCCCGGCACCATTGCCAAATGATTAAACATAACTAAGGAAAAAAACCAGTCCAAGAAATTCAGTCCTACTTTTATGTTTAAAGAAATTTAGATATTTTAATCCTGAATTCTGGATTTGTTTTAGAATAAGAATAGAGGAAATCAAATGTTAACACTGGAAACATATTTCTTGTGGAATTTACTTCACCCAACTCCTGGGCCTGTTGAAAATCGGCAGTTAAAATCAAGTACCAAAGAGTGCAGGCTGATTTACTCTTTTCCTTTCAGGGATCAATGGCTCACAGTTTATAGTTTAGAATAATGCCATATCATAAAATGAGGAATCTGCAGGGTATCTTCATTTAAGCAAATGAACTGACCTCTAAGAACCCCTTACTTAAAAGGCTTCAGTATCATTGTTTCATTTCTTCCCTCTCTGGCTTCCTTTTATGTCAGTAATTCTACCACCTCAGCTGTCTGAAGGTGTTTAAATGTGATTGACAATTCTGAAGGATCTAGTTCCTTTTACATAGATCTTAAATGAAGTTCAGCTTAATTAAGTCTGCAGTGCAACTCAGGTCTCAGTACAAAAGGCTTCAGAATCAAACAGCAGATTTGTAAAACCCTTAAAAGCAAAATTTAGACTTGGGGGGAGCAGGGGGCCTTTCAGCAGTCTGTACTGCCATCTAGCCAAGACCACATTATTCATTGCAACATCCATTTGTGTTTTCAAAGCCCCTGATGAAAGCAAGTCTTCAGCAACCAGCTTAATAGACCTCAAAGTCCAGCTAAATGAATAGACAGCAGTAATTCACCCACTGAGTATACCAAGCTCCTGTGGACAAACAGCCAAGATGTAATAATCAACCTTATTTTCTCAATTCAATATCTGGCAAAAACAAAAAGACATACATGCTTGTTCCATTTTACATATTGCATATACCAATATCATTTGCATTTTATTATTTTGGAGGCCTTTGAATATTCTGTGACCTCATTGGATAAAAGTTGCCTTAGGTTAGACATGAGAGCTGAATTATAACCTCTAATCCTCTAACTACAACTCAAGAGTTAAAAAGAATTCCAAACCATGTTCCTTAGGTATGGAGAGAACACACAGACCATATACATTTGTGAAGAGCATTGACACACATAAAAAATTAAAACAACCCTTTGTACTTACGGTAGAAGACATATTCAGTGTAGCTTGACCAGATCTTGTCATCTGTATATTGGTTGATGAAAGATGCTGTCACCGATGAGTTACAGGCCACCATGTGGAATCCACACTCTGACAACATATCAAAAGCCCTTTCCAGGTGCTTGAATTTGAGATAAAATCTGGAGGTGTATCTTTCTGGGGCTCGATCAGGGTCTCTGCTTTCATTCAAAGTTTCTCCAAAGACTTCTTTTGCCAAGGAAATCCTTCCACAAACCAAAATCCGGGGAACTCTCCGAAACTTGGCATCTGCCTGTCCCTCTCTGCCCAAGGTGCAGGATCCTCTGTAACCCACAGTAATGAAACCCCACTTGCGGTCGGCAGGGAGCAGGGAGGAAGGGGGGCAGATTCTTGTGTCGCTTCCTTGGGAGGCATCTTCAAAGTCACTGTGGCAGAATTCATCTGGGCTTTGCTTGATTTCATCGGGGGTCAGGAGTTTGACCAAGTCTGGGAGCTGGAAGTATTCAGCTTCCCTTTTCAGTCTTCCTTTTTCTGGAAAGTGATCAGGCAGGACCACCTGCCTGTCCCTGAGATAGTCCAGAATATAACGGAACAAGAATCCATCTCTGTCAATGAAAAACCTTCCCTTGGAGTCCTTGGCTAGATCATTAGCCGTGTCTCTCTTTGGGGAAAACATTTTCCACAGGAGGGAATGAGGGATGCTTATCAATGTGGAATGGCGAGTAAAATAAACTTGACCCCCGACATTCAGCTCTACCACCTCAGGGAAGGAGTTGGGAACTGCGGACCCTTGTTCTCGAGGATAATAACGACTACAGTTTCCACTCAGAGCCATTGTCCCTTTCTTCTGCTGCTGCTATTTTGATTTAAAGGTGCAATCCAATGGAGTCACAGCCTTATCCTTTGGATCAACTTGTAAGAAAGGGAAAAGGATGCTAACTTATTAAAAAATGACCTCCTCTTATCCCAGTATTTTTCCCCCAAGAAATCAAAATGTATAAGAGTCCACAGGTGAAGTGATGCTGAAAAAGTAGTTTAAACCCTGGATGGTGGATGGTAGTGAGCTGCTACTTCATAAAATATAATCAACTCGTCTATATCCAATCTTCCATCAAGCTCACATGCAAGGCAGGCCAATTCCCCAGTTACTCAGATGTCCGTCTGAAGGAAAAGAGAAAAAATTATTTCCTCAAACCTGGAATGAGTCAGAAAAAGAGTCCTCTGGAGAGAGAGAGAGGGAGGGAGGGAAAAACAGAGGGAGGGAGAGAGAGATTATTTTACATAAGCAGCTCTGGAACTACTGATCTCAGCCATTCTTCAATTAAATCATAGCTTCTCTCATGCTATTTTGTGCCTACATGTTTATCTATAAGCCTCTGTCTCCAGCAATTAGTATGAAAAACAATTTACTTGTAAGTCTACATTAAAAAGAAACATGCAATTTTCAACTTCCAAATGGGAATTTTTTTTTCAGCTGGACAGGAAAAGCAATAAGTCTTAGAGCTTACCTTAGTGAGTGCTGGAGACCCAGTTCTTGTGAAAAAAATAATAATAACCATTTGTAAAGCAATCAAAATCCACAGCCAAACTGAGTCTGGATCTTGTCAAATCCCAAACAGGTAAACGACCGAGGTATCAATGAAAAGTGCCAGAGAGGTGTGCTCTTGGAAAATAACTATTATATATATGCATTTATATAAATGCCTATTTGTATTTATGTATGTATGTAGGTACATATGTGTTCATTCCGTATCTTAAGTTAAAACAAGTCGCAAAAAAAGTTAAGCCCTGATGAGAGGAGGTTGGGTTGAAGAAGTAAAGCAGAGAAAATATTCAACCAAAGCTTCCCCAGGGGAAAAGAAAAATGGAAAAAGAAATCTTTGGAAAGGATCCTTAGAAGAGAGTTGCAAGAGGTACCAGGACTTAGAAGCTTTTCAGAAAGCCCAGAAGCAGAAAGATGGAGAGATGTGCCCTGCTAGGGTCCCAGGTAGCCACCCCACCTGCCGGCAAGGGCAAACGGACTCCCATGTTCCCAGCCAGGTGGGAGCCGGTGCGAGCCAGAGGCCAACGCAGCGCAGAGATGCCGGCGGGGGGCCCGGGGCTCCGGCTTCTCTGGCGGCGGAGCTGGGTGGTTCCACAGTTCCCAGTGCAGTTCGGATGCTGTTGTTTCAGCAGTGCAGGCAAGAAACCATCCAGGGAAATGACTATTACATCATCTTAAAGGAATATGGCTTGGAGAAAGCGGAGGCAGCTCCGAGTCACGTCCTCCTCGGTGACAGGTTGCCAGGACTGCACGGGGACGCCGCGCTCCGGCGGTGGGCACGCG
Source organism: Homo sapiens (assembly GCF_000001405.40). Classification (NCBI taxonomy): domain Eukaryota; kingdom Metazoa; phylum Chordata; class Mammalia; order Primates; family Hominidae; genus Homo; species Homo sapiens. The sequence continues at coordinate 144,205,223 of NC_000005.10, read as the reverse complement.
ATTGCCAGGCGCGCGGGGCTTGGGGCGGGGACGCAGTGCTGCGCAGCCACTTCCCTCCCTGTCCTGTCCTGGAGTCTGGAGTTTCCAAGGGCCTTTTCCTTCTTCCTTGTCTTTACCTCCATCACCATCCCACAGCAAATCCCTGCCCCCTACCCAAGAGGTAAGTTGTGAGATAAACACAACTGACTTTTTATTTGAAAAATCTACAGATCTTCCCCCCTCCCCCCTCCTCGTTCACGGAATTCCTTCCTGCTGAAGGGCAAATATCCCTCTAATGCTTGTTTTAAAACACAGACACGCACACCAAATGACCCCAGTGTTCAAACTACACAGTGTTTTTTTTAATCCTTTGATTTAAACCATATTCACTCAAATTCTCCCTTTTTTTCCTTTTCTATTTCATCCGCCTGCCACCACAACCCCTAGCAAATAAATAAATATGAATATATATGTAAATAGGTAGATACATAAACACTCTCTCTGAAATTAATGATGCTCTTTCAAAATGAAGACGTGAAGCACCGGCACCCACAGAAAGCCCACAGTTTACATCCATAAGTCATTATCTTAGCTCACCTGTAAGAAATTGATACCTGCAACCTTTTTCTGGGGTTGTTTCCTTACTGCGCGTCTCTTTGGACGTGCCCCCAGCCCCTCCCAAGTCATCCCAAGAGGACTCTGGTGGAAGGCACTGCTGCTAAAAGACATTTTACTCCTGTTCCAGAGGGCTCCCTTAAGTGCATCATTAGAGTTTCAGGAAGGCATTTCCAGGGCAACCTAATCCACTAACAAAGTGCTTCCAGTTGAGCCTGACAGTCAATAATGGCCCAGCCAACAGCTTACAGTAAGTCGGCCATTTCCCCTTTAAAACACCAGTGTCTTAGGGCTCACATCCCTGATAAGAATATAGTGCTTGGTCAATGAATAATATATGTGAGGCACACGCCATCCCAAACAATTGCTATTTTTAAAAAGTGAAAAACAAAAATGGAGGTGAACTTAGGAATTATATACATTTTATGAGAAACGTGTTTATTGCCAACTCTTGCCCAAAAAATTAGCTTGAAGATACGCTCAACAGTAGGATAAATTAGTTTCTACTTTAACAATCTTTTCTTTCAATAAGCATTGGGTTACTGAACATATTCAGAGCGTTAGCTAACATTCCTACACCTGATTATATTTGACTTTGTTTCGTTAACTAATGCATTAACCTGTTCTGGCCTCAATCATTAGGATTTTAATGCTGGACCAAGCAAGATGTTTGTTATGTGATGCACTTATATCGCCATCTAGTGCCCTAAGCTATCAGTGCAGCTCTGTATCTGGCAACTTAATAGGGCCAAAACATTTAGATTTTCTTTTATTTTTAAGTTTTTATAGTGATCTAAGTTTACTTGGCATGCACTGCTCACCATGACAACAAAATAAATATTTCGTTGACATCAGGTCAAAGACAAAATAAATCTGAATTCAGACCTATTAAGTACTGGTTTTGGTTGTAAAGTAAGCAAATGTTTTATTTCTAAGAGAGTAGGTCAAAACGTCATGACGATAGCTTTGGAGCTCAGGTATGAAAACACTGCAGGGACAGTATGGCAGTAGGTGGAGAAACAGAGTAAGAAAAATTATAATCTTTTAGAGCTAAAACGGACTTGAGGAATGAAAATTAACTATCTCTTCTTAGAGATGCAGAACTGAGGAACAGAGAGGTTCAGCACTTCCTCAGGGTCACACGATTCCAGAGTAACAGGATGGGCTTTAGACCACTGACTCTTCAGGATAACCATCCTCATTTTAACCTTAGATATTCTTGAATAGGAATAGAGAGGCGGCAAGTTTAAGAAACAAGATTTTTTTTGAAACAACAAATTGCAAGACATTTTCTTGAAATTTGAAACAACAAATTTCAAGATTACTAAACATGTTTTTAAAAAGCACACCAAGAATTAATATTAATATTAATACTCTTAAAAAGAGTATTAATATTACTTTAAATTGCAGAGTTAAAAGATTTTATAATATAAAAGAAGAATATTCTGAATTTTTAAAATGAGGAGTTCTGTTCATTGGTCTGGGTTTTATAGGTTAGGTTACTTTTGAGACAAGTAGATTCTTAACCTTTTTTGGAAAATGGACTGCTTAGAGAATCTAATAAAACCTAGGAAATGAATCCACAAGCATAAAAGTTTGCATTCACTGTCAAGGCAGAACCTCTCAGGAAAGGCTGAGTAAAAAGAGGAACAGGTGCGGGGGCCATGTAGTTGATGATTCACATAAGCAGAATTCCTCAAATTTTGACTATGAAACTTCTTTTTGAAGTGAGATTACACATACATTCACAGAGACACACTCTGAGAATTGAAAAATGGAAAACATTCACCAGACAACCTTAATCTTGCAACCCATGATTTGATCATACCACCTGAAACATTTTGAATTGGTATTTTTCATAAACACTGTAAATATCCTGTTTTGCACAATTATATTGCATCATATTGTTAATTGTTGTGTGCTAAAACAGTTTGTTTATTATAGTAAGCAGTTAAAAATAAACACTTGCTTTGCTAACTCTATTTGGGCATATCTACTTTTTAATCTAAATGGAACCTCAGAAAAGCAAGATGGTCTAGGCCTCCCTCACCTTCTGAGAGATCAGGGGTTTGGTTCAAGATTGGCCTGAAGCCCATTCATGTTGGGGTTCATAGACCTCAGGTTAACATCCCCAGATCTGTACTCCTTCTTGTTTCTTTAGTCTCAGGGATGAAAACGAATGAGAGGTGAGATTAAAAAGATAAAAGACTTGAAGGAAATAAAGCAATACACTCTACAAAGAGATTTAAATAGTGCTAGAGTAAGCGAATGTCTCAGGGAAGTTGTCGGTAAGCCCGGCTGTTTGGTGCCTTAACAAGAGGCAAGAAGCCAAGTCTAGGCTGTAAGTGTATTCCTAGCCTTCGTGTCAGCAAATAACACCGCTAGTGTTATTATTCTCTCTTGGCAGCTCTCCGCTGAAACACTGTGGGATGGCACTCCCGGACTGAAGGCTGAACAGCATACGGCAACAGATTTCTCTTAGAGGAAGAGCAAGGAAGAATGCTCCATCCTGTTCTTTGTAATATTCAAGCATATAGCAAATCAAGACGTATGTTAGGTAAATTGTGAAATTGATAAAATATGTTTTCGCCTCTGTTTCCTGCTTTCACATGCACAGCCAAATATTGAAGGGTATATTCTCAAAAGGACTATTTTAATTTTGAAATAATGTGATCACTCTCTACATTCTCACTCCTAACACATCCTTAAGTTTTCTCTGCCCTCAAGCAGAGATAGCTTTCATGCTGACAGCCTTCGCTATCAGGGAGGAAACAGACCTCATAAACTTACTTATGCTAAGATGCTGCACACTCATCGTGTTATGTGCTCCCAAGGATTCCTGCATTATCACCATTATCTTAATAGCTGCTGTTTATGGAGGGATGACCATCAAGTCCTCACCACAGTCAGTCGTTATCCCTCTTCCAGTTCTGCCTGGCTGGCTGTGTGACTTTGAACAGGAGACTCATGTCTCTGAGCCAGGGTATGGTGGCAATAAAAAGACCTGCCTCGCAGGTGTGTTGCGTGGACTAAATATGAAGATGCATGTGAGCTCTCTGGCACATTCCATGGCTTTTAGCAAGTGCTTAATAAATGTCATTAGTGTTCATGCTAGTGGTTTAAAATATCTGTATTCATTGTTGTTAAACTCCAATTGAGGCATAAAGAAATTACAAAAGATGCCCAAACATAGAAATTGAGTTCTACATCCAAAATCATTACTCTTTCCAGTATGAAAATTCAGGTTAACACCATTGCTTGTTATAAATGTATTTATTATTCATGGGGGAATTTCAGGATTTGGTGAGGGAGATGGGGTGGCAGAGTGGGGAACTGAAAATAATCAGTATCGCAGTGGTTAAAAATGAAAATGCCACTGTCTTTTGCCAGACAAGATTATTTCCCTGGTAACCTTTCATTTATACTACATGGATTTATTAAGTGCCTATGTTGTGTCCAGCACACTTCTAGGTAGTTGAGATGCAAAGCCCGATTTCATATAGTCTCTGACTCAAACACTCACATGCAAATGCACACACAAACTCAAAATCCTACCAATGGGGGAAAAAATTTAAAGTTACATTGGCTGGGTAAGGTGGCTCGCACCTGTAATTCCAGCACTTTGGGAGGATGATGTGGGAAGATTGCTTAAGGCCAAGAGTTTGAGACCACGCTGGGCAACAGCAAGACCCTGTCTCTACAAAAATACATTAAGAAATAGAAAAATTAGCCTGGTGTGGTGGTGCATTCCTATAGTCCCAGCTACTTGGGAGGCTGAGGGGGGAGAATACCTTGAGTCTCGAGTTTAAGGGTGCAATGAGCTATGATGGTGCCTCTGCACACCAGCCTGGGCAACAGAGTGAGACCCTACCTCAAAAAGAAAACAAAGTTATAGATTCTTGGGCACTGCCTTTTATTTTCAGAAATATCCCTAGTGCCGTATTTAGCCTTTGGTGTTACATAGTTCACGTATGATTTTGACAAACCATTTAACCTCAGATGGCCTCTGCTTCCATATCTATAAAATGAAACCATCTCCCCTTAAAGAGATATCATGGCCAATGACAAAATAAAGATCAAATACAGCTGTCAAATCTTCAGACATTCTAGGAAGTAATTTGCTATGTAAGAAACAGATGAAGAAGGCAGCAAACAGTGATCTTTCTTGTTAACGTAAAGCCTGGCAAGAAAGAATTTGGATTAGACTTGTATAATCTAAAAGTTGGGAGTGGAGATCCTTCGGGGTCATCCACTGCAGCCTCAGATTCAGATAAAAGCTTCATAGCAGATGTTCAGCCAAGTCATTTCTCTCACAGTTTCTCCCTGAAAATACTCCTGATTTCCACTGTCATAAAATACAAATGAAAGCAAAAGCTGTCTGTATCACCATTGTGCCTCCGAACAGAATTCTACAGGATAAAGTTCTTCTAAGTGAACTATAATTTTGAGATTTGATCTTTAAAAAAAAAAAATTATGCTACTCTGAAAAAAAAGTACTGCTCTTCAGACATAAAGGCAACTTTACTGACTATATTCACAGGGTCTAAAATTTTTGCGGTGTGCATGTATGTGAGTGTGTACGCAAGTATACATTTCTGTAGTAGGTACAGATGTGAAGTCACATTTTAAATTTGTCTTCAAAACGAGGAAGCACTTTGGGAGGCAGAAGCGGGCGGATCATGAGATCAGGAGATCGAGACCATCCTGGCTAACATGGTGAAACCCTGTCTCTACTAAAATACAAAAAATTAGTCGGGTGTGATGGTACGCACTTGTAGTCCCAGCTACGGGAGGCTGAATCAGGGGAATCGCTTGAACCCGGAAGGCGGAGATTGCAATGAGCCAAGATTTTGCCACTGCACTCCAGCCTGATGACAAAGCGAGACTCTGTCTCAAAAAAAAAAAAAAAAAAAAAAAAAAAATGAAGCTGTTCTGGAACAAATGGTCAAAGTTAGGAGTGCACAATTTGGCCATGAAGTCAAGTAAAGCCAACTCCCACATATGTGTTTTAAAACTGTGATCTCATCAGCATGAAGCCTAACCAACAGAAATATACTTATTTCTGAAAATGGGTTGGCAAATGAAAAACATAGCTGCACAATTAGCTGCACGATTCTCATATAATTGGTTTTACTAAATCCACATGCACTATTTTAGGAATAGCCCTAAAAACAAGACGCCTACCTTTGCCTCCCCTGAAGTCCTTCACCTACAGCCTGTTGATCCATGTCGTGTTATTCCCTGTGGGATGTTTGTTAGCTAAATTGTATTACACATGTTGGTGGAGTCTTCTTTATGTCTGCTCTATGTACTATGTAATATATCTTTCGGTAAAGCAGTAGTGTAAACTGCAAGCCAGTAATTATCAACCTTTTATCTCCTACCTAGGGAACCCATCTTTCAAAAGGCGTCTTTGTTGTCATTCCATAATATGCAACAGATACAAGTGGAATGAAATCAGAATCAGCTTAGGTGTTAAGTTCAAAAATATTTATTTTTTAAAAAATCTTCCAGAACTTGCAATAATAAATATCTCAAATGTCTTTAGAATGCATTTTAATTTTTTTCTAAATAGTTTTATATATGTGTAAATGGAATTTGTGGAATACCCTGAAGCAACTTAAGGAAATAGAGTTTTAAAATCCTGTTTGTAAAGAAAAGAAACAGGTTTTAGAATCAGGCAGAACAGAGTTTGAAAGAGGTACTTACCAGCTATATAATCATGAGCAAACACTTTACTCATTTATGCTGTTGATGTTACTGATCCCTTTTCTGAAAGCCTGGCTCTCCCTTCTAGGAGAGGAATACGAGAAAGTAAAGTGATACTCAGAACTCTAAGCACATTTGCCCTTGGAGATTGATAATTTGTTCATTTAAAAACAGGGCTTCTAACTTGGAAAGTATCTACACCTTTCAAAGGATGATGAATAGAAGAAAGTGAATGAACAGGCTGGCTCATTCAAAACAGATCACATCATTTTACAGTGATTCAGCACAGTCACTTTGGTATAGCGATTGTTTGTAGAAGGCGTTTTTCACAAATAAATCCAAACATGTCATACTCTTAGGCTGAAATGAATCTTACCAGTGGCATCTGCAGATGGGGAACAGCAGGAAGTAAGAAGGGCAAACACCAAATAACAAATGGAAAGATTTAGCTCAAGGAGCAAAATGGAATTGTTTTATTAGAGGACTCGAGGACTCAAAGCTGAGAATTGCAGATATGCTCTGAATACCACTTTTTTCCCTTCCCTTTTGAATTATTTGCAAGAAATCCATGGGGCAGGGGTCATTTTTCATTCTTGGTACCCTCAAGCAGGTAGCACAAGGTCTGGCATCTGAGAGATGCTCAATTAATGTTTGTTTAATTTAATTGCAGAACCAAGAGCGAAATCCTCAGAATGGCCCAATGAAACAATTACAAAGCTGATAGGGTCATATCAGATGGAGCTGTTGGTTAGGAATATAAGGTAGTTGATTCCAGTTTGTTTCTCAGACATTGAGTTCTACATGCTAGCAGGGATCTTTTCATTTGGTCAGGTCCGAGAGAAATAAGCTGACTGCGAAAACCACCCTCTCTTAACCCACTACTACAAAGAGGTATTCATGTCTTCGATGTGGGGTCAAATTGGAATGGAAAAAAAGAGAAACCTTTAAAAGAAACACTCCTGAAAGAGTAAGAGATCAGAGTTTCCAGTTTCAAAATTTCACTGACACCAGTTTCTTAAAAGATTCATGTCTGTGCCTGTGGCCAAACAAATTAATAAAATTAACTGACCCAATTGCCAGGCAATTCCACATACATTTTCTATCTTAATTCCTAAAACAATCCTGAAATGTTAGCATTGTGGGGAGAATAAAAGAGCCTCCAAGAGGTTAAGTAACCAGCAGCGGATCACACCAAACCTGTCTGATTCCGAGGTCCTTTTTCACTACACCCAAATTATTTGGGCATATAGTTTCTTTTATTAAATATGCTCACTGTGTACCCAATGGTTTGGCATCACAAAGAACACCAACACAATCCAGCATAGATCACCACTATATCCCCAATCGCAGTTCAGTGCCAGGCTCAGAGTAAGCACTCTATATATATTTGTCAAAGGGTTGTGAGAATGAACAAGCAAATGAATGAATGAAAGAATAAACCACCAATTAGGCCAGTGGTATCCAGAAGTTTCATCTGGATATAACAAGCATGTGATCTAAGAGTGTAGCATATCTAATTTTCTTTACTCCTGAAATGTTGTTTCCAAATGTGAAAAGTGAAATGTTTATGAATAGAGCATCAGAGAACTGACCCTTCATGAATCCAAAAGGATAAGTAATATATATGTTTATGTTCCAGAATTTAAAAGCTTATAGAAATAAGACATTGCTTTTAGGATAAAAGTTTACATCAGAACTATAAAATTCTAGTTTTTATTTTTTAAAAAGTGCTTATATGCTTGAAAAATATGATTTACTGAAAAAGTATTTTGTCAAGGTACCAGACAATTATAATCCAACTATTTTATGCATCAGTTACTCTGCATTCTTTCCAAACATGTGTGTAGGATGGGTTATGGAGTTAGAATGCCTGATAATGATTGACCTACATAGACACACATACCGGGCACAAGATTTAAAGGGCCAAAGTACATAATTCAAATATGAGGTAGGAAACATCACCTTTTTTGCTGTACAACGCAGATTTGCACAGCTGCTGCCAAGGAAATTGCATGTTACCTTTACAGACAATGATCTGAGCCTCAAGCACATCTCACAATTACCCTAGGGGTCTCTCAAAATGACAGGCTGGTACTATTGCAATGTGCAGTTCCAATAGCTGCCAGAGGACATCAGACAATTGTTTGAAATGGAGCCAGTGTTGTATATCTTCCTGATAAATCTGGTTGCCATTCATCAGGAAAAAGAATGCCTATGAACAAATGGAGTGACACAAAAAAAGATTTATGTATCTGATAGAACCTGGATTCAACCTGGTGTCCCTTGAACAATCTCTTGAATTTTTCATATATTTAAATGAGGTCTTGAGAGTAGTTACATACATCTGTGTTGTTGATGTGCCATAATACAGGACATAGAAGCTGCAATTACTCCTGGATAGGACATATAATACAATTATAAATTAAGATTAAAAATTAGATGAAAGGGCTAGGGATGGAGAAATAATAAATGTTTTATTTGCCCCAAAGACAGTAATAAAATACCTTCCTTTTATTGCCATTTGGTCCGAGGTCATTTATACCTATAAGGGTAAAGAAAGAAAAAGTAACTGCCCAATGGAAGTGACTGATGGAGTTTTATTATTGTGAGGCACTGACAATAATAAAAGTGCTTCACAATAGTAAAAACTCGCTTCCCTCCAAAAAAATAAGATCACCTGCAGAGCCACTGGCCAATCAGAGCCGACATAGAGTCCTTCCCTAGAGCCCCACATAGTAATGACAGCTAAGATTGCTGGAGTCCAGCAAAATACGTTTTGAGCTCCTTTAAAATGTTTTGGCCATGTCTCTTATTATCATTCATTTACTCAAATATTTATGTGTATCTATTTGTACAAGGAACTATGTTAGGCTTTGTAGAGAATGTAATAGTGAATCAAACATGAGTGTTACCTTCACTAAGCTTATAATCCAATAGGGGAAAACACTCTGTGTCTGACTTGGAGACAACTGGCACACAGGAGAAAGTGATGACTGCTGTTAAGAGAAGAGGAAAAAGTTCTATGAGAGCAACAGAGCAACCAAAAGCAAAGTCATTTTTTGAAACTCTAAGAAACATCATGCCTAGAACAAAGTGCCCATTAATAAATTATTGATGAACTAAAGAAAGTGCCACTTTGCATTACTATACATTTACTCGGTATGAAATCAGAGAGGCACTCATTTAGAATTCATTTAGAGCTGTTCCAGACAGGGCTGATTCATTAGAGTGCTGATGATCTCAGAAATATTTTATATGTGTATATAAATGTAAGTCCGTTGCAGCACTCTACCGTACAGCTAATCTGTATTTGGTTCTCAGCCAGTGAAGACTAAGAGCCATTTGAGTGGCCCTTCCCTCTCCATTTGTTGACTCCACCAGCTCCCTCTTTCTGTGGTTCCTTGTGTGCCAGTGAACACTGAAGCTCAAGATGGCTGACAAAAGGTGACCAAGCAACGGTGCTGGAGATTCTGCAAAAATCATGAAAGGTGCTGGATGGTAGCAAGCAGGCTGCACTGCAACAACCTCAGATGCCCCCAAGGAGGTGGTCTAAGAAACCCAGATCAGCAGACATTTGTTGCCTGGTAGAAATCCTTTGAGATTTTGAAGGACAACATAAGCCTTGCAGCAACCCAGAAAGATAAGAAAGGTAAATAGAAGAAATCTTGGGCCAAAGGCACATATAGCATCAATGTAGTTAATGTGATAATTTCCAGGAAGAGATTCCCCCATGCTAACAGGGTATGCCTATAGTTTAACAATTGGGGGATGGTGGTAGAGGAGGATTTCAAGCACTATTTCTATTTCAGATACACAGGGAGTCCTGTAATTAAGGATATCCTGAGGGTCTGGGGAAGCTGACGGTGTAAGCAACAGTTCTTTAAGGCAAGTGTGTGACACAAAGGAAATCTAATAAAAGAACAAGTTACTTTTGATCAGCACAAAATGACAACATTGAAGGATTTGTGGTCACCTTTCATTACTGCAAATAAAATTTTCCTTAAGTTCACCTAGTATTCACAAATTCATAGTATTCACAAAAAATACCAAAACACAATTTAAGTACTAAAAATGATTATTTCTTGCACAGAGAAGCAATAGAGCATCATGGTTAAAAGGGTGGGCTTTGGGATCAGAGAGTCCTGGGGTCGAATCCCACCTCCATTGTTTACCAGCTGAAAAAGTTACATACATCTGAGCCACAGTTTTCTCATCTGTACAACAGGGGTAATAATTGTACTTCCCATACAGAGTTTTGTGAGAACTAAATAAATAATGCATGTTAAATGCTTAGTGCACTAACTGGCCCATAGTAAATGCTCAACAAATGTATCATTTGCTATTACAAACACATTGCTTCGTGTCTTTTTAAAAATGAATTCTCTCCTTCCCCAAACTGTTCTAATTATTAGCTCCACAAGAGCTCAGGGTAGAGCCACATCACTAACATTGACCAATCCTTACTCTGGACCCCTTACAGATGTGAAGGGAAGGAAACAGAGCAATCATATAAATCTCCCTTGAGGATGCAGAGCCTCCTACTGAGAGGTGGTTTGGATAAGTCAAAGAGCACCATACGGCAGTGTTGTAATGTTTCCCGCATGGATAACACATTTTCTACTTGACAAGTTATCAGTGTCACCATCTCTGGCCCCATAAGCTCCAGAGCTTGTTCCTCATTTGTTAGATGTCACTTGTCCCAGCATGGTGCTTTATATACAAGGATATCTGAGTGAAAGTCTGCACATTTTTAATGTTCTCTTCTTTCTTCCTAAATATTCCCCCTTGTTGACTAATTCAGTCTCGGTGAACCATCTTCACTGTATGCAAATGACTGTAACACCTAAATGCTTGGCCTTGCTTTCTTCTCAACTTCCATACACCTGCTGGGCATTTTTACAGAGATCTACCAGCACCTTACACTCGAGTCCTAAGCTAAATATCTGTTTTCCACTCTCATCTTTTTCATTTCTCCAAGTTCTCCTTCTGTGTTAAGAGCATCACAGGTTTCTCAGTCCAAGTGAAAATCCATCATCTGATCCCTCCCTTTCCATTGGCACCCAACACTCAATAATTAAGTCTACCCACTTTCTCTACTATACTTCTTTCAGATATCTCTTCTCTTCGCTTCCATTTGTCGTACCTTTGTTCTTTGCCTTTTACCCAAATTTGACTAAGAAATAATTATGGAGCCATGAGCCAGGCACAACACTAAGCTATAAGCTCTATGTGTTGGGGATCCAGAAATGAATAAAGTAGACCAGCTCTTTGCCATCATGGAACTTCCATTATAGGCCAGACACACAGATCATAAACAAATAAACAAATAAATGAGCAAGATCATTTCATATAGTGAAATGAGCTATGAATAAAATAGAATAGGTAATATTTAAAAAATCTTGTTTGGGGCAAGGAGAAGAGGATTGATACTGCAGGCTGAGACTCTGGGGAGGGGAGCCAGCTATGTGAAATGCTGGGAACAGTGTGCTCTAGGCAGGTGGAATGGAAACAGCAAAGGCTCAGCTGTCTGAGGTGAAACTAAGCTCGGCTTGTTCAAGGAACCAAGAAAGCCAGCAAGTTGGATCCCAATGAGCAAGGGTGAGAGTGCAGGTCTGAGAAGTAGGCAGGGACCAAACCACAGATTTCATTCTATGTGTTATGGGAAGTCATTGGGAATTTAAAGTTAGAAGTGACATGTTCTGGTTTGCTTACTTTTTAAAAGGTGACTTTGGCTGATATGGGGATAACAGATTGTCAGGGAAACAAAATTAGTTGTAGGGAGATCAGTGGGGAGAATTTACAGGGATTTAGTGATATATGATGATGTCTCAGACCAGAGTGAAGTAGAATACATGAGGAAAAGCTAGCAAGGATTTTGGGGGTACAGGTGGTGGTATTTCTATATGGACCTGTTAATGTTCTTCCTCCTTTCAAGTTTTTACATCTCAGTTCATTTGACACAAAGCTAACAGTGTCCTCTTTCTAAAGATGCCATTATTTGCCCAGATATCTTAATTGGCTCACCACTGCTCATAGAATAAACTCCAAAGTCCTTGGTGTATATTCAAAGCTCTCTGCTATCTGGCCTCACCTTCTTTAGAGTTCCATACAAATGGGCTGATAAGGAAAGGGAAAAAAATGGTTACAGAGACATTCAAAAGTTCTGAGATAAATCATTTCAAAAATAGTGATATTCATAGAAAGTGGTGCTGGTTTTTGATATGTGAAGGACCAGCATTCACAGCTCTTCAACTGCTCTTAAAATCTGAAAGGTTCTGTCATAAATGAAAAAGCCACAGTGCCTCAACCAGTGGCTTGCTTTAACTTCCAAGGGAAGAAATAGGAAAGCTCTAGGAACTAGAAGAAATCATGTAACCCCTTAGAACACAAATAAATAGATGAATTAATTGATTTTGTTACAATCCTTCGCTTTATTCGTTCCCTGGTCTAAAATCTCCCATTATAATGCAATTAAGTGAAACCTCATGACAAAATGTAATGATTAAGCAAACTATAAAAAGGCAGAACTTGATAGAATGAAATCGTGTATCACATTGAACATATGATTTCCTTTCTCTTCTGCCTTAAGTAAGCATTTCTTAGAAATCAAAAATTCATGTCAAGATCATCAAAGCCGACTTGAGACGTCATCAGGATTAACAATCTAGAGTAACAGAAGGGGGCAGTGTTATCACAGTCTCTTGCATCAACCTGAAACCTTGAAGAAGAGAAACTGAAAGTCACCCTGAGTAACACTGTTCACTTACCCAGCATCCTCAACTGAGTCCCAATTTCAATTACTAATTTCTTTCCACTTGTGAAGTCTTAAGCTCCCAAAGTCAGCAATGAGATGCCCCCTTTGGTCCACCAACTTGACATACCCTGCCAAGCCCTATAAGAAACTGATCCCTTCTCACTGTAGCCTCAAGAAATGCAAGCCTGTCTCTACATTTACCTTCATTATTAATTATTCTGCCTTTTACAGCATGAATGGTGAAAGAAATTCACTTGTATTGACCATATAAGAAAAATACTTTATATTTAACATGTTATCAGAAAAGGCCTAAAGTTTATTTGTACTGCTGAAAAAAAAAAAAATGGAAATACGCAGCTCCATGCAGAAGCACTGCCGCAAACACTCACTGTTAGCCTGAGATGCATAGAAAAACAGGGAACTGTCTCGGCTGTTGAGATAATTTAGCAGACAAGTCTAGAGAGAGATAAGTGGAGGCAAAAGCTGGTAAACACCCCCAAAGAGGAGGTGAGATTTCTTAAAGAAATCTGAGGAAGGATAACTCAGCCAGCTGTCTTCAGGGCTTAGGGAGGGAGGATGAGAGGAATGAGAGGAAATATCATGACTAGACAGAGTTGCTATTGCACTTTGAAGGACAGGTGGAACCTAGAAAACAGAAGCTAAAGGTTCTATGTAGAAGGGAAAAGTGGTTGAAAAAATATGTGTGTAAGTGTGTCAGGGGGTATATGGAGGGGAGCAGCAGTTGGGAAAAGAACAGTCAATTATCCAGTTTGGCTGGAGCAAAAGGCACCAGTGAAAGAACAGTGGAGGAGTTTGAACTTAATTCTGTAAACACTAAGTAGTCATTGTGAGTTTTTGAGCAGAAATGACAGAAACAAGTTTCTCAACGACCACCACTTCTACAGAGTAACTCAGAACTCATCTACCCTCTCCCCAGCATCCCTTTGCTCACTTATCAGGGAGGACTTCCACCAATGATTCCCATTCAATGTCCCCACTGACAGGTGTGGCTTTGACATTAAAGCAATAAGAATTTCCGTTTTTACAACAGTATTAAAAAATATTTTCCCTCTATCCCCCAGCCATGAAAGAAAGGGAAATAAAGATAAAAGCTGCTCTATTACCCATTTGGCAAAGTGAAGAATGGTGTACATTGAATGTCGCACATTAACGACAATCAGTGAGGCTCACCTTCAGCAGAGAATGAGAATGTTTTATGTGTGTTGTGGTGTGTGTGTGTCTGTGAGTGCCCATTCACTCATTCATTCAGTAAATGTTTGTTTAGTATGTTCCACATGCTAGGCATTGCCATAGGCAATGGGGATTCCACAATGAACACAAAAGAGCTGAAGCTCCTGCCTTCATAGAGCTCACATTCTAGACAATAAATGAATAAGCATATAGAATGTCAGATGATAATAAATATAGTGGAGAAAAATAAAATAGAATATTAATTACTATGTTACTGGGGAGGGGTATTAATAGCAAAGGGACAGAGGGGACAAGGAAAGAGGTAGGGGAAAAGTGTGTTCTTTAGTAGTTTAAGCTAAAAAAGGCTTTTTCCAGTCAGGTGAACTATAGTAAAGAAAGGAATTTTCATTCAACAATCAATCGTAATATTAATAGATATAATAATAGATACCAATTACTGAATCACTACTACATGACTGTCACTATGCTGAGCATTATTTCATTTATTCTTCACAATAAGCTTTGTTAGTGTGACACTTATAGGCACAAAGGAAAGTGAGGCATCGTAAGAAAGAGAGAGAACGGAAGGAGAGAGAAGCCAAGGTTCAGATAAGTCAAGTAGCTAGCCCAAGTGATCTTACGCAAATGTACAGAACGTGGATTTGAGTGCAGACACTCTGACTCCAAAGCCTGCACTCTTAACCCAGACACTGGGTTGAGGTACAGAGATAAATAAGTCATGGACTCTGCCTTGGAATTGCTCATAGTCTAGTAAGAGAGACAGACTCGTAAACAAATAAATCCAGTGCAGTGATAGGAGCTATAATAGAGGTATAATAGCGTTAAGGAGACACAGAGGAAAGAGTGACTAAGTGCCTGGCTGCGGGTGGGGTGAAGGGTTATCAAAATGCAGACATATTCATTTGTGCTTATGTAATTCATTGCTCTCGCTGGGTCTGGTTACTCACAACGAATCTGCAGTTCCCTCCAAAACCTTTTCCGGTGGATTTCCCCAGTCTGTCTTCACAGGTTGTGGGTTGTCAGCCTCATCCTGAATGCAATAAGTAGTTCTGACACAGAGGCCACATAAACTCTTTAAAGCCACTGTGGAGAAGGAAGGGAAATAACAATATAGCAGTCTACCTTAACTACCTTCATAAAAGGCTAAGGAATATGGCAACCATGTGAATTAAAATGAGATGACCAATATAAGGGAAAAGAGGAAAAATGCTGGCAAACCACCTGAAAAAACTAAAGGGCATGTGTATTGTGATACAAGGTGGCTGACAACAGTTACTCAGAAAGGAAAATTATATTCCGTGAAGGTCCTTATTACCTAGCACGATTTGCTTTAAGCCTCCATTCTTAACCTAGGTCTGCAAACGGGATTCACAAAATTCATGAATTCCCTGAAATTGTATGCAAAACTCTATGTACCTGCTCTACATTTTCTTTTTCTTTTTTCTTTTTTTTTTTTTTTGAGATGGAGTCTCACTCTGTCACCCCGGCTGAAGTGCAGTGGCGCAATCTAGGCTCACTGCAAGCTCCGCCTCCCAGGTTCACGCCATTCTCCTGCCTCAGCCTCCCGAGCAGCTGGGACTACAGGCGCCCGCCACCACACCCGGCTAATTTTGTTACTGTATTTTTAGTAGAGTCGGGGTTTCACCATGTTAGCCAGGATGGTCTCAATCTCCTGACCTCGTGATCCGCCCGCCTCGGCCTCCCAAAGTCCTGGGATTACAGGCGTGACCTGCTCTGCATTTTCTAGAGATCCCAAGAGTTCATCCAAATTTCAAAACAGTACATGTTCTCCAAGTAGGTTAAGAGCTGTGCGTTAAATACTTTCAGAACTGCTACTCCAGTAGATTTAAGTATAAAGAGCCTGGCATATCTTAGAGGGTCCAAAATGTCTAAGTGCATCCTTTGATATCATTGTTATTTATTGCCTTTATCAATGTGTTTGCAAATTACTGGTGCTACTTAGACACCCTACACATGAATATAAGGCCTTACCATGACAACAGGGCTTGCTTTTGATTATGTTGTGTATAGTTGATCTTTTATCTCTCTTTTGGAACTTCTTTGTAGAAAGATTCACTTTTCAAAGAAGCTGTTCACTCAGTATTGATTCTCAACTTTTTGTGGCAGGGGAGGGGAGGTGAGTATTTGATTAGGAATATTACAATGCCCCATTTGGTGTTTTCAAGCTGACCTCTCACCTGACTCTTTTCCACTCCAAACCCCTATTTCATAACTCAAGTTATTTATCTGTTGATACATTTCTCTTCATGTATATTTGGATCACCTTAGGCACAACAGCTTAAATTTTATTTTGGTTAGATGCCTCTTTATTACATTTGATTTATAGTCATTGAAAAAGTTTTGAGGATAGTGGAGAATCTTCCACCTTTTTACTGATGCTGCTCAATGACAAATTTGCCAGAGGTTGAAATGTCCTACCTACTAACCATCAGCCTAGCCACTTTTGGTTAAGCACCCTTTGTGGGTTAAAGAAAAGAGTTAGGATGAGA
The DNA here is from genome assembly GCF_000001405.40 of Homo sapiens. NCBI lineage: Eukaryota > Metazoa > Chordata > Mammalia > Primates > Hominidae > Homo > Homo sapiens. The sequence continues at coordinate 144,188,444 of NC_000005.10, read as the reverse complement.
AAGCTTACCACCAGATGTATCATTCTAAACTCCATCAGGAAATGCATTCTTAAAACTAACTTTGACTATTTTCTCATGTACTTTCTCTTGACAGACATAAGAAAACAGATCTAGGATGAGAATGCGGCCTTAATGATTCCCTACTGCTAAATAACAGTAAATCTGGAAGAGGTACAAAGCTAATATCTATTAGCTTTTTGTAAGTACCAAAGGACAATACACATAGAAGGATCACATTAACAGAAAAATCCAGATGAAATGTAAGATATGGACAATTAATTACCAACCAAAACATTTGCCTAGACTCAACCCCATCAAAGAAGCCTTGCTGTTGTGATAAGAAGCAAGAAACCTATAATGATGGCAGATTATCAGAGCCTCTTGCCAACCCTGGTGAAAAACAACTCCAGATACATAATTTTTCAGTCTACTATGTCTAAGCTAGGCTCAGACAGAAGAGTGCTGTCTACTAGATTAACCACATCCACTTCCGGTGGGGCTGGAGACGTGGTTACTGAAGCAATGGCTTGTGCAAATATTTTTTGATGAAATCACAGCCTGAAGTAGAAGAGCTGCTGGCAAAAATAATCTAAACAAAGATCCTGGCTGGTTTCCAATAAATAGCCTTCTTTCCTCAAACATTTAACACAACCTAAGACATCTGGAACTTGTAGAATCATTTTTCCAGGCAAAAGCAAAAATTTTACAGAATATTTGATTAACAGCAAGACTCTGGGGTACACAAAGAAATCCAGAGATCAACTGCTAAAGAATAAATTTAATAAACAATTAAGCAATTAAGAAGTCTACCTACTGCCAGCCTCAAGTCATTAATGATTCAGTGAAAACAACTCATTTTCATATTTTCCTCTGTATATGCTTCATCAATAGAATTAAAATCTGAGGAAAAGGGGGAACCCAAGTGATATTTTGTTATAGCTAGAAGAATAAACAACATTTTTTCTCTCTTGCCCCCTGTGTGTATGTGTGTGTGTATATGTGTGTGTGTGTGTGTGTGTGAAATCAGCTCTTACCTTTGAAACTCTAAAATTTATTGACTCTGTTATTTTTTAATCCCTCCCTGTTAGAAATAGAAAGGCAGTGCTAGGAATGAATAGAAAATGAAGACTAAAATATTACCTGAAATTTGCATTCAATATGCATAGTAACAACTATTACAATAATGAGCCAGTACAATGCATTATGTCATTGGCAGGCAGAAAATTGTTATAAGTGGTTTGCAATATCTGTAGCTAATAATCTGGAAAAAAAAATGAGTCTAAGAAATAAATGAGATTTGTCAGATCTTTCAAATAAACATGTAAGAAGATTTGTGTTCTATGAACTATTTTTTATGTTTATGTATATATGGAATTTAGGAACTGAAAAGCCCTAAGGAGTTCTTTGACTATTTGAGGAGTGATTATTTGAATCATGTTTCTCTCCCCCAGTGACACTGTAAGCGCTGAGAGGGAAGGGATCATTATTATTTTTGTTCATTATTATATCCCATCCCCAGCACCTGGCACAGAACCTGACACATAATAGGTGTTGAATAAAGAGTTACTGAATGAATAGATGGATCAATACATCCCTATTCCAGTTTCTTTTTGTCTTCATTATTCAGCTGAGAAAACTGAGGCCAGAAAAGCTACACAGCTAATGTTACATTTCTAGTGGTTAAAAAAGTTAATAATCCTTTACCTTGATCAGTTTGGTAATATTAAAACTTTAACATACATAGAGTATATTGCCCTTGATGCTCTGTCTTTGGATTGGGCATGTGTTGAGGAGAAAATGTGGATACCTGGAAAACAGTTTGGCCTTGTTTAAACAAACTGGTTTTTTAAAGTCCTTCTGCTTTCTTTTAAGAGGTGAGAGAGCTTTGAGACAGACTTTTCAGCTATTTTTTAAAACTACAAATCTAGAATATTGTTAAAGCACATATAAATAAAATAAATGCAATGCTTATGATGATGAATAGTTCTGACTGGCAGCATGTACAATTTTTTATTTAAACTTTAAACCAATTCCCTTAGGCTCTGAACAGGGACAATAAGCCATTAGTTTTTTTTTTTTTCTTTTTTTTTTTAAAAAAAATGAGATCTAGCACAAACTTCGTAGAATATACTTCATATTTACATATTTCTTTCTTACATAACTGTAGACTTTAGATGCTAGTGTAAACTCTAATTGTTTTCTGGGTTGGCCATATGAGAGTCTCTGCTGTCTTTCCTGGTAGCAAACATCAAGCATAACTGATGAATTATTCTGTTTCTTTTGTGGGCCACAGTTTCCATATGTGACAAGTAAGCTACCTTATGATATGAATGATAGATTATAGAAGAGGCTCTGAAGACAGCCTGGTGTTCAAATGTTAGAATACAGAAGAGATTCTGAAGCTCACTTGGAGTTCAAATCTTGACTTCATCAACTGGGTCACCTAGGGCAAGTTATCATATTCCCTTCCAGGTACACCCAGAAACTTTTGCACCTCAGGTATCTTACCAGTAAAACAGGATGATAATAGCACTTGACTTAGAGAGTTCTTGTGAGGATTAATTGAGCCAATACATGTAAAATACTTAGGACAGCATTTATTATATAGTAAGTACTAAATTGATGTTACCTATTGTTATTATCTTTTTATTACTCAAATCATTCATGACAAGAAAGGGGTTTTTTTTTAATCTTAGTAATTTCACTCATGTATTTATTCCTAATGCAAAAAAGCTCCCTATCTCCCAAGAAAACAATAAAATGTAAATGGGTGTCTAGTAATACTGCATGAGAATTATCCCTCCCCTACTCCAGGTTTCTGTGCTTCAGGCTGTATTGCTGTCACCCTTGCTCCAGGTACAGGTGCATGACTTACTTGGGTAGACTGGTCACAGCATTTTATACTCCCTGCCACCATTTTTATTACAGCAATGGACATGAAGCTCAACCAGAGCCAAAAAAGATGTGATTTGGGAACATTTTCTGGGACCATTAAGATATATGATATTGTTTGAGCCACTGAATTCAAACAAATCTGAAGCTAGCTGTACCCTAGACTTGGCATCCACTGAGGCAATGAGTATCTTCCTACAATGCTATCAATTTGCATTTAATTTTCTGTTGTCTGAAATACAAACTTATACAGAAGAGGTGTCCAATAACAAAGATGTAGGTGATATTTTAAAAGACTGAGTAGGTGTCAGAGAGGCAAAATAATGTTGTGGTTAAGTGCATAGACTCTAAATCAACTTCCTAGGTACCCATCCTCACTCTACTGCTCAGCAGCCATTTGACTTTGGACAAGTCACTTACCTCTCTCTGCCTCTGTCTTCCTCTGCAAAATGAAGATAGTTAACAGTATCCATTTATAAGGAAGTTTTGAGGAGTAAATTAGTTAATATATGTAAGATATTTAGAACAGTGCCTGACACATAATAAGAGCAAGTTTTGGTTATTATTTTATATTTATTACTGAGATCTGAAATAATGGTGATGTAGTTTATCAAAAAGAACAAGGGAAATGGCTCTTACCATGTTGCTAACTAAAATTTTTCTGTAGACAGAGGAAGTAACTGATTAATTAAATGCACCTCTTTGTAGCAAAGGGCTTGAATAGACATTACTCCAAAGAATTTATACAAATGTCCAACAAGTGTATGAAAAGATGCTCAACATCACTAATCATCAGGGAAATGCAAATAAAAACCATAATAAGATATCACCTCACACTCACCAGCATGGCACTACAAGAAGGAAGAAAGAAAATAATAACAAGTGTTGGCTATCGTATGGAGCAATTAGAACCTTTGTGCACTGTTGGTGGGAATGTAAAATGGTGTTGCCACTATAGAAAACAGTATGGCAGTTTCTCAAAAATTAGAAATAGAATTACCATATGATCAGGCAATTCTACTTCTAAGTATATATCCAAAAGAATTGAAATCAGGGTCTCAAGTGGATATTTGTACACCCACATTCATAGGAGCATTATTCCTAAGAGCTAAAAGATGGAAGCAACCCAAGTGTCCATCAGTGATAAACAGATAAACAAAATGTGCCATAGACTTTAACATGGACGAACCTTGAGGACATTATGCTAAGTGAAATAAGCCAGTCATAAAAAGAATAATACTATATACAGTAGTCAAATGCATAGAAATAGAAGTAGAATGGTGTTTGCCAGAGCTGGGGTGGGAAGTTTAATGGAGATAGAATTTCACTTTGCAAGTTTAAAAAGTTATAGAGATTAGTTTCACAACAATGTGAATACACTTAACAACACTGAACTGTATACTTAAAAATAGTTAAGACAGCAAATTTTATGTTACATGGTATTTTACCAAGTTAATAATAAATAAAAATTGAATTTTAAAAAGTACGTCTTTATAGTTCTGTAGGCATCACAGTACCTGATTAAGCTGGTACTAATATTGAATGAATAAATGAATGATAATGTAACAAACCTAATGACAAAACAAGTAAAGGGTGAGGTAGTTCAAGGAGTTGAAATTGTCACGAAGTAAAGTAGAATCAAGTATCAAGCACTATGTACAAGATTTATGGTAAAGATAAAACATACTACATAGTATTATGTAAAGCATGAAACCTATAAATATAAGTTCTAGCCTTGATTCATTTATACTTTTATTTATAACATATAGCAAATATTTACTAAGCACCTACCATTTGCTAGGCACTATTCTTGTTCATCAATGAACAAAAATGCCCTGTCTTCCTGAGGCTTATTTCTAGTAGGGTAGGAGAAGGCAGCAATATACAATTTCTAGTTCTAGCTGGATGTGTGACACCAGACTAGTCCCGCGAGTTTTCTGGGGCTTAGTTTCCTCATGTATAAAGCAATGTGCATGTGGCAGAGGAACAGAATGGTACTTTTCCTTCTTATATTCCACAAGATTTGAAAATTATTTTTAAATATGGGACAAGGCCATAAAAAGCCACTAGGGGGCAAAATGAGCATGGAATAAACATTTTACTGATGTGAAATTGTAGAGACGAAAAGGAGAGTCATCCTTTATGCATCATTAAAAAAATAAGCAAACAGCAAATGTTGTGCATCATTATAGGTAGAGAAAGAGCACTACGGAATAGTTATCCAACTGTGTTTTATTCTATGAGTAAATTATTTTATTTTGAGACCATGTTTTTATAGGGAAGAACAGTGTGCAAGAAGCAGAATACTCCACTAGTAATTGAATAACATTTCTAAATGTATGTAATAACAGTAAAACCATATCCACAGAAACACAAAACACCAATAAGTAGATTCAATACTGAAGTAGCCCTTTACTTACATGTTAGGATCTAATATATATTTAGAATTCTTTCTTTCACGTTTATTTTGCTTTGGTCTTACTCCCACTCTTTTATTTTTTTTTTTTATGTTTCATTACATAAAGTTAAGGTGTACAACATGACTTTTTATATACATGTACATAGAGAAATGATTACAAGTAAGCAACTTAACATATCCATCATCTCACAAGATACTCTGTGTATGTATATGTGTTAAGTAACAACAAACAATAATAACAAAGAAATAATAATAACAAACATAACTGGGAGTGAAGAAAGGTAAAAGGTAATTAAGATCACAATTGTACTTAATCTTAAGAAACTTTTTCTTTAACCTGTCTCTGTCTGTCTTTCTCTCTCTCTCTCTCTTTCTCTCTCTCTCTCTCAGACAGGGATCTCCCTGTGTCAGCCTAGGCTGGAGGGCAATGGCACCATTATGGCTCACTGCAGCCTCAATCTCCCGGGCTCAAGCAATCGCTGGTGTGTGTGTGGTAAAAGCACCTAAAATCTACTCTTTGAAAATGTCCATTATGCAATAGTATATTATTAACTATCACCTTCATAGCCCTCCTGCTGTATTTTGGATTTCAAGATGTGCTAATCCTCATAACTGCTACTTTGTACCCTTTGACCTACATATCTCAATCCCTTCTTCCCCTGGCCTATGGTAACCATCATTCTATTCTGCTTTTGTATATTTAAAGGGCTTTGTTTCTCTGTTTGCTTTTAGATTCCACATATGTTTTAGTCTGTTTTCTACTGCTATAACAGAATGCCACAGACTGGGTACTTTATAAGCAATAGAATTTTATTTGGCTTATCATTCTGGAGGCTGTGAAGTCCAAGAGCATGGTGCTGGCACCTGGCAAGAGTCATCCATGCCAGAAGGTGAAGGGGGGAAGTGACCACACAAGACAGAGAAATGAATGGGGATAACCTTATTAGGAGCCCACTCCTGCCATAACTAACATAATCCTGCGATAACAGCATCAATCCCTTCATGAGAGCTTAACTCTAGTGGCCTGATAACTTTTTTTTTTTTTTTTGAGATGGAGTTTCACTTTTGTTGCCCAGGCCAGAGTGCAGTGGCGCGATCTCAGCTCACTGCAACCTCCACCTCCCAGGTTCAAGCTACTCAGCCTCCCAAGTAGCTGGAATTACAGGCACGTGCCACCACGGCTGGCTAATTTCTGTATTTTTAGTAGAGATGGGGTTTTGTCATCTTGGCCAGCCTGGTCTCAAACTCCTGACCTCAGGTGATCCACCTGCCTCAGTCTCCCAAAGTGCTAGGATTACAGGCATGAGCCACCGTGCCCTGCCCTGATCACCTCTTAAAGGCCTCACCTCTTAATACTGTTACAATGACCATTCAGTTTCCAACACAACAACTTTTTGATGGACACATCCAAACCACAGCAACATACAAAGGAAATCATGCAGTATTTTCCTATGTCTGCTTTATGTCACTTAACATAGTGTCCTCCAGTTTCATCCATGTTGCACAAATGGCAGAATCTCCTTCTTTACAAAAGCTGAATAATATTCAATTATACACACAAACACCACCACCAACAACAAATTTTTTATTCAATCATCCACTGATGGACATTTAGGTTGTTTCCATATCTTAGCTATTTTGAAAAATGCTGCAATGAACATGGGAGTGCAGGTATCTCTATAAGGTGCTGATTTGATATCCTTTGGCTATATAGACCCAAAAGGGAATTGCTGTGTAGATACTGCTACTAACCAACATAGGCCTCTCAGATTACACAAGAACGTTCACTATTCTTTGTTTTGTTTTGTTTTGTTTTTCAATTACATCCCATTGAGAAGTGGTGGTTTTAAAAACATGTTTAAAAAATATTTGAAAATCTTTGCATAAAAAGTTGCAGTATAGGCTGGGCACGGTGGCTCACGCCTGTAATCCCAGCACTTTGGGAGGCAGAGGCGGGCGGATCATGAGGTCAGGAGATCGAGACCATCCTGGCTAACACAGTGAAACCCCGCCTCTACTAAAAAATACAAAAAATTAGCCGGGCGTGGTGGTGGGCGCCTGTAGTCCCAGCTACTCGGGAGGCTGAGGCAGGAGAATGGCGTGAACCCGGGAGGCGGAGCTTGCAGTGAGCCGAGATCGCGCCACTGCACTCCAGCCTGGGCGACAGAGCGAGACTCCGTCTCAAAAAAAAAAAAAGAAAAAAGAAAAAGTTGCAGTATAATTGTCTTTTCCTTGAATATGGACCAGCTTTAGAGACACGTTTTCTAGCCAATAGAATGCCTCAGAATATCACATGACTTCCAAGGATGATGTAGAAATGGTAATACAGCTTTTTTTCTCTCTCTCAGGATACTCTTCCCCAGACTACAGCCGCCATGTTTTGAGGAAGCCCGTACCACATGAAGAAACCATGTGTATATGTTCTGTTTGAAAGCTCTAGCTGAGATCCCAACCTGCAGCCAGCATCAGCAGTCACATATGTGAATGAGCTTTCAGATGAATTCAACATTCAGCTTTTGAGCTCCCCAGCTGAAGTTGTGTGGAACAGAGATGAGCTACCCCCAACAAGCCTGCCCAAATTTTGGATTTTCAAGAAATAAAATGTTATTGTTATGGTTTTAATCCACCAAGTTTTGAGATTTTTGTTCTTTTGTCTTCTTGGAGTTTTTTGTTTGTTTGTTTGTTTTTCTTTACAAGGCAACAGATAATTGGAATGAGGGATAGTTACATTGAGAAATATGGCAGAAGAATTTAAGGAAATGAACTACCAGGGGATTAAATGAGTGCTTCTGTGGAGTCCTGTTGGCATGGATCCACTCCCCCTTGCCCTGAACAAAATAAAAAGTTCTCAAAGTATGCTATCCCTCAGTGTCTAATCCCATGTGCACTAATGCTCAGGACTGTGGGTCTTAGAAACAGATGAATGTTTCTCATGTAGGAGCATCATTATCACTGACAGCAAGGATAGTCATTGGCAGATCACTATACCCATCTTCCCAAGCAGCAGATCTCCAAATTAGAATCTTTTCTTGGTTCAGACCTTCCAGTTCACAAAGAATGGTGATCCTGGCTTGTATGGAAGCACAGTAATGACCTCATCAAGCTAGAAGCACTGAGGAACAGGAGCATTTCTCCAGGCAGAGGACTGATGCCAGTGAACTTGCAAGCACCCACAGGGAAAATGGGCGAGTAGAACTATGTCAAGCTTAAAAAACCATAGACAGACACAGAATCTGTTTGTTGTATATTGTGACTGGCACATGGTAGGTTCTCAATAAATCTTTGTTAAACGAATGAATAAATACCACAAACAACATTATTTTATGTCCTAGAGTTGGGATACAAAAGTAAATATAACATAACCTCTCTTCTAATAGAGTTTCTGACATAACTAGATGGTTATAATCACTTATTTATCACCTAATCTTTGTCATGTACTAGCCGAAAGGCAAAGACAAGATTCAATGGTGAATCTGATACTAGTCTTATTAGTAAAATTGATCAAATCCCTTGTTCTGATAGTCTTCTATCTACCATGTTGGTGAAGGAAGGATCCCTGTTCCCAAATAGTACAAGATGGATGAGCTCATGATATACTCAACACTGGACAGATGAGACTGGCAGCAGTTTATTAATCACATACACTCACAGCCTGGGAGAGAGGAGCCTGCACGCATGCAGGGATACATAGTGGTTACACTCAGGAGCAGAGTGAATAAGCAGGGCCTGTGGTGTACAGTATCTAGAGGATGAGTTGCCTCCTGGTTCCCATGGGGGGAGGGGGATGTAATTTGCTTCTTTGAATAATTTTACCAGCTCATAAGAAGGCAAAACCACTTGGGTTGAGGCCTGAGTGGGGTGGCTGATAGGGGAACCTGCCTGGTGGGGAGACTTTTCTGCTGGGTAGGGGACATATCTGGCAAGAGCAAGGGAACTCATGGCCAAACCTTTAGGAACCTGTGAGGGTCAGAAATGTCAAGTCAACACATGCAACTGTAGGTCTTACAATACATACCTTCACTTCTCCTGGCCTCAGATCCTCATTTGTAAAGTCAAAGAGTGGGGAATGAATTCTCTCAAGGTTCCTGCCAGTTTTAATTCTCTTTAATTCTTAATATGTGTAGCCAGTTAAACGAGGGGTGTTTTGGTCATTTTCTGATGCACGTGCTGTCCTGATTGTTCTATGAAGATCAGTCTATTCTTGTTAACTTTAGAGCTATCTCAGTGAATTCAGGCCAATTTCCTAGGGGCCTCTCAAAATTTTAATATGAAGTTGAGACATTTAATTTCCAGGGAGTGGGAAGGGGATGTAGTGTATTATAATATTTAGTACAGAAGTCAATTTTTAAATTAAAAGGAATAACTTTTAATTAGAGTCAAGAAAAGAAATGACATTTATAAATCTAGAATCAAATAATATTTTAAATGATGTTAATCTTTCCAAAATAACATCTTAGCAAGAGTTAAGAAATGTTTATATTCTCTTCCAGAGAGGAAAATTCATTATCACAGACAGCAGGGGATTTATGATTTTCATTAAATTGTATAAAATTAGGACTGCAGAAGAATAATAAAAAACATCTTGACTGCTTCACCTAAAATCAAAAGGAAAAAATGTGTTTATCTTTGACTTCTAGATCTAAGTGTGCAGAATTTAATTAAAATCAGACATTTGATTTCACATGTCTCTGTTTAAAAATAAAATAAACCTCATTTAAAGAAAAGAGTTAAGTATTATAATTAGTCTTAATAACAAAAAATCATATCTAAGTACATTAAAAGCATTATGATTATAATAACTTTTTCTTCTATGGAAGAAAACTGAAAAATCAGAATGCCTACTTTTATAGTTCTACTTCATATTTTTAAAAATCATCACGAGTGAAAAAAATCAATAAAATAACATTGTTTAAGAACTGGTACTGTAGACATTAAGAGTTTCCTTTAGCAGGCTTTTACTCATTTATAAACATAATGGCCTCTTACTTTGTTTCAGAAAGTCTGATGAAAAATATTCCAGCATGTGTCTTTCTACAAGCATGAGATTGACTTTAAACCCAATGTAAAAAGTTTACTTTGGGACAAGTGTTAAACTAGACATCCAAAATGATGCAGTTGAAGTCTCCATTGCTACAGATTTGATTCAAAAGGTTTGCCACTCTGCAATAGTGACAACAAATTGACATTGACATGAATAGCTGATCAAAGTGAAAAAAAATCAGATTATTGTTCTTTCGAGCATGTGTGTAGCAAAAGACTTAGTCTATATTTGGGCAAAAGAATGCAGTAACATCATAAGGCTGGTATGAATTCAACTGTACATCCCCCCAAAAGACATATTGAAGTCCTTACTCCCAGGACATCAGAATGTGACCTTATTTGAAAATAAGATCTTTACAGAGATAATCAAATTAAAATGAGGTCATCTGGGTAGGTGCTAAACCAACATGACTCGTGCTCTTAAAAAAGGGAAATGTGGACACAGAGACAGGCATACACAGAGAGAAGACTATGCGAAGACCATGTCAAGGTGAAGGCAGAGATTGGACTGATGCATCTACAAGCTAAGGAATGTCAAAGATTGCTTTCAAAGCACCAGAAGCTGCAAAAGAGGTACGGAGCAGATTCACCCTCACAGCCCTGAGAAGGAAAAAGCCTTGCCAAAACCTTGATTTCAGGTTTCTAACCTCCAGAACTCTAAGACAATAAATTTCATTTATGTAGGCCACCCAGTTTGTGGTACTTTGTTACAGCATCCCTAGGAAACTAATCCAGTCTGAATTCTATTTTTTCAAACCATCACTTTAGTCTCATCCCTTCCATTCCTCAACAGCAGTATAATGTTCCTTCTTACCAATAATTTCTGCACAAATTACAATGATATACAGATATGACAGCATGACAGTTACTGTGGTTCAAGCATTAACCTTCTTTAAAATAACTCTAATTGAGAGAGTTGTGAGGAATTCTTCTTCTTTTTTTAATTCTGGAAGAAAACCCAGAAAATACCCTTCTCAACACTGGTCCTGGCAAAGAGTTTTTGATGTAGGTCCCCAAAAGCAATTGCAACAACAACAACAAAAAATTGACAAGTGGGACCTAATTAAACTAAAGCGCTTCTGCACAGCAAAAGTAAACAACCTACAAAATAAGAGAAAACATTTACAAAGTATGCATCCAAAGTATGCATCTGGTTACAAAGATTTAGTAACCAGAATCTATAAGGAACTTAAATCGACAAGAAAAACAAATAACCACATAAAAATGGACAACAGATATGGTCAGGAAGAATTCTAACAGAAAAATAGAAAAAGTATACTGCCTAGAGAACCTAAACCATAATATATCACGCTTGCAGTAATTTTTAAGCTGTTCTCTTGTTGAGTATAATAAAATCTGACACATCTATGATTTTAAGAAACACTATATCTTGGCCGGGCGCGGTGGCTCACGCCTGTAATCCCAGCACTTTGGGAGGCCGAGGCGAGTGGATCATGAGGTCAGGAGATCGAGACCATCCTGGCTAACAAGGTGAAACCCCGTCTCTACTAAAAATACAAAAAATTAGCCGGGCGCGGTGGCGGGCGCCTGTAGTCCCAGCTACTCGGGAGGCTGAGGCAGGAGAATGGCGTGAACCCGGGAAGCGGAGCTTGCAGTGAGCCGAGATTGCGCCACTGCAGTCCGCAGTCCGGCCTGGGCGACAGAGCGAGACTCCGTCTCAAAAAAAAAAAAAAAAAAAAAAAAAAGAAACACTATATCTTTAAAAATTGTTATGGCTATTATTTCATTTGCCTGGGACACTGCCTTTTTCTTTCTTTGCCAATAAATATATTTTCCACAATATAAATCATCTTATGCTCTGTCTCCTGATAAATTCTGTGTTTTAGGGGAAGAGAGGAGAGAAAGGGAAGGCAGAAAGATGGACACTTTTCATAGTATTTGAAATAAGATGAAACATATCAAGAAAATCGAATATGAGAAGCACTGTTCACAATTTTCAAGTATAATTGCCCTAAATATAGGCGGTTCTTAAGACAATACTTATGAGACTAAAATTTACAATGCAGACAAGCCAAATTTGAAAGATCTTGGACAGAGATAAAAAAGCATATTTTAATACACTCCACCATATCAAAAAGCAAATTATAATATAATACAGAATCTGCAGGGGAAACAATAGAGTGAATGTTTATAATTGATCTTAGAAGTAGTTAGCTTGTTCAAACCTAATCCTTATAGCTTTTAAAAAGACAATTTTTCCTGAAGAAATCATATTGCTTCTGTAGCTACATAGATTCATCAATAATTATTGCAAATATTTATGGAATACTTAGTACTTAGACACTTATACTTGAATACATTATATCATACAACCCTTCTAGCAATGAATACTCCTATCTTGCTTTTACAGATGAGAAAAGTGAGGCACAAAGAGTTTAAATAAATTACTGAAGCTCCATGGCAAGTAAGTAGTACAGAATGTAAATCCATGCAGTCTGGCTCCAGGGCCTCTACCCTTAACTACTATGCAATATCAATTAACATACATGACTAATGTAACATAAACTTAAACATAAGGTTTAAATATTATTTGCCCAATGAGAAGATTACAGAAAATATTTTTATCAACTTGAATATATATACATGTGGAGACACAGATGCAATTATCAAATGTCTAGTTGCAATTTTAATTTATATGGATTTCAGTAATCGCATTTTAGATAAATTAGTATATTAATCAGAATTATTGACTTTTCTTCATTCACATTTCATAACACAATAACAATACAGCCTACTGCTTTAGCATAAGGACTCAGGAACAAGTTCAAAATGTCTAGTCTACTATTTTCTACCATAATAATGTTTAACAAATTACTTACTCTGTTTCAATTTCCTCATGTGTCAAATGGGCATTACATGGCACCTACCTCATTGGGTTGTCAGGAGGAGGAGTAATTGAGTTAAAAAGTGCAAAGTGCTTAAAGAAATGCTTGGCACACAAATTCTTGAAGTATAAATAGGTGTTAGCTGTCATATTTTTCAAATGCTTCATTTTTACCTTTGGCATGAGTGGCTTTGCCATCATTAGAGCCCACTTTGAGTTCTCCCGTGCTGTTTTTCATATTATCTCCCCTACTACCCAAATTATTTGAAATACAGACTTCAGTGCTTCAGTGCTTTCACTGAAATTCATATTCCAAGCCACAATAGCCATTCACCTGACATTAGAAAGGTTTGTTACTGAAGAGGGTATTTTTGATCTCTACAATGAAAATATTTACAGTATTTACAATATTGCTTATATGTTATCTTTAAAAGACTTATTTTTAACAACATGCAGCACTTGCAATACTGAAGTCAAGCTTCCAGGAATAGTTATAAAATTGGGGTTAAATTTCTTTGCCTTTTAAAAACCAGTTCTGTACAAAAGCATCCAATGCCATTACGGGCAAACCTGTCTTCCCAAAACTATTCATCGTTCAAAGTAAAATAATTGAAACAAAAGAAGCAGAATTTGAATAACCTAGTACAGGAGACTTGATGAGGAAACTCTTTGGTAGGGGAAAAAAGATAATTTGGAGGAAATATAATTGTCATATTTGGGAAAAGAGGTTACATAGTTAATATATAGGGAGAGTAAAAACAAACACTGGCACTTACATTGGTTTTTACCATTATTGTCAGGTTTCATTGTGGAACTTGACTGAAATACACAGAGCTGCCAGATCTCCACTTCATGTGATGCTTGTGGATATAGCTGACGGTAGGAGAAAACTGCCCATGTTCAAACCATAATTTTCTGGCACAACTTTTCATGACATATGAACTGAAAAACAGAAGGGAAAGAAAGTAACTCTAAAATATCTTAGTTTCAGAGCCATACTAAGAAAATGGAGTTGTTTTGCGTGTGTTTGTGAAGCATGTAAAAGTGTTAGTGTGTATACTAACATGACTGTCTAACTAAATGATATTACTCATTATTAGGATGTCCTTTCCCTTTTTGTTTTGGTGATGGATACATTAGGTCCCAGGGAAGGACTGCGCAGCTATTACAAGTCTAGCTCATGTTGCCTCATCTCTTGACCTAGGGTGAGGCTTTCTACTCCTAATAAAGCCAGCTGGGTGACTTTAACAGAGGACGGCACATTTACCAAGTACTCCAGTCTCCTTTAATATAACTTTCTGGAGCCTATCCCAGAGTGAGGGAGCAATGCCAAAAAAAAAAAAAAAATCCAAAAAGAAATTCCTACGTGACTAGCCATGAAATTAGTGGATGTTCTCAAAATTTCTAAGGGGCATCAGCAGGATACCTTGGCTTACATTTCAAAGTCAAATAAACAATATGCAAAACTTAATCAGGTAACTCAATGTTCTTGCTTGGCTTCTCAATTGGAGCAGAAATTCAAAGGGGAAAATTTAAATAAATACGTTAATTGCTTTCAGAGACAGAAGTAGAATTTGAATAATATCTATATCTAATAATTCATTCCTAAACAGGCAAATTTTTTAAATTTTAAGTTCAGGGGTACAGGTGCAGGTTTGTTACATAGATAAACTTGTATCATGGGGGTTTGTTGTACAGATTATTTCATCACCCAGGTATTAAGCCTAGTATCTATTAGTTATTTTTCCTGATTCTCTCCCTCCTCCCTCCAATATGCCCCACTGTGTGTTGCTCCCCTCTATGTGTCCATGTGTTCTCATTATTTAGCTCATACTTATAAGGAGAATATGTGGTATCTGGTTTTCTGTTCCTGCATTAGTTTGCTAAGGATAATGTCCTGCAGCTCCATCTATGTCCCTGCAAAGGACATTACCTCATTCTACTTTTTATGGCTGTATAATATTTCATGGTGTATATGTGTCACATTTTCTTTATCCAGTCTATGATGGATGGACATTTAAGTTGCTTCCATGTCTTTGCTACTGTGAATAGTGCTGCAATGAACATACACATGCATGCGTAGTTATGATAGACTGATTTATATCCTTTTGGGTGTATTCCCAGTAATGGGATTGCTGGGTCGAATGGTATTTCTGTCTTTAGGTCTTTGAGGATTCGCCACACTGTCCTCCATAATGGCTGAACTAATTTACACTCTCACTAACAGTGTATACGCATTCCTTTTTCTCTAAAACCTCGCCAGCATCTAAATCAGCAATTTTTAATGCTCATATTCTTGTAGCTCATTCAAATTTGAAAGGGATATCCTTTTTGATTCAGAAGAAATAGAAACATCAGAAAAAAACAAAAGAGACTAGAATTTTTTTAACCATAAGATTAATTAAATAGATAATGATGGATTATTGCATCTTATTGATGACTCGAAACACAGCTTCATGGATAATGTAGCTTAAAGAAAGTACAATCACAAAGTTTATCAACTGAATTAGGATATTTTTGAGAGTAAAAGGGAGCAACATTAATAATTATGCTGAGGGTAAGTAAAAATAGGCAGAAAATGGGACAATGGAATTGTCTCCAGCAAATCATAATATGTGGTCATTCTACCTGAAGTTGTGCAGATGATACCTAAACCAATAAATGCTAAAATGATTGATGAAAGGTGGTGAACACTTGAATGAGCAATTTCAGAAATTCAAAAATATAGTTAGAAAGCACAAAAATCTAGTGTTCAGTGGCAAAATAGGGTAGCTATAGTTAACAATAATTTATTGTATAGTTCAAAATAACTAGGAGTAGATTTATAATTTTCTCTACACAAAGCAATGACAAATGTCTGAGGCGACAGATATATCTCAATTACCCAGATTTCATTATTACACATTGTATGCTTGTATCAAAATGTCACATTTATCTCATAAATATGTACAACTATGATGTATCCACAAAAATAAAACAAATAAATTCGCTAATGGGTAAAAACCTCAAAGGGCAGCTGCCTGTTGGTCTCTAGAGTACAATCCTAGGTTTTTTGGTTGGGTCTTACATCCTTTTGTTGTTGCTATTTTTGTTTGGAGGGGAGTGCGTTTTCTGTTTGTTTTATTGGGGTGGGGGGTGTTGAGAGAAAAGTTTTAAGTGAAATTTTATTGTTCCTTTGGAAACTAGTCCCCAACAATGGTCTGGCTTCTTTTGTGAGGGCCTCAGGATTTTGATCCCAGAATATAATGCAGTGGCTCATGATAAATTTTATTGCTATAAACCCTGAAGAAAGTTCTGCTCATTAGTTAATAGCATCTTATTTCGAGTCACAATATTCGGGATTCCACCATCTTGGGAAAGTGATTTAACACAGGAGCCAAAGCAATCATTTTCAAAAGAAAACAATTTAAACATCACTCATCAGTTCACAATCTTCACTTCTTTTAGAACCAACACACAAATCCCACAGGATATTTCCTGGCCCCTTCCTGTTATTCCAGCCTCAACTCCTATGTGGCTCCCCTCACTTGCTGTTCCAGTCACTCAGGTTCCACTTAGAAGAGTGGTTGACAAATTCAGCTAATGTTGCCCCCACCGCCCCCAAGGACATTTGGATTTGGCAATGTCTGGAGAGATTTTTAGCTGTCACAACTTGGTGGTGATGGTGGTGGTGGTTGGTTGGGGGGAGTACTGGCATCTAATGGCTAGAGATTAGGGATGCTACTGCTAAGCATCATGCACAGGGCAGCCCCCAATAAAGAAACATCCTGACTCAAAATGTTAATAATGCTGAAGTTCAGAGCTCGATTTTCATCTTTCCTCAGACCATGCTTCCCAGATCTTGCACACATTGTTCTCTTTGCCTAAAATATTCAGGCTATTTTCCCTTATCCTCCTTTCCCGTTGCCCTTTCTTCTCTTTTCTGGTCTTCTCTAACTCCCACTCACCCTTTGATAACCCTCTTATAGTGGCTTTACAGACTCTTCTTCCCAGATGAATGTTACTCTTTCAAAGAATTATGGAACACTAAAGAATATTAGTAGCAATTTCACATGCATTTGTATGTGTTCGATTACCCCTCTCCACCACCAACTCCAGGTGGGTAGATGTCACCTAGCTTATATTTACCACAGTATCCCCAGCAGCTAGCACAGAATGAATGAATACTTAATAGCTTCACTTACAAAAGGGAAATAGGGTAACCATCTCATTAGGTTGTAAAGATTAAATAATACATACAAACACTTTAGCACAGTGCTTGAATCACAGTAAATGCTGACACCGAGGCATTGTAGGCATTGTAGTTTGTGGACAGGAGAGGGGACTCCGTCTGTCTCATTTTAGCGCCTCCCAGTCTTCCTCCATCACCTAGGTCTGAGAAACTCCTCCTCCTACCTACGAGTAAGCAGCAATTGCTACGCCTGCGCTTTCCTGGTTCCACCCCTAACCAGGCTGCCGGAAGCACTTTCCTCTTTGGCACGGGCCAGCCGCAGGTTGGGTAGATACTGCGCAAGCTCCATACTCGTGTCTCCTCCTCCCGCCCACCGGTGCCCAACCTGCTAACACGCCTGCGCGAGCGGGCGTGCCCCGGAAGCCGTTCTTTGGCCCTGTGACACGTAGCAACGGGGCTGGTTCAGGGTCTGAAACAGAGTTTGGGGGTTGTTTGGGATTAGTGAAGCTACTGCCTTTGCCGCCAGCGCAGCCTCAGAGTTTGGTGAGTGACCCAGGCCCGTGGCACAGTGTTCAGCTTCTCTCCACACCCGTGCAAATGGGCTTGTTGCCGTCTTTCGGCGCCGCGCCCTGGTCCTTTCGCTCAGACCCTCGCTCTCATTCAAGCCCTTGCCCTGACGCGGTCCCCTGCACCTCAGGCGCGACCTTCCAGATTCTGCACTTTTTCCTGGCAGGCCGCAGGCCTTATTTTGCAAGGAAGCAGTCGCCTTGTCAGCTGTAAAGCCCAGTCCTAAGGTGAAAAATCATCTTTGTTGTTATTGATATTTTAGACCGCTTATGGAACCACAACTCCCACGACCTCGCCCCTAATGGAAGGCATATCAGCTCTTTAAGGTGGAGTTGTCTTACTGGGCCGCAACTTAAAAGAATATACATTTTCTTACTCTCTCTCCGCTACCGTCGTTCAAATGCTGCGTACTTTCCGCCCCCATCCCCTCTCCGAATTACTGAAAAAATATTTGTTGTGTTTCTATTTGCTTAAGCAGACTGCCAGGAACGAATTCAGTAGAACCTTGGGCATAAGGAATATTTGCCATTTCTCTTTTATTACAGATTATTTGCAATGTCAGGCTTTGAAAACTTAAACACGGATTTCTACCAGACAAGTTACAGCATCGATGATCAGTCACAGCAGTCCTATGATTATGGAGGAAGTGGAGGACCCTATAGCAAGTAACTTTTCATCTTTGGCAATTAATTTAGTCTACATTGCAGTGAAAACACATATTTAGAATATTTGGTTCTGCCTAAAACAATATGTGAACATGTCCTTTATCAGGAGTATGATCTTTCATGCATAATCTTCTTCCTCTAGAGAGATATGTGACACTGGCTTGGCTTCGAAGGTATTGTTCTATTTAAGAGTTGAGTGTCTTCTGCAAACTCTTCAGGTGTACCATGAATGGAAAAGTAGCTTGTTTGAAGAACTGTTTTCTAGTAACAGTATTTCTGTATTTAGAAGATGATGGGAGCTTCAGGTACCTAGGAGATAGGCTGTTAGTTCATAGGACCAGTGAAAAATTAAAGTATTTTGTTAGTAGTTAAATCAGTCCAACTCTGAGACTTTTATCAGTGCTAATTGAAAGTGCTTAGTGACATTATTTAATGATGTAAGCTCCTTATTACGAATCATCAGGCGATTTTCATACAGCAGTTGATAATCATTTTTATTACTCCTCCTTCTCAAACCCTTATGGTCAGTGCCACACGTGTTATAAGTTGCATACTGAGGAGGTTGACTCAAAGCCGTTAGCCTCTGAACATTTTTTTTTAAATGATCTTTTTATAGTACCTGGTGTTTGTGACAAAAATACATGAACTGAAGGCTTTCTAGCAATCTCACCTAAAACATCATCTCCTTAGTTTCTTAGGACCCTAGAGATAATCTTATCAGCTTCCTGTCAAATAAAGGAGCTTCCTATACTAGGATTGCTTAAACTTTTTTAGATGGTTCTGGATCTCTTTGAGAATCCTATTACAACTGGGCCTCTTTCCCATAAATACATGCATTCACTCAAACACCCAAATAAATGTGCATATATAACTTCAGACAATTCATGTGTTAAATGATGTTCATCATGGATCCCGAATTTGAAACCTCATAAAGACTGTTCCACGATGAGGGCAGGGGAAGGTTATGTATCTGTCAGTTTGTGAGAAACATGCAATACAGGAATGTGTTTGGATTAGAGTGCCCAAGAATTTAAAAAACAAAACAAAATTCAAATTCACTGTGGCTCTGTAATAGTGTCTGTCTTGGTTAGGCTATCCTTTCTAAAACATATAGTCTCTTTGAGTCTGCTTAATTTGGTATATTTTAAGGCTTTGTTTTCCCCTCTAAAACTTAACACATTTGAACAATGGGAGTGAGCATGTCAAAATACCCCGTGATTCATTTCTCTTTTCTGTTACTTAATTACATACCAATGAGGATTTATCTCTTTTGATAAATTAATGGGCAGAGTTGGAAAATTTGTATTGAGGTATTTCCATTCATTTATTTACCTAAATATGTATTTTTGGTGATTGCTCTGTGTATAGGAGAGCCAGAGTCCATCTAATAAATCCTTGCCTAAAGCAGCAACACAGCTTCGGAGAACCTGTCTCTCTATGCAGGCCTGTTTTTATCCGAATGGTTTTTATGATTAGAACTCAACAGAGCTATTCCATTTAGATTGCAGCCTACGAGATTTATCTGCCTCTGCTTTTCTTTTCTTTTCTGTCCTGTCCACGTTTGCATCACTTAAAAGGTGTGACTTACAGTCTCATTCCCTTTAACAGTCATTTCAGTTCTCCACACAGCAATTTAGATATTCTAAACAACTTGTTGCTGGTTAGCACCTGTTGCCAACTGTTCTCACAGTTTCATTCCAACCAAATCATGTACCAGTAAGCATTGCTTCAGTACTAGTGATGAAGTTTTATTCTGGGTGATTATATAACCATTATTGCTATAAACTTGGGTTTATAGATGATGCCTGGGAAAACAAGAAGCCTAATGTATTAACAGTAATAAATTTGAGTTTCTGAGATTTATTTTGTAAAAACTGGACTCTTCTGTGCGTACCTTCAAGTAGATCTGCAATCTAATGACATTTTAAATGTCCATCTCCGTTAACCAAATAATATTTTGTTTGATTTGCTAATTTAGTAACAAAGATCCGCTAATAACTTTTAGCTCTCCATTGGTGAAAATCTAGGTGCAAATAGCATATTACTTGCATTGTCTTTATGTTTTTAACTTGACTTGTTATTAGTACACAGTTCTGCATTTGCCATAATGAAGTCAGCTTTAACATTTTTTGGTTTCCTCTATAGGTGTTTCACAAGTATCATTCATAGATCCATTCACCAAAAAAACAAAAACAAAAAAGTATAAAAGGCCCTTTGATCATAATCTGTTGAGTTATATAAATGGAAAATTGGACAGGTTCCACATTGTATTCTAGATATGCTTATGAAATATATCATAATACCAAGTCACATTTTTTAAATTATGAAAGCTGTTATTTTTTTTCTTCTTTGACTTACCTGGTAGTATCTTTATGGAATATCTGAGGTTTTCCATGAACTTAGGTAACCAACCCAATATGTTAAGAGGCTTTGTCTTTGTTACTGGTACAGAGTACTTATGAGAGTATTGATTTAGTATCTGCTGCTTTTCATGTTGTTTTAGCCTGTAAAGATCGTGTCTGCCATACCATGTTTTAGTTTAAAACCAGCAGGAACAAGTCAGAAATTTTCCTGAATAGGTCCTGCCAGAAAAGGAAAATAGTAAAATTCTATGATATTGTCATTCTCACCTTTCCTCTTGAAGATGGAATGATGGTGCCACCTTTGAAACAATCAACTGCTTGCAGTACTTTTCTTCCTTACATGAAATTTATTGGTCTGTATCAGCAACTCTCAAAATTTAGGCTGTAGACTACAGAGGGTCCTTGAGACTCTTCTGAGATTCTTTAAAGTCAAAGTTATTTTCATAACAATACTAAGATATCATATACCTTTTTAGGTATGTTAACATTTGCAGTGCTGTTGCAAAAGTATTGATTGGTAAAACTGCTGGTACCTGAGTATGAATCAAGGTAGTGGCATCAAGTTGTTCTAGTAGTCATCATATTATTCATCACTCTATATACTTGTTAGAGAGTTGGCAGACAGTCAGTTTCATTTAAGGATTCTCTTGAGGAAGCAGTAAGAATTATCTTTTTATTAAACCCTGACCCTTTAGTACATATATTTCTTTAATATTCTTTGTGAAGAAATTTAGTGTTTACTGCATACTAAAGTACAATTACTGCCTCTACGAAAAGCACCTGTGCAAGCTGAACTGGCTGTTATTTCATGAAGACCATTTTTATTTGAAAGAACAACTGATAAACTATGGTTATTCAGACTTGAGCATTTGGCAGATATTTTCTCAAAAACGAATAGAGAGCCTCACCCCAAGGAAAACAACTGACATTATGACTATAAGAATTTAAATGGGAATTAGACTAAAGGTTTTCTAAGGCTTCTCAGCTCTCATTTTTAAGAATATCTTTTAAAATAATTATTTTACATCTGTGTTTCTTAGTATATCATTAGATTAGTCCCATCAGTAAGTTGGATTTTTTCAAAACATGATGGAACAGATGCGTAAAGATGTGGCTTCAGTATCCTCTTCCCTCTTGCTATTGTCACTAAAATAGCTGTGATAAGCCTTTCCCTCTAGATGCAGGGTTTGCTATAGCACATATCAAATGAGACAATAAGTGTATAACTACTTTGAAAAATAGTACTTTGCTAAAGTACTATTCAAATGCAAAGTGTACTAAAAATCTTTTGTTACATTCAGCAAGTGCTCACAAAGCAAAAGCTTGATTTGTCCACTCTGTTTTTAAATTGATGGTTTTTCTTAAAGAGATTTGTCCGCTTGCCAAAAGTAACATACTATGAAGAGTAAAGAAGAATGATAATTCGATGGCTATCCAAATTACAGTGAAAAATTATATAACATGTATTACAAAGTCTGACATCCTAAGGTTTCATTCAGTCTTAGCCATAGATTTTATTTCATAGTGTATCTTCATATTGTATATATCCACTAAGGGAGAAAAATAGACACAATTTTTACATTTTCATTTGTTGACCTCCTAACCTTTAACAGTTTGTAAAATGCTTAGTGCTATGTAAGTGAATATTGGTATCATTAAGAATATTTTCTATAAAAATTATGATTTTTTTATTGTAGATAATAAGCTTGATCTTAGTGATCATTTCAACCATGATTTATAAAAATTGGCAAAGTTTGTACCTGAGGAATTTCACAACTAAGGTTCTTTAGCTGTCACATGAAAATTTAGGAATTTAAGGGATATTAACTGTACAGAGTTGAAATACCTCTGAAAAATTTAACTTTCTTTCATTTATAGACAGTATGCTGGCTATGACTATTCGCAGCAAGGCAGATTTGTCCCTCCAGACATGATGCAGCCACAACAGCCATACACCGGGCAGATTTACCAGCCAACTCAGGCATATACTCCAGCTTCACCTCAGCCTTTCTATGGAAACAACTTTGAGGATGAGCCACCTTTATTAGAAGGTAAGATTTGTTGCAACACTTGATAGTACTCAATAGTATTCAGCTGGTTAGTGAAAATTAATCTTAATTTGGAGAAATTGTCTTTTCCTTTAAAAAAAATAATCTGTAGAAAAAAGTTTTCTGCTAAACAACTCATTTTAAACAGAGTATATGCGAAACCACATTGGGCCAGAGGGGACCAGATTTTTAATAGATCTTTTAATAGTGATAATAAAGTATGTTACTATGTCAGCATCGACTTTTACTTCAGGTTATTGACTAAATTCTGCTAGTGGGAAAAGTGAGAAGAAAAAGTGTGCTATCCATTATTCTGTGTGGAAATAAACTGGCAGAACTAGTGACATCACTAAAAAAATGGTGATTTTCAAATTGTGTTCCAAAACCTAGGAAGTGGTAGTTCTGAACTTTTTTTTTAACTAGATAACTCTTTGAAAATCTAATGAAAGGTATGAACACTCTCCTCAGAAGAAATGCACACATATGCATAGAGACGTAGTTTTGTATACAGTTAAATGGGCCCCCGGGTATTCCTGAAGCCCCAAGTAAAGAACCCCTTACTGTTAACCCTTTTTGTATATTCTTTGCTATGCAGTCATACCTAAGGGATGTAATAAGTGTCTGTTTCATCAGATCCATACCCTTTTCCAACACCAATCCAGAAATGACATATTTGTGGGATGAGCACCACATTGAAGACTGGCATAGAGAGCTCACTGAAATAATATCATCCAGGCCAGGCACGATGTCTCAACGCCTGTAATCCCAGTGCTTTGTGGGGCTGAGGCTGGAGGATCTCTTGAGGCCAGGAGACCAGCCTGAGCAACACAGCAAGACCCTGTCTCTACAAAAAAAAAAAAGAAAGAAAGAAAAGAAAAAAATTAGCTCTGTGTTGTGGCGCACACCTGTGGTCCCAGCTACTCACGAGGCTGAGGCAGGAACATCACTTTGAGTTCAGGAGTTTGAGGCTATAGTGAGCTATGATCATGCCACTGCACTCCAGCCTGGGTGATGGAGACAGACCCTATCACAATAATTATAATAATAATAATATCATCCAATATTGCTAGATCCTTTTTTGATGCTATGTCATTTTGTCTCTTGTTTCAGGATAGATTTTGATGAATTAAAAATACATCACAAATCCTAATTAACTTTTAAATTTTCTTTCTCTTTAGAGTTAGGTATCAATTTTGACCACATCTGGCAAAAAACACTAACAGTATTACATCCGTTAAAAGTAGCAGATGGCAGCATCATGAATGAAACTGATTTGGCAGGTCCAATGGTTTTTTGCCTTGCTTTTGGAGCCACATTGCTACTGGTAAGATTTTCATTTCAACCTTCAGGGTGCAATTAAAGAACAGCCTTTAAATTTTAAATGTTCTACCAAAAGCCATTTTGAAACTCCGCTTTACACCTCAAGTCTTTGATGTGTTTGGAATAGTACTGAGTTGCTTGTATTTATACCTATTCATTAGTTCTCCATCTATAGTAAGTGTAGCATGTTTTAAAAATCATTTCTTTTTCTAAGAAATGATTAAATTATTAGGGGAAAAAACAAAAAAAAAATAGTAAACAACAGGTATAGCTTCAGTCCCTCATTAGAATTCTGCCTTTTCAGAGGTTACTTACAGTTTTTACACTATTGCTTTTTTTTTTTAATGACAGCATTTTTTTAAAAATCTCTAAACCTTGGTTAATATTTTGTTCTAGTCATACTGATGATTACTTTTCTATATAATTATTTTCCCAATTTATCACCTTCCCAAGAATGTTAAGGCATATTGAAAACAGAAAAGTTGTAAAGATAATTGTTAATATTTATTTTATCTTATGTCTCTGAATTATGAGAGATAACTAATGTAATATACGGAAGATGGGATTTTTAGTCATAAGAGCTGGGCTTGAACTGAGTGCTCCTGATCAGCCTTTGGCCACATCATTTAATCCTTCAGTTTCCTCTCATAGAAAATAATCCTATCCTTCTTACCTAGCAAGATTATTTTGAAGGTGAAACAAGACAGGTTATGTGAGAACACATTGAAAAGTTAAAAACACTGTACAAGTGTGAGTTTTTTTATTACTACATGAATTAATTCATCAATGAACTCAGCTGAGCTTTTTCAAACTTCTGCATTTTTAATCAAGTATTTACAAATAATCTAATAAAAGTCCCAATAATTTTTTTTCTTAACATAATCTGTAGAGGCATTCTCCTAATTTACTTTTTATGTGACAAAAATTGGATAAATCAATAATTTTTGGAGGCTTTTCTGTAAACTGGTT
This sequence comes from Homo sapiens, assembly GCF_000001405.40. Classification (NCBI taxonomy): domain Eukaryota; kingdom Metazoa; phylum Chordata; class Mammalia; order Primates; family Hominidae; genus Homo; species Homo sapiens. The sequence goes on along the minus strand of NC_000005.10, from coordinate 144,163,145 downwards.
TTAGTGATAGTGTGACCTGAATACAAAGTTTGTTCACAAACTTCACTAACAGGATAATTCCAATTTAGCTAATCTTTGCAGTGCTTAAACTGTTTATTGTTGTCTTTTCTTAATCAAAGGGATGTATAAATCAGCCAATAATTTGGAAAAATAAAGAAAAAAATATCTTCCATTATATTCCTTTTGCCATTTCTTCTCTGTTCCTCACAGAACCCTGGCTTCCTGTTTATCCTGGCTTCCTTTCCCCTTGCTCCTCTAGCACCCATATAAAGTGAATCATAAGATTTCTTCTTAAAAAGATTATGACTACCTCCACCAATGAGAATTAATGCTTTGGGGCATTTTTGGTGGAATTAGGTACTTTCAACTGATATAACAATTATCTAGACATTTTGAACGGCTTTCCATCTTGTCTCTAGTTTATTTGCCTAAAATCATCCAGAGTTCTTTTTAGAAATCTTACTATTTTGGGTGATTCTGCTATGCTTTTGTCTCTTTATTTGTTCACTTCTATGCCAAGCCTACACACTAACTGGAAAATGGAGAACCAAATATCTCTGTACTTTAAAGTTACAAAGAATGTAACAAGCCAGTCTGCTCAGTCTTTTACTTCTCTACGTAAAGAATAGATAGATTAGTAGATTTTGATGCTCATAAATTATTTGCTACATGTACTGATTCAGGTGAAATAAGGCCAGAAATAACTTATTTTTTGCCCTTTAACCTGTAATCTTCTTTACCCATAGGCTGGCAAAATCCAGTTTGGCTATGTATACGGGATCAGTGCAATTGGATGTCTAGGAATGTTTTGTTTATTAAACTTAATGAGTATGACAGGTGTTTCATTTGGTTGTGTGGCAAGTGTCCTTGGATATTGTCTTCTGCCCATGATCCTACTTTCCAGCTTTGCAGTGATATTTTCTTTGCAGTAAGTACTGTTCTTTATTTTGGGGGTTGATTGACCAATTCTATGTAGTAGGATTCACCTCATCTTCAGTTTGAGATAAATCACCGATTCAGCAAACATATCAGATAGTGCCTCTTGTAGTAGGGACAGTGCCAAATGGTTTCGGATGAAGAACAATGGTAATGAGAATAAATTTAAAAACCTTTATACCATCTCTATTTTACTCATGATCAAGAATTTCACTAGTTTTGTGTTTACTTACCATTGTCATAGTGGTAACAAATTGAACAGGGTAATTATTAAATATTACATGAAAAAGGTCAAGTCATTAGTGTTCAAATTATGCTTACCCTCTTTGATATTTTCTAGATCCCACCTAATTTCTTCAAACCATTGGACATATGCCAAATGTACGAATAATAAATACATACTCTCTATTGGGCAGCTTTCTAACTGGAAATGAAATGTATTCTTTTTATGATAAGAGGCTGTTATCAGCCTGCGGTGTTTCTCAGATAGATGTACTTGTAAGCAGCTTTAAATATGGTGTAATTTTTAAATGATATTTTAGGTTAGGTTAAAAGGATAGGTATGGCCAGGCACGGTTGCTCACGCCTGTAATCCCAGCACTATGGGAGGCCTAGGCGGGCAGATCACCTGATGTCAGGAGTTTGAGACCAGCCTGACCAGCATGAAGAAACCCCGTCTCTACTAAAAATACAAAATTAGCCGGGCATGGTAGCACATGCCTGTGTAATCCCAGCTACTCGGGAGGCTGAGGCAGGAGAATCACTTGAACCCGGGAGGCAGAGGTTGCAGTGAGCCGAGATCGCCCTGTTGCATACTTCAGCCTGGGCAACAAAAGCGAAACTGTCTCAAAAAAAAAAAAAAAAAAAAAAAAAAAAGGAAGGAAAGGTATACATTACCGCCAATAAGGTTCCTCCTCTTGGCCAGTGTGCAGATTGTCTCAATATAAAATCCTCCATGTGACTAGTGTTAGACATTACCAGTGGTCAGGCTTTGTTACACTTTGAAAGCTAAAGTGGAGGTTTGGGAGGAGAAGAGACAAATATGTCGATTATTTATCCAATACAAGAAATTTGGCAAGATGATGCTTTACACTATTTCTGCTTTGAATAGAAATATTTCATATTTTCAGTGTAGAAATCACTCTTATTTATTAAGAATTTATATATTCATATTTGAATTTTACAGAAGTTATTTTCTACTAAAACCCTTTTTTCAACTAGGAACAATTTTGCCTCCAAGGGGACATTTGACAATGTCTGATGGGGGGCAAGGGTGCTACTTATATCTTATGTACAGAGGCCAGGGATGCTGCTGAACATTCTGACAGTGCACAGGACAGCCCCCACAACAAAGATAGCATCCAGCCCAAATGTCAGTAGTGCCAAGAATGAGAGACCTTATATTTTTAAAAAGTAAAACATAGTTCTAAAAAAGCTGTTTATCCCATGAAATGATTCACCATCATTGAATTTACTGTGAGGTACATTTTAGCATTTGAAAAAAAAAATCCTGATTATTTTTGCATATGTCTACTTGCAGATTTAAAATGTAAATTTAAAATGCTTTAGAATAGGTTATTGTAGTATTCTTACATAACTAATCTCATCTGCTTTTTTTTCTTCTCCCCCCTTTTTCCTTGTTGTTTACAGAGGAATGGTAGGAATCATTCTCACTGCTGGGATTATTGGATGGTGTAGTTTTTCTGCTTCCAAAATATTTATTTCTGCATTAGCCATGGAAGGACAGCAACTTTTAGTAGCATATCCTTGCGCTTTGTTATATGGAGTCTTTGCCCTGATTTCCGTCTTTTGAAAATTTATCTGGGATGTGGACATCAGTGGGCCAGATGTACAAAAAGGACCTTGAACTCTTAAATTGGACCAGCAAACTGCTGCAGCGCAACTCTCATGCAGATTTACATTTGACTGTTGGAGCAATGAAAGTAAACGTGTATCTCTTGTTCATTTTTATAGAACTTTTGCATACTATATTGGATTTACCTGCGGTGTGACTAGCTTTAAATGTTTGTGTTTATACAGATAAGAAATGCTATTTCTTTCTGGTTCCTGCAGCCATTGAAAAACCTTTTTCCTTGCAAATTATAATGTTTTTGATAGATTTTTATCAACTGTGGGAAACCAAACACAAAGCTGATAACCTTTCTTAAAAACGACCCAGTCACAGTAAAGAAGACACAAGACGGCCGGGCGTGGTAGCTCACGCCTGTAATCCCAGCACTTTGGGAGGCCGAGGCGGGCGGATCACAAGGGCAGGAGATCGAGACCATCCTGGTTAACACGGTGAAACCCCGACTCTACTAAAACTACAAAAAAAATTAGCTGGGCGTGGTGGCGGGCGCCTGTAGTCCCAGCTACTCAGGAGGCTGAGGCAGGAGAAGTGTGAACCCAGGAGGCGGAGCTTGCAGTGAGCCGAGATCACACCACTGCACTCCATCCAGCCTGGGTGACAGGGTGAGACTCTGTCTCAAAAAAAAAAAAAAAAGGAGACACAAGACTTACTGCAAAAATATTTTTCCAAGGATTTAGGAAAGAAAAATTGCCTTGTATTCTCAAGTCAGGTAACTCAAAGCAAAAAAGTGATCCAAATGTAGAGTATGAGTTTGCACTCCAAAAATTTGACATTACTGTAAATTATCTCATGGAATTTTTGCTAAAATTCAGAGATACGGGAAGTTCACAATCTACCTTATTGTAGACATGAAATGCGAACACTTACTTACATATTAATGTTAACTCAACCTTAGGGACCTGGAATGGTTGCATTAATGCTATAATCGTTGGATCGCCACATTTCCCAAAAATAATAAAAAAATCACTAACCTTTTTTAAGGAAAATATTTAAAGTTTTACAAAATTCAATATTGCAATTATCAATGTAAAGTACATTTGAATGCTTATTAAAACTTTCCCAATTAATTTTAACTGTGTTATTGAATTTACTTTTACTAAACTACTGTTCTCTTTGTCTCTTTTTTAACTAGGCTCTGATTTTGACCCCTAATTTAAGCTTTAAGAATAGAAATCAGCTAATATAGAATCAGACAAAAAGGGGATTAAATGAGCAGTTTGAGTTACATTATTTTATTGTATTAAATTTATTTGATTTATATTGTCATGTTCTCTTGCCAGAGAGAATCTGTAGGAAAATACTGTATCTTGTATACTGATCATTGGCTTTTTCTAGAAAAACTGTCTCTGATTCTGGACAAAGCTCAGTTATAGTTACGAGAAAGATATGGTACAGGGAGGAAAATACTGCCTTTTTTTTTTTTTTAAAGAGATTTTCAGACTAAATAGAAATGTCAAAATGATGTATCAATGGTTCTTTTTTAGAACAAGTTTTCAAAGCATAAAAAGAGGTTGAGAGAAATAACATATTTATTGATTCACATAAGTATGTTTTTCTTCATTAATCGTCTGGAGAAACCCACTTGTCATTAATTTGTTTTGGGCTAGGTTTTCAAACTTACCAAATTGCTTTAAAAAAGCAATTTGGAAGGTAATTTGATAGGCTTTCCAACTTAACCAAATTTTTTATTGTAATTCTTGGATAGTATTTTTGTCTTTTTCAATTCATTTGTCTTTTTCAGTATAGTTTTTGTTAAGGCAAATGTCTTCCCTTAATATCCAAATATTGCTAATAAACGGTAGAAGATGCTTTGGAAATTAAAATTATCTCGCTGTTGGTTAGACTTAACACTGTTAATCTTCAGCCAAATATCACATATGGATCAAATTATTTTCTTTTTTGTTGTTTACCCTATCCTCAACAACATTTTTAGTTTAAATTATTGTAGAGATTTTTTTTGTGGTGGTTATTTTTTATTTTGCTCCAAAATAATAAGGTGCAAAGCTATTTTATGCTTAACTGTTGCTCTGTCAAAACAGCTATGCAGTGGAGTTGCATTTGATGTTCTAGAGTTTGATTACATGCAGAGTTGTATATAGCCAAAACTTCTCTTATCAAACTCTGTTATGTAGGCATATTTATATATACATTAAAGACTGTTGTACTGTGTCTCAAAAAGTACTATGTGGCGCTTTTTTTTTGTCTATCATTGGAATAGATTGGTTTCTTCAGTTAAGTACCAGGTAGATTACCTGCCTTGCTTTAGGCCCATTTTATACTAAAAGCATGCAGGTATCTTTAAACACTAGAGACACCATAGCTAAAAGCTCATCCAGTGATTGTCATTGAGTAACTGAAACTCATCGTGGGGGTAACAGACTGAAACACGCCTTATCTCCAAATACTGTACTTGTGAGTGGAGTGGCAAATTGACTTAACACTAGTGTGTTACTCATACATGTATACATGCCAAGATCATGTAGTTGACTTTACATATGGAGTAAATGTATATTTTATAGCATTGCTATAATACTGTGTTTACCAATGGGTATTTTCAAGAGCTGTATAACTAGGCTTATGGAAATAGACATTCTTTTTCCAGTTATAGTTAGGCAGATTATGCAAAGTTCTAGAAATCTTAAGATACTATCCTTGGATAGTGGCCACCTAATCAAAGAGAGTTTTTTAAAATGTATCTAATGACATGATTTGGGATAGAATTTAGCATTGTACATTTGGTATTTTGCAAATTTGTATTTTTAACCTTAATAGGCATTGCTAAACTCAAATATGCTCCAAAGCTAAGTCAGTTGTCTCTAAAGTTAAAATTATGCAATTATGCTTGCAGTACTTACTACCTACAGAAAAAGGGAGCCTTTCTGATGTGAACTATACACTAGTTTTCTTTCACATAAATGGAAGAATTTTAAACTTTGGGTAAAGGGAAATTGTACAAGTTAAAATATTATTCTGTAGAGATGCTCTATATCATGAAGAGTTATGGGAAATCAAGGCTACATTTGCCATGCTGTTATATAAAGCAGATCTGATGTAGTTACTCAGACAAGTTGTTTCTCTTTCTTTGTGGGAAGAAAACAAAAAAAAAGTTGTATATAGCAAGTATTTAGCCTTTCATAAAGTAGTATGGAAAGTTTTCAAAACAATATAGCAGCTCTCATGGTACAGATTGTACAATGAAGCATACTTACCAAAGACTAGCCCTGGGCCTTCCTTCAAAATACTACCTAGAGCAAGCCTCCTACCCAAACAATTCCTCATGTTAAAGCTGCCCTCACATGCTATCCACTGACTCATTTTGTGACATGTCAAATTTCAACTGTTATTTAGTAGCAAAAACATACTGCAGATGAGTTAATGAGAGTGTCTCTTTATCTTTTTAGAGTGTATTTAGGATTTATCGGAAGCAGTGTGCCAGTAACAAGGTTTCAAGGTTGTTGGAAACGCCTTAAGGAAGAATTGCTTTATGTGCTTTAATGAATACATAAGAATGATGTCATTACCCTGCCAAGCATACAGTGTTTGTTTTTATACAGTCTGAATAAAACCTAGCCTCCCCACTCTCTACAATCTAGGCTATCATTACTTTGCACCCCTAATGAAGAAAGAATTAACTTTTTAAAAAATTAACTCTGCTTCTCCACCATCCAAATTATTGAAGTTTGAATTGTAGTACATTACTAATACTTGAATTTCAGTAAGTTAATTTGTTCATTAATAATTAAATATCCATTTTGTAACTGGGCAATAGGTAAAATGAAACATTAAATATTTAAATTGTCAATTTCTATGGATTGGTAGAGTACTTAAACTTATGTTATTATTAACAAATATGTATCTTAGGATGGTGACCATCAAAACCAAAGAATGCAGTTTGATAGTATGCAGTTCTGATTTTGCATCACAGGTGGAAATATTTCTGCTGCCCTTGAGCACAAAGTTCCTACTCTGGTTAATGAAGAACATTATCTGCTGATGGAGCACAATGTCCTGTGTTTGTGTAAATAAATTAAAATGATTACATACTCAAATGAGGACTAATTAAATAGAGAGCTGTTCTAATTTAAAAGCACAAATACTTTCTTGAGCACATTAGGTTCCAAAAATCGGATATTACATTTTTTTGTGAGCTTAACTAATTAGGCTTACCTTGCATGTATGAATTTGGTTTATTTCTGCAACTAGCACTAAATCTGCTGATTGCTTGCAGAGTGATTAATTATGCATTAAGGTGTTTTCAATAGCTTATCAGCACTTGTGGCACACACATGAATAAAGAAAAAAATGAGAAAACAAATAAGTACTCAGCAGAAACATTTAACATGCTTGTAAATTATACTTTTAATCTAGTTGGATGACTTTTATTTTCCTACAAACAGAAAAAATAGTTATTTTCTATTTTCCTAGTTAGAATATAACGCAAAGGAGTGTCTGTAAAATTTAATGACACGTTTGCTTTCAGTTATCAGTTTCATGGTCTGATAATATTGGAGAACTTGGTAGTCTTTAGGCAATGAATGGCACTAAAAGCCTTTTTGTTTTCTGTGTTTTAATTTTTAGTTTTCTAAATGTATAATCTTTATTTCCTTTTCTAGGTACACTGTCATCTTGATAATACCTTCACACAGCAATAAAAAGCAGATTATTGATAATCTATTTCAAAATGGATGACCCTCAGAAATATGCCAAGTAAAAGAAAAAGCCAAATACAAAAGGCCACATATCATATGATTCCATTTATATGAATATCTAGAAAAGGCCAATCTATAAAGACAAAGCAGATAAATAGTTACCAGGAGGTGGTAGTGGAGACTGACGGCAAATGAGGCAGGAGGGAACTTTTTGAGTGGTGATGGCTGCACAACTGTATGTTTACTAACTAAATTTTAAGTGTATACTAAAATAGGTGGATTTTGTGGTATGTAAATTATATGTTAATAAACTTTTTAAAAAACATGGAAAGGGGAATGGGAGGCAGAGCAACCACCAGAACATCTATGTTTCTAGAGTTCAAGAGAAGGGTTTTAGGATAGATTTTAATAAAGACAAAAATATATATAGTACCTTTTCCCAGAAGAATATTAATACTGAACAAGTGAAATTGCCCCTCTATCCCCAAATTTCATTCCCCACATAACTGCCTTTAAATAGATTAGCATACATTTTATCAGACTATACACACAGGTACCCAATTCTTCCTAGTGACTTGTGTACACATTAATACATACATGCACTTACCTTTTAAGTTTGTTTTTATTGAATTGAAATTCAATAAAATATATATAACATATAACAAAATTTACCATTTTAACCATTTTAAAGTGTACAATTCAATGTTTTTTAGCATATTCACAATGTTGTACAATCATCACCCACCACTATTTTCAGAATATTTCTATCACCCCCCACTGCCCGCAAAAATTCCCTTTATCTCTCAATTTTCCCCTTCATACCCTGGCGACTACTAATCTTTTTTCTGTCTCTGGATCTGCTTATTCTGGACATCTCATAGAAATGGAAGCATGCACTATGTGGCCTTTTGTTTCTGGCACCTTTGAGTTTACATAATGTTTTCAAAGTCTCTTGTTTTTAAACTTAGCATTCCATTATGGGGATTATTATATATGCTGAACATCGAGATTTACTTCATTGTTTTTAATGGCTGGATATCATTTTATTAAATGAGCAGAGTTTAATTTACTTAATCCCCTATTGTTGGACAATTGATGTCTTTGTACTTTTTCTAAAAACTAAGTCGTGCAGCTTTGCTGTTGGCATTTTTATAACTAGAGTGTCACATTTGCTGTTCATTGTGCTTGGGTTGATCATTATTGTAAACTCAATTTAAATTCTTTTCTTTTTTTTTTCTTTTTTCTTTTTTTTTTTTTTTTTTTTTTTGAGGCAGAGTCTCACTGTGTTGCCCAGGCGGGAGTGCAATGGCGCCATCTCAGCTCTCTGCAACCTCCGCCTCCTGGGTTCAAGTGATTCTCCTGCCTCAGCCTCCCAAGTAGCTGGGATAACAGGCTCCTGCCACCACGCCTGGCTAATTTTTCTATTTTTACTAGAGACAGGGTTTCACCATGTTGGCCAGGCTGATCTCAAACTCCTGACCTTGTGATTCACCTACTTCGGCCTCCCAAAGTGCTGGGATTACAGGCATGAGCCAGTATACCTGGCCAATTTAAATTCTTAAAATGTCAATGTTTTTATTTCCTAAGTGTTTTTTAGTGTGAGTATAGTTTTCTGTTAGTTGTTGAAGCATGAAAATCACATCCATGTTTGTACAAGGCATTGCTCTTTGGTTTTCAAGTATCTCAATGGTTTTCTACTACTCTGTAATAGCGGAATATGAATATTTTCAAACAGATGATAAGTACCCCCTACCTAAAATTATTCCCACATTAGAAGAGAAGACTTTATCCAAAGGGAGCCGCCTTTTTTTTTCTTCCTATTTAGAAGAGTCATTCTGACAGTGTAATTTCTAGGTCACTGTCTTTACATAGCTTTCTAAGAAATTCGGAAATAATCCCATTTTAAATTTCCTGAGTGTGTCTGTATGCCCATTGGATTTAGTCATTTCATGCTGCCCCTAATATTTGACTAATTGTGTTTGAATTGTATCAATACTCAATGCTAACGATACAGTGAAATGTATAGCATGATCTGACAGTGGCTTTGCTCAGGTTAGGCCTTATTGCCCAATTTGTTCCTATTTAAATTCCTAAGCGTTAAGTTTTACCACAGTAAGAAAACTAAAAGCAACACCCCAAATTCAGACATCTGCATAAATGAGTTTGTTATATAAATTTGTATTGAGCTTTAAGGTTGAATTTCTTAGTCAAATGATTTAAAATGCTGCCTTTTTTGTTGTTTTTTGTTTGGATGTGGTTGTTTTGAGGGCATTCAATTGGGTATTCTATTCGTAATGTTCTGTGGCCTATAGATAGGCTTGATTTCTAATACATTTTTAAAAACTATTTTTGTATATTTTAAATGTGGTACATTTTACTCACTACATGAGCAGTTGTATTGAACAACATCCCTTGGCCAAAATGCTTATTTAGGTACTCCTCACATGTCTGGGTCTGTCACAAAGTCATACTTAACCCAGGCTCAATTTGTATCTTCTCTTTAGATCATGTTCTGTTCTGACCCTTGTTTAGATCACAGTCTTCTGATGAGATAACTTGGTTTTGACATTTTCTATAATAGAGCCAATCATTTCTGTGCTTTGAATAAAAGATTAAACGGCATCTCCAATGAGGTGAAGGGTGTTTAGACATGGTTACATTGATGATCTATCTACTTTGAACCAAAGTTAGAATTTAATATTTGACATGAGTCACACTGACTATCTGTTTTTATTCATATCATAAAATAAGAGAGAATCATTTATGAACAAACCATGGAGGCTCTGTCTTAACCAGGAGTCAGCTACAGGCAGAATGGGAGCTGAGGTGACAGTGTGAAAGTCAAGACTGGATTGAAGGCGCTAGAGAGGAATCTGGGGCCTTACAAGAACCAGCAGAAGAAATGTTGGGAGAGATTGTGCTAAGATGTGCTGGAGAATTTGTTTTAATATTTATACTATATTACGTAAACATTGATTTTAAAAGCTTAGTGTATCAAAATAAAGCCTATGTACATGGTATAAAAACAGTAACTACTAAAAATCAGCAGAAAGATATGTGAATGCTTTAAATCAATTCTCAAACTCAATTCTAAAGCAGTTTTTAAATATTCACATAACATAAGCCAATTCTTGCTGATATTAATTTAACATGTCTGGAAAACCTCTCAAAAATCCATTATAGTCCTAGTGTTGGGAAATGTTTCTTAATCACAAATTTAAATTTCTCACGTTGCAATTGGAGCTTGGTTCTTTTCTCTTTATTGGAGATGGGGTCATGTCACCATCCTCTGAGACTAAAGCAGGGAACCTGTTGTCCCTAGTCAAGATCTGGAAGAGAGTATTCATTCACTACCATCCTAACAGGCTTCATTTCATCTGCCTCCCCTCCCATGCACACCCCCCAATTTCCCCAGGCCCATTCCCAGGCTGATAGTGCTCTATTTGCTGACACTGCTCCAAAAATCATTTTATACACATCGACAATTAAGCTATTCTGATCAGAATAGAGCCTATGAATTTGAACAGTTAGAGAGCTGTAAAAAGCAAGCAGTTTATCAGGATTTTAAAGAAGAACACTATAGCTAATGCCTAGGGTATGGCTTCTATCCCTACCTCTGTCTCTATCCTTTTGATGTCTCACCCTTCTGTTTATATCTCTTCCTTCCCTTTGATCTTTAATTGACTCTAATCTAGAAATAAGATGTATTTGTAGCATTTGTTGTGCCTTTCAAAGTTTTGTCTATTCTCAGTTTTTGGTCAAAAAAAGTAAAAGAATATTTCATCTTCAAGTGATGGGAAAAATAATATCAAATATATATTTGCAAGTATAGGGGGAGAAATAAGTCCCCTGCTTGAGATTTTCCTGGTTTAGGAACTTGGAAAATGTTTTCCACCCTTGTTCTATGAGTTTTCCCAATGAAGTTCCAAGCCATTAAGTGCCCACCATGAACAAAGCCCTGCTTTTGGCTTCCTCCTTAGCAAGCTTAATATTCTCTACTTCGATGTTTTGTTTTTTGTTTTTTTTCCGCCCCATAACTTATTTTCTTTTTCTAATTGCCTTTGGATTAATCTCTAAATCCCTTCCGAATTCTTCATGTCTTTCTTTAATTGTATAGTCCAGATCAGGAAAATGCATGTTTCATGTATCTAATCATGAGTGTGTAAAGGTGACCTCACATCTTTTTCTTTTTTTTTTTTTTTTTTTTTGACAGGCTCTTGCTCTGTTGCCTCGGCTGGAGTGCAGTGGTGCATTCATGGCTTACTGCAGCCTTGACCTTTCGGGCTGAAGTCCTCCCTCCTCAGCCTGCCGAGTAGCTAGGACCACAGGCACACGCTACCACCACACTTGGAATTTTTTTTACATATTTTTGTAGAGACAGAGTATCACTATGTTGCTGAGGCTAGTCTTGAACTCCTGGGCTCAAGCAGTCCTCCCACCTTAGCCTCCCAATATGCTGGAATTACAGGAATGAGCCACTGTGCCCAACCATCTATTTCTTTTCATGTAACTAAGTGACACATTTCTTGCATACTTTTGAACTGACAGTGGTAAATACATATCTTAGTGCTCACCCTGTTATGGGTAAAAAACTTGGTAAGATTTTGAATAAGTAATTTTTGTGCCTTAATTTTCTCTATATAAAATGAAGAAATTGTATTAGATTCTTTAAAGCATTTCAATTCTGAAATTCTACAATTTCTGAGATGGTGATAAGATTTTAGCCATATTAAAAAGAGAATAAATACTGACATGGTAAAGTTTTCCCTGAATATATTTTAATTTTATCAGGAAGTATATATAGTATACCATCTTTGTAAAACAAAAAGAACTTTACATATTTGTGTGTGTGTGTGCATGTGTGTACACACACACTTGCCACCTGGGACAAATATTTTACTAAATGAGAGAATTAATGAATTTATAGATGCTGTTTTCAAACTTCTTGATTGGAAGAAGTTTTAACTATACCTTAGAAAGAAAATGTAATTTTGCTACAATGACGCTTAATGTAATTTTGACTTTTAAATATTTTGTCCTTGGCTGGGTGTAATGATTCACACCTGTTATCCCAGCAATTTGAGAGGCCATGTGCTTCAGCCCAGGAGTTCGAGACCAGCCTGTAATATAGTAAGACCCTGTCTCTACAAAAATAAAAATATTAGTCAGGCATGGTGGTGTACACCTATAGACCCAGCTACTTGGGAAGCTGAGGTGGGAGGATCACTTGAGCATAAGAGGTTGAGACTGCAGTGAGCCATAATCACACTGTACTCCAGCCTGGGCGACAGAGGGAGACCCTGGCTCAATCAATAAACAAATAAAATGTTGTCCTTCCAGTCTAATTGCATTGAAAAATATAGCTATTACCCAGGCATATCACCCATAGTTCAGAGTTTGATATTCTACCATTAGATTAATTTTTTTTCTTTTTGGTTCATCAGTGCCTCTCTCAATCTTGTAGGTACCTGATTCACTCTAAAGTACCAAGGACGTTCATCTCTATTAGCACTAGCCTCCTGGGGTGTAACGTGACTCTTCACAAAAAGTCCAGTAACCATTTCCTTAGTTCAATAACTAATACATCTTTGAGAAATTGAAAGCTGCACTACTCTTGAAGAAAGCAATTGTGTTCATTTCAGCAACATGGAAAGTCCAGGAAAAACTAGTATGACTCTCCAAAGGCAATGCTTATAAAGGAGAGGGAGACTTTATGTTGTTTATTAATAGATTTGATTTTTATATTTATCATAAGATGTAATATATGCAATAAGATAAAAAGTATAATAGCATGTCCCTTGCATTTAGAGTGAAATGTGAAAACAATATTAAATCTATCTAAAACACCCTGCATATTCTTTAATTACATCCCATATCTTCCCCTCAGAGATTACTAGTTTATCATTTTGAGCATTTCTTTATATTTTTACTAGGTATGTATCTATTCTTAAAAATTGTAGTATTACTTGGCATGTTTTTGACTTTTATATAAATGATACAATGCTGTGCTTTTCTTCTGTAACTTGCTTTTTTTACTCCTAAGTTTCTGCAGTTCAGTTATGTGAGTACTTGGTGACGCTCTGTTTACTGGTCTGTATTATACCATGAGTATATCATCACGCATTGATCCATTTTTCTGCTAATAGACATTATGTTTGTCTCCAGTCTTGCTTTTACAAACAATGGTCTGTAAGCAGTGTATCTACCGTGTGTGCAAGGGTTTCTTTGGGTATCTACATAGGGTTGAAGTGTTACATTTGTATGGGTTTGTGTCTTTTTGCCTTATCCCATAGTCATAAAAGCAGTCTCAATAGTTCTTCTAAAGATTTTAAAGTTTTGCTTTTCACATTTAAAACTTTTTAGCCCCTTGTTATATGGAGAAGAAATCAATTTCTGGTGTTTTCCCCCATAATGCATAGCCAATTGTTCCAGCACCATTTATTTTATGGTCTCTCCAGGATAGGTACTGTTAAGCTAACCATAAAGCATTTTTCTAGGTTAGTCCTGAAAAAATGAAACCTTTTCTCTCCGTTAAGGAAAGCTTTTCTCTCCTTTATCTCTTTAAAAAATTGTCTGTATTTTTCTTCCTCCTCTAGCCTCAGTCTCTCTGCTTTTACCTTAATGGTATCTGCTTTATTAATGGAAAAGATACATGACTTAGAAGAAGTAGTATCTCAGGACAGTGTGACTCCCTATATCCTAAACCAGGGGTCAGCAAACTTTTTCTGTATCAGGCTAGATAATAAATATTTTAGGCTTTACTGGCCAAGAGGCAAAATCAAGGATATTATGTATAATATCTATACATGTAAAATAGGTGTTATAGATGTAAAATGCATATTATATATAAGAAAGAACAAATTTCCACAAAATTTTTATTGAAAAAATTAAAAATATAGTAATTTAGTATAATTTTTTATAATGCAGGTCTACTAATGTGTAGAATGGAGTTATTTCTGGTTCTCTAATTTGTCTCCTCCCTACCTGATGAGGTAAATATCGTTAATATTTATTTTCATTCATAAGGAAAATGAAGTTCACACAGTTACCCTGTGGGTAAACGTTGGAACCATCATTTGAGCCTTACTCCAGAGCTTGTGCTCTGGATCTTGATACAATTTTCAGAAGAGAATTAATATTGTCTTATTTTAATGATAAATAAATTGAAGCTCTAAGAGGTTAATTCAATTGGACAAGGTAATACAGATTGCTGTAGGACCACATCTGTCTGATTTCAAAGCCTCATGCTCTTTCCCTTCTACTCTGCTACTATAAGACTTCCGGGAATCTCCAAACCATGGATAATAGCTGCAATGACAAATCAGGTCCAAGTTGTCCTACCATTTTAATTGAAATATTTTAATACAAAAACCAACAGCTTTTTTACTTGTAGCTGTAAAAGTTATAAATAGTCATACTAAAAACTACTGAAGGATATTTGGTGAAAGACAAAAGTGAAAATTATTAATTCTCTGTTCTCTCTTCTATACGGTCACTCCTTATTTCTCTCTTTTCTTTCTCTGCTTATTTTTTCTCCTTTTCTCTCCCTCTTTCTTTTGTGTTATAAGCTCTGCTCAGAATAAAATAAAGGAGTCCGTGCCTGAGAATATAATTCAGATCCCAGAGAATTAGAGGTGCTCTTGTTGACCAGATATACTGGAAATCTCAAAGCTTATATAAATTATTTTAATGGATGAATAGCTTTTAGTTTTCTGGCATCAAATCAATGTTCGACAAATGTTTACTGAGTGGCTACTATATGATAGATTCTATGGAAGAATACAGATAAAAACAATTAGCTCTGCCCTTAAGGAGCTCACAACTTAGTGAAATCCTAATAATTACTTGAGAAAGTAAAGAGAAAGCCTAAGTGAATTCATCCAGGGCAAGGACTGTCTTCACAGCTCTGACACCTTACATCCTTTATTAAGAGAGATGCAAATTAATCAATATTAATTCCCAGTTGAATGGTATATTGGATTAGTTGACAAATCTGATTAACTTCAACATTAAGATAAATGGACAAAAGCATAATCACTATTTGGGTACATAGCTTTGAATATGCATTTAAGAATGCATTGCAGAGTGACATCAGCAGCAGCAGCAACTAAAACGTACTTGTCATATGCCTCGTGCCAGGCACCCTGACAGATGTCCCCCATGCATATCTCATTTAAATATTACAACAAGCCAGTGAAATAGATGTTATTATTATAGTTTTAGGTTATTTTAAAGATGCAAAGTGTTTGCCCTATGATTACATAGCTAACTAACAAAGAGTATAGCCATAATTTGACACATTTGAATGGAATTCATGTTGCCTTATAATTTATTTTTTATCCTAAGGGCAAACTAGAAAAAATAAATAAATTACATACACAGCACTGAACTGATGAATTACAATTTTTATTTTTCCCCAAAGGGCTTTTGGGACAACAAATGAGAAGTAGAGCTGTCTCTCAGGGTTGGATTAGTGAACTTGGGTTCAGTTTTGAAATTAACTAGAGATAGCTGCCTCTAGTTTTAAATTACAGATAACATGAGAACATGAAGCCAGATGTTATTCACTTCATTTGGAGGGTGACTGGAAAATCTTTTGGGCTACTGTAGTTGTTTTGCTTTCCCTCACATAGAAGAGCTAAGCTGGTGTGCAAAATGGTTGGGAGAAGAGGGAAAAATAGATTCTACTTCTAGCTCTGCCCTCAATCCATCATACAGCATTGAATAAAGTAAGTTTTCTACTTCCTGTAAAATGGGGATAAAAATGCTTCCTCTGCCCACTTCACCAAGGAGAGGATCAAAAGAGACCATTTATGTGAAATGACTACACACATGCAGGACATTCTTTTGTAGATAATAAACAGATATATATTCATGAGCTGTTTACATTAACCTGTGGTTGGGGTAAAACCAGAGCCTAAGCCCAATATACTGAGGCAAAACTGTGGCCTCTTCTGTAAGCAACAGAAGGTGGATTTTCTTGGCTTCACTCAAACCAGACAAAGAGTAGGCCATTTCCAGCCGGGCACAGTGGGCCACAGCTGTAATCCCAGCACTTTGGAAGGCTGAGGCAGGAGAATTGCTTGAGCTCAGAGTTCAAAACCAGCCCTGGCAACATAATGAGACCCTGTCTCTACAAAAAATAAAATTAAAAAGAGCAGACTATTTCATCTGCATTCAAAAGTCCTCACTCAGACTCTTCATTTGAAATTGTCAGGAGACAATATGGTGTTTAAGAGCACAGGCTTTGTAATCTGATCAACCAGAGCTCAAAAGCCAGCTTCTGTACTAGAATCATAAAGGAATTGTCCTCACTTAGTCTCAGTTTTCTCATCTCAGCACAGGGATAACTACTGCACCTCCTTCATGAGCCTTTGTGGGATTAACTGAGGGAAAGAATGCCAAGTACTTAATATGGTGCCTTGTAAACTAAAAGTGTGCAATAGATAGTAGGTGCTATTTATTATTACGGACAGTAGTGGTCTCAGCAATACTTGTAGCAGCAATATCACGAGAGACCATTTTTTTTCTTACAATTGTGAATATAATTACTTTGGACCTAATTTGCACGTATTATACCTAAATAGTTGACCAGCTGTCTTGTGAGCAATTTTCATTTGTTTTTACTAAGTGAGGGATATTACCTTTTAAAAAATGGTCCTCTCAATATAGATTTTTTTATCTTTTGTGCCAGATATATATTTCCTTTCATTTATATATAATTCATTATTATCTAAAGGCATCTATGGCAGTAAAGGTCTAAAGGCATCTATGGCAGTAAATGATACGAATCTTGACCATAACTTTTATTCTGTGAGACTGACTCATAAAATCATGTGTTCTTTGTACCTCATTGCAGAGATTTCTTTTAAAACTGCACTGGTGTTCATATGTTAGTTAGCATATCTTTAATGAGATTTACCTAATTTGGCTCAAATAAAACAAGGACCTGGTTACTCACTTTGATGTGTACATCTGATAATAAGTCTGACGAGAGCCACTGTTGGAATTTTCTTTGTTTTCTGAAGGCTGATACAGTTAAAGAACAACATGGGGGGTTAAAAGTCCTAACAGCATAATTTGAAGGAGTGTCAACAAGCCCTATATTTATTGTAATTGTACTTGGGCAATATCTCATTTCCACTTGAGCTTCAGAGCTATAAATAGTTCTAATCTGTTTACTTTGTACACTTACTGGATTAATTACAGTAGAACATGCCAAATGATATTATTGTAGCGGTTGGCTAAATGTAACACAAACATGATAATTAAAATGATTACTTTTTAATTTCTCCCCTTTTCAGTTTTATGAGCTGAATTTACAGTGTTATAAGCCTTTAAGAATCTGATTTAAGAATCACTGGACTTTTCTGTCAATGCATTTCATTGTTGACATTGGATTTAGTGTTGTTCAGTGTTGTTGGGAGTTTCCTTCAGAAAGGAAACACCTGGGTCCTGCTTCCATGTGATATCTACTTGGTGAAAAGTGCATTGTTTCCATCATACTTGCATCATTGTGGAGTAATCACGTTTCCATTTACCTATCCAAATTGATGCTGGTAACGCACATTCTCACATACACACACACATATACACACCCCTGGTAGAGAAATTGTTTCCTCTTGCATCAGTAAAAGTGATGTATGTTTATTTCAACATGCCCTCCAGCAACCTTTTGGTGCCTCAGCACTACCCAAGACAGTAATTGTGCTCAGCAGCTACCTCATCCAGGCAGTTTCTTATTTCTAGATGTCTGACTACACCTGGGAAAGTACTGTTTTTGTTAACTTACCAGAAGAGGGCCACTGGGAAGAAAGGAAGTGAAAAATGGTTACTGCCAAAGGTATTATCCTTTAATCCTAAAAAGGTTGCTTAAGCCCCTCTTGGTTCTCCCATTATGTTCCTTCATGGTTTGCCAATTAACTTATCCCAGTGCTCTGGGGTCATTGATCTAGACAGCACTCCTTTTGGGTTCCCCTCCCACCAATTCCCAGCAAAGTTGTTATAAATGCACTGTGCTTCCTTTTTGATTGTCCCTTAGTGGCTGGGTTGCTTTGTAAAGAATTCGATGCACAGGTTTCAGCAACCTCTTTACAAAGTGGAGACAAAAGCAAAAATAGAAGGGAAAAAGGATACTCCAACGGACTAAAACGACAGCAAACTTTAGCTGTAAACTTTTTAACTGAAGAACCTGGAGTTGCTTTTGAGAATTTTAAAACAAAGCACAAATAAGAGTTGGGAATATTTTATTTCTTCTGTGTACCTCAGGATTTTCCACTTTATACCTGGCTTTGAATAACTCTCTATATAGTCTACATTCAAAATATCAAGTAATTTTACCTAGCCTTTGGTAAAGAAGAGTCCAACTGGCAACTGCAGAAACTTGTCACCTTCAAGTTTATCCAGCGTTCCCAATACATTTTGAAGTAGT
This sequence comes from Homo sapiens, assembly GCF_000001405.40. Classification (NCBI taxonomy): domain Eukaryota; kingdom Metazoa; phylum Chordata; class Mammalia; order Primates; family Hominidae; genus Homo; species Homo sapiens. The sequence goes on along the minus strand of NC_000005.10, from coordinate 144,144,259 downwards.
GAGTGTTTCTAAGAACTCAATTCTGAGCCCTGTTTTTTCTCTTTACATCTTGCCCTCCAAGACAGTTTGTTTGCTTTTACAGATTCAACTTTTGCCTCCATGTTAGATCTATCTAGTTTATATCCCAAACACCAACACTACACTCATGCTCAAATACCTATTATCAATTGCCTGCTAGACATTTCTTTAAGATACCCCACTGGCAACTCAAAGTCAAGTTATGCACAGTGGAACTCCTCTCTTCCTCCCTCTTCTACCCTGAAAGTCTGTCCCTTCACATTGCGTGCTCTCTCTCTCTCTCTCAGTGGGTTGCTCTCTCTCTCTCTCTCTCCTTCCTATCTCCTGTTGCCCTTTTGACTTCTCTCTTCTTCTCCCTTTCCCTCTCTCCCTTTCCATCTCTTTCTCACATCCATACCACTAACCAACAAGAATGCAGAGTCATCATTTGATTTTCTCTCCCCATAGCTTCTTACATCTCTGAACTAGGCAAGTCTTCTGTATTCTTTCAAGTCTCACCCATGCCTTCATCCTCTACAGTACTATGGTTAATCATCCAGGTTATGTAAATGTTTATTCAATCAATGCTTATCAGTGGTCTACACTATGCTGGGCACTGTAATGGGCACAATGAGGATTCAGTGCTGGCAAAGAAACGCTTTTTTCCCTGCCATGGCAATTGTCATCGTTATTGCCCCTGTATTATTACAACACTCTCCTAATTGGTATTTTGGAAGCTGGTGTCTCTCCCTCTCCAAACCATCAGGTCACAAATTACCCTCCTCAAAATACAGCTTTGGGGAATGATACATTTCTAAATATTGTGTACTTAATTATCAGTAATTCTGCTGTATGTATTATGATCTAAAGCCTTTGGAACTCTTTATGTAGAACATCATAAAGAGCTGCACTTCTAGGCCACCGACTGCATTTTGAATTGTGACTACCGTCTTATGAATGAAGTACCAAGTCATCTTCATCTGCCAGCCTCATTTCCTTCGAATACTGCAGCAAGCCACCTCCCTTGAGAATGAGGGGCAAGGGCAAGGGCCTGTAGTATTGTACTGCCCAAAGCAAGACTCTCTGGGGGAAGATCAGAGTTCCCAGGCTAACAAGGTCCACGGATCAACTTCCCATCTGAAAAAGTTAGCACCATTTAGTGCCAAAGCCACTGTCTATGCTTGTAATGCCAGCTGTACACCTCAAAAATGCATGTGGGAGATTTGTAGATAGATCAGTGCAGGTTTTCTGCACTCTGCTCTTCAAATATCAGGGAAAGCTCCTGAGGAAGTGACATCCATTTCTTTGTTTCAAATGGTTCCTCTTTTTTGTTATCACAGAAGCAATGCATGCATATTGTAAATTGATTCCTACAGTACAAAAGTATTTGAAGTAGAAATTGGAAGTCCCTCATGTGTTCCCCACCCTCACAGATTCTAAGGAAAGTAGGAGTTGATAGATGTGAGAAGAACATGTTGGACTGAGATTTTCACTAACGTTTTCAGCCTCCTTTGTCATGTCAACATCTCTTTTCCCCAACATCTCCTGTAACAAAGTAGAGATGAAAAGCCAATATAGGTGACACATTTTATCCCAAATCCCTGCTCTCAGTAGCATTCCCAGAAGTAGGAGAAGAGGCAGAAGCCAAGGAGGGCACCTAGACCCTTCAGTGACTGAGGCACAACATTCCCCCACACCCAGGATGGCAGATTAAGCTCATTATACACACAGACCTCACAAGTCTATACTATAATACCAGCATAGATGCTCTTTCACCACTAGGTGGTTCTGTAACCTATCTGATGTCATTCCCACTTGCCGACTGAAGTAAAGAACAGAAAATTTTAGGACAGTTTCTGTTGTCACACCTTCCTCATTTGTTTATATCTTCATTTTCAACTGCTCTTCCACATCCAGATAGAATTTGATCACAAAGTTGATATGCACAGTCTCACCAAAACTGCCTGTGTGTTACTTGCTGGGAAGAGGGCCATTTTCCTCTATAGGCCAGGCTCAGGCTGTGAGGCTGCAGGCTTTTTTCTAACTCTGGAGACAAGTGAAACTCCACTCTGTCCTGGTTGCAACAGGAACAGAAATCTCTTTCTCATGCTTCATTGATGGTGCCGCATCTACTGCATTTATTCATTCAATACACACTTACTGGTGCCTATTATTTTATATTTAGTGAACTTGCTAGGTCCAGAAGATAAAGAAAGTGGATTGTTTAGTCCTTGGGAGCTTAACAGTCATATGAGAGCAACAAACAAGCATCAAGAACACTTGATATTTCCCACCCAACATCCATTTCCCTTCTCCTGGATCTCAATTTTCCTCTGGAAAGCACCTCCTATCCCTCTCTCCCTCCCTCAGTACTTGGGTTTCAGGTGTCTGACTCTGCCTCTGACTTCCTGGCAAGGCATGGATTCCACCTAGGCCTGAGCGTTGCATCCTTTGCTTCCACTAATTGCTTCAGGGATAAGCGTGTGGCCTGACCCAGTGAAATGCAACCTGGGGAATTTTGCTGAAACTTGAGTATCAAGTGACCTGGGAGTATGTAGGCTTGAATCTGTTGGCAGCTGCCTTGCCATGACATGAAGTCTAAGGATGACACTAGTGTGAAGAAAGGCAGTTAAGAGATGAAAAGAGACTGGCCTTAGTGATGCAATATGAGTCTTTAAATCAAAACATGCCCAAAGCTAGATCTCCTTCTGAAGTGTCAGAAGATTTCCATTTTGCTTGATCTTATTTGAACCAGATTTTCTGTCACTTTCACCAGATATAATGTTATTATAATATATAATAACATATACAACATATGTAATATATATTATACCATATATTAATATATAATATATACTAATAATAAATACAGGGATTATTACAATGAAATGTGATAAGTGGGTGATATGATAGAAGTTAGTGCCAGCAATAAGTAGGAGAAATATCTAACCCACAGGGAGGGATGGCTTCCATAGAAAGTTCATTTATTTAAGAGCTAAATCTTGAACACTGTATTAGTTTATTTGGATCACAATAACAATGTCCTACAGACTTTGACTTAAACAATGGAAATTCATTTCTTCTTGTTATTTTCTCATAGTTCTGGAGGCTCAAAGTCTGAGCTTAGGTGTCAGCAGTGTTGATTTCTTCTGGTCAGCATGGGAGTTTTGACCTGCTCCCCTTCTGACCGGGGCCAGTTAACCCCTCCTTAGGAAATCTGATGGCCCCCCCCACTCCTGGGAGGGTCACCATATTGATGCCAAACTTAGTGCAGACACCCAGTCAACATAGGGTACTACAGCCCAGAACTCCTGGACTCAAGCGATCCTCCTGCCTCAGCCTCCCTAGTGCTTGGGACTACAGACACGCACCACTGCCCCCGACAGGGTTGACTTCTTTTGAGGCCTCTGCTTGGCTTTCAGGTGGCCATCTTCTCCCTGTGTCTTCACATGGTCTCCCCTCTGTATCTGGGTCCAAATTCCTGATTCTTGTAAGGATACCAGTTACACTGGATTAGAGCCCATCCTAATGATGTTATTTTAACTGAATTCCTTGTATGTTGACCTTATCTCCCAAATACAGTATATTCTGAGGTCCTGGGGATTAGGACTACAACATATGAATTTCGGGGGAGGTAGGACAATTCAGCCTATAACAAATACCTAATTTGGGTACAAAGATAAATAAAAGTGGATCGTTAATCTCAATGAGCTTACAATCTACATAAGACTGGCACAATAACCATAATAGCTAAAGAAATGAAAACATACACATTTATTAACAACATACACATTCTAGAATCTTTTGGATTTATCATTTAGGATAAGCCAACAAGTCCATGAGACCACTACTATTGAAATGGTATGCTAATGGAAGCAGTATAAATTATTGAGCTTTGAAGAAAAGGTCCCTTCCAGGAAAAGTGGTATTTGAGAAGCCCTTTGAACAATGTGTACAATTTTAGTAGGTAAATGGCCAAATTAGATGTGAGGGGGACCTTGGCGATGTGATACTTTCACCCAAATCACCCACGCAGGCTAAATAGGTCACTGTTTACCATGTCGTTCCACCTTCTTTCCTGTTTCAGTGTATCATACCATTTAAAGATGTTCCTAAACGTGTTTTTAAAGGTAAATTTTTAAACAGTGTTCTAGCTGTCTTGCTTTAACTAGTCCCTCATTGTTATTTCTATCACTACCAAACATGTGAAAGGGTTGAGATATTTTCCTACTTACGAGCTAAGAAGTAAATCTGCCAGAGTTTCATGGATGTTGACAGATGACATGAGGCTCTTGGGTAAGAGATAAAAGACAGCTACCCTAGCATTCTTTTCCATCATTAAGAAGGCCAGATGATCACATGCAGTGGGTGTGTTACAGAAAAACAGCCTTATTTTAGGGAACCCAGATCTTCTAGGATAGTCAGTAAGCATGCCTGGTCCGTGCTCCAGAGGGAGACAACATCTCTATCTTACAAGGCTGTTCACTGCACAGATGTTCATCAAAAGACAGTCTGGAACAAAGGAGCAGTGAGTGCCTTGCTCACGTGATGTGCAGAAACCTAAGCGGCCCATGGAGAATTATCTTCTAATAGTTATAAACAGCTTTGGCCAAATGAATTTCCTGCTGGTTTTGTCGCAAATAAATCACGAGCTATCTATATATGAAAGGAATGTTTTTCCAAGCCTTGGATTTTGACTCTGGGTTTTTCTTGCTTCCATTCTGTGGTTTTGACAAGGGGTTTAATTGTCCATTCTGCAATTCTCTTCCTCTCCCTTAACAGCAAATATATAATGCTCTAACCCTTAAGCTCACCTCCTCATTACATCTTTCTTCAAATTTCTCTCAAATATAGTAATTGACTTTACCAGGGATCAGCAGACCTTGGTCAGTGGACCAAAGAATTGTATTTATGCTTTAAAAATGTTCTGAGAAAACAACAAAATAGGACATAGAGACTGTATGTGGTCCCTGAAGCCTAAAATATCTACTATCTGACCTCTCCTAGAAAAGATTTGCTGACCCATGTTTCAAACCTCTGGAAATGCTACAATAATTGAGAGCAATGTCCCCTTCCCCTCTCCCTATCCCTTACTGTTAAGTTTAAATCATGAAAGGTTTAGAGTCAGCTCTAAAGTACCTACTGAGCCAGGCAAAATTATTCTCTTCTTATAACACATCATTCGCTGTTTTTCATTTTCTTCATAATAAATCTGGTTTTATTTTCCTCTTCTCCCTCGCATAGCTGTCTTACCATCACCTGCCATGTGCATAAAATGTAACTATCCACTATAACAACAAGCAGTATGTATTAGGAATTACTTGTTTCAGGCAGAGTCCTAAGCATTTTATGCATCCTCACAGCATCTCTTTGAGGTAATTACTGGTATCTCCTTTATACAGATAAAAAAAAAGGGTTAGTTAATAACCTATCCAAGGTCATGACACTTCTGAGTGGCAAATCGACAAACACGTTTTCCCGGTTCTGTCTGTCAATAGTGTGCCTCCTTGGGGGCAGTGGTCTATTATAATGGAACCCTCCCATCTTCACCAGGAGAGAGGATGAGAAGCTGAAAAGAAACAGAAGGAAAGATAAGAAAGATTCTTTATTGACCATCCTCTATGTGCTAGGATTCCTGCTGAACATTTTGAAAAAAAAAAATAAAAAAAAAACACTTTGTTTCACCTCTGACAACAAAGGTAAAAAGGCTTTCCATTTTTATACACAAAGAAAATGGAATTCAGGAAGCTCAAGAAACTTGCCCTAGTAGAACTAGAATTTGAATGATTATTTGTTTGACTCAATATTAGCCTGTGACATTTCTGCCGAACCACTTGGAGTGGCTGCCTAGGAACCAGTATGCACTTCCTCGTGCAGTATGTTGAGTAGCACAGATTGGGGTAAGCAAATGCTCATGTAAAGCACCCATGAGGGGCACATAAGATGTTGGATGCTGGCAATACAGAGCATAGCAAGACCCACCTGCTTCCCTTCTACAAATTCCAACTCTTACTTAAGTGTAAAACATTGTATGATTTGGCAGAGAAACTAGTGAGTATTTTTTGAATCTCATACACTGTACTTAAATCTAGCTTTCTTATATTTTCGTGTCTTTTGTTTGTTTTCTGACAGTCAATAACTTAGAGTTAATTAAAAACAGCATTTTCACCTTGATTTAGGATGTAAGTACATGTCTCAGTGAAGTCAGTTTTCTTTAGAAACCTTTTACAAGCATTTTTTTTAGAAAAAAATTAATAGCTATAAATCTGTATATACACATCATTCAGCCATGACATCATCAGGTAGATGCATATAAGTTCTGTCTCAAATAACTGACAAATATTTTAATGTTCCTATATGCCAAGCACAATTCTAGATGCTGAGGAAACATCACTGAATGAGATTTTTTTAATGTACTTTAATCACTTCTGATATTCTTTCCCAAAATTCATAACCTTAGTCTAATCACGAGAAAATATCAGACAAACCAAAACTGAAGGTCATTTGATTAAATATCTGACTAGTATTCTTCAAAAGTGTCAAGGTCATGAAAAGCAGAAAGAGAAAGAGGAAACTGTCACAAATTGGGGGAGATTAAAGAGCCATAATGACTAAATGCAATGTGAATCCTGAATTGGATCCTGAAACAGAAAAATTATGTTAATAGAAAAACTGGAGAAATCTACATGAAATATATAGTTCATTCGATACTATTGTGCCAATACTATGAAGATCAATTTCTTGGTTTTAATCAATGTACCATGATTTTATAAGATGTTAACATTCGGGAGGCTGGATGAAGAATATATGGGAATTATCTCTATTACCTTTGCAGCTTTTCTGTAAATCTAAAACTATTTCAGCTTCAACATGTTTTAGAAAATCCATGCCTTCATAGAGATTAAATTCTAGTGGGGGAAGTAAAACAAACAAAATAAAATGAGTCAATAATATGGCATAAGCAAGACTGGATAATTGTGAACATTCTCAGACTCTTTAAATCAAAAGATACTGAAAGTTCAAAATGGCTACCCAACAGTGGCAGTGAGAAAAGGCTGTGTATGTGACTCTACAACCTTTTGTTAAAATTCCAAGAGATTTAAAGGTCAGTATTTTCAGTCATTCACACACAAAGCCTTTTTGATATTTTGTTCATCATGGTTTTTTTTTGCATTAAATTTGAGGTTGTTTTTAAATTACGTTAAAATATGATTTTGTGGCATCCACTTAAAATTTGGCTCACTGAAGACTTACCCTACTCACCACAGCCTTAGGTGTTATTATGCCTATTTTATAATTAAGGAAACTCAAGCATAGATAGGTAAATAATATTGTCCAAGGTCACATAGCTATGAAGTGGTCAAACTGGAATCCAAAATCTATGTTCTTAAACATGATACTACACCATTTTTTTTAAATACTGATAACTTTTAAAGACTATTGCAGTTTGGCCATAGATAGCAGAACGTAGTTACTTGGGTACCTCTGCTGTCACTTCATTATCTGAATATGCACCTTCTTACTACCACAACCTCCAGCAGACCTTCCTGTTTCATTGCTAAGTGACTAACTAACCTTCATAGTAAAGCAGGTCATCAGACACATGGGTTTTTTGCTGGAGTCTCAGTTAGTAAACCAGTTCCATACTCCAAAGCTCTTCCATGAAATAAAGGGCCTGGACTTAGTGTGACCTATTTTTCTCCTTCTTTCTTTTTTGTTGGCAGCTCAATTGTCTATAAATCAGATAGGCAAAGTAACCAAGTATAAGTGGCAAATATGGTGCATTACTATATTGATTGTGAACTCCAAATCGGTCCTAGAGAAAGGTTTTGGTCCAATAATTGGATTGACTTGTATATGGTCAGGCATCAAGAATAGCAACAATGCATACCACTGAAATGGTTGTAGTTTTAAAAGCGGGGGAAAAAACCAATACTTTTGTTTAGGTAGAATAAAAAATAGATAAACCTCCCAGGATATTTATTAGGGAATTTTTGCTATAACCAATTTCCAAGTGGCTCCTACATAGTTCATGGTTAGCGTGACACATGTGGTCAAAATATACACAGGCACACTTGTGAAGATCCTCAACTCAACCCTTTCACTGCCCAAACTTCCGCAATTTCTTTCCCACCAGCTGGCTGATTTCTAAGAGTCTTAAAATAAAGTACAAAGCCTTTCCATCTGCAATAGGAGTTAAATCTAGAATGCTAGTGTCCTTGAAAAAAGGAGAGCACATGACTTTAATTCACCTCAACTTCTAAATGGAAGCTATTAGATCTTTTACAAAGAGAAGAAGAGAAATGGGGAAAGTGAGCTTTATAGAGTTCAAAAGGCAAAAAATATGCTGACTTCCTTCAAAACATTGTCCATGATGGTTCTTACAAAGGTGCTATTTCCTGCCTAGAGCATTTGTGTGGGAACCCATCAGTGAAGGTCTGCTTAAGGTTCTACCAGCATATTCTTTCCTGGAATATTGCAGTAATGTGCAAAATAAGCACATGATTATTTGCAAGGGTTAGAGGTCCGGAAGCCATGTAGAATTACTCAAGAACCCTAAAGAAGCCTCAGATTACAATATTTCTTCTGCAATAGTGAATCCAGAAGAATCCAATTTAAGATCTTGCCAACCAGAGCCTATTATAGTTTGGGGATAAGGACAGAGAGAAGTAAGTTTCCTTAGTCAGAGTTACTGTGAATCTTTTCACTTCTAATTATATCACCTTTAATGACAGCTTCCTTTTACCACTGAAGGAGATTAAATTTTCCATGACCTATAAAGTCCCGCATGGACTGGCTGCACAGCTGGCCTCTCCAGCTTCAGCTCATGTGACTTCCCAGCCCCTCACTGGTTACTCTTAGTTCTTCAAACACCCAGTTTCTTTCCTCTACTTGGATCAGTCTTCTCCCTGTTCTTGCCCTGGGCCACCCCTACCCATCTTTCAGATAGTAGCTGTCAAATCTCACTTCCTCAGGGAAGCATTCTCTGACCTCTGGGGCTACTCTAGGTCTCCTGACCATGTATGGTCATGCTACTCTGCCCTTTTCAACATGCTTAGTGCAACCACGCTTAAATAATTATTTGTCCAATCATGCATAATCACTTGCTTAAGGCTTATCTTCATCACCCAGTCTCAGTAGAGCAGAGACCTCATCTATCTTGCTACTGACTACCCGCAAAGACCAGAACCATGCCTACCACAGAGTGGATGCTCAATAAATATTTATTATATGTATAAATGAACTAAAGATAGTTTTTTAGACCTAGAAAAGTCCTAGGATAACCTAGTTCAATCCCCTAATTTATAGGAGAAACTAATGTCTAAGTAGGTTCACTGCCTTGCCCAAAGCCTTACCCAAAAGCAAAATTAGAGATAGAATCTAAATCTCTTCACTCTTCCAATACACTTTTCTTTCCTGTCCTGATGGAAATCGCCTAGTCTAGTGATTCATCACACTAGAGGAGAAAGCAATTTCTGGCAAGTTATTCAGGACTTTAATGAAGTTGCAGGCTTGTTTTATTTAATACTCAGTTTGTTTAAAATGAGTCCCATAGTCTGTGTTTGTTCCACCATTCCTCATTGCTGGATCAAATGTTAATTATCAAGAAGAAGAGATAATGTGGCAGTTTGGCAAGTTTTTGCTGAACTAGCAAATGTTTAATAGGATCACAGATGGAAGCATTTGCATGTGGGAGGGATTTTTTTTTCCCCAAGGTTTTGTTCTAATTAAAAGTTACCAGTTCAAACCAGGTTACCAGTTACAGCAAATAGAAGTTTGTGCATTCTAGAGCCTGAACAATGCTACTGTTTCTTCACCATATTCATCTCTTGCCTTTCCCACACTTGACAAGCTGAGAAATATTTAATAGCCACTAGGTTCATGAATAAAACAGAATAGTTACAAAGCTCTTTCATGATTGCCCCTGTGCATTGGACAAGCAGTGAGTTTTAAGGGACCAGCAAGAAGGAACATTGCTTGTATTTCTTTTTCAGTCTGTGGTAATAGCTCATTTCAGGTAACCATTAACTGAATGTCTTCCCTATGCCAGCACGGTGTTCGGTGCTGGGGATGTGAAGACAAATAGGGCTCCAGAAAAGTAGGGGAGAGAGGCATAAAATTATTTAATTTCTGTACAAAGTGCTAAATGCAGGGATAGAGGTATAAAGACGATGCTTTGGGAGCCTGGATTGAAAGGGCAATGGAGATTCCTTCTTCTCAAATGAGACCATGCCTAATCCAAAGTTTAAAGGATCAGAGGAATTATCTAAGTAAAGAGAGTGGAAAATAATTTCTAAGGCAAGGTTAGAACAAGAAGAGAGGCATGGAGTGGTATGTGTAAAAAGAACACAGGCTGAGCTACCTCAGAAGAGAGTACACTGGCAAAATAAAAAGAATAATAACAATAAACAAAGCTATTATGAACTGTCAAATCTCTATCATTATTTTCAACATATGTTAAATCAGTGCTTCCAAAACTTAATTTACATTTCATCTTTACAATTCTTATTGTAATTGCATGCCACCATTTATTTATTTACTTAATATTCTTCCATAAATCCATCCATTTTAGCCTCCCCAAGGGAAGATTATCAATTAAATCAGTGGTTTTATCTACTAGTTTTATTTTTCTAATACTTATTAAGATAAATACATAACTATTAAAATATAAAAATGCACGCCAACTGGAAACATCTTAAATCCAGCTTTTAGCCAAAGTAAGGGTCACGTGCCCCTGGCTGGATTTAAGTGAGAGGTGTGTGCCCCTGGTACTAGAGTAAAGAAGAGACTGGCTAGTTCATAATATGTTATGCCAGCTCAGCAGATTGATTTGATTAGGAAGGGTGATGTGGAGTCCAGCACAGCGCTGACTTTAATGCATGATCCCCACCATCAAGGTGCTGAATGATGGCTTAGATTAGTTTTCCTGTTCGTAAATCAGTAATGATACTGACAATGACAGGAATAAGAGCTATCATATGATGAGTGCTTGATGTGTGGCAGGCACTGCACTTGGCACTTTACATTCATTTGCTCATGAAATCCTCACAGCACTTTATAAGTTCTATTGTTATACCCATTTTAACAGACTCACAGAGATTAGATGTCTTATCAGAGTTCTAGCTTTTTGGTTAGGAGAAAATATCACAAGAAAGCTGCTTCATGTAATTGAAAGAGAACTTTTCCCAGACTTAGAAGGCCAGGGCTTTGGTGCCAACTCAGTCATTCATTCACTATGGACTGCAGAAGAGTCTCTTAAACTCTCCAAGCTACAGGTTCCCTTCTGTGAGGCGTTTACACTCAATGGTCTTTTAGATTATTTGTAAACTGGAGACTCTTCATCTATTTCCTTATCCGTAAAGAGGAGCTGGTAATACCAACCTCACAGGATTATTGTGAAGATTAAATGTGGGTAAAGTGCCTAGCCCTATAATTGACACCTAGTAGAATGCAATAAGTGGGATTATAAATAAAAATAAGATTAATCATAATCATCTTGATAACGACTTTGATAATCTTCAAAATAGATAATTTATCCCCAAATAAATATGAGTGAATTAATTATATCACCATATAGAAAGGAGTGTGCTAGCTGACTATCTTTTTAAGCAGGTCAGTTCAGTTTGATTTCTACATGCTTCCATATGTTTAAATCAGAGGCTGAGTACATACCCTTCACTGGTGTGGTAGTTAGCCTCCAAGATTATCCCCATGATTCTAAGTGCCCTTGGTAGTCTCCTTCTACATTAACAAGGGCTGACCTGTATAACCACTAAGATATTATGGAAATTGTGTGACTTCTGAGGCTAGATCCTAAAAGACATTATGGCTTCTGCCTTACTCTCTCAGGGATTGCTCATGAGGATACTCAAGAAGCCCTGTAGAGAGGCCCACATGATAAGGAGCCATGTGAGTGAGCTACCTTAGCTGTTGACCCTCCAGCCACAGTCAAGCTTTCAGATAACTGCAGCCCCAGCCAACATCTTGAATGCAATCTGCTGAAAGACCCTGCACCAGTACCACTCAGCTGGGCCACTTCCAAATTCCTGACCTACAAAAACTCTGAGATAGATGGTTGGGTTTTGTTAAGCCACTGAGTTTGGGGTAATTTGTTTTATAGCAAAATGAATTACTGCAAAGATTAAAGAAAATATTTTTTAACTGAAAGCATATAGTCTCAGTGGTACGTCTAATCCAGGCCACCAAGAAACTGTGAATGTTCAAAGGGAGGGCAGAAGGAATGGCAGAAGAGGCATGAAGATCTCTGCAGCACATGAGGGAAAGCCCTTTGGCTCTCTAAGAAAATCTTCCTAGTGGCAGGAATCAGCAGAAATTTTCAACAGGTTTTGCTCACCAAGTGTAGGGGCTCTTCAGAAGCAGCAGGGATGGCACCAAAGGAGATGCATCTGCAAACATATCAAATCTACCAAAAGTCTTTTCAGCAGTACCAAAGTTTAAGGCAATAGTTTGGAATGAGTCTTATTTGGACAGCCAAAGCTTCATCTTACCAGCTATTTAGTCCTGATGATTTTTGAATAATAAAATATGTTAGAATAATTTTCCACTTAGCAATGGTCATTCATGAATGGGCAGCATTACCATTCATATCCCTCTGTTAAAAATAGGCTCATTTTCTTGCTTTTAAAAAATCTCGTTGTATATTGTGGGCATAGATTTGGAACACTGTGAAACGTGGTTAATTTGGTAGCACTTTATATCATGCCATCTTGTAATAATGCCTCTTAGGAAACGGCCTTAAGGATATTATGCAAAAGGTACTTTGAAGAGGGTGGAGAGGAAGAGATTACAACTTCCCTTTTGCAGTCAGCTCCTGTCTCTGATGTGTAACCCTAGTGTCTACTGCCTGGTTTGCCTTTTTCTGTATTGTCCGTGTAAATACCATCCTGGGTCTTCTGATTTGAGAATCATTTTCTCCTACTGTGTTTTGGAGAAAATTGAGCATGTGTTATATCTAGTCCTGGTCAGTGTCATCTCCACCCCCTGCCTTAGCTCCTTTGGTCACCCTTTTTGAGAACCATTTTGCCACCACCTTCTTCCTTCATTTTCCAAAGCCCCATTAACCCCAAAGCTAGTCAACTTGCTGTGTATGGGGATAATAGAAAAGTATTCACCTCAGCTTAGACATGTCTCATTTTCATCATTTAGGTTTCCCTTTAAATGCCACTTTAAAGGGCTTCTAGGACCAATCTTTCAAAAGTGGATCCTGCCTAGTTATTTGCCAACAAAATACTCGGCAAATACCTTTCCTGCCATTCACTACAGCCTATAACTACATTTATTTACTAATCCTAGAGGCAGACTACATGAGTTCTAATCTCAACCTCACCATTTACTAGCTAAAGGGTCTTAGGCTAGTTAATTTTTTTTGTGCTTTAGTTTTGCATCTGTGAAATGAAGAGCTCATTGTTGTGAGGTTGTTGTGAGGATTAAAGGAGTTAATACATATAAAGCACTGAGAACAGTGCTTGGTGCATATTTAATGCTATATACATATTATAAATATTATAAATATTACTATTATTATTCTCCCCCTCCCGAGAACACAAAATCCTGGAAAACAGAGATCTTGTCTCTCTTTTTAACGTTGTAACCCCAGCTCCAAGCATATGGCCTGGCCCATAAGAAGATGTTTCCTTGCCAGAAATTAACACGGAAAGCCAGACATTGCTATTCTCAATAATTTACAGCAACCCCATCATGGGAAATTTCTCCATGGCCATGTTTTCTTGGATTCTGCCTGTCATTACTTTGCTCAGGCCCATCTGTCTCCTAGGCTCTCCATCTCTCCAGATGCAGGTGCAGACCCACATTTCTTGTTGTTTACTCAGGCACAAAAATTACAGCTTTCAGCTCCCCCTTAGACTATGCTTCAGGTCTATCCTTGCATATCCAAATACCGGATTTCTTTTCTTTTCTTTCTCTCTTTCTCTCTCTCTTTCTTTCTTTCTTTCTTTCTTTCTTTCTTTCTTTCTTTCTTTCTTTCTTTCTTTCTTTCTCTCTTTCTTTCTTTTTCTTTTTCTTTCTTTCCTCCTTCCTTTCTTTCTTTCCTCCTTCCTTTCTTTCTTTCTCTCTCTCTTTCTTTCTTTCTCCTTTCTTTCTTTTTTATTATCTATCTATCTAATCTTACATATATATGTATGACCATTAGCCATCAAAAATATGTGAATATGGTTCATCCCCTAAGAGGAGGAGACAGGGTATTTTTAACAACATTTTTTCTTCCTATACTAAATTATTTATTTCTATTAAAAAAATTATGTTATAGAAAATCACATCAAAAAACAGAAAATTAAAAATTACAGAAATCTATATTAGATTATATGCATAATCTACTAGAAAATATGGAATATTCAAAATTTTAAAATATAAGTTAAGTTTTCCCATAGATCCTCCATATAATATATATACAAAATCACTGTCAACATTTCTGTATGTTTCCTCCACTTACTTCTAGTCTTTTCTTTATGGCTTTGGCGTGTGTGTGTGTGTGTATGTGTGTGTGATAGCAGGGGTGTAACCAGTCATACTGTATCATGACCTTTTCATTCAAACTTCTGTTTTTAAAGTAAGTAAAATATTTATTTATATCCATCCCATAGATATAATTGTGCATCTACTGACTAGAATATCAGGCACCAGACAGAGGTTGACACCATGAATAGGACAAGGCCTTCAGATCCCAAAGTTCTTACCCATATACCACGCAGCCACAGCCTCCATGACTTCAGACTAAGGACTAGTGAAGAGTTCAAAGCAGTACCTCACAGGCAGGTTTTGTGTTAATTCCACATGGAGACCTCCCATTACAATCACAGACTTATTTCTTCCAAATGCACTCTGGTTGCTGCAATACTGAAAGGAGGTTTACCTGAAAAGTGTCTTCCTTCCTCCATGTAATGACTGTGCAGACTAAAGAGAATGGATTTTACAGCTCAGGCTAATTATGTAGTATTAACACAGTGCTATCAGGGGAAAGTCTGCTGCCTGCTTGTGCTAAAAAGTCCTCCCACAGCTCCAAACCTGTACACTGTTTGTGATGATTTTGATTTCCCAGCTTCACCCACACCATCCCCCAACGCAGAAACTCTCAAGAAGAGAGACTTTGCCTTCTTGGGTCACCATCCTCTGACTTCTTTTAGTTCCCTAATTATCCAACTCTTACCCTCCTCCAAGCTTTTCTCTTGGCTTTTCTTCTACGCAGCTGCTTTCCCAGAACTATTCACTCAGATGCTAGTCCACGGTCACGTTGAAGCTGAAATACCAGAGATCTCAGAGAAGCCCCTCCTGACCAACCTGTGCAAAGTAAATTTCTCTTATTATTCTTTCTCTTAGCACCTGGGTTTTTTATTTTGTCTTCCCATTATTGCACTTGTCCAATATTTGTTTGATTTCTTTTTTTTTTTTTTTAACACCCATAGAACTAAGGATCCTTTGGGGGCATCCATTTTAATATTTTTAATATGTATAGACTTTTATTGGATATGTCTTTTCAAAATATAAATTGTTTTGTGTACATGTATTTTTAATTTGTGCAAGTGGTACTTGGCTATAGACCTTATTCTGTTTTCTCCTTTTCTCACTTTGTTTGTATAATATATTTTTTCTTGATTATGACTGCTACATAATAATCAATGGTGTGGATCTACCACATTTTCCTCACTCCTTCTCCTAGTGATGGGTACCTCTAGCTCCCTGCTACCACAGACAATATTTCTATGAACCTTACACATGCCCTTTTGTGAACCTGAGAGAAATCCACTGGTATGTAGAACCTGCAACAGCACTGGTAGGTTACTGGGTTTGTGGCTTATGTAGAGCTAATTTGACCAATTTGGGCCTAGTTCCTTGCAAAAAAGCTACAGTGGTGCACAGTCACACCAGCAATACATGGAGGGTCCTGTATTTCCACATTCCCTCCAACCTTTGGCGATATCCAGCTTCCTAATTTCTGCCAGTTTAATGGGTATAAAGTAATATTTAATTGTTTTAATTTGAACTTTTCTTGATCATCATGATTTTGAGCAGCTCATTTCTGGGTTTGTTAACTTTTGGAGTTTCCTTTTCTGTAAATTTTCTATTCAGATCATGTACTCATTTGCAATCTTTTTCTTCTTGATTTACAGGACTTTCTTGCTTATTCTAAAAGATATTAGTCTTCTTTTTCTTCTTTGACATTACAAATACCTTATCATATTCTGGCAGCCTTCTGTTAAATATGTACATGGTATCGGTCACTGACAAAATTCAATCTAGGTGTAATAAAATGCATCACTATTTAAAACCTGACAGATTGTGCTTTTAGAGGTTGATTTACACTGTCTGTGTTCTATGTGTTGGCCTCATTTTTCCCTATTGTACATAGGCTTCTTCCCTGCAATGACGGAAGAGGGCTGCCAGCAGCTCCAAGATTAAAAAGTCCTAGCTTTACAACCAAGCCATCAAAAACTCTGGGTTTGAGTCCTATTGGCCTAGCTTGGGTCCCATGCCTACACTGGGCAGCCAAGCAGAGATAGCCCTTGAGGTCACCAGCACCATGGCTTCAAACCCACTCAAAACACAGGGATTAAGAGATGGGAATGGAGTGATATCTCAGAGGAATATCAAGACATTTTTTTTCAACAGTAGGAAAACGAATGCTGGGCCTGCAAAATCAAAAGATGTTCATTATAAAAAGGCACTGTCTTTCTTATCGTTCATCAGGTAAATTAGTATTGTCACATTCTCCAGATACTTTTTCTGGTCCCCATCCCCAGACTCAGTTTAACATTTCTTAAACATTCTATAGTACCCCTGTACTCATCTGATAGAACTCGGGGATTTAATCCCCAAAATGGGTAATCCAGTCAGGAAGCAACCAAGGAGATCACCCAGACCAGTGGTTCCCAAACTAGGCTGAGCATTAGAATCACTCAATGAGCTTTAAAAATACAAACTCCTAGGCTTTGCCGAAAACCTGCTGAAATAAAAACGCTGCAGCGCGGAAACCTGGAAATTGTGTTTTAAAATATTATTTGTTGTCAGTCCACAGATGGAGAATCACAGTGAGAATCACAATCTCCTCATTTTACAGAAGAGAAAGCTTGAACCTGAGGGATGATCCCCCCAAAATGTAGTGAACTCGGGGCGCCTGATCTATTCAGCTGTTGTTGCTTTATGTGTGTGTTTTCTTGCTGCTGGACATCGAGCTCTCTTTGAACCTTTTGGAAAAGAGGCTAGTGAATACAAATGTAACTATCTCAGGATTTATCATTTGACAAAAAAGCTCAGGCTCTCATCTCTGTGCTTTATCTTACTCAGAAATCTTGGCAGACCTGCAACCATGGAAACACAGGTCCTACAGTCCACATCAACTCCAGATCTAGCTGCCCTGGACTTCTAAAGAGCAGTCTCCTGATGCTCGAGGAAGTTGTAGAATGCTTCTCGGTGCTTTCTATTCAGCATTGCAGGTGTTTAGGAGCTGAGCCTCAGGAGTCAGCCACTCCTGATTGAAATATTGGCTCTGTCACTTACCAGGTGTGTGACCCTAGGCGATGTGCATGTCCTCTATGTGATGCTGCATGCACCTCAGGGACTCTTTGTGAGGATGAAATGGGATAGTGCATTTCAAGTGTAAGCCCAGAACTTCACACCAAGAAAGTGCTCACTAAACATTGGGGGGTTCGGTCTTTTTTTTTTTTCGGGTGGGGGACAGAGTCTCATTCTGTTGCCAGGCTGGAGTGCAGTGGCGTGATCTCAGCTCACTGCCATCTCTGCCTCCTGGGTTCAAGCAATTCTCCTGCCTCAGTCTCTCAAGTAGCTGGGACTACAGGTGCCCACCACCTCGTCTGGCTAATTTTTGTATTTTTAGTAGAGACAGGGTTTCACCATGTTGGCCAGGCTGGTCTTGAACTCCTGACTTCAAGTGATCCACCAGCCTCGGCCTCCCAAAGTGCTGGGATTACAGGCATGAGCTTCCTTGCCTAGCCTGTTGAGTGTTGCTGAGCATTTTCTGTGTGCTAGTTCCTGTGCAGGGTGATGGGTTACAAGGATGAGTAAAGTATGGTTTCTGCCCTCTATGAGCTTAGTCACAAGAGGTTGAAAGATTAACTGGTAATGACTGGAAAGTGGTGGCTTCCGCTGACCTGGCTCCCTAGCCTGCAGAAGGTGCAGGAGTGACTGGAAGCCATAATCTCAACATGACCCCTCATGTGTGCAACAGGGGCAGCTAGATGCTCTGGTCATGAGATAGATGCTGTGCCTCTGCAGCCAGCTCCGTGCCAACCCAGCCCACAAGCCCAGGTAGAAGAAGCTAGGCAGCAACAGAGAGGCTTTGCTTTTTTTCCTCTCCATAGATGCAGTTTGTCGTCTTTTGTTGTAAAATACCCACTTCACTTTTCCCCCTTCAGAATTCCTCTCCCATGTTGCGTATTATTTTATGTGATAATCAGTCAGATGTGGCCACAACAGGAGACACAGAAGAGGCTCAAAGAAAAAAATATATATTGTAAGTACAGGTCTTAGAGACAAGAGGCACGCCCTGCAGGAGCCACATGGGAAACACACCGTGGTCAGGAGGAATGGTCAGGAGGCAGACGGCAGGAGCCAGGGAAAGGTTTAGGCCATTGCCTTTATTGGCATTTCCGTGGGAAAGGCAAGGCAGAGCAGAGTGAACAGTTTAGGTTTAGCCAGTTGGAATAACTTTGGTGAGCTTTGGGCTTTAGGGGTGGTTCTGAGTTTCCTGACACTTGGCTCTGGAATGATTAAGGCAGAGAAATATTACCTCCTGTGATATACAGGCCAGACAAAGGAGGCTTGGCTCTAGATTGGTTACTTTGCATATCAAAGACATGCATTCTTTCCCCAGCCAGAAAGGCTTAAGATGTCAAAACATCATAATATACAGACATTTAAAAAATATTTACCATACACTCCAGAGCTTAGACTCTGCTTGGCAGCAAAATCTTGATAGTCATTGCTCAATCCTTGCTGTCTTACTCTGTGTACGTTTTTGAGTTGAGATTGATGTTTACCCAGGGTGTTAGAGAAGCATAGAACAAGAAGCCCTCCTACAACCTTGGGGCTTAGATAGGAACTGTTGAAAGTATTACAAGATAACAGGGAACAATTTGTACTTTATGGAGTCTCTCTTTTGACTCCCATAACATAAGAGTGTGATGCATGGAAGTAAATAATTTTGTTAATCAGTGAGCCTCTCCAAGACAACATCCACATCTCATTACACCTTTATTAGTTTCTATGTTCTTGTGGAATTTCTCACTGAGAGTGAAAATGGGTAGATTAATTCCTTTAACTATGTTCTATGTATTTGGTGTGTGAATTTGTATGTTTTTGTGGTGGAAAAATATTTTGCACGAATTGGTGTGTCTTCCTTGGTATTTCCTTTTAACCCCTTCACCTTTCCCTAAATTTGCCTAAGGGGAGAGAGATTGAATTCTCCAGGGAGGACAAGACACAGAGTAAAAGATTTTGAACTTTAAAAACCATTGCCTTTGCATTTCAAGTCATAGGATTTGAGGGGGAGCCAGGCGTAGAGAAGGTAGAAGCAAATCTTCCTAGCCTCCTAGACTGGAAAGTTTGCTCAAATTAAGAGGAGGTAAGGAGGTGCAGGGAAGCGAGGAAGCTCTGACCCCAGTTTATATCCAAAAAAGTGGCTCTTTAAACTCTCTCTCCTCTGCCAATCCATGCCCAGATGGATGAATTTCTTGGAGTGGGGGTGACAAAATTTCAGATAGGTTTGAGGGATCTGAGTGAAAAAAAGAGCTGTGCCCAGCTTCTCGTTATGCCCTGGAAGGTGAAGCCCCAGAGTAGAAATAGCTAGGTGATAGTTCCAGGAAGATGGACCTAGGACAGGCATGCATAGGCAGAGAAGAGCAGGGCACCCCCAACACACCGGGCTGGGTCCAACAATCAGATAGACACAGCTCCAAAGGAGCCCTGGGCCAGGACCAAGAACCAGCCAGCAACCACCTGTGGTACCAGGGACCGAGGTCAGGTAGGGCCGAGGCTATCAAAGCAGAGGAGAATAGCGGTTGATAAAGCCTGTCCCACAATGCCTGGGTACTACACTACCCTCTCTAGAAATGCCACCCTCTAAAGGAGGAATGCACCCTGAATTGAATGATACTAGGTTTTTGCCTCTTGATGTAAAGAAGCTCATAATAGGAATTAAGTTACAGAAAATTAAACTTCTTACACACCTAAGTTGTGTATTGAGATTCATACCTGCTGCACTGTGGTGGCATTTGTGAATTTAGATAATCATGGCATTAGTGGGGAATCTCTTTTGTGAATGTCAAGTGTCTCTATTTCTCTATGTTGCAGAGCATCAACAAAGTGATATTAGGGATTCTTAATGTGTATGTGTGTGGTGGAGCCTAACAATTCCCTTCTTAGAATGTTTTAAAATACCTATAAATATACAGGATTACAAAGGAAGCCAATTATATGAAAATAGAGTTATCAAAAAACATTTTTTTTTTTTTTTGGAGTCAGAGTCTCAGTCAGTCACTCAGGCTGGAGTGCAGTAGTGTGATCTTGGCTCACTGCAGCCTCCGCCTCCTGGGCTCAAGCGATTCTCGTGCCTCAGCCTCCCAAATAGCTTGGATTACAGACACAGACCACCATGCCCAGCTAATTCTTGGTTTTTTGTTTTTTCAGTAGATGATGGGGTTTCACCGTGTTGGCCAGACTGGTCTCCAACTTTTGGCTTCAAGTGATCTGTCTGCCTCAGTCTCCCAAAGTCCAGGGATTACAGGCATGAGCCACAACACCCAGCCTCAAAATATTTTTAAAAAAAGACTTGTGACATAATAATATATACGCTTCTTTACTCATGCATGAAATAACAAGATCTAGAGGCAAGCCAAGTAAACATTATGATATCAAAGTGGTGATAAATATGATTTTTAGAGATAGCTATAATAAATAACATAATATAACAACATTTGTGATTTGTATTGATAACATAGTCATGAATGTGGTTAATATTGTTTTATTACCTACATGCATAATTGAAGGAATGATTCATTTGAGTTAGAGGTTAATGAAAATAAAAATATAATTTTTCCTACCCAGTTCAAAGATCTTCAGATTCTACCCATCAACCCTTGCAATCTACAGGCTCTGTACTGTATAACTATTTCTTAGCCAACCAAAAGATTTAGTCTGAACGTTTTCAATACCTGCCAAACTCTGCTTGAGAGTTTGTGGAGATAGGTAGTACCTAAAATAATTGCCTTTTAACAAAGGGCCCAAAAGATCTAGTGATAGAGACAGAAGGCAGCCAAGGGTGCCCCGGTGAAACCCCACCTTCAAGCCTAAAATAGCAAGGCTGAAAAGCTGGACTGTGGTCCTAGATGAAGCCTGCCATTTCCCAGCGGATTCTTTTTGACTAATCCCCATCTGCACACTGGGAGGATGGGGTAGAGCCTCGGGAAGTGCACAGTGTTTCAGTGAGGAGGAGCCTGGCCTCTCCTGTCCCTGTATGGTGACCTGGGATTCAATCTGTGAGGTGGGAAACCTGCTAGAAGGACTCTCTCTCACTTTGCTGAGAGTTATTTTTCCTTTTTCCTTTTCACCCACTAAATTCCATTTTTCTCACCCTTCCATGTGTCCATGAGCCTAATCCTTCCTGGCTGTGTGACAAGAGCCCGGTTTTAGCTGAACTAAGGAGAAAGTTCTGCAACATTAGAGGTAATCAGGTCTGGACAGATCTCTCTGCAATGATTCTCGTCCTAGGCCATGAATTTGGGAGATCATAATCCTGAGCAAGTGTTGGAATACAGGTAGAAAAGTATGCAAATTGGCCAGGGCCTGATTTTTTTTTATAAAAAGTGATTCCCTGGCTTTGTAAGCTGATAAGCTTCTTAAAGATAAGGTGCAGTGTTGCCTGGTATCCTTAGGACAGTAGCTAGAAAATGGTAGAAGGCTGACAAATGCTATTAGGATGATTTAATGAATGAATGTAATCATGCAAAAATAATTGAAGTTCAGTCTGGGGCAAAGGGAGGGGTACCCAAGTGTAAATTCCTTATCAGTGAACTTGGCAAAAAGAAACAGCATGATTAATGTCAGCTATTCTTATTTTTGCGGTATAAAGCACTCTTTTTGTATTCTATTTTGTCTGGTACCCTTAAAAAATGGATGGAGCTTTCCAAGCCGCCTCTTTTTGTCTAGGGTTTGGATAGAGATTAGATAAGAATAAAAGGCACAATGTATATAAAGCACATAGCACAGGGGCTGGTAATAAGGAAATGATCAATAGCTACTATTATTAATTTTATCTAAGATAATAAATTTAATATTTGTTAGTATTAATATGATTATTAATATTAATCAAGGCAGTGAGTCAAACTTAGTAATGCATTAGAATCACAGGAAGAACATTCAAAAATACTTATTCTCCAAGAGCTCACTGAATCAGAATTTCTGGGGAAGGAGCCCAGAATCTGCTTTATGAAAAAATTAGCAAAGTATTTGAAAAGGAAGCCAAGAGTGAGAAATTAGAGCCCAGCAGGAAACTGAGTCATTATTACCCACCCATTAAAATATAATTTTAATGCAAACAGTGAGCACTTGTTAAGATTTGATTTTATGTATTCATGAGAGAAGCAGATGGATATCAAAGCTAGTTCCAAAGATGATATGAAAAATTGTGATTCGATAAGGAGTAGCAAAGAAAGTAAGTAATGCTGAGACAGTAATGCTCAATTTGTTACAAAACCAGGTAAGATCCTTTAGGATAATAAAAGCGTAACTAGATCAATGAATCCAGGACTTGGTTTTTTCAAAAAATTAATAAAATAGATAGACCACTATGCTAGCTAGACTAGTAAAGAAGAAAAGAAAGAAGATCCAAATAAAATCAATTAGAAATTACAAAGTGGATATTACCACTGACCCCACAGAAATGCAAATAACCATCAGATCCATAGCTTCAATGCACACAAACTAGAAAATTCAGAAAAAACAGATAAATTCCTCAAAACGTACATCCCCCCAAGACTGAACCAGGAAGAAATTGAATCCCTGAACAGACCAAAAACAAGCTCCCAAATTGAATGAGCAATAAATAGCCTACCAACAAAGGCCCAGCACCAGACCAATTCACAGCTGAATTCTACCAGATGCACAAAGAAGAGCTGGTACCATTCCTGCTGAAACTATTTGAAAAATATTGACGAGATGGGACTCCTTCCCAGCTCATTCTATGAGGCCAGCATCAGCCTGATACCAAAACCTGGCAGAAACACAACAGAAAAAGTAAACTTCAGGCCAATATCCTTGAAGAACGTCAATGCAAAAATTCTCAACAAAATACTTGCAAACTGAATCCAACAGCACATCAAAAAGTTTATCCACCATGATCAAGTAGGCTTTACCCATGGGATGTAAGGTTGGTTCAACATATGCAAGTCAATAAATGTGATTCATCATATAAGCAGAGCTAAGGACAAAAACCACATGATTATCTCAGTAGAAGAAAAGGCTTTTGATAAAATTCAGTATGCCTTCATGTTAAAAACCCTCAAGAACTAGGTATTGAAGGAACCAGCTGCAAAATACTAAGAGCCATCTATGACAAACCCACAGCCAACATCATACTGAATTGAAAAAAGCTGGAAGCATTCTCCTTGAAAACTAGCACAAGACAAGGATGCCTTCTCTCACCACTCCTCTTCAACATACTATTGGAAATCCTGGCCAGAGTAATCAGGCAAGAGAGAAAAACAACGGCATCTAAATATGAAGAGAGGAAGTCAAACTATCGCTATTTGCAGATGACATGATTCTATATCTAGAAAACCACATAGCATTGGTCTAAAAGCTCCTTAATCTGATGACTCCAGCGAAGTCTCAGGATCCATAATCCAAGTACAAAAATCATTAGCATTCCTGTACAACAACAGTCAAGCCAAGAGCCAAATCTGGAACACAATCCCATTCACAATTGCCACAAAAAGAATAAAATACGTAGGAATACAACTAACTAGGGAGGTGAAAGATCTCTACATTGATAACTACAAAACACTGCTCAAAGAAATCAGAGATGACACAAACAAATAGATAAAGAAATTCATGCTCATGGATAGGAAGAATCAATATCATTAAAATGGCCACACTGTCCAAAGCAATTTAAATATTCAGTGCTATTCCTATTAAACTACCATTGAGATTCTTCACAGAACTAGAAAAAACTACTTTAAAATTTATATGAAACCAAAAAAAAGCCCAAATAGCCAAGATAATCCTAAGCAAAAGAGCAAAGCTGGAGGCATCACACTACCTGATTTCAAACTATACTACAAGGCTACAATAACCCAAACAGCATGGTACTGGTACAAAAACAGACACATAGACCAATGAAACAGAATACAGAACCCAGAGATAAGGCTATAAACCTACAACTATCTGATCTTTGACAAAGCTAACTTGAATTCTAGATAGTAAAGTCATTCTCTCCTGGAGGGGGGTGAAGCTGCAAGCCATAAAGCTTGGTTAATGTCAACAATCATATTTCTGCTATGTGTCTTAGTAGAACAGAAGCCTCCTTAGAATCAGCTTGTGCCTTGCAGTTGTTCATAATGGAACAACTACAAGATATAAATACCCCACCCAAACCCCAATGCTGACTGCACCAAACTGCTTAACTTTAGCACATGCTAGGCTAGATCAAAACAAAACAAGAACTCCTTCTTGTAAGGCTGAAAAATGGAAAGGCCAGAGAGGGTGAAGGGGACAGGAAACCTCTCCTGCCACAATAAGAGCAGAGATTGAATGAAGAGTCCCCTTATTTGAAGAGTAGTGCAGTGGTCTCAACTTCTCTCCTGCCATGTTTCTGACAGCATTGAACTCAAGGCCCAATCATAACCCTCCAGGGATTCTCTATTTATCTAAAAGGAGAAATAGCTGTAGTACACACCTTTTGAAGTACACACTTGGTTCACAATTATTCCCTTAATTGTCCTGCTGTCCAAAAGAACCATGACTGTCCCCATGACTCTATCCCATGCCCACAGACACAGTTGAGTAGATGAGGAGTAAGCACTGTACGAGGGGAGAACACGTCCTCTCAGGCCTGAAACTCATCCAGGCAGAGGAAGCCCTGCCTCTACAATACCACCAGCCTCCTTCACTCCTTCCTCCAACAGAGGAGGAGTAAGTCATCTGATTGATGAGTTCCAGATGAATACATGGGTTTGCTTGGTTCAGGCCATCCCTCTTGCCTCTTCTGGGTGCTCTCTGCTTCCAGGGAGCATTTGCTGTGCCAGTTTCCTACCACTGGGTAAAGGCTCCTGCCCCCAATTGGAATCCCACTGTTTCAGCACATTTAAACTACCTTTATTTGTAATACAGTTGATAGGGTACTTCTCCATCTCTCTATTATTTTCTCAAATGCTTTAAAATCTGGGTTGGAAAGAGGATATTTGGGTGTTATTGGGTCCTCCTAAATCTCAACAGGTGCTTAATACAACTTAGGCCAATCTAAGTCCCATCTCTGGGGGTGTGGAATTGGGGCAAAGAGCTAGATTCCATTTATCTCGGGCACTGGGCACAAACATGTCAAGTTGGGTACAGTCACATATAATTATATTTTGCCTGCTATGTTCAGGGGAAGAGGAAGCTGATCTGATGAGAAAGAGTCAGGAACAATGTGAGCACACCACACAGAGAAGCGGGGTGGAGGAGGAGTTCTGAGGGTTCTGACTGCCTTTGCATCAGCCTTTCCTGATGGCCAGGCAACTCAGCCCAGCTCATGAGATCCGTAAGACCCTGCTTATCTTGAAAATAAATGCCTCATATGGAAGTTTAGGCAAGTAGAGCTGGTTTCTGTTACTTCCCACCAAAATAATTCCTAATACCATTTGCAAAGGCCTTTTAAAGATATGCCCAGGACAAGCAATTAAAATGTATTTTTATTCCTGAAAATGCTTAGAAGTGACCTGGGTTTATGTAAAGTGAACGTGTGTGCATGTAATTCATTATAATTTGGTGCACTATAGCTGCAAATAAGAGGCTGGGAATTGCCTCGTGAGAGGTCTCACAGTTTTGAAACTATGATACCTGCTTTCTTCCAACAACCTTTAGTTGAATTCAAATTGGAGGAGAAAACTGAGATGGGTTCTCTCACCTCTCTGTTACCCTATAGAGCCAAAAGTGATCTTTTGGTCTGATTCTCAGTAATAACAATGGCATAATGACAACAATAGTATACTAATGATTATTTGTTTTATGCTTTGAAAATGCTTCAACATCCATTTTCTTATTTTGTTGCTTTTTAAACTCATACTCCCAGACAGAGGTAATTTAAGGTAGTCATTATTATTAGCTCCATTTTCCAGGGGAAGAAATTAAGGATTTAAGAAGTTAGATGACTTGTCTAGGTCTATGGGAATAGGAAATGGTAACGCTGGGGCTGAATTGAAACCTTCTGACCTGGAATGCTGTGTTTTCTACAAAATCCTGTGTTGCTAGGAAAAAGGCTTTCACAGAGCTACATAGGACTATACATCTAGAAGGAAATCATAATAGCCAGGTGCATCAAACAAAGGAATCACTTTTCTGTAAAACAAGTAGAGTTGCACTGTGTCAGAGCACAGAGAGCAATACTCAGCCTTCCAGAGCCTGCTAGTCCTCACAAAGTCTCCTGAGTGACACAGAAGTCATGTGACTACAAGTACTTAGGAGAGTGCATGCCATATCATGAGCTTCAGTAAATGTTTGGCTGAACAAATGAATGAGTAAATGAAAATGAATGAAATGGAAAGATAGAATCCATTAGAATGTAATCCAAGAATTTTAACCTTACAGGGATATAGATGAGCTTTTGGGGGACCCATGAAACCTCTGAAATTTGAATAAAATTGTGTGTATTACGTACATTTTCTTTATAAATAGGGCCCTGGGTTTTAGCAGAGTCCCAAAGAGATGGATGAGCCAAAAGATTAAATATGATTGATCTTAATGAAAGGCAGTGAAGCAAACATGGCAGAAGAAAAGTCTCCCTTTCGTGGCTAAAAAGGCACATTGCTAGTATGTTTTTGGAGCTCAGCCATGTTTGATAAGAGCTGGGGTTAAGAAAGGCTGTTACGTGCAGGTTTTTGTTTATGTTTTTGTTTTTGTTTTTGCATACCCAGGAAAAAGTAAATGGGAGAATTATTTAAGATTTATTCCACAGAGAATACCTACACCTTGGTTTTAGAATCCTGAATCAAATTTTGAAATGAGATAGTAGGATTTTGATTCCACAAGTCTCGTTTTATATTTCTTTTAAAAAATCAGTTTACAGCCTATCTGTTTGGAAGTTTTAGGGCAACCTATCCTAGATGCAGAAGACTAAACTTAATAATATATAGAACTGTCTTTCATCTTTATGTTTAAACATAATCTAAAAATTCTTACTAGACAATGCTCCTCAAGTTGAGTTCCTATATGATGAATTATATCTTGTCGTTATGGTAACTAATGTTCTAAATACAGCATAAATGAAAAAAGAGTACCACTTACAAGGCAACATAAAATTGTTCGGACAGCAGTAGTTTTTAAAATAAATAGATTAATGCTTGTGTTTTTCTCTTTTTTTCTCTAATAAGTTTTATAAAATCTTAGACACGAGTCAGACTTTCATTTTAACTCACAAATACAAAATCAAACAGAAACTGAGTGAGCACACTTTGAAAAGGTCTCTCCTTTAAGGGAAGAATGGTTAAATCAATTATGTGTGTGTGTGTGTATATACACGTATACATTATGTATATATACATACGCATACACAAATGTATATAATATATATAAATATGTATGTTTATATGTAATACATAAACACATATGTATGTGTAAATACATATATACATACTTGAGTAAATACATACATATACAGATATGCATGCACGTGTATATATACACATATACATGCATATATGTGTATGTTTACATGTATATACATACACTTATAAATATGCACATATATGATCAATATATTAACATTAGAATGCATGTTCTGTATGCATACTTACAGAAAAGTCTGAATTATACACAAAAATATTAACATGATTATCTCTAGGTGGTGGTAGTAGTCACACACACACACACACACACACACACACACACAGAGCTAATCTATTTTTTAAAGTTTTGTTAAGTTCTAGTTCACATACCATAAAATTTACCTATTTAAATTTTTCATTTCAGTGAATTTTAGTATATTCACATAGTTGTGAAACCATCACCACAGTCTAATTGTGGAAACTTTTATCACTTCCAACTGAAATGAAATACTCATTCATGGTTATTCTTCTTTTCTGACTCCCCACACTCAGCCTAGTCCCTGGGAGTCAGAAAAAAAATTTTTCTTTTTGTCTCTGTGAATTTACCTGTTATTTTCTTTTTTTTTTTTTTTTTTTTTTTTACCTATTATGAACATTTCCCATAAATGAATTTATGTAACATGTGGTGTTTTGTGTTTGGCTTCTTCTGACCATGTTTTCAAGGTGCCTCGTATTGTAACATGTATTAGTACTTCATTTCTTTTTATTGCCAAATAATATTCCATTGTTATGAATATAATGCGTTTTGTTTATCCATGCATCAGTTGATGGACATTTAGTTTGTTTCCACTTTTTGGCTATTATGAATAATGTTGCTATAAATGTTCATTTACAAGTTTTTGTATGGACATACATTTTCATTAATCTTGGGTGTATACTGTATTTAGCATTTTGAGGAACTCCTAGAATGTTTCCCACAGTGGCTTCACCATTTACATTCCCACCATTAATGTATGTGTTCCAATTTACCTACATCCCTTCAAGACTTGCTATTACCTGTCTTTTTAATTTTCACCATCTTAGCAGGTGAAAAGTAGTATCCCATTACGGTTTTGATTAGCAATTTTCTAATGGCTAATTATATTTAGCATATTTGTTTGTGATAATTGACCATTATTTCTTTATCATCTTATGAAAAATGTCAATTCAAATCCTTTGCCCATTTTAATTGGGTTATTTGTGCTTTTATTGCTGCATTGTAAGACTTCTTTATGTAATCTGGATAAAACTGCCTTGTCAGATACATTTGAAAATATTTTCTACAATCCTGTAAGGTGACTTTTCAGTTTTTTGATGTTGGCCTTTGAGGCACAAAATTTTTAATTTCATTGAAGTCCAATTTGTTTGTTTTTTCTTTTGCCATTTGTACTTTTAGTGTCATATCAGAAAAACTGCCTAATTCAAAGTCACAAGACTTTGGTCCTATATTTTATTATAAGATCTTTATAGTTTTAGCTCCTATATTTAGTTATATCTTTATTTTGAGTTAATTTTTTATATGGTATGAGATAAGCATCAAAATTCTTTTCTCTCTCTTTTTTGTTTGCATATAGATATCAGTTGTCCTAGCTTTATGTGTTTAAAAGGCTATTTTTCCCCATTAAATTGTCTGTCAACCTTATAAAAAGTCAAATGACCATAAATGTGAGGGTTTACATCTAGATTTGGGATTATGGTCCATCCGTGTATATATTTATCCTTATGCCAGTACCATGGTCTTGATTACTGTAGCTTTGTAGGATATTTTGTAATTAAGAAGCATGAATCCTCCAGTATTTGTTCTTCTTTTTCAAGATTAGTTAGACTCTTCTGGCCCCCCTGCATTTTCATATAAATGTTAGAGCCAACTTGTCAACATCTAAAAAAAAGTTGGGATTTTGAAAGGGATTATACTGACTCTCAATCAATTTAGGAATTATTCCCATCTTAACAATTGTTATCTTAATTTACGGAGGTGGAATATTTTATATCTTTTAATTTATTTAGATCTTTAATTTCTTTCAATGTTTTATAGTTTGTGAGTGTTCAAGTCTTGCATTTCTTTTGTTAAATTCATTCCTAGGTATTTTATTCCTTTTGTGCTATTATAAGCAGGGTTGTTTCTTAATTTCATTTTAAGATTATTCATTGCTAGTGTATAGAAATACAATTGAATTTCATATATTGATCTTATATCCTGCCACATTGCTGAACTTATTTGTTAGTTCTAATCGTTTTTAGTGGATTACTTAGAATTTTCAATATACAAGATCATATCGTCTGCAAATACAGATAGTTTTACTTCTTCCTTTCCAATCTGAATGTCTTTTATTCTTTTATTTGCCTGATTGCCCTGGCCAAAATCTCTGCTATAATGTTGCATATAAAGTGATGAGAGCAAATATATTTGTCTTGTTTGCAATCTCAGAAGGGAAAAATTCAATCTTTTTGCAATTAAATATGAGGCTAGCTGTGAGTTTTTTGTATATGCCCTTATTGGCTTGAGGAAATTTCCTTCTATTCCTAGTTGGTTGAATGAATAACTAATTATTATGTGTTCTATTTTTTTCTAAAATAAAAAGGAATTTTGTAATATAGAATAATTTTTAGTTTTTAAAATAATTTTATAACAATATAATATTTAAAAACAATGCAAAACTATGTTTATACTATATATAGGATTACAATTTTATAATGTTAATTATAATATTATATTTTTAATAATAATATTGGAAAAGGACACATAACTCTAATATTATGGGAAGAATACAGTGATTATTTTTTCATAGTGTCATTAAATGTAGTTTTACTATGTTTTCTTTCCTTATTTTTCAATTTTCTCTAACAATTATTATCATGGACAAAAGTGTTACCCACCATGACAGCCACAGAAATGAACAGAAGGCCCAGATGAGCATTACCACCCTCCTGGCAACCATGGTTGGTTGAGGGGTGAGCAACTGACCCAGCATGACCAGTCAGTGTCCTTTTCTAGTATTGATATGCACACAAAGGAAGAGAAATATTCACTTTTCTCTGAGGTTGTTATATCTGCAAGTTTGGGATTTGGAGTTGTTGAAAGCCATTGTCCCTGCTATTAGAGGAATCCTGTCAGCATAGGGAACAATACAGTCATAACTGAGGGGCACAGAATAGTTTCGGCATCTAGATCTGAACTTCTGAATATAATATACAATAAGTCCTCTTTTTACTTAAGCTAGTTTTAAGTTTTTAAAAACTGTTTACTACATATTTTTAGTTGACACATAGTAATTGTACATATTTATGGAATGCAGTGTGATACTTTGATACATGTATACTACTTTGATACATGCAAACAATGTGTAATATCAAATCAGGGTAATTAGCAAATTTATCACCTCACAACTGTATTTTGTCTTTGTGTTGGTAACATTCAAAATATTATCTTCTAGCTATTTGAAAAAATACAATGAATTGTTGTTTACCCATAGAGCTACCTAAGGCTAGAACTTATTTCCCCTATCTTTCTATAATTTTGTATCTGTTAACCTCTCCCTATCCACCCTTTCACCTACCCTTCCTAACCTCTAGTAACCACTATTCTACTCTCTACTTTTATGAGATCAACTTTTTGAGCTCCCACGTATGAATGAGAACATGTATTATTTCTCTTTCTGTGCCTGGCTTATTTCATGTAACATGATGTCCCCCAGGCTTATCCACATTGACACAAATGACAGGATTTCATTCTTTTTTATGTCTTAATAATATTCCATTGTGTATATATCCCATTCATCTGTCCATAGACATGAAGGTTAATTTCATATCTTGGCTATTGTGAGTAGTGCTGCAATAAACATGGGAGTGCAGATATCTCTTTGACATACTGATTTTCTTTCCTTTAGATAAATACCTGGTAGTTGGATTGCAAGATCATATGGTAGTTGTATGATTAGCTTTTTGAGGAAACTTGATACTGTTTTACATAATGGTTGTGTTGGTTTACAGTCCCGTCAACAGTGTATAAGAAAGAGTCCCCTTTTCTCCACATCTTCTCTAACATTTGTTATTTTGTGTCTTTCTGGTAACAGGTATTCTAACTGGGGCAAGATGATATCTCATCATGGTTTTAATTTGCATTTGCCTGATGACTAGTGTTGTTGAGCATTTTTTCACATACTTGTTGGCCATTTGTCTTCTTTTAAGAAATGTCTATTCAGATCCTTTGCCCATTTTTTAATTGGATTATTTGCCATTTTGCTCTTAAATTGTTTGGGTTCCTTGTTTATTCTGGGTATTAATATTTTATCTGATGAATGGTTTCCAAATATTTTCTCATGTTTTTCAAATTGTCTCTTCACTCTATTGACCACATCCTTTGCTGTACAGAGGCTTTTTAGTTTGATATGATTCCTATTTGTCTATTTTTGCTTTTGTTGCCTGTGCTTTTGAGATCTTAACCATAAAATCTTTTCCCAGACCAATGTTCTGAAGTGTTTCTTTGTATTTTTTCCAGTAGTTTTGTAGTTTTGAGCCCTATGTTTAAATCTTTAATCCATTTTGAGTTGATTTTTGTACGTGGTGAGGGATGGGGGTCTAGTTTCATTATTCTGTACATGGATATCTGGTTTTCCCAGCAACATTTACTGAAAAGATTATTTTCCCCCCTAATGTATGATCTGGGTATCTTTGTTGAAAATCATTTGGCTGTAAATATGTGAATTTATATCTGAGCTCTCTGTTCTGTTCCACTGGTCTATGTGTCTGTACTTATGCCAGTACCATGCTGTTTAGTGACTATAGCTTTGTAATGTATTTTGAAATCAGGTAGTGTAACGCCTCCAACTTTGTTTTTTTTGCTCAAGAGTACTTTGGTTATTTGGGGTCTTTGTGGTTCTGTACAAATTTTAGGATTGATTTCTTTATCTCTGTGAAGAATATCATTGTCATTTTGATAGGAATTGCACTGAATCTGTAGCTCTCTTGGGGAGTATGGACATTTTAACAATATTTATTGCCCCAATTAATGAAAATGGTATGAATTTCCATTTTGTGTGTATTCTCTTACATTTCTTTCATCTGTGTTTTATAGTTTTTATCACAGAGATCTTTCACCTCGTTGGTTAAATTTACTCCTAGGTATTTTATCTTTCTGTAGCTATTATAAATTAGATTAATTTTTTATTTGTTTTCAACTAGTTTGTTATTGGTATATAGAAACACTATGGATTTTTGCATGTTGATTTTGTGTCATGAAACTTTACTGAATTATTCTATCAGTTCTAAGAGTTTTTTCCTGGAGGCTTTAGATTTTATATATATAAGATTATGTTGTTTATAAGCAGGTACATTTGACATTCTTCTTTTCAACTTGGGTGCCTTTTATTTCTTTTTCTTTTCTAATTGCTCTTTCTAGAACTTCTAGTTATATGTTGAATAAGAGTGGTGAAAGTGAGCATCCTTGTCTTATTACAGTTTTTTGAGAGAAAGCTTTTAACTTTCCCCATTTAGTATGATGTCAGCTGCAGGTTTGTCATATATGCCCTTTATTGTGTTTAAGTAAATTCCTTCTATACCTAATATGTTGAGAGATTTTATCATGAAGAGATGTTGAATTTTATCAAATGGTTTTTTCTGAATTTATTAAGATGATCATATGGCTTTTGTTCTTCATTCCGTTGATGTGTTGTGTCGCATTTATTGATTTGCATATGTTAAACCATCCTTGCATCCCTAGGATAAAGCCCACTTGACGGCATAATCTTTTTGATGTGCATTTGAATTCAATTTGTGGTATTTTGTTGAAGATTTTTGCATCTATATTTATCAGGGATATTGGCTTGTGGTTTTCTTTTTTTACTGTATCCTTGTCTGGATTAATTGTGCTTTGTTTTTAAAAAATAATGCTTACATATGTGTATGTGTTTCAATAAAAGAATGCATTTTTTTTTAATGGGAAGAAAATTATCTTTTATTTTTTTCCTACCATGTCTTTCTTGGATAAGTTTGTGAGTGTATAAAACATTTATCTCATTATAAGAAAAAATTAACATAACCTTCAAATTAATGATTTTACATAATATTTTTGTTTTGAAATATGTTTCCATCATTTATTCACTGGAGAAATACTTCTCATGTATCAAGTACCAATTCCAAAATCAGGATTACCATGAGGTCAAATCAATGGCCTTTTTGTTTGTTTTTCTGCTCTTGTGGCACTTTGATTACACTCACTGATTATATGTTAAGTACTGGTTAATATAACCCACAAGGGACTTTATCCTTCTTTCTCTTAACCAAATCCCACCTTTGTTAGTTTCAGGTGTCTCTATAAGTAAGAGGAGTCTGATACCCTCACTATACCCATGTAGAAAATTTTGACTGGTTACAACCAAACCTGGTAATTCTAAAGATCAACTTAGAAATAACTAAGTGGTCCAGCTATAGCCAATGAGAAGTAAGGGGGAGTTTTCTGGAAGGTCTTTGGAAAATAATTTTCCACCTTGATCAAAACAGATGCCCTCTTGTCTTTGGGTTCTATGAAGAAGTATTGCTTAGAGCTGCAGCAACTCTTTTGTAACCATGAGAGAATGAGCCTGAAGGTAAGAGCCAAATGCTAATAATGCCAGAGAAGAAATATGGAAAACATCTAGTTCTCAATACAGCTCTCCCATCACAGAACTGATCAACCCTGGAATTGCCTACCTCTACACTTCTCATTCTAGAAAATGTTAAGTATTTATATCACATATGTTCATGTACATGTGTGCAAGGGTATACTGCTGCCCACCACCATATCTATTATGATGTAGGACTGTGTTTGCCTAGAGAACGAGGCATATTTTAAAAATTTTGCATAAAAGCACAAAGCTAGTGGAAAAGCTTTTAGTTGAATGTTCTTTTCTTTGCAATGAGACCATCCTAATTTGGTACAGCACCCATCACATTTTCTTGTAGTTCTGTGTTACTTGTATGCCAATTGCTAGTAAATTCCATAATGAGCAGGAGCAATGGCTTATGAATCAATCCAACCTATACGACTCACACATAAGCAGATTATAATAAATGCTTAATGACCAAGGAGTATGAAAATTCTTATAGTATCCAATTAGTGCCATCACATGCTATGCTTACAAGATGTCAAACATCTGGATACTTTGGAAAATGTGGATGGATGGCTGAATATTTTTAATGTTAATCTGGATGTTTTGGCATCAAATAATGTACCCCAACGTTAGCCTGCAAAAATCAGAGACCGTCACTCTTTTATTCTCAGATGTGGTTAGATGCTGAACTGTCACACAAACGAATGATGGCTATTTAACACACTGTCATCCTAATTCTGGGGGAAATTCCTTCAGGGGAGCATGAGACAGCCAAGATTCCTTTGAGAAATTTCCCCTCCTACCAGATGTTAAGTATATGACAGGATATGTTCTAGTGTGTTTTTGAAAGCATAGAGTGTACAGAGAATTTTTAAAAAGGAAATTGGCAACTAACATCAAAGTTCCTTCATAGGAGGCATCTGACAGAAGTTTAGATGTCAGAATAATTGCTGACTTTTTTTTTTCTTCTGTTACCCTTCAAGCATTTCTTCTCCATATCTCTATTCTCAGATTGGCCCATAACCTGAAAGCAACAAGAGAGTTAATCAAAGAATCTTAAAAGAGAATGGAAACATTCTCTTCATTCTTAATTGGGTTATCACACTTTCCCTGTCCTAAGGGTGTTCTGATTTGAAATTTAGTTTAGGCATATTTTAAGATATAAAATCACTTTTATCATATTATGTATGTATAGTTTTAAATTTATGAGATTGTCATATTACTTTTCCTCTTTAAGTTTCAAATTCTATTTTGAGAACTTAAATTCAAGCTTTTAACAACATTTTAGAGTTGAAAACATGAAGTAGTAAAGGATGTTGTCAGTAAGAGAGCATTTTCTGTTGCAAGTGATAACCCACAATTTAAAAGATTGACTTAAGGAAAGAGGACTCATAGATGTGAGTAATACCAGAATAGGGCTTTCTTCAGTTACAGCTCCATCCTAGGCTCAAGCAATGTCACCAGGCTTTCTCCACTGCAGTAACTCAATTCCCAAGTTGCTGACAGTAACAAAATGACTGCAGCTGTTCCAGCTCTTGCTTGTCCTCAAGTTCACATTCAGCAAGAAAGAGAAACTGCCTCTATTCAAAGATTTCCAGCCAACATTTCATTGCATCTCATTGGGCTGTGAGATTCATGTGTTCATTCCTAAATTAATCACTATGATTGTGGGAATGAAGAGCACTAGTTGGCTTGAGCCATGTACTCCACACTTGACCTAAGTGTGCCCTGAGGTAGGGGAAGGGTGAATTTCCAAACCCAAATTGTGGGCTTTACGCAGAATAAGCAAGGATGGATATGGGGAGGTATAATTTGTAATAGGACCAAATTTCATATATAGCTTTGTATTCTTTCTTTTTCACTTAATATTGCACTGTATTTTCAGAATAAATGTCCACTTTAGAGATTTTAATGCATTAGATTACTTCACTTTGTTTTTAATGCATTAGATTACTTTAAAACTTAACAAAAATGACCTAGAATCCAGCACCCGGCACAATACATAGTACATGTAATTTGGCTCAGTAAATATTGCTTGATTGAGTAAATGAATGAATGGAGTTACTAAAAATTGTGACACAACCCAGCCCCTGTGTCCTCCACATTTGAGAGGATATAGCAAGTTCTCTGTATAGCTGCTTGAAATCCCTCTTTCATTTGTTGTGAGATGAAAGTCAAGCACCTCTCTCCCCTTCCATAAACAGTCAAGAAAAGAGGCTGAAGCACCCCCACTCTCTGCATCCTTCTTTTATACCCTGGAGAGGGTGATGGGCTAATTTCAGTGACCCGCTTTGCCAATCCTGTCTACCACCTGGCCTTGGAATGGGGGCACCTGCATCTAATTTTATTCTTGGCTTCTGGGGCCTTGGCCAGAACCAAGATAAGCATCCTGTTAACATATACTTACGTATGTATACACACATAGAGAAAAAAGCACACAAATGTGACAGGGCCAAATTTTATATATTGCATTGTGTTCTTTCTATTTCACTTAATATTATACTGTATGCATTTTCATATTACTGAATATTCACATAAAAATCAATCTTTGTAACTGCATAGTATTTTATCATATGACTTTACTGTAATTTATTCAACTAAATCTCTAACATTAGACAATTAGATTATTTTCAATATTTAGTCACTGGGGTAAACATTTTGCATTCAATCTTTGATGGATTTCTAAAGTCCCAGAAGAGGAATTATTGGATCAAATGATGTGGAGATTTGTTGAGGGAATTTGTGCTAGTTTTCTATGGCTGCCATAACAAATTATGAATGATTTAGTGACTCAAAGCCACACTCTTTTCTTATTTAGCAGTTCTGTAAGTTAGGCATCCAGTGGGTTTGGCTGGTTTCTCTGCCTGAAGCCTCACAAGTCCAAAATTAAGGTGTCAGCAGGGCTGCATCCCCTTCTGGAGACTCTAGAAGAGAACCTGTTTCCAGACTCCTTCATGTTGTCAACAAAATTTAGTTCCCCGCACCTGTAGGAAAAGGTCCCCATTTCCTTGCTGACTGTCAGCTGGGGCCTCCCTTAGCTATTAGAGTCCACTTTTTGCACTTGCAAGAAGCCCACCATAGCTCAGGACTAGAAACAGGGTTGAATCATTCCGAAGCAGACACATGTCTCTGCCTCCCTCTTCTGCTCTTAAGGGTTCAAATGATTACATTGGGCTCATCTGATAGCATAGGATAATGTCTCTATTGTAAGGCCAGCTGATTAACAGCCTTAATTGCATCTGCAAAGTCCCTTTTGTCTTCGTAAGGATCAAAAGCCATGGTGGCCAAAATCCCACCTACCACATACAATAGGTATTGCCTTTCAGAATGTCCTGTATCAGTGTATACTGCCTCCAGCATTGTATGAAAATTTCCATTTTCTCACATTCTCCTCAAGCATGGGCCTTATTATTTAGGCAATGAAAATTACAATAACAAACTTCACATTTGATAGGTAAAAAGGCATTTCAGTGTTGCTTGAATTTGTTCCCGAGTTTGCATGCTTCTTTGGAAAAATTAGAATACCTTGTAGCACTGGGCTTACATAGCCACACGGTGACAATCTTGTGGAACAGATTAAAGGCTGCCTTCTGTACACAAGGCATAAGTTTTCTACTTTGCCACAGTCTCCAGCATTCCCTGTTGTCTCTGACAAAATGTGTGAATTCTATTGCCTATCGGTCAATCTGGTTGAATGTGCAATTATTGATACTCTGACAGAAAATTACAATGGGTGACATTGAGCGGGATACTGGGTGGCTTTTTATCCAGGATACTTGGTGGCTTTTAAATCCATTTATGGATTTTAAATCCATTTAAATTCATTTGGATTTAAAATCCAAATGAAGATGGGTTTTAAACAACATTTTATAAAATGGTCATTGAATGCATAGTCGTGCAGAGATCCATAGACAGCAGGCCATGTGACAGGAGTCCAATGTGCTTGTTTCTCTGCTGCCCAGCATGGCATGGAGCAGGAGCAGCTCTGAACTAGAGTAGCCAGAGCAGATGTCCAGCACCTGAATCAATCAGGAAGTGACGACGACTGACAGTAAGAAGTAGGGCAACTATTTTCACCAATATGCTGGCATGTGTTTTGACACAAACCCTACAAAACCCTGTCTCTTTTTTTTTTTTTTTTGGCACCCTGTACCAAATATGCCATAATGTACTTCACAGATGATTTCTCACTTAAAAAAAAAATGATGCCAGATTCAGGTTCCTTTCAAAACAAAGGATGTGAGAACCAAAAAATGTAAACTGCAGGATGACTGCTGAAGGGAGAAAAGAGAAACATATTGAGAAGCCAAAGCACAGCAGGGCTTGTTGATGGACTGTCATAAACTTGGTAAAATAAATACGTGCATTGAAGCAAAGTCCCATATTTTATACATATGGTTCATTTCATGAAGAAATTTGCAATAGTATCTTGACACTCAGACCAGGAAACTTTGAATTTTATCTACACATGTAGTTAGGAAAGCATTTAGCTCCAATGGCTTGGGTTAGGTGACATAAAGGCTGTGAATGCAAAGTCTTTATTTTGCTTTGTTTGTATGGACAAAGTGAATGGAAAATTTGGCCAAAGATGTTATGACATAAAGATGTTATGTCAAAGTCTGCTGATAAATTGTTTGAAATATCAGCCCAAGGTTTTCAGCATGACAATTCTATATGCATACATTGTTGGTTTCTTTTCAGCAAACCACAGTTTGTATTATTGTAATGAATTCATGCATAGATAGCATTTGTTTGACTCATTAATTTGACTGTACTTACAGAAAAAAAGTAATAGAAAAGTGCATGCAACAGCAGCTACTCTTGTGAGGATGAGTAGTGACTGGAGGGGGCCAGGGTGGGCTTTTGGAATAATGGTTTATTTCCACAACTGAGTGCTAGTTACACATGTAAGTTCTGTTTGTGAAACAGTGCACTTATGACGTATATATTTTCCTTAATTTATATGGTAATAAAATAAAATATGTGTTTAAAAAAAAAAGAAGGGTGCCTGGCAGTGGTGGAGAAAATTTTTAAGGTGCTGTAAAATCTTCAAAATTGAAGGTTGTTATAGGTTGTTAGTACCAGAGATTACAAAATCGTGGTCTGTGTGTACCAGGTTTAAATCCACAGATATGTTTAGATGACAAGTTTAAACAAAAATTAAATTAGTTGTGAACCTCTAAATTAGTTGTGAATCTCTGAATTGGGGGAATTTATATTAAAATACAGATTGCATGCTTCTTTTGAAAACTTGGAATTATCTTGTAGCACTGGGCTTACATTGCCACATGACAACAATCTCGTGGAACAAATCAAAGGCTGCCTTCTTTACACAAGGCAAGAGTTTTCTACTTTGCCTCAATCTCCAGTATTCTCTGTTGTCTCTCTGACAAAATTTTGACTTCTATTTCCTATCAGTAAATCTGGTTGAATGTGTAATTACTGATATTCTGACAGACAGAAAATTACAGTGGGTCACATTGACCTGGATACTAGCTCTGTAGACATGCAATGAGGTTTTGGTTTACCAAGAACCCAGTGAAGTATAGATTTGGTCATTAGTTAACCGCATCAAGTTACACAGCATGAATGGAGAATTTTCATTTTCGAGAGCTGTCAAATTTGCACTTTGTAGACACAGGCAAGGCTGTCATCACAATGCACCATCTGAAGACTTCTAGGTGCTGCTTTTGAATTAAAGTCAGAGGAATGAATTACAAATGAACCCAACACATATGCTTGGAACAACCATAAGAAAAGAGTTAATATGTCCGCTTTCAGGTGCAGCTGTGGTTGTTTTATTAATCACATCTCCAGTCTCTGGGATGTAACCCTCATTTACAAATGAAGTGAGGCAAGACTTGGAATTGCTGGGCTTTGTGCTGGAACAGCCATGAGCTGCCTACCCACACAGATCCCTTCAGAGGTGGCAAATTGAATTGGGATGACTGCAGAAAGAAAGGCTTGGAAACAGCTGCAGACCTTTGCCTTCACAATCAGAGAATCCAGTTACACAATCAGAAACTGCACGTAGGCCCTGGTTTTTGGCAATACCAGAGAGGCAATGATAACCCTATGGGGTGCAAGGATGACAGCACACGTGTTGGTCATCATGGTTCTGGGAACAATTGTTTCCCAAACAATGTTTCTAGCTGATGTGTGAACAGAACCCAGCCGCTGTCTCATTTACAAAGAGGGTGGGTGTTAATAATTGAGCAGATGCCTCTGGATATGACTGGAAAAGTGCTTAAGTCCCAGGAGTCCCAAAATTTGCCTTAATTTGGTAGATATTTCAGAGCTGGTGACATTTTCAAAAGGCCATCCACATGGCATCGATTTTCCTGTCCCATCTTGGTTTTAAAATAGTGTGGATTGTATACCTGTTTTATACTCATTTGGGCCCAACTACATTTTAAATTCTAAATGGGGCCTTCTCTAAATGGTTCTAGAGTGCGAAAAATGAGAGTGCCCTGCAAGAAGCCAGGCAGAATTCCAGCTCATCTTCTGTGCATGTTGTCTGAGTGCCATTACTGAAAGGCACAGAAGAGAGAGGCTTTATATCCATAAAACTCTAATATCTGAAGAGGCCGATTAGTAAAGTGCAGACACTTGACATGCCTTAAGTTATCTAGACACCAGTACACTGAGAATCAAGTCACTTACCCATGGTCACAACAATTAACCGCAGGAGTGAGACTCTAGAACCTCAAACCTCTCATTAAATTGGGCTCTGTTTTGCAAAGTAGAGAATTCAAACAATAATTCTAAATGGGAACCTCAAACCTCTCATTAAATTGGGCTCCCTTTTGCAAAGTAAATAATTCAAGTGATAATCTAAATAATTTGGGCAAAGGACCATTTGGAGTGTGTCAACAAGATGACAATATTTCTATTAAAAGTAAAGATTTTTATCTATCAAAATGTTGCCAAATATTTACTTCTTTGGTGTCAAGTATATATGACTGTGATTCGTTTCTTTCTTTCTGTTTTCATGTCTGAGTTAAGTGCCCTGTCTTTGCATTAACCCAGCACCAAAACCATCCTAACGAGGCCTCTTATAATAGCGCTTCATGCCCCACATTAAAATGTTCTGTTTATTTTCATATACCCACCAAATTGCAAGCACTGTGCACCAGTGCCATAGCAGTGGCTGGAGCTAGGTTGCAGCTGCTCAGAAGAACCAACTGTTAGATTTTCGGAAATTTTGCAACCCAGTTCATGACAAGTTGGCAGCATGAAATCAGCCATGGTGGAAGTATTTACACTACAGAAATAAGCAAACTGTATGAATCAGGCCTGCTTTCACTCCTGCAGAGCCAGTTTTTAACACTTACTGGCATATGGTCAGAGACCTTACTTGTCTGGCTCACTATATCCTCAGTTGTCCTGGTACATAGCAGATGCTCAGTAAATATTTGTTTGGGGAAGGAATGATGCTTTCATGACGGGGTGAATGAATGAAGGTGTCTCTCAGCTTTCCAGTCCTGACTTCCTAGAATTCATTAGTAGCTGGAAGGGACACTACATGGGACTCTCTGAGCAAAGACGATGGCTCCTTGGAGAAAGTGAAAGTCTTTGGCCCTTAGAGACAAATGGATTTGAATCCCAGCTGAGATCTGGATTACAGCTCTGTCATTAGTAGCTATGAACTGTAGGCAAGTTACCTTCCTTCTCTGAGTTTCTGAGCTTTGGTTTCCTCTTCTATATTAAAAGGTATAATGATACAACTGGTGGTGTTATAATGGCAGTTAAAGACACTGTTTTATAAGGCACAGCCCACAGGCACATAGCCTCTGTGCTAAGTCACCTTCTTGGACTCACATCTGAAGTACTATATACATTTTCCTTCAGGGCCCAGACATTCCCTAGCACACATTCAGCTTTCACATATTCAAAGCACCTATTATTATCCAAAATTATTTTTTAGGTATTCATTGTCTTTTTGTCAAGAAAGCAAGTTTCAGAGACCAGGCAGGTCTTACCTGTCTGGTTTGCTGCTCTATCTCCAGTGACCTGAACAGTGCCTAACACTCAAGTTACCCCTCCACTAATATTTCTCATATGAGTAAATGAATAAACAAATACTCAAATAAAGGATATTTTCATTTATTAGGTGACTCTCTACAGCAGGAGTCAGAAACTATGGCCATGGGCCAAATGTAGTTCATCACCTACTTTTGAAAATAAAATTTTATAGGAACACAGCCGTGCTTATTCATTTATGAATTGCTAGGGTGGTTTTTAATACTAAAACAACAGAGTTGAATAACTGCAACAGAAGCCTATGGCCTGCAAAGCTGGAAATACTTATCATCTGGCCCCTTATAGAAAAGGTTTGCTGACCCCTGATCTATTAGATCATCTCTGAAAGGCATTAATTTATAGCTCAGAAAATTGAAGAATTTTATCAGCTTCACGAAATAAATTGGTAGTGACAGGGGAGGGGAAATGGGTCTCATGCAACTGTAGTGTAACATCCTAAGACTGAAGAAGAAGACAAAGAAGGCATCAACCATCCCTCTCCACCAGTCAAAACATCTTCTCAACTCTCCCTGTTTCAACATACCTCAATGCAGATCTCTTCTCTGAGTCTGTTCAATGATTATATTTTTCCATAGGATTTTTGACACTGGCACCAAAGTAAAGTATGTGGAACTTCCAAAAGAGAGGAAGTTTGAGATGGCAGCAGCATTATAAAAGCTTGCCCAGCAGAGCTCCAAACTCTCATTGTGGTAGCAGCATCTAATCAGTGCACTAAACTTTGAGAAACCTGATATTATGCAAATACACTCCATCTGCATTTTATGACAGTACATACAATTTTTATTAAAAATTTAAAATCCTTTTTTATATGGAAAAAATCTTTCTCTTACAGTAATTAGAATTAACCAAAGAGGCAGTATAACAGAGTCTTATAGCTTAATTCAAAACAAATGTTGGAGCAGATTGAAGTGCTCTTTCAGATAAAGAAAGAATTCTGTCCTCTGTGTGTGTATGCAACAGAAGGCAGTATTTTCTGCTGCTTGTTCTTTGGGATCAGTATGAGGGCTATAGCATTTGTGGTGGTACTGGATTTGTGATCGTGGTAATCCCACTTTCCAAGGCAGCAAACTATGGTGGTTAACACAGTGGGAGAGTAAGTCTTTGAGTCAAACCGGCATGGGTTTGAGTCCAAGATCTACAGCTCACTAGACGTGTGCATGTAGGCAGATCATACACATTCATTTTCATCTGTAAAATGACATAGCAATAGTGTCAGTCAGGATAACCATAACCCCCAAATTCAAGGATGCTGCCTGCTGTGGGAAAAATTATCCCCACAGCAGTGCATATCACTTCTGCCTACATCCTATAGAGCAGAGGTCAGTTATACGGCCTGATCTAACTTCAAAAAAGGCTGGTGACCTCAAAGGAAAAGGAGATGCCCAGGAGGTGTCCAGGAGGAGAAGGTGGTTGGGTGACCCAGAGCATCTCTGACACAAGATATACTTAATGTCATGAGGTTTCCAGAGGATTCATCCAGTTAGTGTCTGTGAAGTGCTTGGCACAGTGGCTAGTCTATGGCCTATGGTAAAGCCTTTATGAGTGGTAGTCAGCTGATGCTCCATTTATGAAAATGAGGAAGGCTAGTTTACAGGTGTTTACTAATAGAGGTGGCAAGTGATTGGCTCATGACTCCTTACCTGGGAAAAAATTGGGAGCTTCCAGGAACCTAGCAGGTTATCCACCTGCAGAAACAGA
Source organism: Homo sapiens (assembly GCF_000001405.40). NCBI lineage: Eukaryota > Metazoa > Chordata > Mammalia > Primates > Hominidae > Homo > Homo sapiens. Next base: position 144,100,107 of record NC_000005.10, on the reverse strand, counting down.
TGCTTCCATTTCATTTCTCTCTTTCTCTGTCTCTTTCTCTGAGCAACAAACACTACTATTGGAAAATTCTTGCTTGATACAATCCTTTGTGTCATCTTTCAAATTTGTTTGTAGCCATAGGAAGGATACAGACAGCAATTGTTATTATTATTATTATTTTTTGAGATAGAGTCTGGCTCTATTGCCCAGGCTAGAGTTGCAGTGGTGCGATCTCAGCTCACTGCAACCTCTGCCTCCCAGACTCAAGCCATCCTCCCACCTCAGCCTCCCGAGTAGCTGAGACCACAGGCACACGTCACCACACCAGGCTAATTTTTGTCTTTTTTGTAGAGATGGGGTTTCACCATGTTGCCCAGGCTGGTCTCAAACTACTGAGCTCAAGCGATCATCCTGTCTCGGCCTCCCAAAGAGCTGGGTGTATTACAGGTGGGAGCCACCAGAACCGGCCAATTGCTATTTTTTTAAAGTCACTCAATTGATCAAATAACAAGAGACTTGATCATTGTGACAACTGCAGCTCTTGTCTACACACCTGTTGAATGATCATAAGGCATTCAGGAAACTTTGGTTGGGTTGGTACCTCTGCCTTTGTGAAAAGGCAGGTCTGTGACTTCAGATTCAAATCTCAGTGCTCCCATTTGCAACTGGGCCACCTGAGGAAAATTAATCCTAACATTTCCTTGCTTTGTTTTCTCTATATTCAAAATAAAGATAATTTTGTTCATCTCATAATGTTATCGTGACAAGAAAATGAGCTAATGGAATAGAGTAAGGTCTCAATGCAGGGGAACTGTTATTATTGTTGATCATTGAAGATTATAGTGATGGTGGTTTGCCTTTAAACACCAACTAATCAAAATTGATGAATTTTTTTTTATTTCTTAGTAGATCTAGTGTCAACTGGCCTTCGTGTTGGCCTTACATACCAGCAAGGTGGGATGGACTGATTAAAACACTCGTAATTCACCTAAAAAGTAAAACATCTGTCTCCTATTTCAGCACAAGCAGAATGAATTCCATCAACTGTGGCTCTATGTTTATTTACTTTGACTCATTCAGAAATTAGAATGAAACATTAATTTTTCTGGGCCAGCTAACTCATCTAAAGAAATCATTCCGTGTGATTCTAGAAGTTTGCTACCCATATTTTTCAGTACTGGGAAGGTCAATGGCAGTATCAGCTGCAGATATGAGCCTTTACAAAAGAACAAGCCAGGTCCTGAAGCATCTTCTCCATTCTGGTCTACTCTCAAGAAGCAGAGAAACATGGAAGAAATGCTTGGAGAAAGGTAATTAACTCTTGGATCCCCTGGATAGAGTAACTGCCCTTTGATACTAGGAGAAGTACTGCCTACCCCACCTTGGTTTTACCTACAAGAATTTCAGAAAGTAAAATATCACATGTTTTCACTTATAAGTGGGAGCTAAATAATGTTTACCCATGGATATAGAGTATGGAAGAATAGACATCGAAAGGACAGGAGAGTGGGAGTGGGAAGAGAGATCAGAAATTGCTTAATGGCTACAATGTCCGTTATTCAAGTGATGATTCCACTAATGCCCAGACTTCACCACTGTGCAATATATCCATGTAACAAACTGTACTTGTATGCCTTAAATTATACAAATACAAATAAATACATAGACAGTTAAATTCATTTATGCACTCATTTACTCAAAAATATTTATTGCCCACCTACTATGTGTACACAGTGAAAAACAAAGATACTGTTTTTCAGTATCGTGTTGTGTGGAATTGTAACTGAGCAGTTGCACTGTAACAAGTATTACAGAGAAGTAGTATCGGGTCCTGTGTGAGTGCAGACCTGGGAAACCTGACCTACCCTGGGGATGGGTAAGGGAAGGCCAGGTCACCATATACAACATACTGCATAATTCTAAGGGGCACCATTCATGAGGAAGACACTGAATATGTGTGTTAATTACAATAATTTTCTGCAGGTGAAATTAAAATGCCTCAAGGAAAAGGTAGATCTTCTTTGTTTTTTTTTAAACTTTTAAGTTCAGGGGTACATGTGCAGGTTTTTTATATAGGTAAACTTGTGTCATTGGGGTTTGCTGTACAGATTATTTTGTCACTCAGGTACTAAACCTAGTACCCTTTTAGTTATTTTTCCTGATCCTCTCCCTCTTCCCGTCCTCCACCCTCCAATAGGCTCCAGTGTGTGTTGTTCCCCTCTATGCATCCATGAGTTCTCATTATTTAGCTCCCACTTATAGGTGAGAACATGCAGTATTTGGTTTTCTCTTCCTGCATTCATTTGCTAAGGATAATGGCCTCCAGCTTCATCCATGTTCCTGCAAAAGACATGATCTCGTGATGTCGTTCTTTTTTATGGCTACATAGTATTCCATGGTGTATATGTACCACATTTTCATTATCCAGTCTATTGTTGATGGGCATTTAGGTTGATTCCATGTCTTTGCTATTGTGAATAGTGCTTCAGTGAACATATGCATGTATATGTCTTTATAATAGAATTATTTACATTCCTTTGGGTATATACCCAGTAATGGGATTACTGCGTCAAACGGTAGTTCTGTCTTTAGGTATTTGAGGAATTGCCACATTGTCTTCCGCAATGGTTGAACTAATTTACACTCCCACCAACAGTGCATAAGCATTCTTGTTTTTCTACAACCTCGCCAGCATCTTTTATTTTTTGACTTTTTAATAATAGCCATTCTGACTGCTGTGAGATGGTATCTCATTGTGGTTTTGATTTGCATTTCTCCAATAATCAGTGATGTTGAGTTATATATATATATACATATATATATATATATGATCATTGGCTGCATGTATATCTTATTTTGAAAAATGTCTGTTCATGTCCTTTGCCATCTTTTTAATGCGGTTGTTTGTTTTTCTCTTGTTCAAGGAAACAAGGTCAGCAAAGATAGATACTTTTTAAAAAGATAGATGGGAGAACTTGCTTTATCAGAAACCAAGTCTTATGATTGTTATATGATTGTTACAGTGTGGTATTGGCACCAGCATAGACTAATTGTCCAATAGAATAGAATAGAGTGCAGAAAGGAACCCACTCATATGTGGAAATGTAATTTATAAACAAAAAACTCTCATACACTGCTGGAGGAGATGTATTTAGTTCATCCTTCAGTAAAAAAACAAAAACAAAAACAAAGCAAAAAAAATGAGTTTCTGTGGTGTTAGCAATGTTTTATTTCTTGATCTGGATGGTGGTTACACAGGTGTTTGCTTTATGTATAATATTTCTCCTTAGGCAGGTTTAAAAAAAGGAATAAGAATGTAATATTCTCCCCAACTACCTTTTTTGTAACCAATATTTTATAATTCTGTTGCTTTTTTTCTCTTGAAATAAAATTCATAGATAACTTATTTACCTGCATAATATTAAACAGTAAAAAATTAAAATGCCTTAAATAGAAGGTGAAAAATAAATATATTTAATTTATTGTGAAACATTTATTTTAATATGTAAAATCCTCAGTCCTATTTTCACTTGAAGACATAAGGGAATAGTCAGGTGCTCATCCCTGTACACCATATCACCATGAATATGACAGGAAGTTGTATTTGTGTCTTGAATGCCATGAGCAATTGCTGAAGACTGATTTTTCTAAAATGGTGAACAGTTCTTGGTAATGTTCCAATGAAATTGAGAAAGCAAAAACAAATAATAAAAACAAAAAAAAAACCTTCCATCAATCTGCATAGTAGTTGCATTGCCAGAAAGTTGCCCTAAATCATAACTGTGAAAGAAAAATCTTTAAATTTATGTGAAATCAAAGGTTTTACGCAAAGATAATTATAAATAGGTTTCTTAGCTACAGGACTGTCCTTGGGGACAATAGAGACTCATGCAAATCTTGAGACATTTTTTCCTCAAGTTGAATTGTTAAAATTGTCAAGATCTGGCATTCTCAGCCTCCTTAAAGGCAAGCAGTGCCCTCAATCACTGTGTAACCGAAACAACTCCTCTCCAAATTTTCTAAATACTCCTTAAAAGGTTTCATTGTCTCTTCAGAATTACTAGCCCAAACCTTTGATGTTATGATGGTGTTAGAGGAATTGGAGTTGCTACAGAATTGGATTCCTAAGTTTCTCTATATGGCTTTCATTTCTTAAAAATTTCATTAGACAAAAGCAAAATACACTCAGATGTGCTATGAAGGAAGTGACCATCTGAATTAGTGGCCTTAGAATTAACTTAGAAAACTCAAACAATTCTCACTATAAATTTCAACTTTTTTAATGTAAAAAAGACAGGGGAATGGAAGGTGTGAATAATGCTGAATGGTAGGCAAAGACAAAGCTGTTTGTTTAGGCACTGTCTTAGTCCATTTGTGTTGCTATAAAGCAATACCTAAGGCTGGATAATTATAAAGAAAATAGATTTATTTGGCTCGCAGTTCTGCAGGCTGTACAAGGAGCATAGTGCCTGCATTTCCTTCTGATGCAGGCCTCAGAAAGTTTTCACTCATGGCAGAAAGCTAAGTGGTGCTCACATATGTAGATCACATGACCAGAGAAGAGGGAAGATACAGAGGAGGAGATGCCAGGCTGTTTTCAATGAGCAGTTCTTTTGGAAACTAAGAGTGAGAACTCACTCCTACGAGACTGACACCAATCCATTCATGATGGATCCATCCCCACGACCAAAACACTTTCCTCCAGGCCCTGCCTCCAACAATGGAGTTCAAATTTCAACAAGAGAATTGGAAGGGACAAATATCTAAACTATATCAGTCATTCAAAGAAATGACACAGCCCACCCACAGCAAATGCCTGGTCAGACATCTGCATTTCTGAGACAGACATGGCTTTATATTCTTGTCAGAGTTCCAGTTGGTCACTACATTTTTCTAGAAGCAGCAGTTTTTTTTGGATCAACCAGCATTCAACTGCTGGTGTACAGAAGGTCCCACCTCCACAGGACTCCTGAAGATTTATAATGGGAGGAGACAGGTGAAGCAGTTGCTTTTGGTCTGGTCAGCAGCCTCGAAGTCTACTTTTCACTATTGATCATGAGAAATGGTATCAGTACTTATCAGTGTTGAATTACCTGGAAATTTTGTTATTTATTTCTCAATACTTTGAGTTGGAATTTTCCCTCTGATTATGATAAGCAGTTGATTTGAGGGAGAGTGGGCCCTGTGAGGTTTTTGTATTTGGTGCAGGGGTCAGGGAACATGAGGGATGGAGATGGGAAGGCAAATTGAGCTATTTTTATTGAACTATTTTTTAGCAACCTTTGTGTCTGTTTATATGACCTTTGTGCTTGTTTTTGAGTCCAAGCTTTCACTCTTAGATTGTTAAGTACTGGGAAGAAATTTTGCATTTTCTTCCTTTGGACAGAATGAAGGCCTGTCCTGAGAGGTTCTATTACATATACGTAATTTTCAAAAATGTTACCTTTACCAAATGTTTCCTAAAATCTCTCAAATCTTATACACATCACAACTCCATCTCACATCATCAGTTCCCTGAGCATAGTGTCCATTTCATCTTCATAGCCCCCTTGCTAGCTGGATATAATCTGCTGAATACATAAAGGAATGAACAAATTTACTTTCAGGCATTGCAAAGACATTACATTTGGCAATTTAAAAACAAAAGACACTTTCTGAGATTGTCACCTGAGAGACAACTGAAAACAGACATTTACATTTAATTTTTTTATTCCTTTACAGTCATTAGATTGAAGAATAATATCATTCTTCCATTCCTTAAATTTTTAGTGAGCATCTATTAGGTGCCATGTACTGTACTAGGCCTTGAGAATATGAGATGAAAAAGATGTAGCTCCTGTTCTTCTCATGGAACCTATAGTCTAGTGAATATTTGTTGTAGGATTTAATAACCTTTCCTTATATTTCCTTTATAATAACAATTCAGGAAATGGATAACCAAGTGGACTTACACCTATTTTATTGATCTACATGCTGAGTCTTTTGCGATAACCTTCTTTAAGAACTTGGAGGAAGTAGGTTTACAGCTGTTTCCTGTGTGTGGCTTTTAATCTGTCTCGTCCCCAGGTTCAGGTCTCCCACAGGTCTCACCCCCACTTCAGTTTTACACTTGCTGACTGAAAAGTTATATGTTTTACATATCCAAATCTCTCTCTGCCCATCACTGCATGCCTTTTACTGGCAACCATAAACCCACCTAGAAAATGATTTGAAAGGTGATGGCTTTAAAACATACATAACACTCAAGGGAGGTTACAACATCATGATTAATGGACATGGATGGCCTTGTGACCAAATGAGCACCTAAAGCTTGAAATAGTGTTTTACTACTCTGCTGACATGCAGAATCACCGAGTCATGGAACTTTAGTTCATAACAGAGATCAAAGAATGATCTGAGGATTACCTTCATCACAGTCATCTGGGAGGCCTGTTAAAGATGCAGGTATAGGCATCCCAGGAATATGCATTTTAAAAATGCTCCCAGGGTGTTCTTTTGCATTTGAAAAGTTACAGAACCTTCACTTTATGGATTGGAGCTCTGAAGCACAATGAGCTCTAAGAACACAGCAAGGTTGTATAGAGGCCAGTTTCTGATCCCTACCTAGTGCTCTTCCTTAAATCTGCGTTATTTGGCCATGAAATGTCAAAGTAAAAACAATCATGTTTCTTCCTCTTTCCCCAAATCCTACTGGAACTTAATCCTACTTTCCCAGCGTGTGCCAAATATTTTTTCCCTGATGAGACACACATGAAATTTAAATCCCATGTTTGCTTTCCAGACAAGAGAACACTCTATGTTCCTTATCTCCACCTCCCTCATGCTGGAAAATGGAAAGAGAGCTTCTGAACAATCCTGTTTTCAGAATAGGCAACTGCTGGCCTTGGGTGGTTTGTGGATCTTGGCATGGCTATGACTTTGCAGAATCTATACATATTCCAGGATTGCAAGGCCTTCCCAGGCAGATTGTAGCTTCACCCATCTTCTCTTGCCTCTTTCCAATCCAACAACCCCAGCCCATACCATATCCTCAGAAGTCCACAAACATGCCTTGGAGTGGAGACAGTTGGCAGCAAAGGTCTATGTGTTTCTTTCCACAGGCCCATTTCCATGCCTCATAGAGACAGACACTTGCCAGGATCCAAGCCTTTAAAGAATATAACTTTGTGCCTGAAGGGTCCAAAGGCTACCAAACCTTGGGGACATTGTAAGAATCAACAGGACTAAGGCATTTCAGCCATGAGAAAAGGACCGCTATAAAAAGATAAAATCTCTTTCCCCACTGGAAAGAGATGAGGGGAGAAGCATTCAACTGCCATGGAAGGTCACTGACTCCATATCTTGTTATTGAAATAGTCAGAGCCTTTGCAACTCCACCCCTGGATGACTCAAGGTGCTGACTCTAAGGACCTCTCTAGACAGACATGAAGTCACCGTCACAGGGCTGGTGCTGCTCAGGGCATAGAGAAGGTCCACCTGTGGATAGTCAGTGCACGTCCATTAGGACAGGATGTGATGGAGTCAGTGGAAAAAATATATTTTCAATTTGCTTAAGGTTTGGGCATTGTTATACCCTTTGTGTAAAGGCATTTTTTCTTGTTCCAGAACAGGATTTGACTCATATCTTAATACATTTAATAATGAGCATATATATATATGCCTATTGCATATACTGTAGAAATGCTGGAAATAAGTTCATGTTCATGTTGCTACAGATATACTAATTATTGTCTTTTTAACAGGGATAGTAGCCTTCCTTGACTTAGTTGCACTAACTACAGTAATATCACAATAATAATAGTTAACATTTATTTAGTATATACTTATTATGAGAAGTGCTTTACTTTGATTATCTAATGCAATCTTCATAAACATCCTAGAAGGAGAATGGAGTAATTATTCCCATTTTATAGGAGATAAAGGTGAGGCACAAATGGTTAACTTGCCTGAAGTTACACACCTAGTAAGTGGAAAAGTTGGAATTCATATTCAAGCAATCAGAGTCCAGAGCCTAGTTCTTAATCTACTACACAATAGATTTCCTAACTGTACTGTTAATATATAAGAAATAGTGGTGGATCAAACTTTGTTCATTTGGTCTTTTTATCAGTTCTTTGTTCATTTATTCACTCATACATTCAATAAGCATTATTTAAGTACCAATTCCACGTGAGATATTGGGCTTCGTTACAAAGATGAATAGGACGGTTTCTGCCATCAAGGATCTCACTTTGTGGTAAGGAGACATGCATCTAAATAAACAATTATAAATAGAACGTGATAATATAATAAGAGTGCCTATGATGTGTCTGGTGACAATGGAGAGTCAGGGAGGACATCCTGGAGAAAGCTATTTTTGATTTAGTTCTTGAGGGTGGGAAGTTCAGCAAGGAGAGATGGAGAAAAGTAGCAGGCTAGGCGAAATGAACTTTTGTCCCGCACTGCTGCATGCAATGTCCCATGCTGGGTTTGTGAGAGAAACAGAGAGCAGTTTCCTACTCTCTAAGAGCTTAAAATCAAGTCTGAGAGGCAGCTGCATCAACAATGAATGAGGAGTGTGTTCGTAGCATGGATATGAACAAAACTGTCTGGCAGTGTGCAGGAAGAAGAGCTTATTTCCAACTCTCGGAGAAGGGGGAGCTGGGTACCTCTCCCTGGAGGACCAATTTGAATCAGGGTTGGAAAGATAAGAAGAGTTTTGCAAAACAGAGAAGTAGAAGAGTAAAGGAGAGTGGGCTGTTTAGGGAACAAACGTTCCCAGTGCATGGTGAATGGAACCAAAGTAAACACAGGTTGGTAATGGGAAACAAGGGACATGGCATTAATGCGTAGACAGCCACAAATGCCATGTGGAGGGTTTGGAGAAAGCATTGTCTAAATATGGACACTGTCAAAAGAGAAGTTAGAGCTCATCCTAGTTCAGTTGTTTTCAAACTTGCTTGCAGCCAAAGAACCCTTATTTCAAACAGCATTAGATAAAACCCTAAGTATATAACAGTTATGAATGGAGCCACTCTGGTTGGCATGTTGCTGAGGGGGTCCAGGATCCAGGCTGCTCAGCCACACCTTGGGTTCTATGCAACACAACTTAAAATCTCCCTACAAGTGATAGGTCTGAACCTGGAAAACAAGATGTTTTCAGCACCATTCCCTGGCTGACTTATTAGGTCACCACAAGCAGGCATACTGGTATTGTTGCTGGCATTAAGAAAACACTAATGATGGGTTTGGCCATCAGCACCGATCTGATTCATACATAAAGCAAAAGTACCCTCCACACCTGATCTGTGATGAACTAAGCTGGGATTCTAAGAAGACACTGATCAAATGAGACTTTTGGGTGAAGCCATTAGCCTCTTGGAGCATTCCTGTCCTGAGAGTGTCTTCTACAAAATGGAATCCTGGGGGCTTGAAAGAGTTAAAATAACTTTGGCTCTGCCTCACCCTTTCCCACAGAGAAACTTGTCCACTGGGAGAATTTGGCTCCATGCTAAGGATTTACTGCCAGAAAGTGAAATCAAAGACTTTACTGGATCTATACACCTGGATACCCTCCGGAGAAAAGAGTGAGGGAAAGGATATTTCACTTTCAGAGTTTCCAAATGCAAAGCCCAATAGGTCCAGCTGCAAGGAGAAAAAATGATCCCTGAAAGAAATAATCCTGAAAAAACCCATGGCTTGTCAAAGAGAGGAACCCTAACAGAATATGTTGGATGAAATACCTGACAGCCAGTTAGTCTTGAATTCCTGATAAACAAGTATAAGTATGTCTCATATGTGGTGTGGAACATGCTTATACTAAAAAAAAAATAATGTGTATTTGAGATTCAAATTTAACTGGCTGTTCTGTATTTTTACTTACCAAATCTGGCAATCCTAACCCCAAGCGGACTGCCCCATGGAGATGGGGCTCCCTTCAAACTCTGTAAGCATGAGTTAAGCCCTTCCAGCCCCAGGAAAGGGGCTGCACCCCACCAGAGCCACACGCTTCCCAGGCATGCTCCCTTTGAAGTCCTGGCAGGTTGGTCAGGGGCCTGCCTCAGGGGTTCACTGAAGTTCGGCAGAGTGGGGGATTAAAGAGACCCACTACCTGATGGATAAATGTTTACAATAACCACATTCCCTCCTTGACTCACTGGAGAGTTTTCATCAGAGCTGCATTGCTATTAGCCAAGCTGTTTGCTTCTTTTCTGAGCAGTAAGTTGTTTGTGCCTTGCTGCTACAAACAAAAACATCTGTGGAAAGTCCACCAACAGGAAACTTTGGAGGGAAAAGGGGGAAAACTCATATTTCCTGCTGATCCTGCTTAATGCATATTTGAAAAGGAAGAATGTAAGTTAAATCAACAACCCTCTAGTACAAGTGTAAGCTAGGTCTAGAGTGTGACAAAGACTGAGTGGCATTGAACAGGCTTTTGTCTGCTTCCCATTTTATCTGAGCAGGGTGCATTGAAGAGAGATTTAGTTTCTTCTGCTTGCTCTAATTCTCCAAGGAACGTGGTAACTGCCGAAACAAAAACAGAAACAAAAACTCCTACTGCTGTACCTTACATGCAAGTGTAGCTACAGGAGAGGGATGCTGTAGTGAATTACAGATGACCTGTTTCTGTGGAGTTTCCAAACACACATATTCTGAATTGCTACAACCAGAATAAAGCAAGTAAAAGAATTTACATGGCAAGCTAACCACAGGGGAAGCATTTGACCTTCATGTGTACAGGCTGTGATGGTCCTTCAATGTTCTGCTTTCTTCTGTACTAGGCAGTTGAGAAAGTTTTAAGAATAAATGTGTAGTGTCCTAAAGACAGTGAGGCACCAGGGATAGAAAGGACATGGCTGGAGACAGAGAAGCAAGTAAGAAATGAACTCTCATTTTTGCCCTGATTGATCTCAGTACCATGGAACAGCTAGGACCTGATGCCTTCCTGCTTCCTAAATGTGTGTGTGTGTGTGTGTGTGTGTGTGTGTGTGTGTGTCTGTGTCTGTGTGTGTGTGTTGTCTGTTTGAGACAGAAAGAGACAGATGCATAGAAACAGGGAAAGAAGAGAATGAGCAGGAAGAAGGCAGTGGGAGAGAGAGCCTGAGAAGCAGAGACAGAGAGAAATAAATAGCCCAATTTCTTGGTCCAGAGCCAGCTTACATACACTTCAGAATTTATGTGCCTAGGGGGACTACATAACATCCAGAAGACCCAGTCCTTTATGACTTCTTTAATGACTTAGACTGAGGAAAATCCAAATTCAGCCTTGCCTAAACTCCCAGCATAATATAAAGGTCAGGGACGAGAGTAATACAAAGTCATCACTGGAATGTGTCCTCAGCTACAGGTGGCAAGTACAGTATGATGTTATAGCTTATGCCTGGGAGTGGAAGGGATAAAATAAAATCAACCTGGAAATGGAGAGTTAGTCATTCTGATAGAAAAAACAAGCATGTGAGGGTGGGATGTAGCCAAGGCATATTTTATCTGTCTGTATTCCTGCCACATAATTGGAACGGTTAGCTTTTGTTTCTCCAAAGTCAGAGTATATTAGGTTCAGTTGGGTAGCATGTTTTTTAAAAAAATTAAAACAACAAACAACAGCAAAAATAAATAAATAAAATGAATATTGAGGGCTCTACCCTAAGGTTTTGGTTCTGAAAGTAAATCTGGTGTATGCAGTCTACCAAGCATACTTCAAGGAATGATGTTGAGAATGTATTGGGTAATCTGCCTCCCTGGGTAACCAGATAAAGCAGACTTCCTGGCTCCTGGCTCAAAGGAACAAGTAACATGGTGATTTAGAGAGGGCTTGGGAGTCAGTAAAATTTCAGCTCCATTCCCGGACTTTATTACTTGCTAGGTCATGATATCCAGCAGATACTTAAGCTCATTAGAACTCACTGTCTTCATCTATAAATTCAGAATGTTATATATAATATAGTACACACCTCCTCAGGTGATTGCAAAATAAAATGAGATGATGCCTAGAAGGGACTTACGAGAGTCCTTGGTGAAACAAATGTGAGTTTTTGCTACTATTGTTACCACCACCGTCATCACAATCACTGTCACCATCAGAAATAATGTGTCCCCTTATGGAGGATATAACATGTACCAGGCAGTGGCTTACTTATTTTATTCTACTTGGTTTAATTAAATTAAATTTATTCTACTTGGTTTAATTAAATTAATAAAATAAGCTCTACTTATTTTATTCTATTTAGTTTAATTCTCATAATAAATGTGAGAGGCAGATTATTTTTTCCATACTACATATGAAGAAGCAGAGGGTAAATAGGCTGCCCTACATACCCAGATGGAAATCAGAAGAGCTGTAACTTGTGTTATTTCAGCTGCACCTGAGCCATATTACCCACAGAAACTGCATCAGTTTCTAAGAGGGCCTGTGCATGTGCGAAATTGTACTGTATATATTGTTCCCTGCAGCTTAGTAGTTTTTTTTTTTAACATGGTGATTTTTCCAGATCTTATATATGGGTCTACTTAATTATTCTTAAATGCTGCATACATTCTGTGGTATAGATGTACCATAAGTTATTTTAGCCATTTCCCAACTGATCAATATTTCAGTATTTTTTTTCTTCTTTTGGCTATTACTAATAATGATAGAAAGAATATACTTTTTTGTGTGCTTACACTAGTATTTCTTTAGATAGATCCCCTGGAATGACAATTACTGGCTTAAAGGAAGATATGTTTAACACTTTGACACTATTGACAAGTTTCTTTCCAATAAGGGTGTAACATATAGTCTATGAGAATGTCCATTTTCTCAATATCTTGCCAGCATAATGATGGGTCAAAACAATATTATTGTTTTAAAAACTGTATTTCCACAATTTTTTGTGAGGCTCAGCATTTATTCATGTTTTTAAGTGGACAGCTGTATTTCTTCTGTAAGTTATCTATTCCTGATCTCTGTGCATTTTTCTGCTATGATGTGTGTCTTATATATATATTGATTTATAGTTATTTTCTGTATATTCTGGATATTGAGACTTTTGTGTGTTGTATGTTGCAAATAATGTTTTTAGTACTTCTTTTTGAATTTTGTTTATGATTTATTTTTTATTAAAAGAATTTAAATTTTCAGCTGCTTTAATAGTTTCTGGGGTTTTATATCTCCAATACTTACATTGTAAGAATATTGGAAAAATTTCATCTTATTATTTTCTAGTTGTATTTTTTGTTTAATACCTGAATCCATAAGGAATTTGCATTTGTGTACAGTGCTTGATAGAGATTTTGTTTTATTTTTAAAAATTGACAACTTTTTCAACACTATTCACTAAATGTTATGTCCATACCCCTATTTTGAAACATTGCAGTTAACATACATCATAGATTTCTAGTCTGTTACATTGATGTAGTTCACTCCTATGCCATTTCTACACTATCTTAATATTTGTCATTTTAATTTTTAAATTTATTTTAATTTTTTAAAACATCAGGAAAGGTAAGTCTTTACCCTCCTCCATTATTCTTTCCCTTAAAAAGTTTAAGAAAGTTTTCTTAGATATTCTTATTTTCTTCTTCAGAAAAGTTTTAGAATTGACTCTCATTACGTTTTTTAAAATCGTGTTAAGACTACTATTGAAGGTTTGGGCATGTTGGCTCACGTCTGTAATACTAGCACTTTGGGAGGTGGAAGCAGGAGGATCACTTGAGCCCAGGAATTCAAGACCAGCCTGGCTACATAGTGAGACCTCATTTCTGTTAATAAAAAAAAAAAAAAAAAAAAAAAAAAAGATTTTTATTAAGACTCACTTGACTCTGTCAATTTATTTTGTAGAAATTAGTTTATTTAATCCTACCCAGGAATATGATATATTAGTCTATTTATTCAGATTTTCTCTTACATATTTCAATTAGGTTTTATAGTTTTCTTCAAATAGATTCTAGTATAATCCCTGTCAGGTTTACTGATAGGTGTTTCATAAGGTTTTGTTGCCCTTATCTATCTAACTCTCTATCTATCTATCTATCTATCTATCTATCTATCTATATAGATTTTTTTTTTTTTTTGAGACAGAGTCTCACTCTGTCACCCAGGCTGGAGTGCAGTGGCACAGTCTCGGCTCACTGCAACCTCTAAGCTCCAAATTCAAGCAATTCTTCTGCCTCAGCCTCCTGAACAGCTGGGATTACAGGCGCCTGCCACCGTGGCTGGCTAATTTTTGTATTTTTAGTAGAGATGGGATCACCATCTTGGCCAGGCTGGTCTTGAACTCCTGTCATCGTGATCCACCCACCTCGGCCTCCCAAAGTGCTGGGATTACAGGCGTGAGCCACTGCACCCGGCAAGATTTTTTAAATCTATTAAATTTTCAAATTTGTTATTACTTATGAAAAGGAATACTCCTAAAATTTACCTATTGCTACAGTGTAGTCACCTTTTTTAACTCATTTATTAATTTGAATAATCAAATAGTTGCTATCTAGATTTTTATTAAATAACTATTGAACACCCATTATGTGTCAAACGTTGGAGATATTGCCAGGTCTGTGCCCACAGAGACTTTGCATTCCAGTGTAGGAAAATGAGTCATAAACAAAGAAACAAATACATATTTTAGTGCTATGGAAGAAGTAAAACAGAATGATGTAACGAAGAGTGAAGAGGTCATACACAGGCGTATGACCAAGGAAGGCCTTTTTGAGGACAGGCTTGAGACTGAGGAGAAAGTGGACCCAGTCATGTCAAGAACTTTCTAGAAGAGAAGACAACTAACCCAAAGGCCCTGATGTTAGAAAGCATCTGGCAGTGCAAGGAACAGAAATTGGATCTAAGTGTGCAAGGGTGAGAGTTCAGATAAATAAATAGAAACCCAAGATAATAGAAGTCGGGTTAGGCCAGGGCAAGAATCTCAAATATTCCAAGTGCAGTTGGGAACTACTGAAAGTGCACAGTAGTGAAACAATCTGATTTATGCTTTAAAACTATTGCTCAGGCTGTGTGGAGAAACATCTTCAAGTAAACAAGAGTAGAAATAGGAGAGGTTGCGTTGCAGGAGTTAAGAGTGATGGTGGCTTGGCTGGATTGGCAGTACCTCAAACTATGAGGTAGACTGAATCAGACTCACTAATGAATTTAATGGAGAGGACTATTAGGCTTTTGGCTTGAATAACTGGGTGATTTGTGGTAATATTTGTTGAGATAACAAACACTGGAGAATGGTAGATCATCAAGGGAGAGGGAGGATCAAGGATTCTGTTTGGGAAATGTTTATTTTGAAATGCCTAGTTGACATCCATGTAAATATGTCAAATACATGCTTACATAGATGAATTTGTTGCTCAGGGGAACAATCAATCCTGGAGATATAAACCTGAAATTTATAAGCATGTAGTTAGAATTTAAAGCTGTAGGACTAGATGGGATAATGTAGGAAGATAGTAAAGTTAGAGAAGAAAGAGCGGCCAGGTGTCGTGGCTCATGTCTGTAATCCCAGCACTGTGGGAGGCCGAGGCGGGCAGATCATGAGGTCAAGAGATCAAGACCACCCTGGCCAAAATGGTTAAACCCTGTCTCTACTAAAAATACAAAAATTAGCTGGGTGTGATGGCATGTGCCTGTAGTCCCAGCTACTCAGGAGGTTGAGACAGGACAATTGCTTGAACCTGGGAGGCAGAGGTTGCAGTGAACCGAGATCAAGAGACTGCACTCCAGCATGGTGACAGAGTGAGAATTCAACTCAAAAAAAAAAGAAGAAGAAGAAGAGGAAGAAGAAGAAGAAGAAGAAGAAGAAGAAGAGGGAGAAGAAGAAACAGAAGAAGGAGAAGAAGAGGGAAAAGAAAGAGCTCATGACCAAACTCTGTGTCAATGTGGTGGTTAGATGTGAGGTAGAGAAGGAGGAGATAGCAAAACAGCTGGAGAAAATGGAAAAGTAACAGCGGGAAAGAGTGATGTCACAGAAGCCAAGTGAGGATGGAGATTTAAGAAGAGAGCTCCATCAAGAACTCCATCAAGAGCTGCTGAGAAGTTGGGAAAAAAGAAGGTGTAGTTGATGACCTTCACAAAACCAGCTTCAGTGAAATATTGGGGTGAAAGCCATGTTGAAATGGGTCGAGTAATATGGAAGATGAGGAAATGGAGACAACTAGAGTAGACAATTAACCCCTTAAAGAAGGTTTGTTGTAATGGGAACAAAGAAATAGAGTAGTAACAAAAGGGGATGAAGCGGGATCAGGGAATGATTTGCTCTTATTCAAAATATTTTAGATATCAGAGCTTGTATCTCTTCTGAGACGAGTCAATAACCCAGCAGAAAGGAAGAAATCAAAGGTGTAGGAGAGAGAAGAAAGCATGCATAAGCAAAATTGTTGAGGGAAGAGAAAGGATTAAACCCCAGGGCTTGAGTAGAGAGACTGATCTTTGATAGGATCAGAGACGTATCTTCTATTCAAAAGGGAGAGTAAATAGAAAATATAGGAAACTATATAGATGGATTTATAGATTTTTTTGTAGGAAATGGAGACATTTTTTAAACTGTGAAGGGTATTCATTTCAATTTACCATTTCTAGGTAAATGATAAAAAATCTCTGAAAATAATTACAAGATCACCTCTTCTTTTACAAATAAATGTCTTATTACATTGCTTACTACCTCCAGTCCATATTTAGTGATAGTAATGACAATAAGAATTCTATGTTTGTTTTAAAGGAAATTTTTCCACTACCAAACCATTACATAAGACACACTTACTGGTTTCTGGTTGACAGAATTCAACAAGTAAAGGATATTTACATTTCTTAACGTTGAGCCATACTTGGAATGGTTCATCTTGGGATGAACTCTACATGATGGTGATACATCTTTTTCTTTTAATGCACTTCTCAATTTGAGTTGCTTATGTCTTATTTAGATTTTTAAAATTTATATTTATAAATTAAACTGTCATAGAGTCTTTTTGTATATGTGCTACCATAGATTTTGGTCTTATGGCTATGCTAGTTCCCTAAAATGATTTAGAAAGTTTTCTATATTTTTCTAAACTTTAGAACAGTTTTTAAAAACTGGGAGAGAACATATTTATTATAAAAGAAATCTCTTGTGAAATCATTTTTAAAAGAGTTTGGTGATTTTTTTTAAGAAAAGAAAGTTATCAGAATATATCTTCAGATTTTTCTATGATTATTAGTCTATTCAGGTCTTTTATTTTTTTTTCTGTGGCCAGTTGTGGTCATTTTCTTTTCTAGAAAATATTCATTCATTCCAATTTTAAAATGTGTTTGTATAGTTATGCATGTTATGATCTTATAGTTTTAAAAATCTCCATTTTCTTCCAATTTTTATTTTAGGTTCAGTAGGTACATGTGCAGGTTTGTTACATGGGTAAATTGCGTGGTGCTAGGATTAGGTTTACAAATGAGTTCATCACCCAGGTAGTGAGCATAGTACCCAATAGGTAGTTTTTCAATCCTCACCCTCCTCCCACTCTCCAACTTCAAGCAAGCCCCAGTGTCTATTGTTTCCCTCTTTGTGTCCTTGTGTACTCAGTGATAAGAACCCACTTATCCGTGAGGATATGCAGTATTTGGTTTTCCATTCCTGTGTTAATTTGCTTAGGATAATGGCCTCCAGGTACATCCATGTTGCTGCAAAGGTCATGATTTCATTCTTTTCTATGGCTGTGTAGTATTCCATGATGTATATGTACCACATTTTCTTTATCTGATCCACCACAATTGGGCATCTAGTTTGATTCTATGTCTTTGCTATTGTAAAAAGTGCTGTGATGAATATACTACATTGTCTTTATGGTAGAATGATTTATATTCCCTTGGTATATACACAGTAATGGGATTACAGGGTTGAATGGTACTTCTGTTTTAAGTGGTTTGAGGAATATCCAAAATGCTTTCCACAGTGGCTGGACTAACTTACAAGCCCACCAGCAGTGTATAAGCATTCCCTTTTCTCTGCAATCTTGCCAATAGGTATTGTTTTTTGACACTGTTTAAATAATATCCATTTTGACTGGTGTGAGATAGTATCTCATTGTGATTTTGATTTGCATTTCTCTAGTGATTAGTGATGCTGAACATTTTTTTCATATGCTGTCGGCTGCATGTATGTCTGCTTTGAGAAGGGACTATATTGGGGGAACCAGCCCCCAATATTTCAACATAGGTTCTTTCTATTTTCCCTAAGTGTCAGCTGGTCTCAGAAATAAAGAGAAAGAGTACAAAGAGAGAAATTTTACAGCTGGGCCTCTGGGGGTGTCATCACATATTGGTAGGACTGTGACGGCAACCCCGAGCTGCAAAACCAGCAAGTTTTTATTAGGGATTTTAAAAAGGGAGGGGGTGTACGAACAGGGAGTAAGTCACAAGGATCACATGCTTCAAAGGGCCATAAAGATCACAAGGCAAGGCAAAATTAGAATTACGATGAGGTTCTATGTCCCACTGTGCACGCATTGTCTTGATACACATCTTAACAGGAAACAGGGTTTGAGAGCAGACAACTGATCAGACTAGAATTTACCAGGCTGTAATTTCCCAATCCTAGTAAGCTTGAGGGTACTGCAGGAGACCAGGGCATATTTCAGTCCTTATCTCAACCGCATAAGACAGACACTCCCAGAGCGGCCGTCTATAGACCTACCTCCAGGAATACATTTCTTCCCCAGGGTCTCAATTATTAATATTCTTTGCTGGAAAGAATTCAGTGATATTTCTCCTACTCCCACATCCTTTTATAGGCTCCCTGCAAGAAGAAAAATATGGCTGTATTCTGCCTGACCCTGCAGGCAGTCAGACCTTATGGTCATCTTCCCTCGTTCCCTGAAAATCGCTGTTATTCTGTTCTTTTTCAGGGTGCACTGATTTCATATTGTTCAAACATACATATTTTACATTCATTTTGTACAATAGTGGTCCTAAGGTGATGTACATTCTCAGCTTATGAAGATAGCAGGATTAAGAGATTAAAGTAAAGACAGGCATAAGAAATTATAAGAGTATTGATTGGGGAAGTGATAAATGTCCATGAAATCTTCACAATTTATGTTCTTCTGCCTCGGCTCCAGCCGGTCTCTCTGTTCGGGGTCCCTGACTTTCCACAACAGGACTATTCATGTCCTTTGCCCACTTTTAATGGAGTTCTTTGCTCTTTGCTTGTTGATTTGTTTCTTATAGATTCTGGATATTAAACCTTTGTCAGATGCATAGTTTGCAAACATTTTCTCCTATTCTGTAGATTGTCTGTTTACTCTGTTGATAGCTTATTTTTCTGTGCAGAAGCTGTTTAGTTTAATTAGATCTCATTTGTCAATTTTTATTTTTGTTGCAATTGCTTTCAGCATCTTCATCCTGAAATCTTTGCCAAGGCCAATGTCCAGAATGGTTTTTTCTAGGTTTTCTGCTAGGGTTTTTACAGTCTTAGGTTTTACATTTAAGTCTTTAATCCATCTTGAATTGATTTTTGCATACTGTGAAAGGAAGGGGTCCAGTTTCAATCTTCTGTATATGGCTGGCCAGATGTCTCAGCACAATTTATTGAACAGGGAGTATTTTCCCTATTGCTTTTTATTGTCAACTTTCCTGAAGATCTATTGATTGCACATGTGTGGCTTTATTAGTTTATTTAGTTTTCTAACTTGTTCCATTGGCATATTTGTCTGTTTTTGTACAAATACCAGGCTGTATTCATTAGTGCAGCCTTGTAGTATAGTTTGAAGTCAAGTAGCGTGAAGCCTCCAGCTTTGTTCTTTTTGCTTAGAATTGTTTTGGCTATCTGGGCTGATTTTTAGTTCCATATGAATCTTAGAATTTTTTTTCTAACTCTGAAAAATTATGTTGGTAGTTTGATCAGAATAGCATTGAATCTGTAAATTGCTTTGGTCAGAATGGCCATTTTAACAATTTTGATTCTTCCTATCCACGAGTATGCAATGTTTTCCCATTTGTTTGTGTCACCTCTGATTTCTTTCAGCAGTGTTTTTTCATTCTTATTGTACAGATCTTTTATTCTCCTTGGTTGGCTGTATTCATTGGTATTTTAATTTTTGTGGCTATTTTGAAGGGTATTACACTCTTGATTTGGCTCTCAGCTTAGACATTATTGGTGTACAGAAATGCTGCTGTTTTCGTACATTGATTTTGTAACTTGAAACTTTACTGAAGTTGTTTATCAGTTCTAGGAGCCTTTAGACAGAGACTATGAAGTTTTCTAGGTATAGAATCATATCATCTGTGAAGAGAGATAGTTTGACTTTCTCTTCTCTATTTAAATGCCCTTTATTTCTTTCTCTTGCCTAATTGCTCTGGCTAGGATTTCCAGCACTATGTTGAATAGGAGTAGTGAGAGTGGACATCCTTGCCTTGTTCTGGTTCTCAAGCAGGATGCTTCCAACTTTTGCCTGGTTCAGTATGAGGTTTGCTGTGGATTTGTCATAGATATCTCATATTATTTTGAAGTATGTTCTTTTGGAAAGTTTTTAACATGAAGGAAAGTTTAATTTTATCAAAAGCTTTTTTTGTGTCTATTGAGGTGGTCATGTGGTTTTTGTTTAGTTCTGTTTATGTAATAAGTCACATTTATTGATTTGTGTAAGTTGAACCAAACTTGTATCTCCAGAATAAAGCATACTTAATCATGGTGGATTTGCTTTTTAATGTACTACTGGATTCAAGTTGCTAGTATTTTGTTCAAGAGTTTTGCATTTTTGTTCATTAGTGATACTGGCTTGAACTTTTCTTTTTTCATTATATCTCTGCCAGGTTTAGTATCAAAATGATGCTGACCTCATAGAATGAGTTAGGGAGGAGTTTTTCCTCCTCAATGTTTTTTTTTTAATAACTTCAGTACGATTGGCATCAGCTCTTACTTACATGTCTGGTAAAATTGGGCTGTGCATCCATCTGGTCCAGGGCTTTTTCTGGTTAGCAGGTTTTTTATTATTGATTCAATTTCATATCTCAACATTGGTCTAGTCAGATATTTATTTGCTTCCTGGTTCAATCCTGGCAGGTTTTTTGTTTCCAGAAATTTATCCATTTCTTCTAGGTTCTCTAGTTTGTGTGTATAACAGTGTTCATAATAGTCTTTGAGGGTGTTTTGTATTTCTGTGGGGTTAATGGTAATGTCCCCTTTGTCATTTTTGATTGTGTTTATTTGGATCTTCTCTATTTCTTTATTTATTAATCTAGCTAATGGTCTATCAATCTTATTTATTCTTTCAAAGAACAAACTTTTGGTTTTGTTGGTCTTCTGTATGGATTTTTCAAATCTCAATTTCATTGAGCTCAGTTCTGATTTTGGTTATTTCTTTTCTTCTGCTAGATTTGAGGCTGGTTTGTTCTTGTTTTTCTAGTTCCTCTGGCTG
Organism: Homo sapiens; assembly: GCF_000001405.40. NCBI lineage: Eukaryota > Metazoa > Chordata > Mammalia > Primates > Hominidae > Homo > Homo sapiens. Next base: position 144,078,792 of record NC_000005.10, on the reverse strand, counting down.
TAATGTTAGGTTGTTAAGTTGAGGTCTTTCTAACTTTTTGATATAGGAATTTGCTGCTGTAAACTTTCCTCTTAACCTTTCTTTTAGCTCTTTCCCAGAGATTCTGGCATACTGTATATTTGGTTCCATTAGTCTGAAATAATTTCTTGATTTTTGCTTTTATTTCATTCTTTACTCAGAAGTTATTCAGGAGCAGATTGTTTAATTTCCATGTAATTATATGGTTTTGAGAGACATTCTCAGTATTAACTTCTATTTTTATTGCATTCTGGTCTGAGAGTGTGCTTAGTATGAGTTTGGTTCTTTTGGAATTTGTTGAGAATTGCTATATGGCTGAGCATGTTGTTGATCTTAGAATATGTCCCATATGCAGAAGAGAAGAACGTGTGTTCTGTTGTTGTTGAGTGGAGTATTCTGTAGATGTCTGTTATGTCCATTTGGCCAAATGTCTAATTGAGTTATCAAATATCTTTGTTAGTTTTCTGCCTCAGTGATCTGTCCAACACTCTCAATGGGGTGCTGGACTCACACTATTATTGAGTGGTTATCTAAAGTCTCTTCATAGGTCTCTAAGAATTTGTTTTATAAATCTGAGTGCTCTATTATTAGGTGCATATATTTAGGACAGTTAAGTCTTCTTGTTGAGTTGGGTGCATATATTATATTTAGGACAGCTAAAGCTTTATCATTATGTAATTCCCTTCTTTGTCTTTTTTGATCATTGTTCATTTAAAGTCTGTTTTGTCTGAAATAAGAACAGCAGCCTCTGCTCTCTTTTGTTTTTTATTTGCTTGATAGATCTTTCTCCATCCCTTTGCTTTGAGCCTATGTGTCATTACATGAGAGATGAGTCTCTTGAAGACAGCATACAGTTGGGTCTTGCTTCTTTATACAACTTGCCACTTGGTGTCTACTAAGTGGGGCATTTAGCCCATTTATACTCAAGGTTAATATTGATGTGAGGATTTGATATTGTCATCATATTGTTAGCTCGTTGTTATGTAGACTTGATAGTATAATTGCTGTATACTGTTGATGGTCTATCTACTTCAGTGTGCTTTGGTCTTTCTTTTTCACATTTAACACCCCCTCAACGACCTCTCATAAGGCAGGTTCTGGTGGGAATATATTACTTTAGCATTTGTTTATCTGAATAGGATTTTATTTCTCCTTTGCTTTTGAAGCTTAACTCATCTGGATATAAAACTCTTGATTGGAATTTCTTTTCTTTAAGGATGCTACATATAGACTCCCAGTCTCTTCTGTCTTGCAAGGGTTCTACTGAAAGGTCCACTGTTAGCCTGAAAGAATTCCCTTTGTATTTGACCTTCCCCTTCTCTCTATCTGTCTTTAATGTTCTTTTCTTTCACATTGATTTGGAGAATCTGATGACTGTGTCTTGGAAATCGTTATCTTGTATAGTATCTTACTGGGGTTCTCTGAATTTCCTGAATTTGCATGTAAACCTCTCTAGGGAGATTGTGGAAACTTTTGTGGACAATATCCTCAAATATGTTTTCCAAGTTGCTTGCTCTCTCTCTCTCTTTCTGGGATGTCAATGAGTCATAGATTTGGTCTCTTCACATAATCCCATATTTCTCAGAAATTTTATTCATTTTTAAAAATTATTTTAAAATAATTTTTGTCTAACTGAATTCATTTAAAGAACTGGCATTTGAGCTTTGAAATTCTTTCCTCAGCTTGGTCTATTTTGCTCCAATATTTCCTATTTTATTATGAAATTCTTGTAGTGAGTTTTTAAGCTGTATAAGATCAGTTTCATTCTTTCTTAAAATGGCTATTTTGTCTTGCAGCTCTTGAATCGTTTTACTGGATTCCTTAGATTCCTTGGATTGGGTTTTAATCTTGATGATCTTCATTGTCATTTAGATTCTAAATTCTATGTCTGTCACTCCAGCCATTTCCATCTGGTTAAGAGCCATTACCTGGAAGCTAGTGAGGTTATTTGAAGCTAAGAAGAGACTCTGGCTTTTAGGGTTGCCAGAGTTCTTCTGCTGGTTCTTTCTCATCTGTGTGGGCTGATGTTCCTTTAATCTTTAAAGCTGTTCCCTTTGGATAGAGCCCTTTGATCTTTAATTCTTTGATGCCCTTGTGGGTTTGACTGTGGTATAAGTTGGGTTTTGTCTATTGGCTTTGCTTCTTTATTAGTTCAGGGGGCAAAGCTAAGCTCAGCACTCTAGAAATTTGTACTCTAACCCTGGGGATGCTGGGACTGGGCCATGGCTTTTTTCTTTGGGCCCTCAAGTTTCAGTACCTGCTGCATTGAAGGGACTGAGGTGTTCCTAGTCTGCTGGCAACAACCCTCCAATGAGGAATGCTGGCAAAAGTATTTCAGCCGGGAGATGGTGGGCAGCGGCCATGTCCATGCATGAGCATGCAGGAGGTAGTAGAAAATGCCAGATCCTGCATTTGCATTAATGAAGCAGGGGGAGGCTGCAGGAGAATGTGTGACTGAGAAGCAGTTGAGGAAAGCTGCAGGTGAGTATGTGCTGGCCAGGGAGGACTGTGGGCAGGTGCTCATCAGTGGGGGCCCACCAGTAGCAGCTCTCTGACTATTAGGTGGCATCTGCTGGTGAAAGAGCTATTATGTGGCTGCTGGCAAGCACCTTGGATGGACAGCTGAGGCCACGCTGCAAGAGGCTGTAGCCAGTAGGGACCCTAGGATAGGCCAACAGACAGAGTGTTGCTTAGATCAGACTGGCTCCATCCTACAAGAAAGATAATCCTGCTCTGTCCTTGTCCAGCAGTCAACAAAGGCTAAAGCCACCTAGAGGAGTGTGGTGAGCCTTGGTTTATGGGTACCCATGGCTGTACTCTACTGTAGCTGTTCCTGCACAAAACCCTCTGGCCTCCATGCAAGCTAGAGTTCCATCCCTGCCAACTATCCAGTTCCCTGTGCCAGCTCAAATGTCCATGGGGATTGTGGGGTCTTCTACAGCTAGGATTCCAGAGGTCCATGGCAAGAGTGAGCCATTCCATGCTTATTCCATTCACCCCTTTTCCAGGAGCCACTTAGGGCCAGTAACAAGTCCTGGTGCTCAGCAACCCTGTGCAAGTTTCCCAGCTTCCTTCCCTTTCAGCCTGGGATCTGCATCCTCCCTCTGTACACTTTTAATGCTTTCTTTTCAAAGACCTATTCAGAGTGTACCTGGTTGTCTGTTCTCTCTTGTTGAGAGAAGCTCTTCCTGACTGTGTCTATTCAGCCATCTTGGCTTCTTCACATATTTTCTATTACAAATAATTCTGTAGAAAATTATCTTTGTATATAAATCTTTTCCACATTTAACATTATTTTTATATGATGAGTTAGTAAAGGAGAAATTGCTAAATCAAAAAGTATAAGATTTTAAGGCTCTTGAACTTATAAGTCACATATATACATATAATAAAAACATCTGTGTTTTTCATAGAAAGTATAAAGTCATAGGATAGATATCATATCCTCTGGTGTCCTCCTATTTCTGTGTCCCTCAATTTATCTCCACTACTTTAACATCCAGAGAAGAATTCGTAGTTTTAGGTAAATCCTTCCAGACCTTTTCTCATGTGTTTACACATGTGTTTGCATGTGTCTGTTTAATGTACATATGTACATGTGTGTGAGAGAGAGATACACTCATCCACAAGTGTATGCAAACTAAGCATACACATTTTCTACATAATTTGGAGATATGTGTGTATAACATGTATATGTTTCCATTCCTAAACAAAGACATTTATATGCTTCTTTTTAAAATTTAAGAACTATGTGCTAGTTCAAGTAAGAAACGTTCACATTTTCAGCTGGTTAATGATTAAAAAGATACATTCACAATATGGGTTCTGTATTAGTCCATTTTCACACTATTATAAAGAAATACCTAAGACTGGGTACTTTATAAAGAAAGGTTTAATTGACTCACAATTATGCATGGCAGAGGAGGCCTCAGGAAGCTTACAATCATGGCAAAAGGTGAAGGAGAAGCAAGGCACATCTTACATGGTGGCAGGTGAGTGAGAGTGAGCACAGGGGAAATGCCAGACATTTATCAAACAATCAGATCTCATGAGAACTCCCTCACTATCATAAGAACAGCATGGGGGAAACCACCCCCATCATCCATTCACCTCCCACCAGGTCCCTCCCTTGACCTGTGGAGATTACAATTCGAGATCAGACTTGGGTGGGGACAGACAGCCAAACCATACCAGCCTCTAACTCTCATTTAATCAATGATACTTTGTAATTGTCAACACTCTAGTTCTTTCTTTACCATGTGTGAGTTCTTATGAAAAAGTTTGCTACTCTTGTTTCAGAGTATTAATTGTACTTTAATTAGGAAATAGGAGAACTTGTCACAGTAGAGAAATATCTTCTCCTTGGACAATCAGCTTAGTTAAGTGCAGGACACTCAGAACACAGTAGTTATTCCTTAGATTTAAATAAAATTAAAATCAATAGATGCCCACTAGATGGTTGAAGATGGCATACTAAAGTGACAGTGTGTCTACTTTCTTCCTTTGGGTTGATGTTACTATTTTGAGAGGAACCCCCAAAATAGCTAAGTAGTAGCTTGACTTTCAGGCCTGTATCAGTCAAGCTGCTTTAGGCTGCAAGTTACCGAAGCATCAATATAAGTTAGCTTAGATACTAAAGAAAATAAACCATTTCCTCTAACAAGAATTGTCAGAACAGCTTAACTCCAAGGTTGATTAATCCTTGGCTCATGATGTCATCATTCCTTCCTTGTCTTGTGCCATCTTCAGCCTGTTAGCCTTGTCCTCCCCTAGTTCCTCGCCTGAGGTCTCAATATGACTGCCACCGTTTTAGCTATCCCATTGAAAATGTCCAGTAATGAACTCTTTCTTACAAACTTTTCAAATGAGAAAGAACCATCTCACAAAAAGCCCTTAGCTGACTTCTGCTGATGGCCACTGGCCTGACTCACATGCCAAGCTAAATCAATCACATGATTAACTTAAACCAATCAGGGCTCATTCTTCCCTGATGTAAATGACCCTATTGAAGAGGGTGTATAGCCACACAAAATTAGAATTTTAGTAGAGAGAAAGAAGTTTAAGGAGGAGAATAAATGTTATGTAGGCAACCAGCTGTACCTACACAAATGTGGATCAAATTGCCTTGTTAATATTTAAAAATTAATTAAACCATAGTGCTATCCTGATAGCTAGATACATATCTCATGTATAAAAAGAATATATATATTTATATATAAAATAAAAATTTAGAAATTATACAGTTTATTAAAATCTAACATAAAGCTGCTTTTAATTTTAAGTCTAGATGATAAGCAAAGCTATGCTACCTTTTGGGAAGTTCATTCTTACCAAATATTTTAATAACTCCATTTAACCAAGAAGGCATGTTCCTTTTTGGATTTTAAAAATCAAAACACACTTTCAGATGTCATAATTGTCCTCCTTTGACAGAATTAATCACAGTAATATGAAAATGTAGCCAGGCTGGGAAACACAATCAGCCATGTCCATTTATTTGTAACATGTTCTGCATCTTTAAACATGGCAGTGTATTCATATTAACAGAGGTACTTTTTCAAAAGAGGTGTCTCTTTTGATAGAGTTTTTCTTTCTCTAGTTTTACGTGGCAGCATCATAAATTTTTGATGATGATATCATTGTAAACTACATCATATATAAGGCCATAAAATAATCTAAAACGTTAATGAGTAGGGCTTAAAAGCTACTTGTGGAAAGGAAACAATCTTTACTTTTAACACCAGGAAACAGGATGCTACCCTGAGTGTGAAAGATTGAAATATATAATCCATCAAACCGTTGCCCTCTCCCTGAGGGCCCTTTAAGGGGAGAAATGATAAATGAAGACCTGAAATATCCAAAACATGATGGAACCTGAATATTTGATTTAGTTCCAGATGATAGAAGGGTATGATGAGTGAGTCATAAATTTGAGAAATTTGACTACTGGGTAAAGGAATTTTTGTTTAAATTTTTTACACACCCATGAATCATGCTCATGATAATGGCTTTTAGTGAATCCACATTGTTTATGCCATGTCTTTACCCACTTGGTCCACAGCAAAATAGCTATTCTACTTTGTTTCATGCTTCAGGAAACTTTTTCTCATTTCCAGCTTTTGACTCATTCTGCCTTCCCCCTCCCACTCCAAATGTGGAAGGAAAACAATGATTCTGATCTCTGGATTCAATAAAATTATGTGTAGGCTATGCATGCTCTGTGGTGCTATATAAATGTCATGAATTACAAGTGCAAACACTAGCTGGATTCTTTTCTCAGAGAAAATAATACGGGCAGGGAGGGATATGAAAAGCATTCTACTCTTTGAAAAGGGATCCACCAATGAATATTATTTTGAGGACAGACAGCACATCCTATACATCTGTATTTTTCCCTGGTAGTTCATTCAGCTTTACCTACACTAGCCACCCAGTATTGAATTTGAGATGGCAAAGAAGACACTCATTTTCCTCCCACTTCAATGAGAAATCCTGAAAGTGAACACAGATCCACTAGGCCAGGGGTCTGTAAAGGGTCTGATAGTAAATATTTTAGTCTTTGTGGGGCATATAGTTTCAGCCACAACTACTCCACACAGCCGAATATACTATGTAAACAAATGGATACGGCTATGTCACAATAAAAGTTTATTTATGAAAATGGGTGGCAAGCAAGGCTTGGCCTGAAAACTATAGTTCTCTACCTGATCTCTGCACTAAGCTGTAATATACCAGACCTTCCCTTGGAGATCCTGTCAGATGCCCCATCACAGTGACAGCCTACACAAAAAAGTGTTAGTGCAGGGCTCAGAATGGAAATCAGGCAATTTCAAAATCATGCAGGGAAATACTGGAGTGGGTAGTTGTCTGATATATGCATTAAAAAAAACTGTTTTTTCTGCTATCACACACCATTCAACACAGAATATTTCATCTCTGGTCACCAAAATGTGTGTTGGTTTTTCCCCACACACCGAGCAATTCTCCAGCAGACACAAATTATTATTATTGTTATTATTATTTTTCCTGCTTATGTAAAAATGTATATATACACACAAATATATATGTACACATGTAGTGAAAGAAAAAATAACTACAGGCATGATAGGCATCGACTTAAGGAGCGGGGATGGAAATGGCTGAGTGGAACATAGTTATACTCTTAATGTTCTAGTTCTTTTTAAAAAAAAGCAAAATATTAACATTGAATAAAACTGGGAGATGAACATGTTCTTTATTTTCTATATTTTCTGTATTTTTTTAAAAAATCACAATTAAAATGATAAAATGTTTAAAATATTTTTTAAAAAGATGTAAGTATCCTTAAAACAAGATGTTGTGTTAAGCATCATTTTATGAGGCCAGCATCATTCTGATACCAAAGCCAGGCAGAGACACAACCAAAAAAGAGAATTTTAGACCAATATCCTTGATGAACATTGATGCAAAAATCCTCAATAAAATACTGGCAAACCGAATCCAGCAGCACATCAAAAAGCTTATCCACCATGATCAAGTGGGCTTCATCCCTGGGATGCAAGGCTGGTTCAATATACGCAAATCAATAAATGTAATCCAGCATATAAACAGAGCCAAAGACAAAAACCACATGATTATCTCAATAGATGCAGAAAAAGCCTTTGACAAAATTCAACAACCCTTCATGCTAAAAACTCTCAATAAATTAGGTATTGATGGGACGTATTTCAAAATAATAAGAGCTATCTATGACAAACCCACAGCCAATATCATACTGAATGGGCAAAAACTGGAAGCATTCCCTTTGAAAACTGGCACAAGACAGGGATGCCCTCTCTCACCGCTCCTATTTAACATAGTGTTGGAAGTTCTGGCCAGGGCAATCAGGCAGGAGAAGGAAATAAAGGGTATTCAATTAGGAAAAGAGGAAGTCAAATTGTCCCTGTTTGCAGACGACATGATTGTTTATCTAGAAAACCCCATCGTCTCAGCCCAAAATTTCCTTAAGCTGATAAGCAACTTCAGCAAAGTCTCAGGATACAAAATCAATGTACAAAAATCACAAGCATTCTTATACACCAACAACACACAAACAGAGAGCCAAATCATGAGTGAACTCCCAGTCACAATTGCTTCAAAGAGAATAAAATACCTAGGAATCCAACTTACAAGGGATGTGAAGGACCTCTTCAAGGAGAACTACAAACCACTGCTCAAGGAAATAAAAGAGGATACAAACAAATGGAAGAACATTTCATGCTCATGGGTAGGAAGAATCAATATCATGAAAATGGCCATACTACCCAAGGTAATTTACAGATTCAATGCCATCCCCATCAAGCTACCAATGACTTTCTTCACAGAATTGGAAAAAACTACTTTAAAGTTCATATGGAACCACAAAAGAGCCCGCATCACCAAGTCAATCCTAAGCCAAAAGAACAAAGCTGGAGGCATCACACTACCTGACTTCAAACTATACTACAAGGCTACAGTAACCAAAACAGCATGGTACTGGTACCAAAACAGAGATATAGATCAATGGAACAGAACAGAGCCCTCAGAAATAATGCCGCATACCTACAACTATCTGATCTTTGACAAACCTGAGAAAAACAAGCAATGGGGAAAGGATTCCCTATTTAATAAATGGTGCTGGGAAAACTGGCTAGCCATATGTAGAAAGCTGAAACTGGATCCCTTCCTTACACCTTATACAAAAATCAATTCAAGATGGATTAAAGATTTAAACATTAGACCTAAAACCATAAAAACCCTAGAAGAAAACCTAGGAATTACCATTCAGGACATAGGCATGGGCAAGGACTTCATGTCCAAAACACCAAAAGCAATGGCAACAAAAGCCAAAATTGACAAATGGGATCTAATTAAACTAAAGAGCTTCTGCACAGCAAAAGAAACTACCATCAGAGTGAACAGGCAACCTACAACATGGGAGAAAATTTTCGCAACCTACTCATCTGACAAAGGGTTAAGCATCATGTATCCTTAGTTTCCACGTAATACTTTTAAACTTCTCCTTTTGTAACATTTCCCAGAATTAGGGTTCCCATCCATTTTGCTTTTGATTTTCTTTTCTTTTCTTTCTTTTTTCCTTTTTTTTTTTTTTTTTTTTTTGAGACCGAGTCTCCCTCTGTTGCCCAGGCTGAAGTGCAGTGGCGTGCTCTTGGCTCACTACAACCTCCACCTCCCAGGTCCAAGTGATTCTCATACCTCAGACTCCCAAGTAGCTGGGAATACCATCATTAGCCACAATGCCAACTATTTTGTGTGTGTGTGTGTGTGTGTGTGTGTGTGTGTGTAGTAGAGACAGGGTTTCACCATGTTGGCCAGGCTGGTCTTGAACTCTTGACCTCAGGGGATCTGCTGGGGTGGACTATAATTAAATCCAATTCTAACACTATCTACTTGGAGTTAGAGTTAGATCTCACAGTTTAAGGGCCCAGTCCCACAAGACTTCCCTTCCTTCACATGTCAATTGCAAAGCAGTAGGTTGTGACCTGTGCTTCTGCCTGATCAGCTGAATAAGGAGGGTAGGACTGAAGGCTCCAAGCTTATGACCCTGGCTTGGTCTTTCTGGTGACCAGCCCCCCTCCAGGAGCCCACCAAGAGCTGCTTCATTAGAACAAAAGATGTTCCTGCCACCCACGTAATTCCAACGGATTAAGAGCTCTGTGTCAGACGCTCCTACCTCTCAGGAAATTACAAAGGTCTTAGGAGCTCTGTGGCAGAACTGAGATCAAAGACAAAATATTAGAACAAAGGATTCTAGCACCCATATCACTTAGGAAATTACATGGGTTTTAGGAGTTCTGTGCCAGGGACTGGGAGCAGAGACCAAAACATATATAAACATATATAAACTTATATATATATATATATATATATATATATATATATATATATATATATATATATACACACACACATATACACACACACACATTTCTTATTATTTCTAGCCAATCCCTGCGTCACTAGCCACTGACTCCTTACAGCAAAATGATCTTATTTCTCTGAGTATTTACATTAAATGTGGCATTTATAGAATAGATATAACAAGAATACCAACACAAGTATGACTAACATTTGGAGAAGCCAGGGTGGAGTAAGGATAGATTTAAAGAAACAAAAAACTTTCCCTATAACTCCACTACATACATTTTTATATTCTTGTACTAATTCACTTATTATTTTTCTTCCTCATCTACTGCTATTTGTACCTTTTCATGAGCTTGTGCAAAACTGTTTAACACAGAAATCAGCTGATGTTTAACTAGATCCAATTCCTCCTCAGGCCAGTCATTTCCCATAGGTACTACATCCTAAGGACAATTTAACTCAGTCGCCCAATAAGTTTGATTATCAGTATCAGCATTATCATAAGGCTTATTTACATGAAGTAGTTAAATTTTACCAACAACACCAGTATTACATCATATCACAATATGATCATGTACATTTGTTCAGTTTCATTACAGAGCAACTCAGTAAAAATTACAGAGGTGTTTGCTTTTTCAGAATCTACCCTTGCCCATGTATCAGATGTTATTAAGGACAGGCATTGTTACAATTGCCCATGACTTGTTTACTTCTGAGTTCTGTGTCAAATGGGGACAAAGCCAGTCACTCTGTCTCATCTCACAGGCTTGCACTGAGACAGGATTCCATTGGGAGCTATTATACAGCAGGGCCCACCTGCCTCCTACACGGAGAATATAGATTGTATTTATAATAGCTCTTATCCCTGCTAACTGTACTGCAGGATGTATTTTGTTTTCACCTATTTTGGGAGCAAGAGCACTCATAGTATATCAATATAAATTACAAGTGCCCTCAGAGAACTTCTATAAGTTTTGAGAGCCGTGAGATTCCCACAGGTGTGCCCCTTGAGCTTCATCAGCTAAAAGATAAGGCCATTGCCCCATAACCACTTAAACTTCAATTTGTATTAAAAACAGTCAAGAGGCCCTGTTGGGTCAGGGCACAGGCCCCTTTCCCATAGCTGGGTTTGACCATTTTCCTGAATTATTTGTTGCATCTGCTTTGCCCACTTTGCTAAAGCCTCATTAACTTTCCAGACTGGCTCCCATACTTTGCCTTCCTCCTGGAAGAGAATCCCTCTTATCTGCCTATTCTAGATAATAAATATTTGTCCTCTGGATGCTGCTCCTCATAGTAATAAGCATCATTGGCTCACAAGGCAGAGGAGAGCCTTTGGAGAGATAGGTGCCTCTCTGGGAAATCAAGGGTATCCATGCACATTGTTGCCATTGTCTACTAACAGCCCTAGTGCAGTTAGGATACATGTTTTGCACCCAAAAGTGTTGGGTGCCCCATACTAGGTTAGATAAGTAGTGGTCACACCTAGGTGTAATTTAGACTAAGTGTGTCACAACATTTCCCACAGCTTCCTTATCTGAGGGAGAGGCCGTTCTCCAGGGCAACTCAAATCCACCAAGTGATGCCAACTGCTTTGATACCATCAGGGACCCATTATTTTTCCCTATTTTGCTTAATAGTTTTTCATCCATTAAAACAAGGGTGATTTGTATTTATGTACAGCACACTGTGGCATGTTGGGCATTGACAAAGACTTCTTTTACCTGGCCAAACTTTAGTCAGAAACTTCTCCTAGGCTCACCTGTGCGCTTCTGTATAAAATCCAGTTTTAGCAAAGAACACTGCTAAGTCAATTTAGCAAGAATTCATTATCCTCGATATCTAATCACCCTCAATATCTCATCAGGTTATTCATTCTCCACCATCCTCCGGGTGACATATGATCACTCTGGCATGACTTTAGCAAGAATCCTGTTAGGTTGCTTTAGCCAGAATGCTACACACTCTTGATGTTTTTCTTAGTATCTTTTCATCTACTTGCCCTTATTCCACTCTTCAGTTATAAATTCTTACTTTCCCATGCTGTATTCAGAGTTGAGCCCAATTCCACTCCCTCACTACAAAATCTCATTGCAAGTGGTCTCTATACCTATGAGTGATGGTCTTGAATAAAGTCTTCCTAACCGTGCTTTAACAAGTATCATTGAATATTTTTTTTCTTTAGCAGCATGTTGTCATTATAGTTTGCCTGTTATATAACTGGGGACCTTTCTAAGCTTTCAATCATCAAGGTTATAGTTGCACAGTGATCATTCTGTTGGGAGCTGTACACCACTTCGTTTGAAGTCCCAGTAGGAAGCAGTTCTTCAAACTTCCTCCCCAAATGATATCCTTTGTACTAAATATAGCCTGAAAATCCCACTTCAGCTGCCAATAGAAAGTGGTATTGTCATCTACACTTCTGATCAAGGGGCTATAAATTAAGGATTCCCATGACTGTCCTCTCAGGTTCAATTAATCAGCTAGAACTACTCCCAGAACTCAGGGAAACACTTTACTTACATTTCCTGGCTTATTAATAAGGGATATAGATGAACAGCCAGTGAAAAGATGCATAAGGGAAGATTTGGAAGTGTCCTGAGCACAGGCTATTCTGACTTTGTGGAGTTGGGGTATCCCACCCTATCAGCCGTGGATGTGTTTGCTCTTTGAACCCTGTCCTTTGGGGTTTTTATGGAGCCTTCATTACCTAGGCATGATTGGTTACATCATCGGCCATTGGTGATCAACCCAACCACCAGCCCCTCTCCACACCCTAGGGATCTGTCAATGCGGCTGAAAGTCCCAACCCTCCAACCACACCTTGGCCTTCTTTCTGGTGGCCCCAAGCCACCAGTCATCTCACTAGCATACAAAGATACTTATCACTCTGGAGATTCCAAGGGTTTTAGGAGTTGTGTGCCAGGAAAAGGTCAAAGGCCTTTGGAAATGAGTAATTCAAAATCTAAGCTGTTGGAACTTTAAAATATTTTGAGATTTAAGGGAACATTTAAAGGATATACAGGATTCTGATCCTTTTCAATTGTTTCAAGTTGACATACCAAATATGTATTTCTTATTCTAAATCACAATCTAATATCACAGCAGCAGTTTGCCCATTACAAAGGAAATTTTACCTCTGTCTCTAGAGAGTGAGGGCTTCCAGTTCTGCAATGAAAATTACTGAACATTCTGTGGAGAAATCAATTGGCCTAAATCAATTGCTTATGGCATGTTTTTTCCCAAACTAATGAAATTAACTAGGAAGAGGCAGGAGAGGGGAAAATATCATGGGAGTTTAACCACTGGCTAAGAGGGGCTATTCTTTAGCTATTGGTAAAAGGGAAAAACACTTCCATCATCACTGAATAGATAGATAGATAGATAGACAGGTAGATAGATGATTGATAGATATTCAACATTTGTTAAAGGGCACATATTAGCTGAGAGATATGTTATTTGAACAAATATTAGTACCTTAATTTTTGAATTGCTTATTTTCTGTAGGAAAATTTAGTTAGCTAATGAAATAGAAACATCATAAAGTAGCTGTCAGTATCAGTACAGCAAATGTGGGTATCTCCATCCTTGTGTGAGGTCAACTATCATGAGGAAACAGGCATTATAGACAAAACCAATGGAGAACTGATGCAATTGATTATGCTGTGAATTGAAAGAGCAGGAGAAAGCCATGGGCTCTGGAATCAGATAAACTTAGATTTGAATCCTGCTGCTTTACTTAGTATATAAGTGACTTTGGGTGAAGAAAGTAACCTCTCATAGCCTCAATTTCCTCACCTATAAAGTAGGGATAATAATAGGATCAACCTCACAAAGTTGTTGTCAAAATTACTTATAAAACTATTATTAGGTTGGTGCAAGAGTAATTGTGGCTTAATAGCACAGGGCCTAGCATATAGTAAAATACTCAACAAATTGTAGTGATTATCGTCATTATGATTACTGATAAAAAATTTGAGCACTGCTGCTAGATCTACCAGTGATTCCCTATATGACTCACCAGGGCAAATCACTTTCTCTCACTGAGACTCTTCTTCTGTAGAGTGAGGAACTAGGCCATCCCTAAAGTGTTTTTGGAGGTCTAAAGCTTTTAAGATAATTGGAGTGAAAGACCTTGCTGCTCCTCAGATGAACTGGATCTAGACCATGAATAAATAGGAGCACTTTTTTATTCCATGGTGGTGTCTGCAAAGCACCAAGGTTCCCTGCATTGCTCATGTTGGCCTGTGGACTTAAAATATTTGGTAAGAATCTTCTGGTCGGCCAGGTGTGGTGGCTCATGCCTGTAATCCCAGTACTTTGGGAGGCTGAGATAGGCAGATCACTTGAGGTCAGGAGTTCAAGAGCAGTCCGTCCAACGTGGTGAAACGCTGTCTCTACTAAAAATATAAAACTTAGCAGGGTGTGGTGGCACACACCTGTAGTCACAGCTACTCGGGAGACTGAGGTGGGAGAATTGCTACAACCCAGGAGGCAGAGGTCGCAGTGAGCCAAGATCGTGCCATTGCACTCCAGCCTGGGCGACAGAGGGAGACTCCATCTCAAAAAAAAAAAAAAAAAAAGGAGAGAGAATCTTCTGGTCTTTCCCCTACTCCACTATCTGTTGGTGTTTATTCATATATAGTTGTCTTCTCTTATTTTCGTCTTGCTCCACGTAAGACAGACTTGGAAAGATTGGAACTAAACCATGAAGGAGCCTCAGAAATAATTGAGGAGAGGACACCACACAAAATAAGATCTTTCCTCGGTCCAGAAAACAGAAATGACATGACCACTAAATAATGAATGATCCCAGCTTCTGCAATGCAGGGACTTTGAAGCCAGGAGGATTTAGGCTTCAATCTATGCCCAGTAATTACTAACAATATAATCTTGGTCAAGTTAATTATCTTTGCAGGATAATTATAAATAGGAAAGATAATCCCTACTTCATAAGATTGTTGTGGGGATTCACTGTGATTTTGTAAACCAAAAATAAAATTCTATGGCCTCCCAACCATCTGAACAGACTTCATCCTCAGCCTGGGCTCTTTTAAAATTTAACCTGAGAGACTGTTTCAGGCCCTGATGGGAAGTAGGGGTTGGATGGGCCTCATTATACTGCTCCAGCATTAGCATTAACATCAACACAGACTTTAAGTTAGATCAGAAACATTTTACAACCTAGTCTCTCTGAAGCCTACTCCCAGAAGGCTTCCTCTGCAATTAAGAACTTGGGTCTCCACAATTCTTTTTCTTAACCCAGACATTCCTTTCTGTTGATCCCAGGTCTTTAGACAAACTCAACCAATTATCAACCAGAAAAAGCTGAAATTTACCTATAGCCTGGAAGCCCCCCGCTTTCAGTTGTCCCATCTTTCTGGGCCAAACCAACGTATTTCTTAAATGTATTTGGTTGATGTCTCATCCCTCCCAAAATGTATAAAACCAAGCTGCACCCTGACCACCTTGGAGACAGTTCTCAGGATCTCCCAAGGGCTCTGTCATGAAATATGGTCACTCATATTTGGCTCAGAATAAATCTCTTCAAATATTTTACAGAATTTGACTGTTTTCATCAACATTACTTTAATGCAAATTATTTAGCACAGTGTCAGACCATAATTCCTGCATTCTAAGACATATTTTTATGTTCTGAAATTGGAATGTGTCTTACATTTGAGATTCCTAGTAGGCTTTCTTTTCTTTTCTTTTTCATTTTTTTCCTAGAAGATGTTAATAAATCAATGGAATCTTAGAATCAAGAAAATTTTGTAGTCAGTGATTAATAAAATTAGCTTCGATCATTATAATAATCTTTAAAATAATTTTTTTGTTTTAATTCTGTCCATACAAAGTGTTGTACTGATTTTTAAATGTCAAAATGCTAGCAAAATATAGCCAATCACAAATACAAATTTAATACGTTAGCTCATACAGGTATAAATAATTTCCTCACACTAATCATCACTGGATTGCTCCTAGTTAAAGACTAAATTATCTGTTCCACTGGTTGCACCTAAGCAAAGGTCCATTTTCAGCAGACTCCATTCTCTCTTCTTTTCTTAGTACAATGCATTTCCACTTAAGAAACATTCAACACTCTTTTGATTGCTGTTAACTACAAAACCCTCATTTTGCATTCAGTATATTTTATTTTCTTTTTCAATTGGTTATATGGCATGAAATAGAGTTGGTCTCTATTTACAGCTCAAATCTTATGTCTCAAAAATAAATTAATGATACTGCTCTCCTTAGTTCTTTTTCCTTAACCTTAGGTCATAGATATACTACTTTCCAAGTAATCTCATGATATAATTATCTTTTTCCACTAATTCCTCAAAAGCTTGGTACTTATAAACGTCACATAGGTATTCATTTACTTTTTTTTTTTTTTTTTTTTGAGATGGAGTCTCACTCTGTCACCCAGGCTAGAGTACAGTGGTGCCATCTTGGCTCACTGCAATCTCCAACTCCCGGGTTCAAGCACTTCTCCTGCCTCAACCTCCTGAGCAGCTGGGATTACAGGTGCCCACCACTACACCTGGCTAATTTTTGTATTTTTAATAGAGACAGTGTTGTACTATGTTGGTCAGATTGATCTCGAACTCCTGACCTTGTGATCCACCCGCCCCAGCCTCCCAAAGTGCTGGGATTACAGTCGTGAGCCACCGCGCCTGGGCCATTTACTTCTAATTTATTTTTATTATCATAATGATGACAATAAAACATGCCTGTAGTCCTGTGCCTTCCTGTTAACATCAGCCTATCATGCTATTTGTTAAACTATGAAATTTAAATCGGCAGCATTAAATCAGGGCAGGAAATGAAATTGAAAACCACATAAGTTATCTGTTGATGTCCTACAGGCACGGGATGAGCCTCTCTATATCTGTTCCCAGTCTGTAATTCCCAGGGCCCTGGAGACAATCACTGAGATATACTATACAACAAAGTGCAAATAGCTAACAATACTGCACTTAAAATTTGCAAAAAGAGTAGAAACTTAAGTGTTCTTACCCACCCTCTCCCCCTACACATACAAATAATAATAATAAAAGGGGTGGGGGGGAAACTCTGGGAGGCGATGGTTATGTCTATGGCTTTGACGGTCATGATGGTTTCATGGGTATATACTTATCCCCCAACTCACCCAGTTGAATATACTAAATACGTACAGCTTTCTGTATTAACAAAAAAGTGTTTCCATAAAGTGTTTTATAAAGAAATGAATGCAATAGGACACACTAAAGAGTGATTGTCACACTCATATCTCCATTTCCATGGCATCCTTCACAACACCATCACCATAACTACCCCCAAGTATAATCTGGCCACTGAATACTTGAAAGAATAAGTCCTTCCGTTTTTATTTATTGAGGTATAATTTCAACACAGTGAAATATTTGGCTCTTAAGTGTTCTATCCAATCAGTTTCAATAAATGTGTACACTTGTGTAGACCACACCCCTATCAAAACACAGAACATTTCCATCAACCCAAAAAATATTCTGTGTCATTGCAGAGGCAATTCCCCTCTAAGAAACAACCACTAACCCTGTTGTTTATCACTATATGACAGTTTTGCATATTCTAAAGATTCATTTAAATTAAATTATATAATACGTCATCTTTTGCATCTTCTTTCATTCAGCATAACATTTTTGAGAATGATTTATGTTGCTGCAGATATCGGTAGTTTATCCATTTTATTTATGAGTAGTATTCTATTACAGGAATATTTGTTTGCTTATCCATTCTCCTATTGATGTACATGTAAGATTTTTTTTGCTTTGGGCCTATTATGAAAAAAAGTTGCTATGAACATTTTTATATGGTTTTTTGTACACATAAGTCTTCTTTTTTCTTGGATAAATTCTAGGAGTGGAATTGTTAGGTCATAGGGGAAATGTGTGTTAAACTTTTAAAGAAACTGCCAGTTTCCTAAAATGATTGTTACATTTCGTATTCCCAATAGCAATGTATGAGAGTTTCAGTTGCTCCAAAATTTGATGATGTCAATATTTTACATTTTACCCATTCTAGTAGGTGTGTCGTGTAGTTCATTGTGGTTTGCACTTGCTTTTCCTGGATGACTAATAATGTGAACACTCTTTTATATGCCTGTTGGTCATTGGCATATGTTCTTTTGTGAATCATCTGTTGAAATCTTTTGTCCATTTTCTTTTTTAAAAAATTTTAAGTTCCAGGATACATGTGTGGTACATGAAGGTTTGTTACATAGCTATACAAGTGCCATAGTGATTTGCTGCACCTATCAACCCATCACCTAGGCTTTAAGCCCTGCATGAGTTAGGTATTTGTCCTAATGCTCACCCTCCCCTTGACCCCAACACACTGACAGGCCCTGATGTGTGTTATTCCCCTCCCTATATCCATTGTTCAACTCCCACTTATGAGAAAGAACATGTGGTGTTTAGTTTTCTGTTCCTGTGTTAGTTTGCTGAGGGTGATGGCTTCCAGTTTCATTCATGTCCCTGCAAAGATATGATCTCATTCCTTTTTATGGCTGCATAGTGTTCCATGGTGTATATGCACCACATTTTCTTTATCTAGTCTATTTTATTTATTTATTTATTTATTTATTTATTTATTTATTTATTTTGAGATGGTGTTTCACTCTTGTTGCCCAGGCTGGAGTACAATGTTGCAATCTCAGCTCACGGCAACCTCCATCTTCCAGGTTCAAGTGATTCTCCTGCCTCAGCCTCCTGAGTAGCTGGGATTAAAGGTATGTGCCACCACGCCAAGCTAATTTTGTATTTTTAGTAGAGATGGGGTTTCTCCATTTTGGTCAGACTGGTCTTGAACTCCTGATCTCAGCCTCCCAAAGTGCTGGGATTACAGGCGTGAGCCACCACTCCCGGCCTATCGCATCTATTATTGATGGGCATTTGGGTTATTTCTATGTCTTTGCTATTGTAAATAGTGCTGCAATAAACATATGTGTGCATGTGTCTTTATAGCAGAATGATTTATAATCCCTTGGGTATATAACCAATAATGCAGTTGCTGGGTCAAATGGTATTTCTGGTTCTAGATCCTTGAAGAATTGTCACACTGTCTTCCACAATGGTTGAACTAATTTACATTCCCACCCACAGTATAAAAGTGTTCCTATTTCTCCACAGCCTCACCAGCAACTATTGTTTCTTGACTTTTTAAAAATCATCATTCTGACTGCCATGAGGTGGTGTCTCATATATGGTTTTGATTTGCATTTCTCTAACGATCAGTGATGTTGAGCTTTTCTTCATATGTTTTTTGACCACATAAACATCTTCTTTCAAGAAGTGTCTGTTCATATCCTTTGCTCACTTTTTAATGTTTTTTGTTTGTTTGTTTGTTTTTAATCTTGTAAATTTGTTTAGGTTCCATGTAGATTCTGGATATTAGACCTTCATCAGATGGGTAGATTGCAAAAATTTTCTCCCATTTTGAAGGTTGTGTGCACACTTTGATAATAGTTTCTTTTGCTGTGCAAAAACTTTTTAGTTTAATTAGATCCCTTTTGTCTGTCAATCTTGGCTTTTGTTGTGATTGCTTTTGGCATTTTTGCCATGAAGTCTTTGCCAATGCCTATGTCCTGAATGGTATTGCCTAGGTTTTCTTCTAGAGTTTTTATGGTTTGCAGTCTTACATTTAAGTCTTTAATCCATCTTGAGTTAATTTTGTATAAGGTGTAAGGAAAGGGTCCAGTTTTAGTTTTCTTCATATGGCTAGCCAGTTTTCCAGTACCATTTATTAAATAGCGAATCCTTTCCCCATTGTTTGTTTTTGTCAGGTCTGTCAAAGATCACATTGTTGTAGATGTGTAATGTTACTTCTGAGGTCTCTGTTTTGTTCCATTGGTCTATATGTCTGCTTTGGTAACAGTGCCACGCTGTTTTTGTTACTGTAGCCTTGTGGCATAGTTTGAATTCAGGTGGCGTGATGCCTTCAGGTTTGTTCTTTTTGCTGAAGATTGTCTTGGCTATATAGGCTTTTTTTTGGTTCCATATGAAATTTAAAGTAGTTCTTTTTTTTCTAATTCTGTGAAGAATGTCAGTGGTAGTTTGATGGGAATAGCATGGAATCTGTAAGTTACTTTGGGCAGTATGGCCATTTTTACAATATTGAATCTTCCTATCCATGAGAATGGAAGGTTTTTCCATTTGTTTTTGTCCTCCCTTATTTCCTTGAGCAGTAGTTTTTAGTTCTCCTTGAAGAGGTCCTTCACATCCTTTGTTAGCTGTATTCCTAGTTATTTTATTCTCTTTGTAGCAATTGTGAATGGGAGTTCATTCATTATTTGGCTCTCTGCCTGTCTATGATTGATGTATAGGAATGCTTGTGATTTTTGGACATTGACTTTTTATCCTGAGACTTTGCTGAAGTTCCTTATCAGCTTAAGATTTTGAGCTGAGACGATGGGGTTTTCTAAATATAGAATCAAGTCATCTGCAAACAGAGAAAATTTGACTTTCTTTCTTCTTATTTGAATACCCTTTATTTCTTTCTCTTGCCTGATTGCCCTGGCCAGAAGTCCAATACTATTTTGAATAGGAGTGGTGAGAGAGGGCATCCTTGTCTTGTGTCTGTTTTCAAAGGGAATGCTTCCAGCTTTTGTCCATTCAGTATGACATTGGTTATGGGTTTGTCATAACTAGTTCTTATTATTTTGAGATATGTTTCATCAATACCTAGTTTATTGAGAGTTTTTAGCATGAAGGGATGTTAAATTTTATCAAAGGCCTTTTCTGCATCTATTGAGATAATCATGTGGTTTTTGTCATTGGTTCTGTTTATGTGATGAATTATGTTTATTGATTGCATATGTTGAACCAGACTTGCATCCCAGGGATGAAGTCAGCTTGATCGTGGTGGATAAGCTTTTTGATGTGCTGCTGGATTTGGTTTGCCAGTATTTTATTGAGGATTTTTGCATTGATGTTGATCAGGGATATTGGCCTGAAGTTTTCTTTCTTTCTATGTCTCTGCCAGGTTTTCATATCAGGATGATGCTGGCCTCATAAAATGAGTTAGGGAGTAGTCCCTCCTTTTCAATTGTTTGGAATAATTTCAGAAGAAATGGTACCAGCTCCTCTTTGTACCCCTGTTAGAATTTGGCTATGAATCCATCTGGTCATGAGCTTTTTTTGGCTGGTAGGCTATTAATTACTGCCTCAATTTCAGAATTTGTTATTGATCTATTCAGGGATTCGACTTCTGCCTGGTTTAGTCTTGAGAGGATGTATGTATCCAGGAATTTATCCATTCCTTCTAGATTTTCTAAAGTCTTTGCATAGAGGTGTTTACAGTATTCTCTGATGGTAGTTTGTATTTCTGTGGGGTCAGTGGTAATATCCCCTTTATCATTTTTATTGTGTCTATTTGATTCATCTCTCTTTTCCTCTTTATTAGTCTAGTTAGTGGTATATCTTAATTTTTTCAAAAAAACCAGATTCTGGATTCATTGATTTTTTTCTGAAGGGTTTTTTTTTTGTCTCTATCTCCTTCAGTTCTGCTCTGATCTTAGTTATTTCTTGTCTTCTGTTAGCTTTCGGATTTGTTTGCTCTTGCTTCTCTAGTTCTTTCAATTGTAATCTTAGGGTGTTAGTTTGAGATCTTTCTAGATTTCTGATGTGAGCATTTAGTGCTATAAATTTCCCTCTTAACACTGCTTTAGCTCTGTCCCAGAGATGCTGGTATGTTGTCTCTTTGTTCTCATTAGTTTCAAAGAACTTCTTGATTTCTGCCTTAATTTCATTGTTTACCCAGGAGTCATTCTGGAGCAGGTTGTTCAATTTCCATGCAGTCGTGTGGCTTTGAGTGAGTTTCTTAATCCTGAGTCCTAATTTGATTGCACTGTGGTCTGAGAGACTGTTATGATTTCAGTTCTTTTGCATTTGCTGAAGAGTGTTTTACTTTCAATTATGTGGTTGATCTTAGAATAAGTGCCATGTGGCACTGAGAAGAAGGTGTATTCTGTTGATTTGGGGTGGAGAGTTCTGTAGACGTCTATCAGGTCCACTTGGTCCAGAGCTGATTTCAAGTCCTGAATATCCTTGTTAATTTTCTGTCTTGTTGATCTATCTAATATTGACTGTGGGGTGTTAAACTCTCCCACTATTATTGTGTGGTGGTTTATGTCTCTTTGTAGGTCTCTAAGAACTTGTTTTATAAATCTGGGTGCTCCTGTATTGGGGGATAGTTAGCTCTTCTTGTTGCACTGATCCCTTTACTATTATGTAATGTCCTTCTTTGTCTTTTTTGATCTTTGTCAGTTTAAAGTCTGTTTGTCAGAGACTAGGATTGCAACCCCTGCTTTTTTTTTTTTTCTGCTTTCCATTTGCTTGGTAATTTTTCCTCCGTCCCTTTATTTTGAACCTATTTGTGTCTTTGCAAGTGAGATGGGTCTCCTGAATACAGCACTCCGATGGGTCTTGATTCTTTATCCAATTTGCCAGTCTGTGTCTTTTAATTGGGGCATTTAGCCCACTTACATTTAAGGTTAATATTGTTATGTGTGAATTTGATCTTGTCATCATGATGCTAGCTGGTTATTTTGCACACTAGTTGATGCAATTTCTTTATAGTGTCATTGGTCTTTATATTTTGGTGTGTTTTTGTAGTGGCTGGTACTGGTTTTTCCTTTCCATATTTAGTGCTTCTTTCAGAGCTCTTGCAAGGCAGGCCTGGTGGCCATGAAATCCCTAAGCATTTGCTTGTCTGTAAAGGATTTTATTTCTCCTTCACTTATGAAGCTTAGTTTGTCTGGATCTGAAATGCTGGGTTGAAATTTCTTTTATTTAAGAATGTTGAATATTGGGGGTGGTTCCGAGATGGCTGAATAGAAACAGCTCCAGTCTAGAGCTCCCAGTGTGAGCGACACAGAAGACAGAGATTTCTGCATTTCCAACTGAGGTACCGGGTTCATCTCACTGGGGCTTGTCAGACAGTGGGTGCAGGACAGTGGGTGCAGCCCACTGAGCATGAGCCAAAGCAGGGCAAGGCATTGCCTCACCCGAGAAGTGCAAGGGGTCAGGGAATTCCCTTTCCTAGCAAAGGGAAGGGGTGACAGACGGCACCTGGAAAATTGGGTCACTCCTACCCTAATACCGCACTTTTCCAACAGTCTTAGCAAATGGCACACCAGGAGATTATATCCTGTGCCTGGCTCAGAGGGTCCCACACCCACAGAGCCTTGCTTATTGCTAGCACAGCAGTCTGAGATCTAACTGCAAGGCAGCAGCGAGGCTGGGGGAGGGGTGCAAGCCATCGCTGAGGCTTGAGTAGGTAAACAAAGCGGCCTAGAAGCTCGAACTGGGTGGAGCCCACCGCAACTCAGGGAGGCCTTCCTGCCTCTGTAGACTCCACCTCTGGGGGCAGGACATAGCTGAGCAAAAGGCAGCAGAAACCTCTGCAGACTTAAATGTCCCTGTCTGACAGCTTTGAAGAAAGTAGTGGTTCTCCCAGAACAGAGTTTGAGATCTGAGAACGGGCAGACTGCCTCCTCAAGTGGGTCCCTGATCCCCAAGTAGCCTAACTGGGAGGCACCAATCAGTAGGGGCAGACTGACACCTCACATGGCTGGGTACCCCTATGAGATGAAGCTTCCAGAGGAACAATCAGGCAGCAACATTTGCTGTTCACCAATATCCACTGTTCTGCAGCCTCTGCTGCTGTTACCCAGGCAAGCAGGGTCTGGAGTGGACCTCCAACAAACTCCAACAGACCTGCAGCTGAGGGTTCTGACTGTTAGAAGGAAAACTAACAAACGGAAAGGACATCCACACCAAATCCCCATCTGTACATCACCATCAACAAAGAACAAAGGTAGATAAAACCACAAAGATGGGGAAAAAACAGAGCAGAAAAGCTGAAAATTCTAAAAATCAGAGGGCCTCTCCCCCTCCAAAGGAATGCAGCTCTTCACCAGGAATGGAACAAAGCTGGATGGAGAATGACTTTGACGAGTTGAGAGAAGAAGGCTTCAGACAGTCAAACTTCTCTGAGCAAAAGGAGCAAGTTCAAACCCAACACAAAGAAGCTAAAAACCTTGAAAAAAGATTAGATGAGTGGCTAATTAGAATAACCAGTGTAGAGAAGTCCTTAAATGACCTGATGGAGCTGAAAACCATGGCACGAGAACTCTGTGACAAATGCACAAGCTTCAGTGGCCAATTTGATCACCTGGAAGAAAAAGTATCAGTGACTGAAGATCAAATGAATGAAATGAAGTGAGAAGAGAAGTTTAGAGAAAAAAGAGTAAAAAGAAATGGACAAAGCCTCCAAGAAATATGGGACTATGTGAAAAGACCAAATCTATGTCTAATTGGTGTACCTGAAAGTGACAGGGAGAATGGAACCAAGTTGGGAAACACTCTGCAGGATATTATCCAGGAGAACTTCCCCAACCTAGCAAGGCAGGCCAACATTCAAATTCAGGAAATACAGAGAATGCCACAAAGATACTCCTCAAGAAGAGCAACTCCAAGACACGTAATTGTCAGATTCACCAAAGTTGAAATGAAGGAAAAAATGTTAAGGGCAGCCAGAGAGAAAGGTCGAGTTAACCACAAAGGGAAGCCCATCAGACTAACAGTGGATCTCTCGGCAGAAACTCTACAAGCTAGAAGAGAGTGGGGGCCAATACTCAACATTCTTAAATAAAAGAATTTTCAACCCAGAATTTCATATCCAGCCAAACTAAGCTTCATAAGTGAAGGAGAAATAAAATCCTTTACAGAAAAGCAAATGCTGAGAGATTTTGTCACCACCAGGCCTGCCCTAAAAGAGCTCCTGAAGGAAGCACTAAACATGGAAAGGAACAACCGGTACCAGCCACTGCAAAAACATGCCAAATTATAAAGACCATCGATGCCAAGAAGAAACTGCATCAACTAGCAAGCAAAATAACCAGCTGACATCATAATGACAGGATCAAATTCACATATAACAATATTAACCTTAAATGTAAATGAGCTAAATGCTCCAATTAAAAACACAGACTGGTAAATTTGATGAAGAGTCAACACCTCTCAGTGTGCTGTATTCAGGAGACTCACCTCACATGCAGAGACACACATAGGCTCAAAATAAAGGGATGGAGGAAGATCTACTAAACAAATGGAAAACAAAAAAAGGCAGGGGTTGCAATCCTAGTCTCAGATAAAACAGACTTTAAACCAACAAAGATCAAAAGAGACAAAGAAGGCCATTACATAATGGTAAAGGGATCGATTCAACAGGAAGAGCTAACTATCCTAAATATATATGCACCCAATAAAGGAGCACCAAGATTCATAAATCAAGTCCTTATAGACCTACAAGGAGACTTAGACTCCCACACAATAATAACAAGAGACTTTAACACCCCACTGTCAACATTAGACAGATCAACGAGACAGAAAGTTAACAAGGATATCCAGGAATTAAATTCAGGTCTGCACCAAGCAGACCTAATAGACATCTACAGAACTCTCCACCCCAAATCAACAGAATGTACTTTCTTCTCAGCAACACATTGCACTTATTCCAAAATTGACCACATAGTTGGAAGTAAAGCATGCCTCAACAAATGTAAAAGAACAGAAATTATAACAAACTATCTCTCAGACCACAGTGCAATCAAACTAGAACTCAGGATTAAGAAACTCACTCAAAACCGCTCAACTACATGGAAACTGAACAACCTGCTCCTGAATGACTACTGGGTACATAACGAAATGAAGGCAGAAATAAAGATGTTCTTTGAAACCAATGAGAACAAAGACACAACATACCAGAATCTCTGGGACACATTCAAAGCAGTGTGTAGAGGGAAATTTATAGCACTAAATGCCCACAAGAGAAAGCAGGAAAGATCTAAAATTGACACCCTAACATCACAATTAAAAGAACTAGAGAAGCAAGAGCAAACACATTCAAAAGCTAGCAGAAGACAAGAAATAACTCAGATCAGAGCAGAACTGAAGGAGATAGAGACACAAAAAACCCTTCAAAAAATCAATGAATCCAGGAGATAGTTTTTTGATAAGATCAACAAAATTGATAGACCATTAGCAAGACTAATAAAGAAGAAAAGAGAGAAGAATCAAATGGATGCAATAAAAAATGATAAAGGGAATATCACCACCAATCCCACAGAAATACAATCTACCATCAGAGACTACTATAAACACCACTATGCAAATAAACTAGAAAATCTAGAAGAAATGGATAAATTCCTGGGCACATACATCCTCCCAAGGCTAAACCAGGAAGAAGTTGAATCCCTTAATAGACCAATACCAGGCTCTGAAATTGAGGCAATAATTAATAGCCTACCACCCAAAAGTCCAGGACCAGATGGATTCACAGCCGAATTCTACCAGAGGTACAAAGAGGAGCTGGTACCATTCCTTCTGAAACTATTCTAATCGATAGAAAAAGAGGGAATCCTCCCCAACTTATTTTATGAGGCCAGCATCATCCTGATACCAAAGCCTGGCAGAGACACAACAACAAAAAAGAGAATTTTAGACCAATATCCCTGATGAACATCGATGCAAAAATCCTCAATAAAATACTGGCCAACCAAATCCAGCAACACATCGAAAAGCTTATCCACCATGATCAAGTGGGCTTCATCCCTGGGATGCAAGACTGGTTCAACATATGCAAATCAATATACGTAATCCAGCATATAAACAGAACCAAAGACAAAAACCACATGATTATCTCAATAGATGCAGAAAAGGCCTTTGACAAAATCGACAGCCCTTCATGCTAAAAACTCTCAATAAACTAGGTATTGATGGGACATATCTCAAAATAATAAGAGCTATTTACAACAAAATATCATACTGAATGGGAAAAAACTGGAAGTATTCCCTTTGAAAACTGGCACAAGACAGGGATGCTGTCTCTCACCACTCCTATTCAACATAGTGTTGGAAGTTCTGGCCAGGGCAATCAGGCAGGAGAAAGAAATAAAGGGTATTCAATTAGGAAAAGAGGAAGTCAAATAGTCCCTGTTTGCAGATGACATGATTGTATATTTAGAAAACCCCATCATCTCAGCCCAAAATCTCCTTAAGCTGATAAGCAACTTCAGCAAAGTCTCAGGATACAAAATAAATGTGCAAAAATCACAAGCATTCCTATACACAAATAACAGACAAACACAGAGCCAAATCATGAGTGAACTCCCATTCACTATTGCTTCAAAGAGAATAAAATACCTAGGAATCCACCTTACAAGGGATGTGAAGGACCTCTTCAAGGAGAACTACAAACCAGTTCTCAATGAAATAAAAGAGGACACAAACAAATGGAAGAATATTCCATGCTCATGGATAGGAGGAATCAATATCATGAAAATGACCATACTGCCCAAGGTAATTTATAGATTCAATGCCATCCCCATCAAGCTACCAATGACTTTCTTCACAGAATTGGAAAAAACTACTTTAAAGTTAATATGGAACCAAAAAAGAGCCCACGTTGCCAAGACAATCTTAAGCCAAAAGAACGAAGCTGGAGGCATCACGCTGCCTGACTTCAAACTATACTACAAGGCTACAGTAGTATGGTACTGGTACCTAAATAGAGATATAGACCAATGGAACGGAACAGAGCCCTCAGAAATAATACCACACATCTACAACCATCTGATCTTTGTCAAACCTGACAAAAACAAGAAATGGGGAAAGGATTCCCTATTTAATAAATGGTGCTGGGAAAACTGGCTAGCCATATGTAGAAAGCTGAAACTGGATCCCTTCCTTACACCTTATACAAAAATTAATTCAAGATGGATTAAAGACTTAAATGTTAGACCTAAAACCATAAAAACCCTAGAAGAAAACCTAGGCAATACCATTCAGGACATAGGCATGGGCAAGGACTTCATGTCTAAAACACCAAAAGCAATGGCAACAAAAGCCAAAATTGACAAATGGGATCTAATTAAACTAAAGAGCTTCTGCACAGCAAAAGAAACTACCATCAGAGTGAACAGGCAATCTACAGAATGGGAGAACATTTTTGCAATCTACTCATCTGACAAAGGGCTAATATCCAGAATCTACAAAGAACTCAAACAAATTTACAAGAAAAAAACAAACAACCCCATCAAAAAGTGGACAAAGGATATGAACAGACACTTCTCAAGAGAAGACATTTATGCAGCCAACAGACACATGAAAAAAATGCTCATGATCACTGGCCATCAGAGAAATGCAAATCAAAACCACAATGAGATACCATCTCACAGCAGTTAGAATGGTGATCATTAAAAAGTCAGGAAACAACAGGTGCTGGCGAGGATGTGAAGAAATAGGAACACTTTTACACTGTTGGTGGGACTGTAAACTAGTTCAACCATTGTGGAAGACAGTGTGGCGATTCCTCAAGGATCTAGAACTAGAAATGCCATTTGACCCAGCCATCCCATTACTGGGTATATACCCAAAGGATTATAAATCATGCTGCTATAAAGACACATGCACACATATGTTTATTGCGGCACAATAGCAAAGACTTGGAACGAACCCAAATGTCCATCAATGATAGACTGGATTAAGAAAATGTGGCACATATACACCACGGAATACTATGCAGCCATAAAAAGGGATGAGTTCATGTCCTTTGTAGGGACATGGATGAAGCTGGAAACCATCATTCTCAGCAAACTATCACAAGGACAAAAAACCAAACACTGCATGTTCTCACTCATAGGTGGGAATTGAACAATGAGAACACTTGGACATAGGAAGGGAAACATCACACAACGGGGCCTGTCGTGGGATGGGGGGAGGGGGGAGGGATAGCATGAGGAGATATACCTAATGTCAATGACGAGTTAATGGGTGCAGCACACCAACATGGCACATGTATACATATGTGACAAATTTGCACGTTGTGCACATGTACCCTAGAATTTAAAGTATAAAAAAAAAGGAATGTTGAATATTGGCCCCCACTCTCTTCTGGCTTGCAGGGTTTCTGCTGAGAGGTCTGCTGTTAGTCTGATAGGCTTCCCTTTCTAGGTGGCCTGACCTTTCTCTCTGGCTGCCCTTAACATTTTTTCCTCCATTTTGACCTTGGAGAATCTAATGATTATGTGTCTTGGGGTGAATCTCTTTATGGAGTAGCTTAATGGTGCTCTCTGTGTTTCCTGAATTTGAATGTTTCACTGTCTCACTAGGTTGGGGAAGTTCTCTTGGATAATACCCTGAAGTGTGTTTTCCAACTTGGTTTTATTCTGCTCATCATTTTAAGGTACTCCAATCAATTGTAGGTTCAGTCTTTTTACATAGCTCCATATTTCTCAGATGTTTTATTCTTTCCTTTTCATTACATTTTTATCTAATCTTGTCTGCATGCCTTATTTCAGCAAGATGGTTTACAAACTCTAATATCTTTTTTTTTCACTTGGTCAATTTGGCTATTGATACTTATGTATGTTTCACTAAGTTCTCATGCTGTGTTCTTCAGCTCCATCGGGTCATTTATGTTCCTCTCTAAACTGATTATTCTAGTTAGCAGCTCCTGTAACCTTTTATCAAGGTTCTTAGCTTCCTTGCATTGGGTTAGAAGATGCTCCTTTAATTCAGAGGCGTTTGTTATTACCCACTTTCTGAAGCCTACTTCTGTCGATTCATCCATCTCATCCTTCATCCATTTCTGAGCCCTTGCTGGAGATTTGTTGTGATCATTTAGAAGAGACGAGGCATTCTGGCTTTTGGGATTTTCAGTGTTTTTGCATGGGTTTTTCCTCATCTTCATGGATTTATCTACCTTTCATCTCTGAGGCTGATGGCCTTTGGATGGGGTTTTTGTGGTGGTGGGGGTCTTTTTTGTTGATGTTGTTGTTGTTGTTTTCTGTTTGCTAGTTTTTCTTCTAATAGTCAGGCCCCTCTTCTGCAGGTCAGCTACAGTTTTCTGGGGGTCCACTCCAGACCCTGTTTGCCTTGGTATCACCAGTTGAGGCTGCAGAACAGCAAAGATTGCTGCCTGCTCCTTCCTCCAGAAGCTTCATCTTAGAGGGACACTGGCCTAGTGGCAGCCAGAGCTCTCCTGTGTGAGGTGTCTGTAGGCCCCTTCTGGGATATCTCTCTGTTGGGAGGCACAGTGTCAGGAACCCGCTTGAGGAGGCAATCTGTCCCTTAGCAGAGCTGGTGTGCTGTGATGGGAGAATCTCCCTTGTCAGGATCAGCCAGTATCTTGAGAGCCAGCAGGCAGGAAAGATTAAATCCGCTGAAACTGCAACCACAGCCGCCCCTCCCCGCAAGTGCTGTGTCCCAGGGTGATGAGAGTCCTGTCTATAAGCCCCTGACTGGAGCTGCTGGATTTCCTGCACAGTCCTTGCCCAGTGAGGAGGAATCTAGAGAAGCAATCTGGCCACAGCCTCTTTGCTGTGCTGTGTTGAATTCCACCCAGTCCAAACCTCTCAGTCTCCTTAGCACTGTCAGGGGAAAACTGCCAACTGAAGCCACAGTAACGGCTGCTGCCTCTCCCTGCACCAAACTCGATCATCCCAGGTCTGCTCCAGACTGCTGTGCTGGCAGTGAGAATTTCAAGCCAGTGGTTCTTAGCTTGCTGGCCTCCGTCGGAGTGGGACCTACTGAGCGAGACTGCTTGGCTCCCTGGTTTCAGCACCCTTTCCAGGGGAGTGAACAGTTCTCCTGTCTCACTGGAGTTCCAGGCACCTCTGGAGTATGAAAAAATTCTTGCGGCTTAGTGCCTGCCAGAACAGCCACCAAGATTTGTGCTTGAAACTCGGGGCCTTGGTGGTATAGGTTCACCAGGGAATTTCCTGATGCTTGGGTTGCAAAAATCTGTAGGAAAAGCGTAGTACCCCTGGCAGGTAGCACAACCCTTCACCGCTTCCCTTGGCTGGGAGAAGAAGGTCCCTGGGCTCCATGCACTTCCCACGTGAAGCAACTCCCTACCCTGCTTCTGGTCACTCTCCATGAGTTGCACCCACTGCCTAACCAGTACCAATGACATAAACTGAGTACCTCAGTTGAAAATGCAGAAATCACTTGCCCTCCGCATTGGTCTTGCTGGGAGCTGCAGACTGGAGATGTTTCTATTTGGCCATCTTGGCCTTTCCCCTATTGTATTTTTGTCTTATGATTGAGTTATAGGAGTTCTTCATATAGTCTGAGTAGGAGTCCTTTGTCAAATGTATTTGTTTTGAATATTTTCTTCTAGTATGTGACTTGTTTACTTATTTTCTCAAGTACTTTTGGAGCACGACTTTCTTTCTTTCTTTTGTTTTGCAATCAACCAAAGTCCATAGTTTACATGAGTTCACTCTTTGTGTCATATATTCCATGGGTTTTGACAAATGTATAATGACAGGTATTCACCATGTGGTATTATACAGAATAGTTTCACTGTCTTAAAAATCCATGTATTCATCCCTCACACCTCCCAAAACCCTGACAACCACTGATCTTTTTACCGTCTGCATAATTTTGCCTTTCCTAGAAGGTCTTGTAATTGGAATCATACAGTATGTAGCTTTTTCAGATTCATGACTTCCTTTTGCAACAATATTATCCTCTATGTTCTAAGTAGAAATTGATTTTTAATAGTCCTGTTTTATAGAAAGTTTCTTGATAATAACATCAAAATTATCTATAGATTTTCTAAATCATTTTGAATGTAGAAAGAATTCAGAAAAAAAGTGTAGCTGGTCTTAAACTAACACTCATCATGTGAATCATTAGTCAAGCAGGAAATCATATTCTAGAAAAGTCAGAGGAGCATTGTTACTGAGAATCCAGCTCTCAAGTCAAGCCTGGATTCAAATCCTGGATATTCCACTTACTAATTGTGTAACTTTAGCAATTTCTTAACCTCTCTAGGCGTCAATCTCCTCATTTGAAGATGAGGATGATAATAGTATGATAATAAAATTAAATGAGAAAATACACAAAAAGTGCTCATCAGCCATATGGGGAATTTGTAAAAAGGCTTATGGCAGTTATTGTTATAATCACAAACCATCAAAGACTATTCAGAAATGCACTCAGGTTAAACACTCAAAATGATATTAAAGACTCCCCTCTTTAGAGCTCTAGGCAACATCTGAGCTCAAGGGTGAGATATATCTTTTCTTTAGCTAGGTTTTCCTCAAGTAAAAAATTACTTCTGGCTTCAAAAAAAGTGAAGGGGAAAAAATGGCAACAATGCAAAGTTGGTGGCATTCAAGGTGGTAGAGGCGGATCTGGAAGCGGCTTTTAGGGGTCCACCCCGCCCAGGTTTATATGATGGTCTTGTTGCACTCAGTGGGCTACACCGAGTATCAGCAACTTTTCAAATAAATCATTTTGGTGGAAAAGAGGTGGAAGCACCGCAGAAGGCTACAAAAGACAGGAAACTTCTCTGCTAGTAATTAATTTTAGAATCTGCCTTATTTTATAGATCCTCTCTTTAGTATTTTCTCTGAGAGCCTAGATTAGGATTTGCTCACCTACAACTGATCAAGCTTAATGCATGAGCAAGAAGTATTTTGGAAATTCGTTGTGAGCACCTCTAAGGAACTGGCTTTATTAACCATTATTGCCTGGACTTCTACTAATGTCTAAGGAGACTTCAAACATCATAAAAATTCTGCATTTTTCAAATGGTCTTAACGTAGATAAACTTACTTATCACAGAAGGTACCAGTGGTACAATTTTAGGACTTGGACTATAATATAAGGCAGTCTTCAGTTTCAAATTACTGGAAAAAGGTGACAACGGGTATGCCACTCTTGTTATCAAGAACTGCAGTCTCTATAAATTCTTTTGGTAATACATCTATCAGTTTAAAAAATAGGCCACAATCATATTTACCAATAAATTATAAATTATTTAATATACTATGATATAATAGTACAGTATATATTTCTCTATATTATGTAATTTAAAAACAAAGTACAAACATGGTGGTTCATGTCTGTATTCCTAGTGTTACTGGGGGGGGTCCTTGCTCCCAGAGCTCCCAAGATGGTGGCAGCCTGCTTCCAAAATGGCAGCAGGCCACTTCCAAGATGGTGGCAAGGTGTTCTCTGACCTGGGGTTCTTGGCCTCACGGATTCCAAGGAATAGAATCTTGGGCCATGCGGTGAGTGTTATAGCTCTATTAGAAGCCATGGGTCATGGAAGAGAACCGTGGAACCCAGTGACTAGTGTTCAGCTCAATTAGGACGAACCCAGGCACTTAGCTGTGCAGGAACAATGGCAAGCCTTTAGCCCAATCATGAGTGGCAATGGGTACCTGGCTGGATTAGGAGCACAGTGGACACCCTGCTGGATCTGGAGGGATGGAAGTCAGTGGCGGGTCTGGGACTGCGGCAAACAGCAGGCAGTGGTGGACGGCGAGGGAAAGCTCAGCTCGAGCCATAACAAACATAGTCCAGAAAAGCGCAGTTGCAAGATTTAATAGAGTGAAATAGAGTGAAAACAGAGCTCCCATACAATGGGAGGGGACTCAAAGGGGGTTGCCATTGCCTCCTCAAATGCCTGGGTTTATATCCCAATCCTTGTCCCTCCCGCTGTGCTCTCAGGTAACAGATGATTGGCTATTTCTTTACCTCTTGTTTTTGCCTAATTAGCATTTTAGTGAGCTCTCTTTACTATCTGATTGGTCAGGTGTGAGCTAAGTTGCAAGCACCGTGTTTAAAGGTGGAAGCGGTCACCTTCCCAGCTAGGCTTAGGGATTCTTAGTCAGCCTAGGAAATCTAGCTAGTCCTGTCTCTCACTAGCATTTTATGTGGCCAAGGCAGGAGGATTGCTTGAGCCCGGGAGTTCAAAATCAGGCTGGGCAACATAGGGAGACCCTACCTCTAGATATAAAAAAAAAAAAAAGAAATTAAAATAGCCAGGCATGGTGGTGTGTGCTTGTGGTCCCAGCTACCTGGGAGGCTGAGGTGGGAGGATAGTTTGAACCTGAGAGGTCAAGGCTTCAGGGAGCTGTAATGGCGCCACTGCATTCCAGCCTGGGCAACAGAGGAGACCCTGTCTCAAAATAAACAATAACCCGGTTGGGCACAGTGGCT
This sequence comes from Homo sapiens, assembly GCF_000001405.40. Classification (NCBI taxonomy): domain Eukaryota; kingdom Metazoa; phylum Chordata; class Mammalia; order Primates; family Hominidae; genus Homo; species Homo sapiens. The sequence continues at coordinate 144,044,848 of NC_000005.10, read as the reverse complement.
CACGCTTGTAATCCCAGCACTTTGGGAGGCCGAGGCGGGCAGATCACAAGGTCAGGAGATTGAGACCATCGTGGCTAACACAATGAAACCCCGTCTGTACTAAAAATACAAAAAATTAGCTGGGCGTGGGGTTGGGCGTCTGTAGTCCCAGCTACTCTGGAGGCTGAGGCAGGAGAATGGCGTGAACCCGGGAGGCAGAGCTTGCAGTGAGCTGAGATCACGCCACTGCACTCCAGCCTGGGCAACAGAGCGAGACTCTGTCTTCAAAAAAAAAAAAATAATAATTAACAATAACCCAAAAAAAACAAAGCACACATTTAAAAGAATGAGTTAAAAAATGAAATGAATGGGATTTAATATTAACTAATTTGTTAATTTAAATACAGCCACCCTACTCTCCCTAAACATATTAATAATAACTTTAAAGAGAACAATGTTATTAACTATGCTTTATTTTTTTTTTAATCTTGTTTTAATTCTTCATGATAAAGTAAATCAATGGAGTGGTTAAGCCTTTTTTCTATAGTTTCTGTCATAGTGGAAAATGATAGCTTCAAAAGATTTGCAAAATCAAATGGAGCAAAGATACTATTAACTGATATTAATGATTTATAATACACAGTTTTCTCATACCCATCTACTAATTATGTAAACATTTTTATTGAAATTTCACTGACAAATTTTTGTCATCTCTTATGTCAATCATTTAGTCTACTAAATAATAAGAAGAATTAGTTGAAATAAATTCTTCAGTTGGGAGATTTTTACAACAGGTTAGAAAACATGGCAAGAATCAGACTGTTTAGACCAGGAATACAAAATGTGGGAAAGTGTTGCATGGATTTTTTAAATGGCAGATAAATTCTGTGTAGAGAAAAAACAGAAATAGCCATATTTTTGCTGTGCAGAAGTTAAGCGTAAACAGTGTTAAGTGTACAGATATAAGAATTTTAAAAGAAGACATGGCAACACATATTTTCAGTGAGAAACCACATAATGATTAAAACACTTATAAACTTTCATTTTCAAAATGCTCTCTCCATAGCATGAGTTTCTTTTAGGAAGCAGTGATTTTTCTCAGTTATTAGTAAAATATCAAATTATTCATTGAAGGGACAAATTAAATATGTTACTTCTTAAGAACTCATGCTAGGAGTAGGAGAAATGTCACCTCTGCCATTTGTGATACTTGGATTATGGATGCTTTCTTTAAAAATCTGTCTTTTTACAATATGGCCATTTGTCCATTTTGTGAGGTCAGTTTGGTTCAAATACTTAATATGGTCCAGAAATCCACTTAAGCAGACCAATATAAACATTACATGTGACATCGGACTGACCAAATGAAAGTCTTGGTGTAAATCCATATGATAAGTATTAGTGATGTTCCATTACTCTTTATTTTTATGTAAAAATAAATATAAGTGGAAGTTCTAGTGCTTTCTAGACTTTTCTCCTCATACCTCTTGGATCATACTGCATACCCCAAGGAGTTGCTCACCCCCATGTTTGGAAACTACTAGAGTAGATGACTATGCTACTAAAGAGTACATCTTGTTTTTCACACACAGCTCTCCCTGTCCAGCTTGGCCACACCCCTGCCACTTGGTCCCTTCGATTGAGAATATTACTATTCACTCTTCATAAACATTTGGTTCCACATCAAGATTCTGGTTTCATAAAATCATATTTCTGATGTTCATATAACTTCTTTGTTGTCCATATCACATGAACATTTTTAAAGAGTGGAGAGTTGAACTTCAACACTTCCCGGGAGGGATCAGAAGGATGAATAAGATTGACATAGTTTGGCAGGGATGAAGGTGGGGAAGTGTTCTTTGATGCACATCTCCAATATTTTTTTCCAGTGAGATGCTGTCTTTTTGCTTCGTGGGTTTAAACATTAAAGATTTATAAAACAAATACAAAAACAAAAAAACACTGTTCCTGATTAAAGTGTTTAGAAACAGTCAATTTCATTACATATTTGTGCAGCTATTTTTCTTAAATCAAGAGAAGCATGAAAAACAAATCCCATATACCAAAGAAACTGTCCTTTGGGGTTTAAGATAATGGTTAGAGTAACTGCAGTTTTATGTTTCCATTGTGATGGACTTGGTCTTTAGTGATTCAGGAATTCTGGGTACTAGTCCAATTGTTTACGAAAACAACAACAACAACAACAACAAACGACTTCATATAGGAACAATCTGTGCCAATGATCTAAGAAAGAACATTTTCTATCAATATAATACCATACTGATACACTATACTTGTTATGACAGGGACAAGAGGAAGGGAAATTCTGGGCAGAAGAGGGAGGGTTCCTATAGAGGGCTGCGCCCTCAGGCCAAAAAGCCTGAAACCATGGCCCGAACTGAGAACTTACATCCCTGTTTGCCTGCTCAAATGTTGCCTTTTCCAAAACCACCCGTGGCCCGTGCCGCTCCCAGTCCTGTGGGCAGGAAAACCCCAGGCTCAGCCAGCTGAGAGAGAGGAGAAGCAGCTGGACGTTGGAGACTATGGCTGGACAGCAGAGAGAAGCAGCTTAACTTCAGAGGGACAGTTTGAGGGTGTAACTTTGGAGAAGGATCTAGCCACCTCTGGCCAGACTTCAGGAGCAAATTACCTTCCCACCCTGTCCCCTTTTCAGTCCCCTTCCTGCTAAGAGCCACCTTCCTCGCCAATAAAATCCCCCACATCTACCATCTTTCAATTCATTCCTGAAACCTAGATTCACTGATTTCTCTTGGATGCTGGACAAGAACTCGGTAACCATGAGTACAGATGCAAAAGGCTGTTGCACTGACCCTTTGCCCTTGCTGGCGGAACGAAGCGCCTCATTTGAAAAGGTAGAGGGTCCCCTGAGCTGTTAACACTTAAGCAATTTGCAGATGGCAAAGTTAAAGGAGCACTGTAACACTACCTCTGGGGCTTCAGGGGTCGCAGGCACCCCCTACAGCCTCCCCGCCGCCCCCACTAACCAAAATGCTGCTGCGGGGCTGGCACGGAGTTGGTTCCTGCTGGCACCCAAAAGCACTCATCCCAGATCCTGCACCCACTCACCTGCATGTCCCCTCCTGTGAGAGGTGGAACGCAGCAGGTCCCAGTGAGTAGATTTCACACCTGCCGGCACCGGAGTGGCCAGCTGACTCCAGTGATCGTGTACTCCAGTTCCTGCCTCTTTCGCTCCCACGCTCCCTCCGGCAAGAAGTTGAGAGCTGTGGGCTGAGTAAATGGGGCACCCCCTTCACAAGTCCCACAAAGGGGTAAGGGAAATATCCTGCTTCAGTTATAAAACCATAACTAAGACTATTCCTTATCATCATAAAAACACGTAATTCATACATTTTTCTAGTTGAAAGAACATTATTTTGTAGATGAAGAAAATGGGACCCATAAAATTTAGGTAATTCCCTCAGATCACAGAGCTGGTTAATGGCAGATGAGACTGGACAAAGTCTCTTGATTCCCAGGTCAGCGTGCTTTCTGCAAGGACACTCTAGTAATATTTATTTAGGCAGGCAAGTATAGACATCAGCTACATTTAGGGGTAATATGGAAACAAGAACAGGAATGTAACTAGGGAGAAGTGAAGAGAAGTATCTCTGGCAGGGCCAAGCCCAGTGCAGCTGTCTGCTGCCATCCATTGTGCTGGGAAGGGTTTCCATGGCAGTGATAACAACAGGAGGGAGACTAGTTCATGGACATGGCTCAAGATAACATCCCAGAAAAAAGGACAAGGAACTGCAGCAGTTGGGTTCCCTGAGATTTCCGGGGTCTGATCTGTTTTGGATTAGCAATATTGCTGGAGTTTTCTCCAAAGGCACAAGGTGATGGAAAACAGATGGTCTAGCCCCAGCTTTGTTCTATGCACATTTCCTTAAGGTTTCCTTCTATTGCAAGGATTAAGGAGTAGGATATAGAATGTCTATATATATAATTGTAAATCGGTGCCTTTAAACCATTCTTGCCTGTTGAAATATAAAACAAAAGAACATTATCAGAGTCACCACATTACCAGCAGTCTTCTTTAACAATCCACCCTACTCCACCCACCCTACTCCAATCACCCAGTCTGTACCATACCTCCTGCTGTGTGACAACACTAGCTGCTCATGTGCAGCTCAATCAGCAACCCTTCCAGGGTTCTACCCAGAGAGGATTGTTTTCCATTTGTTATTATAATAATGACTTTTAAAAATAGATGTCCATGTAAAAGACTTTTTAAAAACAATTCCATTATTTGATTTTGTGTGTGTGTGTATTTAGACTTTCAAGTAAATAATCTTTTCCTCTGCTTTCAGAAACACTCTGGAAGCAGGTTTAGGATGACCAATGCACTTTTAGGAGTGTGTAGAGATTGCTTAGTGTTGCAGAATGCATCTTGTTCATTCAAGAAATAATTACTAAGTATGGCCAGGCAATTACTTCAAAGAAGGCAACATTAACTCAAATAAGGCATGGTCGGTTCCTGATTTCTTTGTGCTTACAATCTAATAAAGGAGGTAGACCTACTATAGCCTAGACAGGGCTATTTTGGGGGGCAGTTTGGGCAGATTCTCTGTAAGAGAACAGTGAAGCAAAGTCATTGGGACTGTCCGGGGAAGCCCTAAACCAATGCTTAAGAAATGCGTTGTTAATCTTTGAAGATCAGCTAGTGAGCTTCTGTGGTGTATGGTGCTCACGATGGAGAGACCAGGCTTGGCGCGCAAAGACAAAGCTATCAACATGGAGACACGACAAGTGACTGGATTAAGGAGTCAGGGAAAAATCAGCCATGGTCACAGAATTTGTATAGGTAGTTTCTGACTGGTGTCCCGAAGATCCTGCATTTTAAGTTTAAGTTCATTGTAAGCTTTTTCTAATTGAGTGATGTCACATAAAAAAACAGATTCCTGATTTGGAAAAATTGGAAGATCAGTTAACACTCCTTTTACTTTCCCTTGCAGTAGCAACCTGGGTGAGCCGCCAAGTGACAGCCTCTACAGTTGGAGCACCACGGGAGCTGGTTCTCTCTAGTCCTCACTGTTCTGTGGTCTCTCACCTCATTCACTTTCTTACCCTAAACCTATGTTACCCCCAACCCTTTCAAATTCCTGTCCCTGGTCATTTTCAATAAAACACTAATCCAGGTACAGCTGTGAAGGGATTTTATAGATGCAAATAAAGTTCCACGTCAGTTGACCTTAAGACACAGAGGTTACCCAAGTGGGCCTGATCTAATTGCATGAGAAGGAAGGACTCAATGCACACTTGCTGCCTTTGTAACTGAACTCAGGTCTAGGCCACTTGTCACCTGAAGCTCAAGAGATGAGCTTTGATGAAAGGCAGGTTAGCTTGATTCAAGAAGCCAGCAACGCAGGGGAGGCAGTGAACTAGAGTTCAAAGACCAAGTCTCTGAGTTGTGCCTCTGAATCAGGAATTTTTAAGGGAAATTAGAGGAAATGATGATCAAAACATTCTTGTAAAATGTGCACAGTCTCAGGTGGATAATTAATCATTGCTTTCTCAGTTGCTGTTCTGTGGCCTTCTGCAGGCATTGTCAGTCTATTCTTATTAGGCCAGTCAGCTCATTTCCAGGGTTGTTGGTCAGGGTACTTTCTTTTTTTTTTTTTTTTTTCTTGAAATGTAGTCTCGCTCTGTTGCCTAGGCTGGAGTGCAATGGCACGATCTTGGCTCACCGCAACCTCTGTCTCCCAGGTTCAAGTGATTCTCCTACCTCAACCTCCGGACTAGCTGGGAATACAGGCACCTGCCACCATGCCCGGCTAATTTTTTTTTTTTTTGTATTTTTATCAGAGACAGGGTTTCACCATGCTGGCCAGGCAGGTCTCAAACTCCTGACCTCAGGCAATCCACCCACCTCGGCCTCCCAAAGTGTTGGAATTACAGGTGTGAGACACTGCACCCAGCCTAGGATACTTTCTTTTACCTCTTTTGAAGGTCCTTTTTTCTGAGGCTGTTTTTAGGGAATAATCTACAAACTTGCATAATCATTGTATTCAAGCAAGCAAGCTTTTCTCTAACATGGAGTCAGTACTGTTGCACTTTGAGGATGGAGGGGCACACGTGAGAAGGGATGCAGGTGGCCTCTAGGAGCAGAGGTCAGACTTAAGCCAGTAATAAAACAGTAACCTACAACTTCAAGGAACTGGTTTCTGCCAACAACCTGAATGATCTTGGAAGCAGATGTCTTCGCAGAGCCTTAGATAAGAGCCCAGCCAGCTTACACCTTGATCTTGGCCTTGTGATTGATGGCCTCGGATAGAGCCCAGTCAGCTTCAACAGGACTCCAGGCCTACAAAACTGTAAGGTAATAAATGGGTGTGGTTTTAAGCTACAAAATTTGTTATAATTTGTTATGCAACAATAAGAAAATGGATACATGGGCTTTATGGAATCGGACAAATTTGGGTTTGCATCCAGAACCTGCCACTTGCTCTCTCTACCATCTAGGGAAAATTCCTTACACTTCTTTCCTTATTGGTAAAATGAGTATATAAATATAACCCACCCCATAAAGGTATTGTGAGGATTAACTGGTATAGCACATTGTAGAACAGTTAGCCTAGCATATAGCTAAGTATTCATTAAATAAATTAGCTCCTGTAGCTGGTAAGCCTGGGTCAGGTCCTTGTCTTCACAGTACAAAAGAATTTAAAAGCAAGACCACAGTGATAGTATAGAAGCTTTATTGCAGAGTGAAAACAAGCACACACTCAAGAGAGGAATGCAGCTGTGCTCAAAAGAATGAGCTATGATCAAGGTGGCCAGGGCTTACATACTATATGGATAAGCAGAATGAAGGCATGAAATAATCCATAGTAAGGAGAGGGGTTTTCTGGGAAATGGGCAGGCAATTCCTGGAATTGGGGTGCTACCCTTTTCTCAACTGGCTAAATATGGTTAATCTAGAACCGTCATAGCATCAGGTGCATGATGGGAGTAAGGGGTTCCCCCATGGAAATTTTATGGTAATAGGGGTATAATGAAGCCAAGGGTCAGCAGTTGGTCAAGTTTTTCAGCCATCTTGGATTTAACCAGTTGTGCCAGTTGCTTCTTTTTTACATTCTTATCTGTGCCTGAAGCAGGATGTCTGCAATCTGTCTTCATTGTTGCAGCCTGTTGTAACAGTTCCTTTCTACTAGGGGATGGGTCCTTGTGCTAACCTGTTTGGCCCCATTTGTATTGCTTTTAGCCGCCTGCAAGAAATGATGCCCTGTTCCCTTGCTAATTGCCTGCCTCAAAAGAAACATTTCAATTTTTTTTCAGTTTCTTAAGTAAAAGCAGGATTTTTGAAAAATACTTGAATAGCAAATCATTCAAATAGAGCAAATATCAAACTACTTTTATGTTGTCATAGAGACCAAATGTGTTGATTGAAATCCCTGCTTGCCTGTCCTGGAATTTTCATCTACCACAGAGACCCTGAGATCCTACACTGCCAGCCTATTATAGGAGGAACGATCCATGCTTCAAGAAAGGAAACAAACTTGGCCTCTCATTCCCAGTCCTGTAATTAGCCAAGGCATCTTAGGAATATCCTTCCATTTTTCTGGGTCTTGTTTTTCTCATCTGCACAATGAATGCAAACTCAAGGTTCCCATGAGCCTTCTCACTCTCCTCTTTTGGAAAGTTCTAAGTTAAAGATAGGAAAAGTTGCTGTTGGCATCAGAAAAGCAACTTTGTGTCTTTGCATTCAACAGCTAGATCCAAGGCGCAGCAGTGGGAACAGTTTCCTCCAGTTTCACTACTGGTAGTTCTCTTCATATTTGCTTCTACTTCTTAAGGGTTATGAGAGCTAAAGAGAGCCTAAGTGAATGGTGGAGTAATCCATCTAGCAAAAAAGACTATTCTCCCAGGATCTGCCAAATATTCATTAAGTTAGCTTCTCATTAATCTGCACAAGGTAAAAATTACTTCCAGAATTAGAAGAGAATGAAGGCAACATTATTATTAATATCCATGTCTTATTACTTGTTCTATTCCTCCATACGACATGAAACCCATCTTTGTAATCATCAGTCCTCAGCAAGTCTCCTCAGATGTTATTTCAGCTAAAGCATGGTGACGACAAATGCCAACTCCAGCACTGGGGAAAAGCTTTGTGGATGAGAACATTGGCATTTGGGACCATTTATGCTGCTTTCCAGTTCTGAGTGATTGCTGGTGTTCATGTTTATTCAGCAAAGTCCTTGGAGACCTGTTTGAAAGGGCACATGTTCTCTGGATATGGAAGAAAAGTAACTCTGTGGGTAAGGAAGGAGTCATCAGTGATCTCAGCTTTCTGCTGCCTGGGACCTGCCTGCTGGGAGACTATTAATGAAGAACCCACGGAGAAGATAGGAAACAAGATTTGTTTTCAAAATAATCAATGGTTGTGTGCCCTTGGGCAAGTTACCTGACCTCAATGAGCCTCCTGGGTAAAGTGGACATGAAGTAAAAAGAAGCATTCCTTTTTAAAATTTGTTCCACATGATTACAGTGTAAGGAAACTTACCTATATTATTTTTCTAAATCTAAACAAATCTCATTGTCAGAGTTGATGAGAAATCCAATATCAGTTGTTATTGGAGTGGAAGAGAGGCATGGGCTACAGACAGCAGTTTTGCTGGGCTAACACTGTCTGGAAAATGTCGGGAAGACCCTCTGTTCTTCAGTCCATTATGGTGGCCACTGAGGTGTCCACTGTCCACCTGGACTGTCCCAAGGTGGACAGCTTCTCTGCTCATGGTGGCATCCACCTCTCTGTGCCCTGCCTTGCTCTCAGTACCTTTAACATGGCTCCCAATACCACAGAACATGGGGCAGAAGCCCTGCAGCCATGCTTTATCCTGTCCCTGTCTCTGCTAATGAGGTGTGATTTCAGATTCCTATCACTCCCCCATCGCCCTATCCCCATTAGATCTCAAGGACTCTCACCTCTCTCCTCTAGTTATTCTACTTCTCACTCCTCCAACCCTTGGCGACTTTTCACTTTGGATCAATCCATATCCATATATTTATGGACCTAGACTAGAGATCAGAGTGGACTTCAGCATGATGGCAAATGTCAACAATCATTCCAGTCTTCTGGAATGCAAGATGAACTGGTAAGACTATAGTGAACTAGCAAACACATGTCCATCTAAAAGAGAAAGTTGCTACTCAGCTCCAAGTGGTCATATCACATGGAAACAAAAGTTCAGAACTGTATGTCTCCCAGTGTTTCAAGAAAAGCATATTATTTTAGGTGAGAATTCCTGACTTTAAAATGTTGGTGTAGTTAAAAAATAAAAACCTCACGCAGGCTAAACACACCACATGTGAAGCTAGCCAGTTTGCTAAAGCTGTCATAACAAAGTACCACAGACTAGGTGGCTGAAACAACAAAAATATTGTCTCACACTTCTGGGGGCTAGCAGTCTGAAATCAAGGTGTTGGTAGAGTTTGTTCCTTCTAAGCACTGTGAGGAAAGGATCTGCTCCCGGCCTTTCTCTTTGGCTGGTAGATGGCCATCTTAATGTTTACATGGCATTCTCCCTGCATGTCCTCATCATCTACCCTCTGTGCATGTCTATGTCCAAACTATCCAAACTTCCCCTTTTAGTAAGGACACCAGTCATCACCAGTCATATTGAATTAGGCTCCACCCTAATGGCCCATGTTAACTTTACTCATTACATCAGCAATGACTCTGTTTCCAAATAAGGCTACATTCTGAGGTACTGGGCCTTAGGACGTCAACATATGAATTTTAAGGAACATAATTGAACCCATAACAGTGGTCTCAACACGGACTTTTTAAAACAACTTAGTTCTCTCTGCATCAACAGAAGGCCCAATCTTCATATTACACAAAGAATTGGTTATTAGGGGTGGGAGGTGGAGAGTAGATTAATAAAAAAGGTAAACATTATAGGAGGCCAAAGTGAGAGCCTTGCTTAAGCCCAGGAGTTCAATACGAGCTTGGGCAACATAGTGAGACTCCATCTCTACAAAAAATAGTAGTACTCCCATCTACTTGGAGGGTTAGGGTGGGAGAATCACTTGAGCCTGAGAGGTGAGGCTGCAGTGAGCTGTGATCGTGCCACTGAAATTCAGCCTGGGCAACAGAACTACACCTTGTCTTTAAAAGAAAAATAAACACAACTCATTCTTTTGAGACGAGAAGCTACAATTCATTTATCAAACAGGTTATCTGCTCACTAGGGCATCTGGCATATAGTAGATTCCCAGTAAATATTTGTTCAATTAGGATGAGTTGAAGTAAATCAGAATTAGATAGAATAAAAGGAGAGGAGGGAGCAGATTAGAGGCTCTTCAAGATGCCCCTCTCAAGAGCTGAAGGAATTCCGTCTTTAGAGTAGAATAAGAACTTAGCAACTTTGCAATGGGCATCAAATATGCCTGTTGTTAATCAGGCATTTCCCTGGCTTAGAGGTAAAAGTATATCATGTTCTAACCTGGATAGAATTTGGGGCTAGGGATGTTGAGAGACTTAATTTATCAACATTGACCAAAAAAGTGAACCGTACAATTCATGATGAATTCTTAATGCTGTGAAGCTGCATGCTCGTTTTAGTCTCATCTTATTAAAATATGTTGCCACAGTAGCTGACATTTCCTTATTTGAAGAAGAACACATGGACTTTGAAGAAAAACCTAGATTCACGTCCTGCCCTCCCCCATTATTTGCTGTGTTTTGTTGGCCAAGATAGCAAGCTATTCTGAGTCTCAGCTTTGTCATTTGTATAGGATTAAGTGATGAAAATATGGTGCTCTCAATGTTTGGGTTCTGGCATCCAACACAGGACAGAATGAAAATACTTCCTACTTGTTTAGATGTAAGTCTTTTTTCAGAACTTTTTAATCAATTTATTAATTTTGTTATTTTTTCCCTGAGCTTATTTTATGTTATGAAATATGATAGTCAGGTACCAACCTAAACTGACAAGTACAAAAAAAGGGAAAAAGCAATTAATTTGCTGGTACAAGTGGGAAGCCAGGCTTAGTTACTCCCAGGAGCTCCAATAATATCATCAGAGTCCTGTCTCTCTGCATCTCTCGACTCAGCCTCTGCATGGTCTTAATCTCAGAAGCCTCTGCCTTTGTGATGGCAAAAGGAGGATTATCACTATCTCCATGCTCACAACAGTCTTACAGCTTTGACAAGAGATATAGTCTTTCTTTATGACTCTAGTATTAAAACATGTTTATAAAGCCTAGGATCACATGTCCTTTCCTGAGCGGTAGCCAGGAGGTTGCAGTACCCTGATTGGTTAAGCCTGAGACACAGACCAGGAACAATAACTGGGCGAACTCCTGATTCCTTAAATGCATGGAATAGGAAAGAGTTGATTCCCCCCTGCAGCCCAAGATGGAATGCTGGGCAGGTGAGAATATAGCCACATAGTATAGTAGTATGCAAAGGGCTTTGGCTTTCTTCAAGATGATTTATTAAATCTTCTAAAAGTTGTCCAGCCAGTGCTTATTTCAGCCTTACAAATGAATCTGACCATGAACATTGATGTATTGGCTGGGCATATAAAGCAGACTGAAAAAAAGTACAAGCTCCTAAAGATGAGTGACTATGTTTTGCTTAAAACATAAGTCCACTTGTACACACACACACACACACGCGCAGGTGCACACTTCTACCTAAGGCTTTTACTGTCTATGTAATTATGTCCAGACACTGCAATATGACATTCATGGCTTTTCCTAAGCTGCTAGAAACTATCACTCCATATAGTTTGGGTTCAGATATTGAATCTTGCTTTGTAGTTTATAATACTGGGATTTGGGGCTTTTCTGAGCCCTGGTCAGAAATGAATAAATCAAGAATAGGTTAGGAGAATTCTGACATGTCTGGGTGTTTTTGGCACAAAGATGTGAGTGTAGCACGACTATTAGAAGCCTATTTGTCTGAAAGCTAAGGTCCCTCCTGGTGTGAGAAAAAAAAAAATCCCCAAAACTAAAATTGCATGTACTTCTGGGCAAATATATACCAAGATGTATTTGGGAGAAGTCTTCAGCAGGGCTGATGATTTTCTCTAAAGAGTTCCTGCCAATATGGAAAGGACCTTTGCAGCACCAGCAACAAAGCCTTAGTGGAGAGATGAGACTTTCTGCACAATGGAGTTTGTCCCTCGGATTCATCCTCCTGTTCCACTTTCCCTGGGTGAAGATATGAATCTTTTAAAGAGCAAAACAGCTGTAAGTAAGATGTATAAAACAGCAGGTGCTCCAGTGACATTGCTGGCACCTATCTGACAGACAGTAAATCACAGCAGAGAGCCGTGCTCTCAACTACATGAGACAGTTCCAATGCTGCACAGAGCGTTCCAAGGCCTTTGTCACGGAGCCCCATGCAGCAGAGTCAGTCCCCAGGAGGCCCGGTTTTACCCAGAGGAGCAGCAGCAGTGGTCATGTGCAGGACAGGAACCGGCAGCACCCATGGAGCCCCAGGAGCTGCAAGGGAGTTTTGGGGAATAGCTGTGGCGCCCTCCATACAGCAGTGGTGGCAACTAGAGGGGAACAATCTCCCCGAACTGCTTAGTTCCCTTGTACAAAGCAATTTAAGTTGGCTCTGCCTTGACTCCTTCAATCTGATTTTTCCTCCACCAACTCTTAAAATTATCTTCAATTATCTGGACATTGTATCTTCAATTATTTGACCATTATCTTCATTATTTTACCATCACATGATGATGCTGGCAATCAAAAAGGCTCTTAAATTAGAAGGATTTTACCCTCAATCCTGGGGTGGAGTGAATTTGGGGGGTGTTCATGTGTATAAATAATTGCTTTCTTAACACACACACAGCTAAATTAATACTCATCAAAGCTTAGTTAACGTTGTCTTTGGTTAGTGCAATCATGAGTGATTTCTTTTTTGTTTTTATTCTTTTTCGTTTTGTTTTCTTTTTGGGAAGGCTTGTCTGCATTTTCTAAATTTGCTGCAGTTATATTTTTGACTTTATATTTTTTAAAAGGCCAATTTAAAAGAAAAGAAACAAAAATCCTCTATCAGTTCTTATACTCCATCTTAGAATCTAGTTCCTCAGTGGAGCCATTTCTAACTTTTCCTCCTCCTACACTTCCCTGTCAAATAATGAGAAATTTTGAATCCCTGAACTAGGGCAGTGCCACCACCTCTGCAGGCATCAATTTAGCCCTTGCCAAATGTTGGCTGTCTGTTGAATGTACCCAGCCTGGGGCCTTAAATTAGTCACGTAATGGTTCCAACTCTTTAATTCAATTAAATTTAATAACTTATGATTGAATGCCCAAGTGCTTTGCTGGGCTGTGGCCCTTTGTATTTACAAAGGTACAGTTAATGACACTGGCAGGAGAGCATGAAATAAATTAAACTGTAAGCACACCTTGCTCTTGAATCCACCTTGGTGCCCACAGCTCCTCTCTCACTCCACCCCCACCTATATGATTCCTAAATCCTCTCCACATCTGGGTCCCTATGCTCTGTGTTGTACCTGCCCATATGAGTAGGATAGACACGTGACTCATTCTGTCTCTCCTACAATGATAGGGAACTTGCACTCCATGGAATATGCAAAATAATATATTAAAAGAACAGAAGGAAATATTAGAAATTTAACTTCCATTTACTTCTGACCTAAAACAAAAAGGAAGCGAAGCTTTACCAGTATTTCATATTCATTGACACATCAACCTAACCAGCTACATGTCACTTGTAGTGCTCTAGGGATCCTACGGGAAGAGGGAGACTTCAAACGACAAGGAAGTTGACCGATGCCCTCAATGCGTTGGCTTTCAGTTTTTACAACTTAGTTTGGTGAGTTTGAGATTCTGTTATCTGGCTGTAACTAAATCATCTCTCACAAAATAGAACACTGGCTTAGAAAGATTCCTGCTCTAAAAAATCTCTGGATTAAAGATATGAAAAATCTAAGCATAAACAAGAAACCTGCATCTCTGGATTTCTATCCTTGATCTGAGTCTTTTTACACCCACAGTCAATCATGACCGAATCCTATTGTTAAAGTCACTATATATAGATATATATTTCACTGATATTAATGGTGAATTTTTCCCTAAGCATGTTGCCACGCAAGTTTTCTTGCTCAAGTATTCTGGTTATACAGTGTTTTTCTCAAGTACTAAAACACTAGAATTTTGGGGGATGAGGTGTTGATATAACTCTTTTTATATTGAAAAACTTAATATCTGAATTATTTCTGACTTTAGCTATTCCTGAGAGTTATAAACTATATTAAAATTTCAGAGCAAAAAAAAGATATAGTTGTTTTAAAAGGGTTCTTCAGTATATTCAAAACTCTTGAGAAAGAAGAAAATAGTAATTGACCAAAGTTCATATTGAAATAATTTTTTTTCTAGTTCAAAGACTTTCCAAACAAGTGGAAAAAGAATTGACAGTACTGAGTCTGATATGAGAAACACAATATCCATTGGAAAGTCAATCTGCATGATGAAACTAAGATAAACCTGAAATTATTTCTTTAAAACAAAAGTATAGTTTACCATCATTTGAAAAATTATGGTTCTTGGAGAAAAATAGTTTACTATGTCCTCAAAATAATAAAACAACAAAGGGATTATTTGAGAAGGAAAGAGTTGAAGGAAAACACTTCAAGTCAGTTTATAACTCTCTCCTTATAATTTCCCAACTAGAGTCTTAAGGCTTTTCCAGAAACAGAAATAAATCTGTTCTAACAATTAAAACTTTACAAGATTACATTCTAAAAATTCAAATATATTTCATTTTCAGTGTTCATAATGTGTTGTATCAGTTTGCATTTAATGTGTGCTTTATTCTTTTTAAATAATGCTTTATTTTATCTGTAAATTTGTTTGAATAATGTATGTTTTTTATTTCACTTTTAAGAAATTTGCTTTAACTTGTTGCTTTTGTACTACATTTATATATTTGTATGTTTACAATATGGTGAATATTATCTTTACTGACTTTTTATACTATGAAATCTGAACATATGAATTAAGAAAATATCTAAATTAACATGCCTATTTTTATAATATACAAAATGAGTACCAACATACTTTATTGCCATTTTGATGTTTTAATACTTTGAAGAGTAGGTTAATAAAAACCATTGCAATTAGGAAGAATTTTAAATATTGGTTATTTTAACTTTATTTCATCATTTAAATGTTTTATGGTGAAAATATATATTAAATGTGCTTATACTGGAGGCAGGTGCTCAGCAACTTATTGCTAATGGGGAGTACAACAAAAAAATGAGATTGTTCACTGTGAAAAACTATAATATGTATTATCAGATGACTTTTTTTTTTTTTAAGAAAAGCTAGCATTCAACAAATGAGTGCCATCAAAACTATCCAAAAAACATTTTTGGAAGTCCTTGGTTCCTAGATAGATCATAGTTCAAGCCATGCTTTCTCCTGCTTAAAGTTGACACCCCTAGCTGGGTGTGGTGGCTCACACCTGTAATCCCAACACTTTGGGAGGCTGAGGTGGGTGGATCGCTTGAGCTCAGGAGTTCAAAACCAGCCTGAGCAGCATGATGAAACCCCACCTCTACAAAAAATGCCAAAAAACTAGCAGGGCATGGCAGCACACAGCTGTAGTCCCAGCTACCTTGAAGGCTGGGGTGGGAGGATCACTTGAGCCTGGGAAGTCAAGGCTGCAGTGAGCAGAGATGGCACCACTGCACTCCGACCTGGGCAGCAGAGCAAGACTCTATCTCAAAAAAAAAAAAAAAATAATAATAATAATAATAATAATAGTTTTACCTCTTCATTCCCACCCACGCACTTCTCGACGTAATACAGGCTAGACCAAAGCAAAGTCATGCAACTGCTTCCATTTTTTATGGCAGCTTGTAGCACATTCAGGTCAGTACTGGAGGGGAAAATAAGAAAATATTCCTTGGCTTTTGTTCAGGAAATGTTTTAACTACATGCGTCTGAATAGCCTTCCCTGAATATCTGTTCTGTGAAGTCATTTGGCTGAAAGCTTCCCTCTGTCACAGGGTGCCTGTAATAAAACTATCAGAGAGTAGATAAATAGAGCCAGTTCAAACACTCATTGCTCTGTGTTGCCTTAAACAAAGGAGAGAGAGAGCCTATATCCCTGAAGAATCGAGCATTAGTAAGATGTTTCTCTGCTTTGGGAAATATCCACTTGCAGATGGAAAGGGACTGTTTGTTGGCATCAGGTACAAATAAAGCACCAAGATGCTTTACCACGCACATGAAGTCCCGCTCACCCTTTTCCACATTAATGTTTATAACTTCAAAAGCACACTGGGTGAAGAAAGAGAAGGAGGGTACTTCGATGACATTAGCAGTCCTGGCTTTTGTGTTAAATTGCATTTGACTGGGCATAAGCACTTAGGCAAGCATGGGAATCGTGGTCTTGATTTTTGGATTCTAAAGTTATGCCTCTATGGATTCAGAAATATTGTCTCCATCATTTTTGTGGAGACTGTCCTCAAATAGGACTCACGCTTAGACTGCATGTAAATTTGCATAATGATTGCTTGAGTGATGACAGAGAACTTGGCACAGTGCCTTGCAGAGCCAGTAGAATCGTAGAGAAGCTGTTTTTATCCTTAGGATGGATTAAATCTAGACATGAGAAAGAACATGCCTTCCAAGAATGCTTTTCTAAGACATTGCTCAGGAGAAATGCAGTGGAAGGGAAATCTGACATGTGACTGGAATAGAGTACTTACTCAACTTCATAATTAAACTCAGCTGTCATTTGATTGAAGTAGAAGACCAAGAAGAAAGTTGCTTTGTTCCACTACATGAATTATTTAAAGTTATAATCACCTATACCTGCAGATAAATTCTCAATAGAGACCATATGTTATTACACATCTTAATTGTGTTTTAAATTTTTTGTTTTAAATTTAAGAAAGTTTTGTTGTTGTTGTTGTTTTGATTTTTTTTTAGATGGAGTTTCACTATTGTCGCCCAGGCTGGAGTGCAATGGCACGATCTCGGCTCACTGCAAACTCTGCCTCCCAGGTTCAAGTGATTCTCCTACTTCAGCCTCCCAAGTAGCTGGGATTACAGGCGGCCGCCCCATGCCCAGCTAATTTTTGTATTTTTCGTAGAGACGGGGTTTCACCATATTGTCCAGGCTGGTCTCGAACTCCTGACTTCAGGTGAATTGCCCCCCCTTGGCCTCCCAAAGTGCTGGGATTACAGGCATGAGCCACTATGCCTAGCCAAGAGAGATTTTAATAATGGTGACTGGAAACAGAAGAGATTAATGGAAAAATGGACATATAAGAAAGTTAGTTAACTAAGGTATTTGAAAGTATGCAATAAATTTTATTCATAAGTATTTTGTGGTCTTAGTGCTAATGGTTTCTTAAAATTGTGGCTCATGATTTCAATAGAGGTAGAATCGGCACTAAATGAAGTTGGAAAAATTGGTCATAGATGAGTTTCATCTCAATTTCTTAGAGACTATGATATACATAATTCTTGTCCTCATTTAACTATCTAGAAGGTAAAATAGAAATAAACATAGGTAACTATTATTTTAAAAACACATGACACCTTATTTACTAATACATTTTTATTAATCTGTACTCATCACTTTTTTATTATTATGTATTTTTAGTGCTTTGACATCTTAGAGCCTTGTTAACCCTGGAGGGACTGTACCTCCTAGGGCTAGCTAATTTCTAGAGATAGCAAAAAACTAACCTGTCATTATGCTTGTCATATGCAAACCGACCACTCTAGAACCAATGTCTTCAAACATTTTCTCTAGTGAGCTCTTACAGGCCACTATTTTCCTCCCCTAATCATCTCAGGGCCAGGTACTAAACTATTAGGAGCAGCTCTGACATTCCAAAGCCCACTGAAATTATTCAAACTAGCCAGTCCTAACAAAACCTGCCTCTCCCATTCCCATTCCTTACCATGAAAACCACAATAAAGGCTCTTACCACCATTTCCCTCTCTTCCTCTGCCTCATGACCAACCCCAGCACTTCTCCATGTGCTCCCCCACATTTCTGTGGCATGGAGTGCTCCCTCCTCTTAGGATCTGTGAGTATAACACACTATCTTATTAATGGTGGTCATTAATAATATCTTATTAATGGTCAGTTAATGGTCTCTTGATCTGTTAGCCTTGCCATACCTAAATAATAATAAAATCAATGTTTTGAAACATAGCCTGGTAATATTAATGTTTCCTCTGCTATGGCAGACTGGATATTACAAAAAAAAAAAAAAAAAAAAAAAAAAAACCTCCAGGCACGAATTTTTAGTGCTGAATGAAATATAAAAGCATATTATAAATGCACTAGAAAGTTAAGGAAAAGCCAAACTGATGCAAAGCACAACTCCAGACAAGTCACCAAGCTGATACCAGAGACACTCCCTGAGGGAATCCATTAATGTCTAGTGGCCTGGATCTTCAGTTTTAGTTGACTTTGCACAGGAGACAGAAAGCAAAGCCTAGAGCCTGCACAAAATGAGAAGTCACTCCCATAAAATAGGTATCCCTCAAAAATGTTAACCTTGGTGAATGGACTAGAAAAGATAAAAATTCACAAAACAAGATAGTCTTGGCTTGGGGATAGAGGCAGTTAATAATACCTCTTGAAGATTTATAATCATAACTCTATCCTCAAATAAATTTTGGGCTGGAATTCATAATGTCTTTGTATCTCCCCAAAACCCAAGCCAATAATTTTGTTTAAAGCAGTCCCAGGAAGAATTCCCAGATGCCTGTCAAAAGCAAATAAAAATGATTTCTAAGGAAACTCACCTTCAAATTTGATCTCAAAAATTTCCCACAGAGAAAGCTCCAAATAGCTTAAGCTCACATAAGCACACATAAAAAATAACAAAACACATAAAGAAACGAGCCGCTGTAAGTCAGAATCAGCAGAAACAATAGACAGGAGAACCAGACCCAGAAGATCTAACAATAGCAGAAATACTAGGCAAAGAATGTAAAATAAGAATTTTAAATATGTCTCAAAAAAATAACAGAATGCATTGAACTTATATGGCCCGGGAAACAAATACTATAAAAAGTAAAATACAAATGAAAAAGAATCAAATATACATAAAGCCCTTTTAAAAGGTAATAGCAAAATAATTATAAATTCAAGTAATGGGTTAAACATCAAATTAGGCATAGTTGAAGAAAGATTTGTGAACTGACAAATCTAAATGTCTTAGTCCATTGTGGCTGCTATAATAGAATACCATGGGCTGAGTGACTTGTAAACAACAGAAATTTGTTTCTCCTTTTCATTGTGTTTTATATTTTCTTCTCTCTCTTTGATCTGGAAATTTTCTACCGATCTTTCTCATTTACTTAATCCTTTCTCTTCTCTGTCTAAACTGCTTAAACCCATCTATTGAATTCATTGCATACATTATATTTTTTAATTCTGGAATTTCCATTTGATTATTTTGTATAGACTCCAGGGACCTGATAAAATTCTCCATATTTTCATTTATATTGGCACATTCTTACACTAAAAAGTTATTTCTGGTGTACCTGAAGTTCTAATTTATCTGGGCGTTCTGTATTTTATCTGGAACCCCTCATCCCTGTGCATGTGCAATTTAGAAACAGATAAATACTTCAAGAGGATGTTGGGCATGCAATGTCTTCTCTGCAGTTCTTTCTTGGGGATCTTGGCCCTTCAAATCCTTGCAGCCTGATAACTCTAAACCCTAATTTCATCTCACCATTCTAGAGCACCTGCCATAAGCTCTAGGTGACACCTGTTGGGCTCCATGCCCCATGCCAACCATCAGCAGATACCTCAGAAAGGAAAAGCAAGGCAAAGGGAGGGGTCACTCCTATGCATTTCCCTTTTCTCCAGAATCTTGGCCCTCAAGTGCTGGCTGACTTGTTGACTCTCCTTTGCCTTCAAAAAGCTGTTTGTTTGTTTGTTTGTTTGGCATTTCAATTATTCATCCACAAGAAGTTTATTCTGATAGCCTCTACACTGTCATGGCCAGAAGTGAAGTACAGCTGTGAGTACTCATGTGTGGAATAGTGTTAGTCATACTGTTTTCTGGATGAGAATGAATATCCTTTCAAATTCCCTTTGAAGCATCAAAGCCTATCCCTTTACTGTCTGAAGCAGTTTTATGATTACACAGCACAACCAAAAGATTCTTCTATGACAGATTCTATCTCAATATCTCTATGTAATGTTCCCTTGCAGCTGGAGAGAGTTGCTAAGATATAGAAAAAGACCACAGGCCCTGACTCTTCCTCCTCATCTTGGCCATCTCATCTTGGTGGTTCTGCTGTGATTGTCAACTATTGAAATTGGTTACACACCACCCTTACCCTTAATATCTCTGAAACTGTGGATGTTATTTCACCTTTCTGAGCCTTGGCTTACTCATCAACAAAGTAGCAATAATAGTAGTACTCACCTTCTAAAATTGCTATAAAAATTAAACAAGATCATCTCCATAGAGCACTTAGCACAGTGCTTGGCATGTAATGTGTTTTGTAATTGGCAGTTATTGTCATTACTTTTCCAACTGGGGAAGATAAAAATAAGTGTTTTAAAACATATCATCCCCCAGGCATGATGAGAATGATTTGATTATTCATAAGCGTGCTGATATAACTGAGATATCTGTTAACTTCTGCACATGCAGAAGTTAGCATACACAAAGGTTTCAAGCCATGCCTGAGAAAGGGAATTTTGAACTGAATCAAATTACTTATTAGTTTACTTGTTTATGCCATAGCAACTCTTTACTCTAAAAAGTATTTGAAACAATAAGGACAGAAATATGTATATTGCAACAGGATATAAAATTAAATGTGGCAAATAAATATAAAGGGGAAAATAAAGGTAAGATAATTGAAATATATAATATATGACACAGAGAAAATTTGGAATAGAGTCTTAAAGTTCTAATAGCTGATGCATTTAATCTGTGCTTGAACCCAGAGAATGGATGGCCAGACAGCACATCTCAATTTATTCCCTAACTCATATGAGATTATGGTTTAAGACAAAGCCTTCTACAGAGGAACAATTACATGTTTCTTCAAAAGATGGCCAGATGACACCTTCAGACATCTAAGACCTTCAAAAAGACCTTCACAATTCTATTGTCTGTCTCTAAGCCACCCATTATCTAATGCATTAAGGATCAGAGTGTTGGGTCCTGCTCAGAAGTGAGCATTTACTATATTTTTGTCTCTTCTTTTTTTTTAATTTAAAAAAATACTCAGTGCTTTTGAAATTACTGCCTTATGAATCTTGCCTTTCTAAAGTATATAACTCATCTTCCCTGCTTACCTTATGGCTCATCTGACCCAGGCTTGCTCTACCTGCCAGATAGATGAAAGCTTTGAATCTGAAGCAGCAATGGTGAGGAAGCAGATGCCATGGAGAATCTGTCTTATTTCTTTCCAGGTTTGTGGCTGAGGCTACAAAGCAGTGCCTGGTCCAGAGGTGGCATTGGTGATGCTAGGAGAAGCAAGTGCACTAAGTCCTGTCAGGTACAGAAGTGGAAGTAATAGAGATTCCAGCATCTAAGGCTCAAGAACTGTGGTAGTAGTTTTCTTGTTCGACCAGCTCTGCTGCACAGCTTGGTGTCTTAGTCCATTTGTGCTGCCATAATAAAATGCATGAGACTGGGTAATTTATAATAAGCAGAAATTTATTTCTCACAGTTCTGGAGGCTAGGAAGTCCAAGTAAAGTTACTGCCAGGTTTGTTGTCTGGTGAAAGCCAGTTCCTCGTAGATGGTGCCGTCTTAGTGCCCTTACATGGTTGAAGGGATAGAAGGGCAAAAGGGGACAAACACTGTGTCCTCACATGGCGAAAGAGCAGAAGAGTGTGAACCCACCCCCTCAAGCCATTTTAGAAGAGCCCTAATTCCATCCTGATTGCCCTCATGACAATCACCTCCTCAAGGCCCACCTGTTAATACTATCATATTTGCATTAGGTTTCAGCAGATGAATTGTGGGGGACACATTCAGACCATAGCACTAAAGGAGTTGTTTTTAAAAGTTTATCTCAAGTCCAGCAGCCGAGCCCTTCAATGATTCTATGAGTTACCAAATAAATATTTGTGTTAGTTCATTCCCACATTGCTGTAGAGACAATTAATTCGTCTCTACTTGTTAATTTATAAAGAAAAGAGGTTCAATTGGTTCACAGTTCTGCAGTCTGTACAGGAAGTGTAGCAGGATCTGCTTCTAGGCGGGGCCTCAGGAAGCTTCCAATCATGGTGGAAGGCAAAGTGGGAGGAAAGCATCTTACATGGCAGGAGCAGGAACAAGAGAGAGTGAGGGGGATGTGCTACACACTTTTTAACAACCAGATCCCATGAGAGCTCACTCACTATCACAAGAACAGCACCAAGCAGATGGCGCTAGGCCATTGATGAGAAATCCACCTCCACCATCCAATCACATCCCACCAGGCCCTGCCTCCAACATTGGGGATTATAATTGAAAACGAGATTTGGGCTGAGAGACAGATCCAAACCATATCAACACTTTAAAAAAGGACTCTTTCTACCTGGGTCAGATTCTGTTGCTTGAAAACCAAGAACTCTGGCTAATACTCGGGCCTTTTTCTCCACCTGCCTCATGCCTTGTTCACACAAGTAGATGTTTTATTTCTAAAATTCATGATTTGATCCACCTGCTTTGTCAGAAGAACTGACTTCTAGGGAATCCTGTTAAGGAAAAGAGTTCTTTCACTTTTTTCTTTATTTTTACCTGTGTGTAATTTGAATTTGTTTTAAAGAGAATGAACTGCTTTGTTAATTTTTAAAAGCTTAAAATGTGAAAAACTCAAGTTGTGGCCAGGATGACTTTGTCTGTTGGGCCTTCAGGCTACCTGCTGAGAGACTGAATACAAATAGATGCTGGCCAAACCATATATAAAAATAGAGGCCAGGTGCCATGGCTCACGCCTGTGATCCAAGCACTTTGGGAGGCCAAGGAGGGGGTTTTGGGGGACCTGCCCTGAAAATCTCGTAGGTTCTTTTCTATTTTCCTAAGCATTGGCTGGCTTGAGAAATAAAAGGACAGAGTACAAAAGAGAGAAATTTTAAAGCTGGGTGTCCGGGGGACACATCAAACATTGGTAGGATCCGTGATGCCCCACAAGCCACAAAAACCAGCAAGTTTTTATTAGGGATTTTCAAAAGGGGAGGGAGTGTGCGAATAGGTGTGGGTGACAGACATCAAGTACTTAACAGGGTAATAGAATATCACAAGGCAAGTGGAGGCAGGGCGAGATCACAGGACCACAGGACCGAGGCAAAATTAAAATTGCTAATGAAGTTTCGGGCACCATTGTCACTGATAACATCTTATCAGGAGACAGCTTTTTGAGATCAACTGGTCTGACCAAAATTTATTAGCCGGGAATTTCCTCTTCCTAATAAGGCCTGGGAGCGCTATGGGAGACTGGAGTTTATTTCAGCCCTACAGTCTCAACCATAAGAGACAGGTACGCCCCGGGGCGGGCAGTGGGGTCAGTTCAGAGACGTACCCCTAGGTGCTCATTCTCTTTCTCAGGGATATCCCATGCTGAGAAAAAGAATTCAGCGATATTTCTCTCATTTGCTTTTGAAAGAAGAGAAATATGGCTCTGATCTGCCCAGCTCACCAGCAGTCAGAGTTTAAGGTTATCTCTCTTATTCCCTGAACAATTGCTGTTATCCTGTTCTTTTTTCAGGGTGCCCACATTTCATATTGCTCAAACACACATGCTGTACAATTTGTGTAGTTAATGCAAGGGTTCTGAGATGATATACATCCTCCTCAACTGACAGGATTAAGAGATGAAATTAAAGACAGACATAGGAAATCACAAGGGTATTGACTGGGGAAGTGATAAGTGTCCATGACATCTTTACAATTTATGTTTAGAGATTGCAGTAAAGACAGGCATAAGAAATTACAAAAGTATTAATTTGGGGAACTAATAAATGTCCATAAAATCTTCACAATCCATGTTCTTCTGCCATGGCCTCAGCCGGTCCCTCCGTTTGGGGTCCCTGATTTCCCGCAACATGGGTGGATCACAAGGTCAGGAGTTCGAGACCAGACTGGCCAAGATGGTGAAACCCCATCTCTACTAAAAATACAAAAATTAGCCAGGTGCGGTGGCAGGTGCCTGTAATCCCAGTTACTTGGGAGGCTGAGGCAGGAAAATCGCTTGAACCCGGGAGGCGGTGGTTGCAGTGAGCCGAGATTGTGCCACTGCACTCTAGCCTGGGCAACAGAGCGAGACTCCATCTCAAAAAAAAATAGAACACTGACCTGCAATCTGCAGCCACCAGTCCAGAAGCCAAACAGCAACCACTGTAGCCATCTGTCCAAAATGACCAGGACTTGATCATTAATTGACAGCTTCCCTAATTTTTGCTCCCCCGAATTAGGGAAGCTGTCAGTTTCCAATTTATGACCAACAGGAGGAAGCCAAATATACTCTCCTAATCAATCACGTAGGATGCTCTTCTTCTAGTTAGCCCACCTACAAGCTTCCCCATGCCAACAACCTCCAATCATGGCATTCCTGAAGTCTTCCCTTTTCTCTCATTATAAAACTTTTCCACTCCCCTGTCTTACTTTGAGTCTCTGCCAAACACAAGTAGCGATGGCTAACTCCATTGACATAGCAGGCCCTAAACAAATAGACTTTGCTTGTTTTAATTCGGGTGGTTTTCATGTATTTCTACATTGCCAAGGCCTTGCTTCAACCACAGTATATTACTGTAGGTAGTAGATTGACTTGAACTGCAAGTTGGTTGAATTCTTGCACCTCTGTTTCCTCCACTCCTCTGTTTCCGCCTTTGTTCCCTCCACTCCTTCAAATGAGCCCCAGACCTCAACACCACACCCTCTGCTCTCAACCTGGCAGTGGGAAATGATGGATGGGATGGACATTTAGGGAGAAGCAGTTGACTTTTACACTTTCCTCTCCTTGTGCTATTTCCACAGTTCCTAAATCTGGATTCTGAAGGGAAAAAAATATTACCTTTTAAGTTCATAGAGATGAAACATAATATAAACATGTAGTCAGAGCAGATCCTATTAATTTAAGGGTGTGTTTAATGAAGATTTGTAATGCATGCAGCAATGTTTCAGTTTTCAAAATTAATTCTTAAAAAAGGAGGCTTTATAATATCTATTCCCAAAGTAACTTAGATGATCTTGCTCTTCAAATGTACAAAGGTTCCCATAGATATTAAATGAACAATTTATAATTAATTTTCTTGAGTCGCATTTTAATGGTGCTCTAGTTATTTGTGTAATATTGGATACAGTATCAAGAACTTAGTAACTGAAAATAATTCCATTGTTCTTGCCCTGAATTATTAGAGATGGCATTTTTAAATGGACTGTCTGCCTAAACTAAATGAATTTTTCAAGCTTTCTGCAATCTCCCATACTCTTTTCATTTCTTTCTTCAATAGTTACAAAAAGGTGTTGTCAAAGCGTGGAGAGGATTGCCAATTGAAACAGAAAAATCCAAACAATGTTCCTTAAGTACTTTGCTTTCTTTGGATCGCATTTTTCATCACTGCTTATATAGTCATCTTATTATTGAACTTTATCTACTCTAAATCACATTTTTTTCACACATCTCAAATATGCACATGGTTTATAATCAGTGTCATGTCATAATTTGTTTGGCCACACTGTTTAATCTCCTGGTGATACACAATATAATGGTATATGTTACAATAGATCTTAAATCCAGTGGAATATGGTGACAGCCTTTTATTCAGCATGATTTTCTGGGAGAGCTGTGTTATAATTGGTACTGTAGGGATGTAGTTGCTGAGCTAAAACAAGCTGTCCCTAACTTAGGACGTTGACTTTCAAAGTGCCACACCGATTTTGTGCTCTAGAGTTTCTTGTGGTAAGGAAACAGGTAGGTCACCAGGACAGCAGCTCTGTCCTTTTGTTCTTTCTTTTTAAACAAATGAGACTTCTATATAAGCTTTCCTTAAGAGAGAAGCTGTGTTGCCAAACCAAACAGAATTTTGAAAATCAATGACGAGAGACATTGACTCTCTCCATAGCTGAGTGAAATCAGGGGCTCTTCTTGGGCTCCTCCTGTTGTGATAGTTCCTGAACTACATGGTTTACATATATGTGGGGCAGAGCATTTCATTGAAGCACTAATTTATGTTTTGCTGTCTATAATTTTACCTGCCCTGCCCCTTTTCTAGCAGTTAGCAGGGATTTTGTTCTCTTTGCCCAGGGGAGCTTTGTGGCAGGCAGAAGCAGGAACTGCTCTTCCTCATTTTTATAAAAGCCTAAAATCCTTGAAGAGATGAGGCTCACTGTCCTCCAACACCTCCCTCCAGGCTAGGAAGCTGTCTAGGTCAGTGCCCAGCAATTGTGGTTCCCTCTGCATAGGCAGCCTCAGGAATTGGTTTTGACTCCAAGGAGATATACAAGGATGGACCTCAGACATAGGACTCCTACTCTCTGTAGAGACCTGTTCCCCAAGACCAGCAAGAAAGAGCAGAGCCACAGAACCTGCAGCGACAGTGAATGTCTCCTTGGAACCCAGAGTGGGCAGATGCCTGGAGTTATCTCTGATATTTTGACACATGCAGGGCTCTGAGAGTTCTGTAGAATTTTGTAGATGAGAGGAGAGAAGAGGGGAGAAATCTCCAAGAGTGACCGAACTTACATTTCACACCCCTCTGTAGGTGAAGACTTGGAGTCAGTTTTAAGTCAATCAATTTCTTCCACAGAATTTGAGGTTGCAAATTTATATCAAGATACATGTTTTATTTCATCAAACTTGGTAACATCTGAAAAGTTAGTGTTATATTTGTTTTACCGTTGAAGACATGGAGGCTCAGGAAAGGAAGATTTGCCTCCCTCTTCAGAGTGAGCCTATCAATGCAGAATATATGGGTGTTCAAAGGAATAACAATGATACCGCATTCTCTGGCAAAGTTATTTAATTCCTCGCTTCACAGTGACTTTCTTGTCTAGTCATTCCTCACAGATATGCCTTTGCATTGCTTTCTTTTGAAGAGTATTGAGTCATTTAGGAAAGAAAGGCTGCATTTGAGGAAATCGTCTCAATCATGCCCAAAATATCTGGATTATAAGTAAACCAAAAAAATTAAGAGAAAGCGTTCAACTACATCTAGAGGAGGAAGAGCCACACAGACACAGCCAATATAACAGCATGATGCAGGGCATGAATTCAAATTGCAGCGTAGTGTTCTGCTTTGTGTTTGTTCTTTTCCCTTTCAAATAAAATCTGACATGGAATCTCAATATTTAAAATGGAAACAAGTGAATGGAATTCTTAGGCAATTTACATTTTCACAGTTAGGCTGAAAATACACCATTGTTTGTGGAATCCATGAAGCATCTTCTCTGGGGCTCTAAGGGCCTCCTAAGCAAATCCGCAAACCATTTTTGGAAGAGGACCCTTACAGGAGGACAGTAGGATAGCGATAAGGAGCATTAACTCGGCCCTGAGACGGCCGTTCGGTTTCATGTTTTTAGGAATAAATTAGATAACCCAGTAAACATGATTAGCACAGTGTGAACAGATGGCAACCCACAGTTTTTTTTAACCCTCAGGGAAGGACTCCAGATTGGGCTCTTCCACTTGGCAGCTGGATAACTTAAAGCAAGTCATTTAACCCTGAGCATCAGCTCTATCTTCTGCAAGCAGATATCATAACAGAATCTACCTCATGGATTGTTGTGAGGATTAAACGAGGTGATGAATATAAAGCTCTTAGCCCAAGGTATCCACATAATAAGAAACCATGACATGGTTGCCCTTATCATAAGTATTAATACTATGGCTGATGCTGGTTACTTGTGCCCACAAGTCTACAATTACTTTAAATTAAACTAAGACAGAAATCATTTTCTCTTCCTTTCCTCTTTTCTCCTCCTCTCCTTTCTTCTTTTTTCCTCCTCCCTCTGCTCCTCTTTCTCCTGCTCCTGCTCCTCATTTTTCATCTTCCCCCAACATGAAATGAGCTAATGCCAAAGTTCTAAGAGCCCACATCTTTTCAGCATGAGCATGAAAAATGAGGGCTTCCAGATCTTTGCCTAAATTTACTTGGAGAAAAAGCTCAGAACTGGAGGAGGATGATGAATTATTATTCACAGCTCTTTAAGAATTGGAAGGTAAATATTGGCTTTCTCAATGTAGAGAATTACATTTCCTCCAAAATCTGTATATAATTGTTTTCTACAAAGAATATAAAATAGATGATTTTGTTTTGAGAGTATTTATTATTATGCAGATTAGAGATTAAGCACCCAAATATTTTATTTGCTAATTTGCCATTCATGAGAAAATTAGACATACTAAAAAGTTCTCATTTTTAGAGCAAAGACTCCTATATTGTTGACTCAAAAGGAGGTCTACCATTGTCAAAAAGATATTTAAATATACACAGATATTTCTCAGAATCTTCAATCTAGATGAAGATTGTAATTCAGCCTACAGTGCTGCTGCTTTATGACATAGAACTATGATTTCCTTCTTGTTTCTTTTATATATGTATATATACACACACACACACAATTTCAATGAAAGCAATGATTAATTTATAAAACAGACTAATTGAAAGTTCAGTGGTCTAAAGAGGTATTTCAGTGCCTCGGAGCAATAACAGCTTTGTGTTTTCTTCTTCATCTTAATGGGCCTCAACTTCCTGTGGCCTTTGTTGCTAGGAAACAAGAGTGTACTCAATTGAAAGCCACCTTTCTGTTGTTGTTGTTGACTCTTTGGAGTCTGAAATGAACCAGGCATATCTTGAATCCTCCAGGATTAACTATCAGTTATGTGTCCTAGGACGAACTATGGATGATGTGAGAAACATGAAGCTCAACATTTTCTGTGGAGCCACGGTCTATAACCCCAGGAGCAACTCACTTCCCTTACAACTTCTCTTGGGAAAAATTCGTTAGCTTGTCCTGTGTGAAATTAAGTCCCACAGAATTAGAAAAATAAATGGAGCCAAACTGTTGTCATTTGTCCTCATTTCCATATTACATTAAAGTACAGGTCACCTTAGGAACTCTGACACGTGTTCAGAGAGTTAGACCCTCAAAGTAACAGTGCATTCCTCGGCAAATTAATTCTTTCAGTATAGTCGTTTTTGTATTTACACTTCAAACTCAGAGTTTAGATATATGCTAGAGGCTTTTAATCTTCCTCGGTGATATTGAAAATGGTGAAATCTACCAAAATGTATTTATAAGATAAGCATGTTTAAGGAAGATGTCTTGGTCAGTGGAACAAGATAGGAAAGCATGCAGTTTCCAGCCTTGTTTTTTCCTCCATAACCCAACTCAGAAATATCGATTCTTTTTAACAGCATTTGATTCTGATGCAGTTCTGAGTGCACATTCAGAGGCAAAGGCCATGTCTACAAGATGCAAGTCATCCAACTGCAGAAGTAATGGCTCAAGGCAGGTTATTAAAGCAGCCTTGAAATCCAATCTGACCAAAATTGGACCATTAGTCAATGGTGAAATGTGATTTAAGAAGTCTCTTGAAGAGCCTAAAGATTGGATGGCTTGACTATTTGCAGCTTTTCTTCTTTTCCTTTACCATTGTAATATGCTGCTTTGTGTATGTGTGAGCCCACGTGTGTTGTGACTCTACTATATTTCGAACCCTTTTCCCCCAGCCTTGAATCTCCTGTTTCCTTAAGGAGAGTGTCTTGCATTTATATGGAATCCACCAACAGTTACTAAAATTACTTCAGTGGTTGTGCATAGGTGACTCTCGTTGTGCCTAAATTATGCCCTAGATTATGCATCTCTGTTTCTGTTAAATGAAATCAGTCAGATCAGTTAAAAGAAAAATCAAACATCACATAGACATAGCCAAAAAGTTGATTATGAAGCAAGCCATTTTAATATGATTACATCAGATTTTTTTTTCATTTTTACCCTTCTTTTTTTTTTTTTTTTTTTTTTTTTGAGACAGAGTCTCCCTCTGTCACCCAGGCTGGAGGTGCAGTGGCACGGCCTCAGCTCGCTACAGCTATTTTAAACCACTGCTAAAATTGGAGAGTCCCCTTAGTTTAGTTAGCTGGAAAGAGAATAAGGCTATGTCCTCTTCAGCTGTCACCATGAGGAGAAGTATTGGCTGCTGAATGGCAGCTGCTCTAGAGGGATGTGGTAGTGGAGCTGAGGGATCACCCAGCTGGTCGAGAGGCACAGGGTGGCAGTATGTATCCTCTATTCTGGCTTCTACCACAGGCATCAGTGCAGGCTCATGTTTAGCATTAGAAAAGCTCGTGTTCAGTAAGCTACCCACCAGCTCCTAGACACTGGTTTCAGACAGACTAGCTTGAGATTTCTACATTTTATGGGCCAATAGCAATGATGATTTTTTCCTTTCCCTCAGTCGCTTCCCGAGGAACTGGCCAGAGTATCTTTTCATGCCCTGAAACACCAAAGATCTGATGCAACATCCTTTCCTTGGCCTGGGAGCCACTTGCTCATCTTCCTGACACCTACCCTTTTAAGGAGTTCTGCCTTCAAGATCTTGTTAAATTAACTTTTGCCTAAAGCTGCCTGCCTACATGTATTAAGTGTGGCCTAAAGGTTTCTTCATACATAGTGAACCGTAATCTGACTTGATGTATAAACACATTGTAACATACTCATAACAAGTAGCCCAGTCTCAGGCAATTGCAGATAGCCAACTGTTCAAACCTGGTTTAAATAAGGCAAACATCCAGCTATAGCCAGTCCAACTGTTTATATACCTTACTTCTGTTTTCTATCTATCAGTTTTCTTTTTCTGTCCATTAAGGTTATCTGACTATGTAGCAGCCCCAAAATCACTCTGAACCTATTCTGGTTCTGGGGGCTGCCCAATTCATAAATCATTCTTTGCTCAATCAAATTCAGTTGTGAAATATGAGCTACAAAATAAAATTACTCTGGTTCAGAGGTCTAAAGTGGAATCAGGAAGCCATTCTAAGAAGGGCTATTTGCACAATCTCCACCTTGCAAAAACAGAAATTCGCCTCGAAACTTTGAATTGGGCCAAACCCGCACACCCAGAATATCATGAAAAATAGCTGACTTTTGTTACTGCAGCAACTCCTAAATAGCAACAAGCAATGAACTATGGACTCATGTACTAAGCCAGCCACATCCACCAATGATAATTCTTTCAAAACAACTTTTAAAACAACAACCATGTAATCACCATCAGCATCCCTTTGAAAATCCCTACTCCCCTTCATCTCCTCAGAATACAATTTGGCTTTAAGCGAAATCTATGTCTCTTCAATTGCAATTGCTAAGACCCCAACAAATGCCTTGTGTTACTGCATTGCAATCTGGTCTTTTGTCTCTTCTTAGTTGACACTGTTAAATTTAATTTGCATAAAGTTTTTGTTTTGACAGATGGTGTCAGAAGTGGGATTCAAAGTAGAACTTCCAACAACTTCCAGGCACATGGAGTTATCAAAAGAGGTACATACCAAGCCCATTATGTCCATTGCTCTCTTACAGCAACTAGAGATTGTAGGTAAGTTGTCTCACAGATTCAAAAGCTCTATGAATTTGTATTTTGAGCTATCTGACTTTGTTTGAGCAAATATTGGATCTAAACTGGGTTTGGAAGTCACAACAGAAACTGGACTGGGTCCAGAATCAGACTGAGTCCAGGATCAGATTGGTTCCAACAGTTAACTGGACTGGATCCGTTTAGAGGCCTCAGATGTCTGATTGAGTCAGACAGAAGCTGGCAGGGATAGATGAAGGAGGCAGATAAGGGAGAGGGTCCCCAGAGAATCTCTGACCCACCTGTGTCCTGGGAGAACAGGGTGTAGCCATGGGAAGTTCACGCTTTGTGCAGCAGGGAAGAGGCTGGTCTCTTCAGCAATGTGTGGTGGTCTGGTATTCAATCTGTGAGGTGGAGGGCCTGTTAGCAGGACTCTCTCTTACTTTGCTGAGACTTTTTTTTCTTTTCACCCAATAAATTCTCTTCTCACCCTTCAGTGTGTCTGTCCACCTAATCTTTCCTACTCATGTGACAAGAACCTGGTTTTAGCTGAACTAAGGAGCAAAATTCTGCAACAGCAATAAATGGCAATGACTGCAGGGAAGTACAAATTCTGGCATTCAGAAATTTGCAGGGATTTTTGTATTCTATTTCATTTGTTTCTTTTTCTTGTACACTTAGGTCAGGAAAAATTCTTGACTAAGTTGAGCAAGAGGATCTGACAGCTAAAGCCTAGATTCAACAAAACAATGAGATCCTTAATTTCTGAAGAATTGAGAACTCCACCTTCTGACTATTACCTTTAAATGTAGAAATATTAGGCCCCAGAAGCTGCAAACACTTACATAAATGGCAAAAGCTTATGAAAGATAATTTAAAGTTACAATAGAATGTTCCAAATTAACACTGCAATTTAAAAAGTTCATTTAAAAATGAGGGCTCCCGAATTAGGCTCACCCAAGGATGCCTAGCAATATGAAGAAACTTCTGAAAAAGTTCAGTATTTGAATTGCCTGTTTTTTTTCTTTCTTTCTTTTTTTTTTTTTTTTTTTTTTTTGAGACAGAGTCTCACCCTCTCGCCCAGGTTGGAGTGCAGTGCAGTAGCACAATCTCGGCTCACTGCAACCTTTGCCTACTGGGTTCAAGCGATTATCCTGCCTCAGCCTCCTGAGTAGCTGGGATTACAGGCGCCTGCCACCATATCCAGCTAATTTTTGTATTTTTTGTAGAGACGGGTTTTCATCATGTTGTCCAGGCTAGTCTCAAACTCCTGACCTCAGGTGATCCACCCACCTCAGCCTCCCAAAGTGCTGGAATTACAGGCATGAGCCACTGCACCCAGCTGTATTGCTTCTTTTAAAAGACTCCTTTAAAAGGACAAGTAAAAAGCTTAAGCTAGTAATTAATAGGAAAAATTGAAGCTGCTAAACTTTTGACTTAGTTACTATTCCACCTCAAAGGCGGAAAGAAAGCTAGGTAAAATGTTTATAAAAGGTATGGCTCCAGGTAAATTAGGCTTGTTTCTTTTTGAGAGCCATCTGCTCTGAGTCCACCCAGAGAGAATGCTTTCTTTGCTCTATTCTTTAATGGTCTGAAAAGAAATAAAAACTCAGTTAAAAAGACCTCCTACTGAGATAAATCAGTCTCCAAAATACAACTTTCACTATTTAGCCATTTTGAAAGCCTTTTGCAAAAGAAATTTACATTTACAAAGTAAATCTCCATTTGTAAGGTGTCTGCCTCTGTGCAACAGGAAGAGAAAAAGGAATGTCACCAGAAACAATAACAATGAAAACAGCATTGGCTTAAATTTACATAACAAATCTTACCTTTGTCTAAGGTGGCTTTCTTGGCTATCTTGTCTTAACTGGTCTTTTACCTACACTCTCCTTCCTAGGTTTGGGAAAATGATGATATTACATTGATGTCTCACCTCTGTGCCATTGAGATGTAAATTTTCTACCTTGTTTTACCTAAGCCATCTGTTTTGAAATACAAATGTAGGGTGAAAATTTTTAGATAGTTATTAAAAATGGGATGCAATATGAGGGTAATAATTTTAGATGGTTATTAAAAATGGGATAAATAAAACAGACAGCAATAGGGTTAAAACAAAGATGGAATCTACTGAAGGCTAGATTGGTCAAAGAGATACCTACTAATCCCCCAGCATTATAGAACTCCACACAGTCTGTCCTATTTACTTCAGTTGAGAGAAATTTAAAAAGCTAAAGACAGAGATTACAATGAGCAACCTAACTAACAATCACTTAGGGAATAATCATGCAGGTCAATCAAGAAAAAGGCCAGAGTTGTTTCACTTCACCCCTTTCTAAAATGGGTACAATGGTCAGTGGGTGGAGAAAAATCTTTAGAGTAAATTGTTTTGGGAAAAATTGAATGACCCTTTAGAAGAATGAGTAATGGTTTGGGATAATGTCTACTTGATGTGACGAAGTGTCTTCTACTGTGATGAAAGTTAATTTTTCCTGGTTACTGAAACTCCCTGGGGAGAGGATTGAGGACATTTGTGTTCCTTTGAAAAATTCATCTTTAAGAAAAATAAGGAGAATTTTTAAAGCCTTTTCCTTCTTCCCTATTGGTAGCAATAATCTACTAAGTCACTATATTTAGGGATGATATTTCCTAAATTCCACTAGCTAGTTTTAAGGGAGGAGACCACCTCTCATATTGTCTTCTGCCTAATTTCTGCCTCTAAGGAAAGAGAAAGTAGGAGTTAAAGAAAAGGCAGAAGTGAAATTCAATAGAAAGACAGCCTGGTGCCACACTCCGGGCCTGGTAGTTAAAGATCAACCCCTGACCTAATCACTTATGTTATCTATAGATTCCAGACATTGTTGAGGAAGCATTGTGTAACTCCCTGTTCGGTTCAGTTCTGTTCTGATCACTGGTGCGTGCAGCCCCAATCACATACCCCCTACTTACTCAATCAATCATGACCCTTTCACACGGACCACTTAGAGTTGTAAGCCTTTAAAAGGGGCAGAAATTTCTCCCTCGGGAGTGCAGTTTTTGAGATGTGAGTCTGCCAATGCTCTGAGCCGAATAAAGCCTTTTCCTTCTTTAACTTGGTATCTGAGGGGTTTTGTCTGCAGCTCGTCCTGCTACAGTTTTGTTTAGTAAGAAATTTAAGGGACAGGCTCACACCTGTAATCCCAGCACTTTGGGAGGCCGAGGTGGGGGGGTGGGTGGATCATGAGGTCAGGAGTTCAAGACCAGCCTGGCCAGTATGGTGAAACCCCGTCTCTAATAAAAACACAACAATTAGCCTGGCATGGTGGCATACGCCTGTAGTCCCAGCTATTAGGGAGGCTGAGGCAGGAGAATAGCTTGAATCCAGGAGGTGGAGGTTACAGTGAGCTGAGATCATGCCACTGTACTCCAGCCTGGGTGACAAAGTGAGACTCTGTCTCAAAAAAAAAAAAAATTAGGCATAATTGTTAAAAATGAGTAAATTATACAAAAGTAAAGGACATGAAATTTTATAAATGAACTTGTTATTTTTTTAAAAATCTTTTTTTAGAAATTAAAAATCTTAAAGTCATGTTAAGCTAAATAATAGATACTCATTGAAAGTCTGACTCGTTTATAAGTGAGTTAAAATACTGAAACAATTATTAAGCATAACCTTAAGTTTATATATTTCAACACTTTGTTTTTATATGATACAGAGAAACTAAATATATTTAGGATTGTTAATAAACCCAAAAATAATTTTATGAGGAAATATGTTTCAAAAAATTATGAAATGGTTCTCATCAACAAAATATTGATATACAACAGTTCAAAAATTCTAACTTCCTAGGATTTCACTAAAAACTAAGGTACTAGAGTTTTTAAAAATTTAATTAATATAAGGTAACTAAAACAACATCTTGTATCAGGAAAGTAAGACACATTTTTGGTAAGTGAAGCTTACATAAAATATATGTTTTAGATAAG
Source organism: Homo sapiens (assembly GCF_000001405.40). Lineage (NCBI taxonomy): Eukaryota > Metazoa > Chordata > Mammalia > Primates > Hominidae > Homo > Homo sapiens. The sequence goes on along the minus strand of NC_000005.10, from coordinate 144,009,392 downwards.
AGAAAAAAAAAGTAACTTTGTCCTAAAGTAAAATGACTGGCTCTTCCAAAATGAGGAAGAGAAAAGTTTGTAGAAGGTTTGTGAAACAGGAATCTTGTGAAAGAAATTGTATGTATGATCAAGGTGGCTAAAATTAGATGGGAACTATTTATAAGGTTTTCTAAAAATTGAGGATTAATAACAAAAGTACACTAATACAAAATTAGAATTTGGCTTTCTCTTTTAAACAAGATTTTTGTGTAACACTGAGAAGAGATAGTAAAAGATTTTTGTTCATCTTTTGAGTAAACTGAAATAAAAGAGGGGCAGGGGAGAAAGAAAAAGATATTTTTTGTGCTTCATGCTGTCTTTATTAGGTCTTTTGATTGTTAGAAAAACAGTATTCTTTCTATCAAAGAGTAAAGGTTTTTGCTTTTTTAGTTATCAGTTTCATGAAATCAATGACTATTATTTTACAATGACCTGTGAACTGATTTTGATAGTGTTATAAACCTTTGACAAATTTGACATGCTTTCCAAAATCAAATTTCAAATTCTAAAAATAAGTCTTTCTGACTTCAATCTAATTTGGGGATATCCCAAAGGGCCTCTGAAGCATCCAAACAAGAGATAATTTGATATATTAAATCATATGGGAAGCATTATTAAATAAGAAATTACATTTAACCTTCTTTGAGTTATATTTTTATGGATATGTTATAAATATGTGGTCAAAAATTGTATGCAGTTTCTAAAATTTTGAGATGTCTTGGTATATGTTATCAGTCATAATTATGGTTATTATGTTAAATTATTATGGGCTACAGGAATAACCAAATTTACTTGCCAATTGTGTCTTTAACCATGACTATTTTAAGACTTGTTGTCCACAGTTAATTGCTTAATTCTGATGCTTTTTTCTGAAAGTTCTTTACTAGCAATTATAATCTTGAAGAGTTGAGTCTTCCAAAAGGTTCATGGAAAGTTTGGGAAGGACCATGACAAGTACTATTGAATACAGATTTCTGATAACTTTAGGTTCATCTCATTTGGACTTGGTAAGAATTTCCAGAACTCTAATGAAGAGGCTGACTCATTTACAAAACTACTACCCCAAGCAGAAAAAGAATTAATTAAATACAAGGGAATTCTTTGGCAGATTTTCATGCTAATTCAACCAGTACTGAAATTGTTAAGATATGCAATTTGCATGAACTCCATGATCCAAGTCACATAACCTATGATAACCCACTTAATAAACAATGTTGTACACCTGAATTGGAGAAACAAAAATTGTATTTAGGAGGATTTAAATTCAGTGTCAAGCATGCACTCATGGAGAGCCTGGATGGCCATCTGGTCATCCTTTCTGCATCCTTAAAATTTCCACTATTAAAAGCTTTGCATTCCATGACACATCATAGAAGAGAGAAAATAATCCAAATTTTGAAAAAGAAATGTTGGTGTGGTGACTATTTTAAGTTGCCAAAATGGTTTATGAGCACGTTTGTTTTCTCAAACACATAATCCAGGGAAGACAATCAAACTTCAGGTACATTTCCACTGCTGAATGGGCAGTTTGAACATTTATGGAGGGATATCATTCAATTGCCATTTTTAATGCATGTTTTCTGGCTTCACAAAAGCTTTCCCATGTAGGAAAGTTAGTGGTACAACAGTAGCTAAAAATTTATAGGAAAATGTATTTCCCTAATGGGACATTCTTCAGTGATCACAGTACTTGTTTCACTGGAAAAATTGTAAAAGAGTTAAATGAGTTATTACAGACACTATAGCATTAAGCAAATATAACTGAATTGACTGTATTGCCTTGGTCAAAGATATTGCAGATGGAAGACAATCTGATTCACTTCCAGTGGAAAGCATAAATTAACCCCTTATTAAATAGTCACTAGAAGGCCTATACTCCTAATAGTAGATCCTCATGTATCTCCCACTCTCCTATACACTGATATGACTAAATGTTGCAAGGTTTTAATGCATTATGCCAAAGTATATTTTCAACAGGTGAAGGAATCTTTTCATGCTCCACCTACTAAGGACAATTGAACCCTTCATAATCTAGAACCTGGATGCTGGATCTTCTGGAAATGGCATCAGAGAAAGATTGCCCTTGCCACCCATATGGCAATGAGACTTTGGAACTTCAAAACTTGGGTTCATAATCTTACAAAACAGAAGGACCTTTTAGACTCTTGGAACTGTACACTCCTTCAAGACCTTAAGGTAAAGCTAAATAGGGAAGTTTCTCTTCAAAAGCAGATGGCATCCTAGACATACACAGCTTTCCCAAGATCACAGATCAAGACTCCTCTGCCATCATGAAACTCTTAGCTCTCTTAATCTTTTACTTGCTTATGCCTCTATGAACAATAGAACTTGAAAACGGGCCTTGTGTCCACCCACAGGGTGTACTTTCTTATAGAGGATTTTTCAGCCAGTCTTATACATGGGTAATCTTAAGCCTTGATGAATGGAAGATGAAGTGTCAATGTAGGTGGGAAATTTTAATAGTAACTTTATTACTCCATAATCAGTCAGACACCATAATCAATCAGAAACAGAAAGTTGGCCCACACCTGTTAAACTACATCATAGGTTAAAAAGAACATTTCCAGATGGCTTCACTCTTCTGGATGTGTATCATTTGTTAGGTCCTTTTTTCCATTGCTTGGAGTAACTACAAATAAGGCAATAATTAGAAATTTATCCCTCCTAAGAGGCTCCATAGCAGGTTCTACTACAAAGATTATGGTTGTACAACAGACTTGTTAAAATTATTTTGCTGAAGTTGAGTTATAATAGAATTGCTCTAGATTACCTACTCGCTGAACAGGGAGGAATATGTGCAGTTGCTGACACTTACTCCATATGGTTGAATATATCAGATATTATAGAGACTCAGTTGCAGAGGATTAACCAATAGGCTCTCTGGTTAAAATGTGTAGACTCTTCATTCAGCTCATTCTTTGAATCATTTTATTTTGATTGGTTCGATTTATAGAGACCCTGGGTAGGGAATATACTTCAAACTATTGTTGTTATTCTCCTACTAATCACAGTAATAGTCTCCCTGGTGTTTTATATTCTCTCAAAAGTTTTAAATGTTTGTATGCAGCCATCTGTAGAATACCAAATGATCTCTTTGACTGGAATAACCCAAACTTAAATGCATGATTATGTGGACACCATAACCTATGAATGACATGTTGAGACTGGAATCCCAAAATTATGGTAACTGAGAGTAGTACTGAAGCTCTAGATTTTTGTCATACTCTCACATAGGTAAAAACTTGACCTAAAGAGGGGATTATTAAACAAAATTATGAGAGGCCGTTGTTTGGGATTGAGCTCCTTCACTAGACCCCAAAAAATAAAGCAAACTGACATGGAATCCGTATTAGTTCATTTTCATGCTGCTGATAAAGACATACCCGAGACTGGGAAATTTACAAAAGAAAGAGGTTTAATGGACTTGTAGTTCCATATGGCTGGGAAGGCCTCACAATCATGACAGAAGGCAGGGAGGAGCAAGTCACATCTTACGTGGATGGCAACAGGCAAAAAGAGAGCTTGCACAGGGAAACTCCCATTTTTAAAACCATCAGATCTCATGACACTCATTCACTATCATGAGAACGGCTCAGGAAAGACCTACTCCCATAATTCAATCACCTCCTACCAAGTTCCTCCCACAACAGGTGGGAATTGTAAGAGTTACAATTCAAGATAAGATTTGGGTGGACACACAGCCAAACCATATCAGAATCACTCATGCTAAGTGCCACATATTCAAACTGAAGCTTTAAAAAAGCAGATAGATTCCAAAACTGATGGAAACTAACACCAAATATTTGTGAACTCCAAACTGAGATGGAATAAGCCCATTTATGATAATAATAGTGATGTTGATGCCTAAAGTTTTTGTCAATCTTTCAAAATTGAGAATTTGACCAAAAGGAGAAAATTGTTAAGCTTGACCTAGCAGTGCCTAAATATTTTAAGTTTGGCCTAGAGATTTCTTCACACTTAGTGAATGTAATCTAACTTCATGTGGAAATACACTGTAACCTACTCTTGTAACAAGTAGTTAAATCTTAGCCAATCTCAGCCAGCGAACTGTTCAAACCTGGTTTAAATAAGGCAAATACCCACCTGTAACCAATCCAGCTGTTTCTATAGCTCACCTCCATTTTCTGTAAGAAGTTGGTATTGACATCTTGGACAACTTGTTTAGCTTCTCTGTGCCTCAGTTCACTCATCCTTAAAATGGGACTGGCAAAAGATGATATTTTATAGGTTTCAATGCCAGTAGAGTGCTTAGCACAGAGCCTGGAGCAAACCAAGTGTTGGGTCAATTTAGCACCAACTATTAGCTATGAACAAAAGGATCTGAGAAATGGTAAATCAAGCTTGATGGCAGGAATTAAGTCTTGTTTCTCAAGCTATTCTCAAGCTATACCATGTGCCCGGCACATGGTAAGTTCTCAACATATCAGTCAAGTTGATGAATGGTACAATTAATGAATGAATGAGTCATTAATCCTGCAGGGAATCATGAAAGGTATACCAAGGCAGCATTTGAACCTGGTTTTGCAGTAATGAAGAGGGTTTCACCAAGAGGATAAAGGAGAAAAAACAATTTTGGGGAAAAACATTTGGCATGACAGAGACATTAGGAAGTATCTAGTGTGGCTAGACCTTAGGGTATAGAGGGCAATGTTGCCCATTTAGGAAATATGGAAGTCCCAGAAAAACATTTCTTAGAAATTTTACTTAAAACCAAAGTCATAGTATTCTTTTCTTAAAATTGCCTTTCACTGCCCCCCACAAAAGAACACAAAAAACTAACCCAAAGTAATCAGACAATTGGGGATTAAGTATTGTATTTTGCTTTTTACAAACTTGAGGACATGGAGAACATTCTGTATTTATGTGGTCATTTAGTCTACTTTTGTGGTTTTTGCTCTCTCAGATATACCTAGAGAACTTGCTGGGATTCAGATTCCCAGGCTATCCATCATACCTAATGAGTCATGATCTCTGGGTACAAGAACTAGGAACATACATTTTAAAGATGTATTTCAGATGATTATTTTGCATACTGTAGTTTGAGTATTGTCTCAGTCCAATTTTGGTGATAGAACACCACAGACTAGGTAATTTATAAAGAACAGAAACGTATTTCCCACAGTTCTGGAGGCTTGGAAGCCCAAGATTAGGATGCCAGCATCTGGTGAGGGCCTTCTTGTTACATCATGACATAGCAGAAGACATCACATGAATGAGAGACAGTGAGAAGGAAGCCAAACTCACCCTTAATAAGGAACCCACTCCTGTAAAACAGACTCAGCCCCACGATAAGAGCATTAATTCATTCATGAGGGTAGAGTCTTCATGATCTAGTCACCTCTTAAAGATCCTACCTCTCAGTACCATTGCATTGAGGATTAACTTTCAAATACATGGACTTTGCGGGATATATTCCAACCATAGCAAGTATTTATAGGTTTAAGTGCAACAATCTCAAAGTGATGCCTGAGAGTTGAATACATATTTGATTACTTCTGGTGTCATGGCCTTTGCCCCTGTGTTTCCTGTGACTAAAGCACTTCTCCCGAATTCCTCTGCCTTCCCTATTATTCTATTTCTGTAAACCTCACTACTTATTCTTCCAGTGTTAGGGAAGTCATTATTTTTATTCAAAATTTATTTCATAAATAGGGTCTACTCTGAGCTAGACAAGAGGATATCACTTTTCTTTCTTGAAGCTAGATACCTTTCCTTTGTTTTCCCATGATACCCTGTACTTTCCACTCTCATAACACCGAGGATATTTACTTATCTCCTGGCTATGGACTGAATGTGCCCCTGCAAAATTTGTATGTTGAAGCCTAATCCCCAATGTGATGATATGTGAAGGTGGGGCCTTTGGAAGGTAATTAGGGTTATGCGAGTGGGGTTTCGTTAATGTGATTAGTACTTTTATAAGAAGAGACATGAGAGAGCTTACTTCTCTCTCTGCCCTCTAGCAAGTGAGAATACAAGAAGAACATAGCCAAATGCAAACCAGGAAGTGGGCCCTCACCAGACACCAGATCTGTTGCTGACTTGATCTTGGGCTTCTTATTCTCCAGAATGTTTGTTGTTTAAGCAACCCAGTACAAGTCTATGGTATTTTTTTTTATAACATCCCAAACTGACTAAGACATTTCCTTGCTATAAAATGTGCTCTATAAGGGCAAGGACTATATTTCATTTTGTTGTTTTCCTAGTACCTACATTGCACATTGCCTCACAGATCATAAATACTATATAAGTGGTTGTTGAAAGAAGAATAAATGCATACATAAATGTGTCAGTCAGTGATTTTTGTGTAAGAAACAGTCATAAATTTCTAGTGATATATAACAATAAGCACTTATTTCACAATGCATCTGAAAGCCTTCTGGACATAATTAGCTTGAGCTTGGCTTTGAATTGCAGGTGTACTTTGCTGCATGTCTCTCATCCTTCTTAGATTAGCAGTCTAACATGTTCCTTTCATGGTAAAAGATAGGTGCATAAGAGGGCAAGCAGAAACATATGATGCCTTTTAAAGCCTACGCTCAAAGCCGGTACAACACTGTAACTTCTATCCACATCCCATTGGTCAAAACGAGTAAATGAAATTGGATGCTGGATTCAATGGGTATGGATTAAGGAAGTGAATGTTTAGGGCCAATAACTCAATCTACCACATAAGAACGAATAAATAAAATATTAAACAAAGGGACTATTGAGAGGAGAGATTTGGAGGGAAGGGATTTTACCTTTCATTTAATTCATTTGCTTCTATGTTCCAGGATCCACAAGACTCTGGAGAAATGTAATGATACTTGGGAAGATCGAATCCAAATTCCATTTGGAGATTCACTAGAAGCCATTAAGTTGACATATTGAAATAAAACAAAAAAAGAAAGAAAGAAAGCTGGGTTCTTGAAATCTGTAATAATGGCACTTCAGTTGTGTTTTTGCTACTTCAAACTTCAGAACCTCCACAGATGTGCCGGAAAGTGAATATGCAAGTGCTGCATATATTCTGCTCTGTTTCACCTCCTACCTTGTTGTGCTCAGCTATTCCAGGACACACCGGGCAAAAGAGAGAGGCTTGGAGGTAAGCCTAGAGGGACCGCTCTGAACTAGAGTTACAGCAAAGGAACCAGGCAGGAGGAGGAATGGAAGGACTTTGTGAAATCTCTATTTCTAGGACTTGTAGGTTTCAGCAATTATTACTATTTTTGTAAAGCAGCCACATCAATGTTTCATTTTGATTTCTTAAGATTTTTTTATATGTCTACAGATAAAAGAATCAAGCTTAATTTATTCATGGTGTGAATTCAAGTTCCCTTCCATGAATCTTCTCCTTCTAGCTCCACATTTAGCATCAACTAGAGAAAGAAAGACTTCATCTTCCAAAACTTCCGGAATGTGAAAAGTTGTTCTTCTTTATTAGACCTTCTAAATCTCTTGCACCTTCAGTTTGCCTTAGAATTCCAATAGATGAAAGCAGGCAGAGATCCCAATTGTCACAATTTTCCCTTTGAAAAGAAAAACTACAAAGTTTGCAACTTTTTTAAAAATTCAAGATAAAAGAAGATAGCCACTAATTTCATCATCTCAGGAGAAATAAGTTGATAACAGAGCCAATTAAATTACTCATGTTTGAAATCTTCTAGGAACCTCTCTGATCCAAATTTATTATCACTTAGACAATAGCCTTCTAACAAATCCTCAATTTTTTCTCCTTGAATAAGAAAGCAGAAGTCCTTGGCTTAGGCCATTGGAAATCTCAAAGTTCTACCCAATTTCTAATCTTGAATAAATTCCCATGCTTAAATACATTAAGACAGACCAATAGGATAAAATCTTAGGCAGTCTTGAACATTCGAGTTTACTTAAAATAATCAAGGATACCAGGAAATATTTCTAATTTTATAAATTGGGATGCAACACAATATATGGTGACACCAATTGTGTTAAATATTAATAATCACATGGGTACACATGTGCACACACACAAAAAGAAAAAAGACAGCAAGGAATTAGGAGACTTCAAAAAGTTTACATAAAACATGCATTATGTATAAAAATTATGCATGGATTTCAAAAAGTTTTTGCACCAAAATTAACTCATGCTAACTTCTCATAACATATCTGAACAGGATCTAGTTTGAGGCACTAAGAAGGATAAGACATCAGTTTTAAATTAGCTTTTATCCGAGCAACATGAATTCTGCTAAAACTGAAGCAAGAACAAACATCAAGTTTATGGTGAAGCTTGGGCAGAAGAATGGTGAAATCATCAATGCTTCATGAAAAGTTTATGGGGATAGTGCCCCCAAAGGAATCAGCATCTTGCAAATGGATAACTTGTCTTTAGAAAGAATGAGATGATGTTGAAGATGAAGCTCACAGAGGCAGACCACCCACATCAATTTGTGAGGAAAAATTAATCTTGTTCATGCCCTAATTTAAGACAACTGGTGATTAACAGCAGAAACAATAGACAACACCACACACATTTTATTTGGTTCAGCTTACACAATGCTGACTGAAATATTAAAGTCAAGCAAACTTTCCACTTGATGGGTGCCAAAAATCTCTATGTCCATATCAGCTGCAGATGAAAGCATAGCTTTCAATAAAAATTTTAAGTAGGTGGGATGAAGATCCAGAAGGATTTTTTTTCTAAGAATTTTAGCAGGAAATGAAACATAGCTTTACCAGTATGATCCTGAAGACAAAGCAATGGCTTTGTAAAAGTGGTAAAAGTGGTTCAGTCAAACAAAAATTGATAGATCAAGAGCAAATGTCATGGCAACAGTTTTTTGGGATGCTTAAGGCATTTTGCTTATTCACTTTCTGAAGGGCCAAAGATTGATAATGTCTACTTGTTATTAGAGTATTTTGAGAATGTTAGCCAAAGCTTTAGCAGAAAAACGCCCAGGGAAGCTTCACCAGAGAGGCCTTCTCCATCACAACAATCCTCCTGCTATTTTTCTCATCAAACAAAGGTAATTTTGTGAAAGTTTTGATGGGAAATCATTAGGCACACAACCTATGTTTCTGATTTGGCTTCTTCTGACTTCTTTGTTTTTAATCTTAAAAACTCTATAAAGGGTCCAGGCACGGTGACTCATGCCTATAATCCCAGCACTTTGGGAGGCCGAGGAAGGTGGATCACTTGAGGTCAAGAGCTGGAGACCTGGCCAACATGGTGAAACCCCGTCTCTACTAAAAATACACAAATTAGCTGGGCATGGTGGTGTGTGCCTGTAATCCCAACTACTCAGGAGGCTGAGGCAGGATAATCACCAGAACCTGAGAGGCAGAGGCTGCAGTGAGCAGAGATCGTGCCGCTGCATTCCAGCCTGGGCGACAGAACAAGACTCTGACAAAAAAAAAAAAAAAAAAAAAAAAAAAAAAAAAAAAAAAAAAAAAAGTGTATAAAGGGCACGCATTTTTTTCAGCTAATAATGTAGCAAAAACTGTAATGACATAGTTAAGTTTCTGGGACCCTCAGTTCCTTAAGGATGAGCTAAATGGCTGGCATTATTGCTTACAAAAGTGTCTTAAACTTGATGAAGTTTATGTTGAGAAATAGAGTTTGTATTTTTTATTTTCATATTTTAATCCTATTTTTCCATGACCTTTTTGAAGTTCCTTCATAGATCTAACTGTTATTAATGTTTTTCTCTTGGTGAAGTAATTATGTATGATTATATTATGTACGCCTTCTATATTTTTCCTAATTCTTTATGATGATTGTATATGACTTCTCTAATCAGAAAAAAAGATTGTAATAGATTACATTTATGTGACTAGCTTCTTAAAGATTATTAAATTAACTTTATCAAGTTGTTGAAAAAATATTTGGTTATCTCACTGGAGAGCCTTCTGAAAAGTCACAGAAATATATCAATATTCTAGATCACTACCAGAGGAAATAAAATCCAAAAAACACAAAAAACTCAAGAGCAATGTTATCATATTATAGAGGTCTATATGACCCTAAGTACACTTTCATATGTGAATATCAAAAAAATTCATACAAATAATAATTTAGAGGTGATATTTTATTTTCAAAAAAATTCAAGATAGGTTTCCTTTTATTTAAAACTCAACAGTTAATTTTCCTTAAGTGCTAAGTAGTATGTTAATCATTTCGTTAATTATCACATTTAATCCTCAGAAAAATCCTGTACGATGTGTCTTCTACCAATTCCACTTTACAGATGAGAAACTTTAGGCTTAAAAACATCCAACAGTTAGGAAGTAGCAGAATCAGGATTTGAACTCATGTCTCGTAAATCTAAAGCCAATACAATACAGAGTGACATCCCCAAATATTTTGATGAGGATGTCATCCTTTAAGTTACAACAGAGTCTTGTATTTAGCAGACTGAAGAGTGACTTGATTAACTGGAAAAGAAGTCTTAAAACAGAGGAAATGTGTTCCTTTTGTTAGTTATTCTGATTTGCTTTCTCCACTCACTTCAAAAAATAGAACTCCACTGCCTTGTAGATGTACTCAGTGCATAGGCAGAGGCCGTCTCAACTGTGAGACTCTGAGGCTCCTGAATTTTCTATCATCTTCATAGCTTTCCTCCAAGTTGGCTTTCAGTGTCTCTAAGAAGATTATTGATCAGGCCTTAGTGATCACCCTTAAAATTCTAGTTCTAATCCTATTTTGAGGCTGGAGGAGACCAGGCAGGGAAGCACTCGTTCCTGGCATCTAAGAGGAAGCAATAAGCAAAGTCAACTCTGCCAGGAACTGTGAAAGCCCCTGACTTCAGCAAAGGCAGGTGTTCCTGTCTTAGATGCCTCAGTCCAAAGAAGGATAATTTCAGAAGTCACTAAAATTTACATGGTGAGATAATGAGCTGCTGACCATACTTAAGGAGACAGAAATTTAGATGTACTTTGAAGAGACAACTGACGTAAAAAGGCATTGGTATTTTAGCATAACACTCTAAGGTCAAGTCTTTTGCATAAAAAAAGAAAAACTAGATTATTGGTAATGGAAGTGTTGGCATTGAAATCTATCCAAATTACCTGAACATAGATTTCTCTGGGCTCCTACTAGAGCAGGTGGATAATTGTAACCCTTCCCAGTCCCTGTGGCTGGACTTGCAACGCTGCCGACTTACATACAAAAAGCAGGTCAGGTCAGTATTCCAGATGTTTCTAACAATCCAGACGTCTGGTGTGTTGGCAAGGCCTATCCAGATGGTTACTGAATATTTAATCTTTTGCCTGGATGTTGGCTCCCATCTGTACACCGAGGCTTAGAACCTAACAGGGCATCAGTCAATACCACGTTGTCTATTAATTAAAGATTTACTTGAGTACATTTTGTCCACTGGTTGCCTGCTGTTTCAGTAATCTTCCAGCCAGACACATTTACCTGAATATTCATGGTCACTTAGAAGGCACTGGGCATTCAAGCTCTGACTAATTGTTTCATTCTTCCTACACACCCCTCAGCATCTGATCTTGCTGTCTATTTACTAGGCTTTTATTATTTCCCTTTTCAAATTCTAAAGATTTCTGGAGATAATGCTACAAAAATGACTTGGTAGCTGCCGGAATTTATATGTTGTTCATCTGAGCAATTCTATTTGCTGGTGAATAAAGTCACTTGTCGCACTTTTGCTTCTGTGTGGTACAGCAGCCTCCTGCTATCCACCCTTGGTCATCTGCCCTCCACTGGGGCAGCCAGAAGGTCTTTGTATTGGTCCATTTTCATGCTGTTGATAAAGACATATCAGAGACTGGAAAGAAAAAAAAAGGTTTAATTAGACTTACGGCTCCACATAGCTCAGAATCATGGCAGGAGGTGAAAGGCACTTCTTACATGGGAGTGGCAAGAGAAAAATGAGGAAGATGCAAAAGCGGAAACCCCTGATAAAACCATCAGATTTCATGAGACTCATTCGCTACCACGAGAAAAGTATGGGGGAAACTTCCCCCATGATTCAAATTATCTCCTACCAGGTCCCTCCCGCAACAACTGGGAATTATGGGAGTTCAATTCAAGATGAGATTTGGGTGGGGACACAGAGCTAAACCATATCAGTCTTTTAAAAATCCTCTTATGAAAAAGCCTAATGGCTTAATCATGGCCTGGAAGTCATCCAAGGTCATATCCCTGATCTCTTTTTTACTTCTATCATACTTGCTTTCTTTTGTTCTTTCTTTCCTTCTAAAGCGGCATTCTTTCTCTGGCATTTAACTTTGCATATTCCTGGATGCTACTTTCCCTTCCTTTCTGACTCGTTAAACCCCACTCATCTCAGAGATTAAGCCTCCTTTGCTCAGGGAAGATGGATGTCATGAATGCCCCAAACAAGCTGAATCTGCCCAACCTACCCTCCCACAACATCATGGCTTCCCCTTTATATAACTCACCTCATTCATAACTATTTTTTGGCAGTCTTCTCCTTAGATTATATTATCTCAAATGTCACAGCAACTGTGTGTGCTCTTAAATGCATATCCTAGCACCTGGCACACAGGAGGCACTTGGCAAATATTTGCAAATTAGCAAGATGAGAATGAAAATAGAAGTTTAACTTGGCTAGTTTAGAATCTGTATAATAAGAAAACCATATTGAATCATTGATTCAATAGCAACAAATATTTCCTGAATATTTCTTCTATTTGTCAGGCACTGTGTAAGATCTCCCCTCAAAAAAAAAATAAATTACAGTATCTTTTCCCAAAAAACTTACCTAGTTAAAATGCTTGCTAGGTGATGACCAAGGTAACAGTATATAACTTTTGTAAATTCAGTGTGTAGGTACACGGTAATATTAGTGATGAGATGAATGATTATTTTTTATACTTTTCTTTCTCTTAGTTGGTTTCACTCTGACTATGGTTTATATGGAGATGTAGGATGTTGGGTTCTCAGACTTCTCTCCTTGAGGTCAGACAGTCTCTCCATTTTAAGGAGTAATTGGCCCTTAAGTGGCTTTATTGTCCTCCAGCCTAAGATGCTGTTTCCAGCCAGCTCAGCAGCTCTGCTCTCCCCTAGGAAGTATAGCTATGAAACAGGGAAGAGAATGAAAAAACTCCTCTTCTCTTGCATGGTGCATGAGCCCCTGGCCTGTCTGCCACTTCCCTCTCAGGATAAAGGAGAATGGCTGATTTAAGGTGAGGTAGATTGAGATCACGCTTTGAGCTGCTTCCTGAAGCCAAGCACCTTCCCAGGGAAGGGAGAGAACAGTTTTCCTTTATGGTCAACCAGGTATATGGTACCATTGACAGAGGCATTGGAAAAACTTTGGGACATCTATTCTGCTGGACTAGCACTTGCTTGAGGTCCTACTTCTAAAGAGTTATTTCTTAAGCTTATACCCCATGTTAAATTTTGTTTTTCACTTTGGGAGTCTGAGGCAGGCAGATCACAAGGTCAGGAGATAGAGACCATCCTGGCCAACATGGTGAAACCCTGTCTCTACTAAAAATACAAAAAATTAGCTGGGCATGGTGGTGCACACCAGTAGTCCCAGCTACATGGGAGGCTGAGGCAGGAGAATCACTTGAAACCAGGAGGCGGAGGTTGCAGTGAGCCAAGATTGCAACACTGCACTCCAGCCTGGCAACACAGCGAGACTCTGTCTCAAAAAAAAAAAAAAAATCTATTTTTTTTCTGAGCAGGTTAACACTTAACATCTACACATGAATTGGTTTTTCAGGTTGATTTCTAACTACAGACTAGGTGGATGTGAGGCCAGAATAAGACCATAGTTGAGATGTTTTGAATAGAAGGAAAGTATGGAGGGAAATACTTCACAGAAAGCATATATGAGATGTCTGCAGTGGAAAGGGGATGGCAGGAAGGATGGGATGGGGCCTGGGCAGTTCCTGGTAGCATAGTATGATAAAAGGAGTGCTGGGCTTGAAGTCAGACAGACCTGGCATAGTCCTGGCTTTGCCACTGGCCAGCTGGGTGACCTTTGGCACTTCATAGCCCTGAACTTAATTTCCTCCTCCATTAAATGAGAAGAATATTTCTTACTTGAAAGGATAATAGTGAGACTCAAATCAGAGAATATGAATAGTTTTTGTAAAGGGTAGCATAATAGGCCGTGGAGCCAGACTGCCTGGATCTAAACTGTAGCTCTGCCACTCACCAGCAGCATGTCCTTGAGTAAGGCAAGACATTTCTTCATCAGTGAAATGGGGATAGTAAGTATATGCACCTCGTAAGACTGTGAGATTTAAACAAATTAATATGTATAAAGCTCTTAAAATAATCCTGAAAGGCTGTGAATGTCCAGCTCAATAAAATTGAGGAGGGATGATGAAGATAATGATGATGTCAGTGGTGGTGATGATCAGCATCTGCAGCAGCAGCAGGAGGCTTCCTACAGATGGGAGGGGTAGGGGAAGAGAGCTGGCCTGGGAGTCAGCAGCCTGGGCTAACCCTAGCTTGGCCATCCCAGCTTCGTGTCCCTGTGCTCTGGTTTCTCTAGCTGTAAGATACCAGTTTGGGACTAGATGACTTCTAAATACCTTCTAGCTCAGACAGTAGGTGATTCTGGGACCAGACGTGTAAGGGATTTCAGAGAAACAAACACTGAGAAAATAAAAACAAAACCATCCCCTATCCACTGCAAGAATTAACTCTCAGCTCCACTGAGGTGAACAAACATTTACTGAGTACCTACTATGCACCAGGCACCATGTAACATAAAGGAGGCATTCTCTGCAGAGCAGACTGCAAGCTGCCCTTTCACATAGAGTGGAATCCTCACAGAGCCATCTCTGTCCTTGTGATGACTGTGTGGTCACATCTGAAGTTGCGGTGGTATGACCAAATCATCAAGTACATGGCAAAATAAATTAGTTCCATGGCCTTAAATATGTTAAAAACCTCAGCTAACTCATCTGTGAATACGACCTCTTTCTTGGAGCTTCTTTGGAAATTTTGGGAGATAAGGTATGTTTCACAGGAGCTACAATTTTTAAATTATTATGTTTTCCCTTTCATCCATTCAGGGTCCAAGATTCTTTCCTTGGTTAGACTGAGATAGCCTTCTTGGGGTAATAATGATAAGGGGGTATGGGTTGGGGAAGGTAAATGTTAGAATTTGTTTCAGAAAAAAAATACAAAAAAAGAGAATGGGCAGTGATATTCAAACTCTGACATTCAAAATGAAACTATTTACAAAAATTTGACCTGTTTCCTAAATGTTGTTTGAACAACTACCTAAGGGACTGTTTAGATTATTAGATGGACTGAACTAAGTTCTAAATGGAATTAGAACAAAATTGATTATTTTTTGTTTTTAACCAAAGTACTTGGGCTTAGAGGGAAGATCAGATAACTTATAAACAAACTGAATAATCCATATTTGCTCTGCACGTCTGATTTGAAAGCTGAATGAAAATTTTGCCTAGCATAGTTATTGGAACATAGTACATAGTTACAACTAAGATTTATTTTGCAGTCTAAATTTATAATAATTAGGAGTATACAAAGGAGAAATGATGCACAGTCAAAAAGCTGTTTATATTTAACTCTTTCTGGTAATAAATGAAGAAAGGAAATCACATTAGGCTGAGAGCTTATTGGGGGCAGGAGGTATGCCTTACTTATCTCTCTATCTCCGTCATCCAACATAGTCCTTAGAACAGCTGCATTCAGTAAATGAACACATTAATGAATTACTCCATACGAAGGTCAACCTGTGGAGAAGCAGAGTTACCAAATTACGCAGGTTACCAGGGATGATATTTTGTGGTTATAATAAAAACTCACAATTTCCTAGAGGGTGGTCTTAAATTCACAAACTAGTTGTGTAATCTTGGCCAAATTATTTATGTAGTCTACATCAGTTTACTCAATCTACAAAGTAGAATACATTATCTGCCAACCTTACAGATTTGTTGTGAGAAATAAATAAGAACAGGTTATGTTAAAGCAAGAAGAATGCTAGAAGTACAAAATGTTATTTATTCCCAAGAAGTCTGAAAATGAATAAGTCACATGTGGGACACTGAGGCTTGGCTGCTGTTTCATTCCTGGGAGGACAAAAGCATTTTAAGATTATTTTATTATTCTTTCCTGCCTATGATTTAGATAAAGTACAGTCTTTTTTTTTTTTTTTTTGAGACAGAGTCTCACTCTGTTGCCCAGGCCGGAGTACAGTGGCGCGATCTCAGCTCACTGCAAACTGCCTCTGAGGTTCACGCCATTCTCCTGTCTCAGCCTCCCAAGTAGCTGGGACTACAGGCATCCGCCGCCATGCCCGGCTAATTTTGTGTGTGTGTGTGTTTTTTTTTTTTTTAGTAGAGACGGGATTTCACCGTGTTAGCCAGGATGGCCTCGATCTCCTCACTTCGTGATCCACCCGCCTTAGCTTCCCAAAGTGCTGGGATTACAGGCGTGAGCCACTGCGCCTGGCCACAAGTACAGTCTTGTAGACACACCTGTTTTTATTTTTATTTTTAATGAAATTGAGTGCTTAATCCCCCAGAGAGTCCGTGAAGTTAGCTAAAGTATGATTTAAAATCATTTCTCTCATTTTTAATCAAGTATTTATTCTATTAAAAATTTCTGGCCTCCATTGGCTTCAAGACCAGAATGAAATGAATTTTATTACTTTATGACAGAGCCAAGTTTCTATTCTTGAAACTCCAGTGAAAAGCAGATGAGGCAATTTGAACACTGTCCAATGCATATATGGGCTAACCTGGAACTAACCAATTCAAGCTTCCTCTGACAGCCATGTAGCCTCTGCCTTCTCTATGTCTGTGGCTTCAAAACACACAATTCCTTTGCCTAGGAACAAGAACAAGCAACAACAGAATTCAAAAGTCAGAAAAATTTACTATGAAGCATAGTAAAAACAATAGAAGGTCTTTAAAAAGTCACCCTAAAATTAACAGCATCAGTGTTTATGAATTATTGATATGAACCCACCCTTACTGTGCAGCCATGTCAACTTCTCCCTTAAGTCAATGCTTCTCCTAATCAACATTCTCTACAGGCCTCTCTTAAGCCAATAGCTCTCAACTGATCTACTTCACATACTGGTGATGTGAAATATCTCACAGGGATGCCACCAAATTTTGCTGTGTGGATTCTGGGATAAAGGGGTGTGCTTCCTAGAACTGATTTTTTTTTTTCTCTTTTGGGCTTCGTTTGGAGAACCTCTTGTATATTCCATCTGAGTTCCCATGGTTTCAGTGGGTCCAATTTCAATCTAGATACACAAGTCAGCATGACACCTAGGCCTAAACTAAGCAGCCTTTCTTTTTCTTTGGCTTAGGGAATGGGCACATAAGCCTTGTGGATTGGGTCAGGACTGGGCATATGACCCAACTTGGGCCAATAAAATCTAGATGCTTCTTCAAACTGTTGGGAGTACAAGAGAAAAGATGTCTCCTTTTTTCTACATTTGAATCTGGGAGGATTTAAGCCTGCAGCTGATATGTCACTATGTAGGGTTTGGAATTAAAGCTAGCACAGGATGTGAGGAGGGAGGCAACAGAACCAAGAGTACAAAGAGACTGTGATGATGCCCTTCCAGCCTCTGGATCTAGTCATGCCTGAAGCTACCAGACTTCCCTGATATATCAGCTAAGGATATTTTTTCTTAATTGAATCAATTTGAGGATTGGGTTTCCTATCTATTGTGAGGGACTTTTCTATTTTAGCATTGTAAGTCTTACATCCCAAGAAACTCCTCATTTCTGGAAAAACTGGGACAGCTGGCCACTCTATCCATTGTCAATAAAAAGGCAACACTCAATGCAAAATGTATATATTTCCTTACCGTTGAGGATAAATGATATTACAGTATTGATAAAATGTTGAACCAAGTGCCTCATTTGACATGAGACAGGATTTGACACAACTGATGTGAAAAATAAGAGGGTAGAACACAGTCAAGGCATGAAAGAAAGATGTCCTCTGCACAGGAACCTTACCCCTGAGTATGGAAAATGATGGGGTCAGGGAAGACAAGAGTTCTAATCAATAAATAAGAGCTGAAGTATTGACCAAAGAATAATGTTAGTCCTGTAAATGTTCTCATACACTAGTAGACTTTTTTTCTGTACAATTTTATTCTAATTACTGATAACTTATTTTAGTGTTGGTTTGAATATTTTCTTTTCTTTTTCTTTTTTTATGATTTTAGTGTTGTTTTGAATATTTTCTTTTTCTTTTTTTTTATGATTTTAGTGTTGTTTTGAATATTTTCTTTTCTTTCTCTTTTTTTTTTTTTTTATGAGACAGAGTCTTGCTCTGTCACCCAGGCTGGAGTGCAGGGGCATGATCTCAGCTCACTGCCACCTCTGCCTCCTGGGATCAAGTGATTCTCCTGCTTCAAGCTCCTGAGTAACTGGGATTACAGGAGTGTACCACCATGCCTGGCTAATTGTTGTGTTTTCAGTGGAAATGGGTTTTCGCCATGTTGACCAGGCTGGTCTTGAACACCTAACCTCAAGTGATCCACCTGCCTCGGCCTCCCAAAGTGCTGGGATTACAGGACTGAGCCACTGCAGGCTACTGTTTTGAATATTTTCATTAAGCCATTAAAAATTCTAGAGTGTTGTGATATGCCCATAGTCTTAGCTATTCTGGAGGCTGAGACAGGAGGATCACTTGAGCCCAGGAGTTGGAGGCTGCAGTGAGTGATGATCACACCACTGCCCTCCAGCCTGGGCAACAGAGCAAGATCCTGTCAAAAAAAAAAAGATTCTAGTTTTCAAATGTATACTGTGACAATTAAAGGATAAGAATAATTAGTTTGACCCTTAATGTTTTCTCCCTTGAAGTTTCTGTACAGACCTTACTTTCCCCTCCGAATTTTAAGATCCTCAAGGGCACATTGAAGATTTGCTTATCTTATGTCCTCCTTCCACATCAAATGTACCCATTGACATGGGTGGCAGTAAAATATTTTTGAAACAAATTAATCTGAACCATCTTAGGGCATAGAAATCTTACTTACAGAATTGAAGGATTTAAAAACACTTCACCAAAAATGAATTCTTTTCAGTCATTAAATCCTTGGGATGTTTTAGGTGGCTGGACTGTATTTGCAAAGCTTTGAGTTATCCACTGGGAACTGGAAAAGCTGCCGCTAATTTTTTAGTATTTGGTTCTTAGTACACTGGGAGATTTGTGTCTGCAACAAAGAAGCATTTTAGAAGTGGTAGATTTGTTTGATGCTAGTGGGGGTGAGAAGTGTTAGGAAAAGAAATTATAATGAGATTTCTTTTTTTGGAGACAGGAAAAATAAAGAAGGCTAGAAAGCCAGAGAGGAAGAGAGAAATATGTCACTCTATAAAAAGTCAAAGATCTCTCTTTCTATTTTTATCAGGGCCAGTGGATGATTCTAAAGCTGAAATTCAGACCATAACTCTATGACTAGAAGTTCATTTTATTTTTCACCTTTACTGAAATTTGAGTCAAAAACAAAGAAATATTAAGTTTGACTTAAGTGATATTCGGACTTAAGAGTTCTCAGAGTAGTATGCGTACCCACAGAACTCATGATTTAAAGCATTTATATTGAAAAATTATATATGCATAAGATAATATATATCCATTCATATAAATATATTCCTATAAATGCATGCATATGTACTTAGGAAATTTTTTTTAATGCCTACAGATGGCCAGGTGCAGTGTCTCACACCTGTAATCTCAGCACTTTGGTAGGCTGAGGGTGGAGGATCACCTGAGGTCAGGAGTTTGAGACCAACCTGGCCAACATGGCAAAACCCTGTCTCTACTAAAGACACAAAAATTAGCCGGGTGTGGTGGCACATGCCTGTAGTCCCAGCTACTCAGGAGGCTGGGGCAGGAGAATCACTTGAACTCAGGAGGAGGAAGTTGCAGTGAGCTCAGATCACACCACTGCACTCCAGCCTGGGTGACAGAGTGAGACTCCATCTTCAAAAAAAAAAAAAAAACAAAAATAAATGCCTATAGATAATTGTATTTCAGAGGTTAACAAAATGCAAATTCCATGAACGTGATTCAGTAATACTGTGTTTCTGTATGATTCCAGCATCTCATTCAAAGACCCTTAAGACTTAGAGTCAAATAATTATGTATCTTGGGATTTCAGGTCATATTAGAGTTTAGCATCAGTTCACACAGACAGAGGGCTCTGCCTTCTTAAAAATGGATGACCTGAAGTTTCTCTTGTGCAAGCAAGGCTAATCGTTTCTCCCTGTCTACAATCGTTTTTTTGTGGAACAGGTCTTTGCCTCCTTTCTGAGAGTCAGCTTCATAACTAAGAATAACACTATGATAGACTAATAAGTTCATGAGTCCTTGGCTCAAATCCTGGTTCTGCTGTTATCAACTCCATTATTTTAATTTCTTTATCTTATGTTTGCTCATTTTACAAATGAGATTAAAGCTAGTAACTATTTAGGGGTTGTTATGAATTAATAAGTTTTTGTGCTTAGAACAGTACTGCCATGCAATGAGTATTAGCTCCTACTAATATGGCCCCAACACTGTCCCTTTTAACCACAGATGACTAGACCAGGAGTGGCTACCTACCAAGAATATGGAACTAGGGAATATCAGTATATCAGAGTCAATTATTGGAGAGCTCTAGAACTGAAATCACTTATAAAAGTCAGAACAGAGGTCACCATGTTTGAGTCATGGGCATGGATAAGCAATCAGAGAAAGCTTAGTTTTGAGGGAACTAAATAGGTGTAAGATGTTGTACAAAACACTTTACATGTATTTTACATGTATTACCTCATTTAATCTTCACAGCAACACCATGAAGTAGATATTATTATTAGGCACCATCTTACAGAAGAGAAAATTGAGGCATAGAGTGGTTAGGATTCAAACCTAGGAAGTGTAATTCCAGAGACCATACTCATTCA
Source organism: Homo sapiens (assembly GCF_000001405.40). Lineage (NCBI taxonomy): Eukaryota > Metazoa > Chordata > Mammalia > Primates > Hominidae > Homo > Homo sapiens. Next base: position 143,988,467 of record NC_000005.10, on the reverse strand, counting down.
TACCCACTCTATATACTGCTATTGAGTAAGTAAGTATATGAGTGAGAAAGAGGAATGGAAAGAGGAATGTAGAGAAAGGAGATCTTGTGTTTGCCTGAATACATGTCTCATAAGGCTCACTTCCTACTCATGGGTTCAATGATATACTTCTTTAACTTTTCAAGAAATTTTCTCCTTCTGCTCTATTTAGTTTGAATGGTTTACTGCTATTTTATGATTCATGACTAAGACTTCCTTCTGTTTAGTGGCAAATTGTCTAAAATGACCAAGAAAACACCGTACTTATTCTCACAATGAACTGCAACTTATGGTTTTTGAGGCTCCTATAGACCTGACCAACATGAGAGGCTAGAGAAAGAGTTCACATACCCAACAACGATTTGAAAGTCTGGTTCAGGATCTACCCAGCCACAGGAAGAACAAGAGCCACAGGTAATTGTTGTACATGGGATGAAATAGTTTCCTCCACTTCAGGACTAAGGTTTATTGAAGAACAGATGGCACCAGGATGTGGTTGCTGCATCTCGATGTCATCTCAGGTAATTTGCATTCTAGATTTTTGGCTTCTCAAAAAAATATTTCTCAGTGTCAGCTTTCACAGTTAAAGTGAATAGGTAGTTTGAGTTGGGCAGAAGATATTTTAAATTAAGAAATCAGACATCTCCATGGTAATCCAAGTCACCAAAATAGGTCAGAGCTAGACTATGTTTCAAAAGACAAAATCACCTGAAGTTAGGGGAAGAGGAGAGAGGTGGCCTTGATGTTCTGAAAATAAAGTAAGTAAGAAGGAAAGGCAGGAAGGAGGGAAGGAAGGAAGGAGGGAAGGGAGGAAGGAAGGAAGGAAGGAAGGAAGGAAGGAAGGAAGGAAGGAAGGAAGGAAGAAGGAAGGAAGGAAAGAAGGAAGGGAGGAAGGGACGAAGGGAGAGAGGGAGGGAGGGAAGGAGAGAAGGGAAGGGAGGGAAGGAGGGAATGGAGGGAATGAGGGGAAGGAAGGGAAGGAAGGAAAGGTGGGAAGGTGGGAAGGTGGGAGGGAGTGAGGCGGAAGGAATGCAGGCAGGAAGGCAGGAAGGCAGGAAAGCAGGCAGGCAGGAAGGAAGGAGCCCATGTTTTCTCATATGAAAATGAAAATGTGATATACTCAAAGCTTGAAAAACTTGAAAATATTATATCCAGTACCCTGACTACTTCTCAGTGGTGACATGTGTCATTTGAAGAAATGTCAGAAGGGAAGAGGAGAAAATTACATTTGGCCAATTATATGTGGTAACCATTGGAACGAAAACACTGACATAAAAGGTCACTAAGTCCACAGTTTCCTCTGGTTGTCCCATTTCTTCGCTTCATTTCTTTAGCTTTATCTAAGCTTTGCTGAAGTCCTGAATGCACTGAAAAGAGCCAAATTCCAGACCTGCTGGCAATGAACTGTGCTTCATTCCTCATGTATGAACTCAGCGTTGGGATGAATCTCTCCCAGTGGAAAGAAACAGGCAAAGAAACGTGGAAATTTGTACAGCTTGGTTATTGTACAGATTGAGGAAGGTGGACTCATTGCATTTGGAATAAAAGATGGGTTTTCCTCCTTTGGCAGTATTTTTAAAAAGATAAAATTTATGATCACAATAAATGTCAAGCTAATTAACTACTACAAAGCACCACTTTTCTTTATGTATCTACTCCCTTTTATAAACAAAACTAATTGGAAGAATGGTAAAGACGCTATAAAAATTCAGAGACTTTTAAGCCAGGAGTGATTGTTATCTGCCATGCTGTGAGCCAGCATTTTTGGTTTCCTGCCTGCCAGACTTCTTTGTGTTCCACCTTCGTTCCCCAATTTTTCAAGCTCCCAGCTCACTCTGCCCATTATTCTCTCCACTAAATGTTTTGACTTTCACATAATGGATTAATGCTGCATTTGGGATAGGAATCAGGAGAGAGAAGACAGGATTGAGGGGAGGATGGGGTGTGTGGGAGGCGCATGGAAGAGAAAATGGGGTTATAGGCTGGGAAAAGGGCCTAACAGACTGACTTCATGAGCCTGTGACCTATGCAGTCATCTAGGGCCCTGAGCTTAGAAGGGATCCACCCTTGGCTTTATGGTCTGCTGCCATCATCTTGAAATTCTCAAACATTTTGAACAATACTCCTCACATTTGCATTTTTATTGGCCTCCACAAATTATAAAGCTGATCCTGAGAGCCACAGGAAAGGAAGCCCAAAGGGAGACAGAGTCCAAAGGTCTCCTAGGAGATTATGAAGTGCATGCGAGCTCCAGGTCATCAACTCACCAGGGCTGAATTCCTACAAGCAGAAAAGGGAGGACAAGGAGCAAGAAAGGAATGTGCTCAGGGTCTGATTGCCCCAGCCTGGAAAGCTTCTACCCTTCCTTTCCTCCTCCATTCAACACACCAACACCTTACAGTCATGCCCAAAATTAAATTCCTTTGGCTTCACATTTTGCCTGCTCTTAGGAAATATATGCAGGACATAATTAGTCATAGTAGTCAGTTATGTTTAGTCAATCAAGGAAGAAATATTTATCCTGTATGTCCTACAGTAAGTCATTCTTCCAGGCACTGTGGATATGATGATGAGTAAGGCATGCAGAAGCCTTGTACTCAAGGGCATTACATTCTAGTGGGGAGACAGGAAATATAACTCATAAATAATAAAAACTATAATATGTGGTACTGATATATGCTATATAAAAATGAAGTGGTAGGTAGAAACTGAACAGGCTGCTTTAGCTGGGGTGGCCTGGAGCTGCCCCTCTGGGGAGATGGCTCATGACTTGACAGCTGAGTGAATAGAAGGCAAGTCTGCGAAGATCTGGAGAATGAATGCTCCAAGAAGATGGAGTACCATATGCAAAGGCTCTGAGAAGAGATCTACTAATAGTTATTTTTGTATTTGAGGGACAAAGAGAAGGCCAATTTCACTGAAAGCTAGTGGATAATGAGGAGAATAAAGAAACATGAGACCAAAAAGTCAGCAGGGGTCGAATCTTTTTGCAGTCCAGAGGAAGAATTTAGATTTTATTGAAAAATAACAGGGAACATTCAAAAATTTTATCGCTGGGGAGTGACATGATCTAATTTACATTTTTGAAAAAAAACTCTGTCTCCTGTGTAGAGGATGGACTGCAGGGAGTGTACAGCAAGAATGGAGGCAGGGGAATGATTCAGAGCCCATGGAAGTGACCCAAGGGAGGGAGCTGGTCACTTCAACAAGAGAGGTAGCAATAGAGATAGGAAAAAGTGGTGGGATCCAGGATAAATTCTGCAGAAGGGGTCAGGATAGATTCTGATGGATTTATGTGAGATCCATTAGAATCTATCCTGAACCCTCTTTTGCTACAGCAAAAGAGGAAACATGAGTGGCTTTTATATGATTAGCCTGAGTAGCTGGTAGATTGCAACCCCATCACTGATGATATAAAGGTTGCATAGAAGATTTTTTTCTGTGTTGGAGATGAGAGTGGAAAGCAAGAATTCTTTTTCAGTCCCTTTACCTTTGAGGGTACTATTAGATATCTTGGTGGAGATATTGGGTAGGCAGCTAGATGTGTGAGTATGGTCAAAAGAAAAGAGGTCTATCCAGGAGATATGGGAGAATTACTAATGTACAAGTGTGTTCTGAAGCCGTGAGATGATATGAGAATCCTCTTAAGGAGAAAATGTAAGCAAAGACGAAAAGAGGGCTACAGAGAGAGCCATGCATGCTCCAAGATTTCAGATCTAGTTTGTTAGTAGGGGAAAAACCAGGGAGGATGTCACAGAACCAGAGATGAAATGTTTTTAAAATGGACAATAATTGGGTGTAGATATCTAATGAGACTTCAAGATAGAACAGGAAAATCACATTGGATTTGGCAAGATGGAAGTAATTAATAACCTTTGGAGGGACCATTTATGTACAATGGGGTTGGAAGTGAGAAGATAAAAATGCTCAGTCCGAGTGGATGGCAAAGAATGAGAAGTGCAGATGGGAGTGCACACAGTAAGTATGGACGCATTTTTATATTTTTTTTAGGAGGAGGGGAGGAGAGAAAAGAAAAAATATAGTAGTAGGTAGAAAACACCAGGACCAGAAAGGCTTCATTTAAAAAAATCTTTTAAAAATTATTATTTTAAGCCATATTTGTACAGAGATGCAACTCATTTCATAGAAGGAGAAGTTGATAGTGCAGATGAACTAGATATAATTGAAATTCTCTTAATCAATTTCCACTTAACCTGAGACTAGATTAACTGCTCTTCTCCATTTCTTTTGTAGAGCATATTGATGATTCCCATGGCTGGTATTCCACACTCTGAAATGCTATGCACTCTGTGTTCACCAGCTTAATCTGTGAAAGGGACAAAGATGCAATTTTGTCCCTCCCCAAACCTGCTAGTGCCTGTGTTATAGGCTGAATTATATTCTCCCCCAAATTCATATATTGAAGCTCTAAGCCCCAGTGTGACTGTCTTTGGAGACAGGGCTTTTAAGGAGATAATTAAGGCAAAATTAGATCACAAAAGTGGGGCTTAAGCCAATAGGATAGTGTTCTTATAAGAAGAGGAACAGACAGGGAGACTGCACACAGAGAGAAATGACCATGTGACACCACAGTGAGAAGATGGCCATCTGCAACCAGAGAGAGGCCCTAGGAAAAATCTAACCTACCAACCCCTTGATCTTGGACTTTCCACCTCCAGAACTGTGAGAAATAAATTTCTGTTGTTTAAGCCACCCATTTGTGGTATTGTATTACAGCAGCCCCAGCAGATTAATAGTCTATTCAAATACAGTCTATTGTAATTGTGTCATTTAATAAAATATTACGTAAAATGAAGAAATCATGTTCAAAAGAGTTGTTCTTAATGAAAACTTAGCTGAATGCTTTGGGAAGACTTGTTCTTTTAAGAAACTGCTTTTAAAAATTGCCATTCCAGGTGATCATTAAAAAGTCAGGAAACAGCAGATGCTGGCAAGGATGTGGAGAAATAGGAATGCCTTTACACTGTTGGCGGAAGTGTAAATTAGTTCAAACACTGTGAAAGACAGCGGCAATTCCTCAAGGATCTAGAACCAGAAATACCATCTGACCCAGCAATCCTGTTCCTGGGTATATACCCAGAGGATTATAAATCATTCTACTATAAAGATACATGCACACGTATGTTTATTGCAGCACTATTTACAATAGCAAAGACTTGGAACCAACCCAAATGCCCATCAATGACAGACTGGATAAAGAAAATGTGGCACATATACATTATGGAATACTATGCAGCCATAAAAAAGGATGTGTTCATGTCCTTTGCAGGGACGTGGATGAAGCTGCAAACTATCATCCTCAGCAAACTAACACAGGAACAGAAAACTAAACACCACATGTTCTCGCTCATAAGTGGGAGTTGGACAATGAGAATACATGGACACAGGGAAGGGAACATCACACACCGAGGCCTGTTGGGGGGTGGGGGGAAAAGGAGGGGAGAGCATTAGGACAAATACCTAATGTATGTGGGGCTTAAAACCTAGATGATAGGTTGATAGGTGCAGCAAACCACCGTGGCACATATATGCATATGTAACAAACCTGCACGTTCTGCACATGTATCCCAGAACTTAAAGTAAAAAAAAAAAATTAAATTGAATTAAAAATAAAATAAAAAATAAATTGCCATTCCATTGTTATGAGCAAGATAACTATAAAAGATTTTTTAAATTTATAAAAATCTAGGACTCTACCCTCAGATTATCTTTAAGCTTCCTCTGCTTTAAAGAAACTAAAACTAAAATTCAGAGATGAAACAATATATCAAAAGACAAACCAAAACTCTAATCTTTGTCCTGCAAAAGATTGGCAAATGGATTAATATGTATAATATATGCTAGTTAAACTATTTTAATGACACCAGGTGGGGTGGAGCAGCTCACGCCTGTAATCCCAGCACTTTTGGAGGCTGAGGCAGGTGGAACACTTGAGCCCAGGAGTTTGAGACCAGCTTGGGCAACCTGGCAAAACTCAGTCTTTACAAGAAATAGAAACAATTAGCTAGGCATGGTGGCATGTGCCTGTAGTCCCAGTAACTGGGGAGGCTGAGCAGGGAGGATCACTTGAGCCCGGGAGGTCGAGGCTGCAGTGAGCCATGATCATGCCACTGCACTCCAGTCTGAGTGTCAGAGTGAGACCCTGTCTCAAAAAAATAAAAAAGAAAAGAAAATAGTTTAATGATACTCAATTTTAATTTATGAACCAACTGTAGTTTCCAGCTGTGTCAGATAAGAAGATATTTGCTGCAAAGTACATGAGAAGGTGAGATGGGATGGGATTTAATGCCCAAGGGGAAGTGTTATCTTCGATAGAAGCATGAACATTGCTTCCATTTTCACAGGTTGGAATGTAGAGTGTAAGTTGGCAGAATTGGTAGTGGGAAGATGAGACTGTTCTGATCCTATTGCTTCTTTTTCCCCTAGGAAGTCTGAGAGGGAGGAGGGTGTGGTAAAGAGTTGAGAAAAAGGGAATGTGTGAAACAGCTGTCTTGAAGAGTGGAAAAGTTAACTTACTTGGGAAATGTATACCATGGTCTTGCCATGTTGAGTGCCTATCTGAGATTTGTGATCATAAGTGTGAAGTGAGTCCAGTTAACATGGTTGCCTAATTTTCTCCTGTAAAATTTATCCTCATAGGAGCCAATATACATTTATAGGTTATTTGGGTGCGATTGTGGTTGGGGTTTTCTAGGCAAGTAGGATATGAGGAGAGTGGGGCACAGAAGTGAAGATATTTTAAAGGTGATTATTCTGATGATGCATCATGGGACTTGGGCTGGGTAAAGAGGAATAGTAGGATATGCTATAAAAAACAGTAGTTATATTGGGAGAGAGAACTCAATGGGGCAAAGTACTGTTGGAGGAGTATGAGCATGGAAGGACTGGATGGCTGGCCAGCAAGTTCAAAGTTTTAAATAAAGATTTTAGAAGTGGTACTGTTTCTGGTAATGGAAACATCTAGAAGTGGCTGTGTGGATGGGTAGCTGAGGTGAAGTGGAGAATTGATCATTTAACCTAATGAACTGAGAAGCCAAAATGTCAGGTGGGTCATCATGTGGATGCTGAAGTCATCAGTCATGATAACAGAGAAGTTATGGAGAAGAAGAGACACATCAGGTGTGCAGGACACTGGTGACTGGTAAGGAAGAGTGACAAGAAGTTAAGGAGCTCACAGGAGGAGTCTGAACGTTTTGGTGCCATGACTTTTCAATACTGAGACAAGGTCTTGATTTGGCGAGTAAGAGGGGCACATGAGGGCCCTAAAGACCTGGGTAGTGTGAGAGTGCAACTTAGGATTGTGGGTCAAGTCAGAATGCAGGAAGGAGAGGGGAGAGGTCACAGAAAACAAACTTGTCTACATTTCAATGGATTTCTGTGGACCAGCAGACGAACAGTTTAATCAGTGTGTGTGTGTGTGTGTGTGTGTGTGTGCATGCAAGCACACAAAGGTACTTCTACAGATAGCAGAACACATAAGATGGAACTCAATAGTTCACTAGATAGCAAGAGCTTATTCAAAAATCCCATCCTCAGAACTTCTGCCTCAAAGCAATGGTACAGTTCCCCAAAGACGGTAAAAATGGACGAGAACAGCCTTCCTCAGATGCCGGAATTTGAACATTGGAGGGTTTCTGAGTCTGAGCCCAGCTTGTGGCCTTCATCTGCAAAGAAATTTCTTTGCCGTCAGCATCTTTGCATGGTGCCAAGAGGCATCCGTGTCAACCCACATTCATGAAATAAGAAAAAAACGTGGTGATCTAAAAGCAAGATGTGGTCACTGCTTGGGAGCCTTCAACCAGAAAATAAGAGCCCAGTAAAAATTCTTAAGTAAGGAGAGGGACAGGGCCTCTGTATTACACTTAGTGTGAAATGCTTCCAGCACAAAGGATAATTCAGAGAAGTATATACTTCCAAATACACGAAGAAAAGTTGGGGTAGAGGCTTTCTAGACTCTGGAAAAGTTAGCCAAAAATTCACTTTGGAGAAACTGCTTAAAGGTTCAATTAGGAACAATCTGGATAATATGGTTTGTATTATCACCAAGCTTGGTTTTATCAATTCTGTTCAAACTGTCAGGTATCACCTTGTCAGTCAAGGGCAGACGTAAAGTACCAGCCCAACTTTTCTTAGGAAAATAACCCACAAGATTGTTATGTCTACTATATTTGGGAATGGGTGTTTGGGGTGTGCTTCTCTACTGCTAATCACTTCAGTTCATTTATCAAAGGAGCACTCAAACTAGGTGACATGTAGACAAAACAACTGGTTAATTTCACTTTTTGCTCCACATTTGTGGCAGGCCAAGGAGAAGTTCAGTTGTTTGGGTTGCTTGAAAATATATCGTCAACATAAAAGTTCCCAATATTGATTCCCATATATCAGATGAATGGTTGAGCTAGAAGATCTTTTACATCCTACTCAGCTCCCAAATTCTAGGATTCTGATTTATTGCAACCCTATGGCGTAAACTTGCACATTTTTGCAAATGGAAGGGGAGGCAGTTAGGCTAGTAAGTATGACTTTAAATTGAGAATAAGTAAAGCGCTTGGATTGTCTCAGTTGAGTATGAGTGGAGAAGACAGATCCAAGATTATAGGGTTATTGTGGTCATTAAATAAGATGCTGTATGCAGAAACTGAGGCCTAGAAAGAACTTGTGACTCTGTTGATAGGGAGCTGAAGCAGAACTCAAATCCAGATTTGCTGGGACCAAGGCCTATGTCTGAGTCAGGTTTTCAGCTCTAATCAACAGAATCCACTCTAACTAATTTATTAAATAGAAAAAATGATGTATTTATTTAAGATTGTTGGGTAATTCATGGGCATGGAGACTACATAAAGAGGAAAGAAAGTCCCCATTAAGCTTTTGACCACTGTAGCGGACACTTCACTGTTCTAATTGTCAGGCACATTCTTAGTCACCTGTTTTGCTGACAGGCCCTACCTAGACCCTCCCACTCTGCTGTGCCTGGAAGCTGGCCTCCTCAGTCATAGCTGCCTCACTGGAAGGAATTTCTCTCTGTGCCTGCTTCTTTGTGTCACTAGCTTCCAATCCAAGTCTCACATAGGAGCATCTGATTGACCAAGCCTAGGTCACTTGCCTGTGGTCCTACTGTAAGAGATGTTTAGAAAGTGAATTTCCACTGTCTGTCTTTGAGAAATGCAGATTCAGAAGGTGAGAAACTCTTTAAACACAGGCAGTGTGTTCAGAGGGTGCTGGAATTCCCCAAATAATGACAAATATCTTCTAAATATAGTGCTTCACATGCATAGAGCTGACAAATTACAAATAACTTTCATATTATTTTCACTGGATTATTTGAAGGGGAAAAATCCACAGTGAAAAAGATAGTAGTTCCCATTTTCCCAGAAGGAGAAACCATTTTTCAGGAGTGGAAGCTCCATGTAGATTAAGGACCAGACATAAGCTTCTCCACCTAATGAGGGCAGAGCTGTGTTTAGCCTCCTGGGTCAAAGGTTCTTGACTGATCACCATGGGCCTTCTCCTTACTTAGTAAGGATAGCATTAGCTGTTGATCTTTTACAAAGACTGTTTTTTTTTCTATTTTAATGCTATTCACCATTATTAAATAAAATTTATAAAATTCAGAAAAATTTGGGAGTAAAACAAAAATTCACCTGAAATTACCACTCAGAAATAACTACTGCTAATACATATTTTTATCATATAAATTGGGATCAAATTATATGAAGTGTCTGTCTTAACATGTTACCAGGGAACTTTCTGCATGTCATTAAAAGTCTTCCAAAACGTAATTTAAATGACTATATAATAATTTCACTATATATAACAATAATAATTTATTAACTATATATTTTATATGTAAATCTATATGGTATTTCTCACTGGAGTTTTGCTATTACAAATCACAGTGATAAATACCATTTTTACATAAGTTGTATCTATGTATATATAACAGACATCATATATATGTGTAAATACATATATACATATATGTGTATATATGTATATGTGTATTTATGAGATATATATGCATATAGACACACACACACACACACACATATATATATATATAATTGACTATTTTCTTAAGCTGGAATCTTAGAAATGCAATTCCTAGGTGTCAAATACTACAAACTGATTTGCTGTGTGTAGTTGTTTTCCCTGAAACTTCAGCAATGCTAGGTCAGCTTAATTTTAGTTATTTTGTAAATGACTTGCTTTTGTTTGTTTTTGTTTATTTTTGCCTGAGTATTTTTGTTGGATTTTTTTCATCTGAGTAACTAAAATGTTTGCTGATATTATCTACATGTGTCCTTTTTTCATGATTCTAAGGTGGTGGTTAAGAGCATTGGCCTGAAGCCAGACTACCTAGCAATGAGTCCCCGCTCTGCTATTTGCTTCTTTGACCTTAGGCAAGTTACCTAAGCTTTCCATGAGTCAATTTCCTTATTTGTAAAGTGAAGATCATAATTTTCTAAGGTTATGAGTGTTAATGAATAAAATATTTAGACAAATGCCCACATAGTAAATGCCCAATAACTCTTTCTTATTGCTATTACCCATTATTTTCTATTATGTTGATCCATTCTTCTCTCACCTATAACATTTTTCCTTCACCCAAAATTATTTTTTACCCTCATGCACAGCTCCAATTGTTCTAGCTTGCTCCTTAAGAATTTCTGTAACTCCTCCTTCTCCCTATATACCACCTTTTCTTTCATCCTTTTGTCTCTTTATATTTTTCTCTTGTATCCTCAGAGAGTATTTCCAAGAGAGTTCTTCACCCTAGTGATTCACCTCTTATACTGAACAGACAAGCCTTTTCTTCTGTCTCCAGTAAAAATTTTGATTACCTTATTATAATTTTAGTCTCCTTGCAACTCTTAATTATATTATCCAGCTTCCTTTTCATCTCGGCTCACTATCTTTTTACTTCATCCTGTTTTCATCTTGGTTTATTCTCTTGATAACTTTCTGCTCCTGTTTCATTAACAGCATACCCTCTAGCATCCTATTAATGATGTCACATAATATTCTAAAATTTTTTTCTAAGTTCTACATAAAATCTTTTTCAGAAATCTGTTCTTCCAAAACTTTAGGATGATTTTTGCTTTCTGTCATTCTGTAGTATTTCTTCATGGTCCCCTTGGTGGGTTTTAGGTCCTCTATACTCATCCTCTAAGCAAAAAGAGATCTTTGGGAACCTGGTATATGTCCATAAACAGGTTGTATAGATCTCCCTTGTCTATCATTATCCTTTTGAATGATGATCAAATTCTCTTCTAAATTCTTCTAGTGGTTGTTTCTAACTTGCAGCTCAGTTCTCAGTATCAACTAGCTATGCATATAGTGTGGCTCTGTTATATGGGATTAACATATGCACCCACATGAACTGCCAAATTTTTGATATTCTAAACTAATGCAGTATTTGGAAAACCATAGTTCCTAGCATGCATTGTTCCCAGGGTTTTCCTACCTTTGTGGGAGCCATATTTCCCACGATGCAATGTGACAGTCAGTCCCAACCATCCCTTTCCAGTCAGATATTTTATTCATATGGATATAGAGATATGGGGGCAAAGAGGATCTTCAAAAGTAGTTATGCATTAAAAGCTCACCAGTTTTCTATTTAGTGAAGATTCAGGGTCTTTGAATCATATGATAGGCAGTGATGGAATGACATTTTTTTTCCACCATCTATCCATAGTTGAGAAACCTGCTTTAGGAGGTAAAGTGTGGATATAGATTTTCTTAATTGAGTTTCCTAAAGCAGCTCCATTGATCTTGGATACAGTGGTAAATGATCCTAGATTCCTGCATGGGCTTTACTTCAATATTAGTTTTCATTGTGGCTAGTTTTCATCTTTTTCTGTCTTCTTAGGTACCATCGAAGTAGGGAGTCAGTAAAGTTGCATCAGGAACTGAAGGTCATACACTTTTCATAAGTGAAAATCTCATCTGTTTATCTTTTAATAGGTCAATACAAAATGTAATACTTTTTTAAAAATGACGACTTGCCTTAGTCTCCTCTAGCTCTTGCAGTTACCTTTTTGCTGCCACATTATCACATTTTTACTCCATCTCCTGTTTTTTTCTTGAGTATCAATTCTTTGACATGAGACAATGAGTTCCTTGAGGGCAGCAAACATTCCTGGGTCATCCACACATCCACTGGCCTGCCTTGCAGAGAACAAAGCTCTGAAAATCTCTGGATGAGTAATAACAAGGTAGCACAGAGAGGCTCTTTATGGATCAGCTTGTGATAGCAGAAGGAAAGGTTAGGTTTCCACTGCCCCTAGAGTCATTCTGAAGGGGTTTAAAAGCCATTTGATCTCATGCAATTGCAGAAATATGTATTGGGTTCCCACTATCTGCAAGGTACTTGGGATTTCAAGATAACTAAGCCTTGTCTGCTGCATTCTCCAATATGAATATAAAACAGCCCATGCATGAGCAGCTCTGATAGAGGGCAGACAATGGTGATGCTTTATTGGCAATTTAAATAAAGCACAGAATGCGAATGAACTGGATTAGTTTTATTAGCTAACCCAACAAACATTGATTGAGGCCCAACTCCAAAACAATGTAAACATAACACATTCACCTAATTATGAGATGTAGACCATCTCAAAAGGAACCAAAAACCCAAATAGGCTGAGTACCCCTTCTCCAAAATGCTCGGGACCAGAAGTGTTTCAGATTTTCGATTTTTTTGAATTTTGGACTATTTGGAGATAGATAGATAGATAGATAGATAGATAGATAGATAGATAGATAGATAGATATAGATAGATGATAGATAGATAGATAGATAGATAGATAGATAGATAGATAGATAGATATAGATATATATTATATAAAATGAGCCATCTTGGGGATGGGACCAAAGTCTAAACACTACATTTATTTATATTTCATATACATTTTATACACATAGCCTGAAGGTAATTTTGTACAATATTTTTCATAGTTTTGTGGATAAAACAAAGTTTGTGTTGTATGGAATTTTTCACTTATGGCATCATGTCGGTGCTCAAAATGTTTGAGATTTTGGTGTATTTTGAATTTTGAAATTTCAAATTAAAGATGTTTAACTTGTCATTTATTTGTCTAAATAATGGAGAGCAGCACACACATTCCTTTGTAGTTACCCACTGCTGGGAAACCTCTAACCCTGGATCATCAATACATCAGTAGGCAGTTCAGGGATTAGGTGTCAGCCTAACTATATCTCACGTGTTTGATGTTCTCTTCCTGATTTCCACTCAGTTAAGAAAATTTCCTTTCTTTTCTTAGCAATAGTGTTATTCATTACAGGAGAAATTAAAGTGTCACCTAGGACATCTGTATTTGTATGCTACTGGAAATAGCCTTTGTTTTCTGAAGCCGATGTTAGTTACAACTAAAGTTTCATTGCTGGAAATAGCTTTGCTTATTTTCTGATGCTACATTTGCCTTGCTTAACATTTAATTTTTGATATTTATTTCCTTCCAATGAAAAGATTAAAGAGTTTTCAATATTGGGGAAAGAAGACTTGCAAATAATATTAAAAGTTTTTAATCATACTGCATGATTATAAGGGAAGCAGAAAGTGGATGCCTATTTTAAATATCAGTAAACAAAGACAAAAGCAGAAAAGTACAGATCACAAGTGAGTCAGTGAATTAGAGAAAGTAGGCATCGTGTCTTTGATTTCATACTTTCAGCTGCATTACCTGATTTCCACCTGTGTTATAGGTACCATGCACTTTCTAAAAAGCAAAGATGCAAAATATTCTGTTGGTGACACTAATAGTTAACTAGATTGACCTCTTACAATTTGCCAAGAACTGTGCTAAGTGCTTTTATGTACATTATCTCATTTAATCCATACAAAAATGCTGTAAAATAGATGTCATTTTCATTTTACTGGTGAAGAAATGAAAGTTGAAGATAGATGGTTATTGTCCAAGGTAATGTAACTAGTATGTGGTAGAGTGAGTGGGATTAGAATCCAACTATGTCTGACTTCGGAGCCCATGCTCAGTCTAAACCACCATGTGTGCTGCCGTGAGACTATCCAGGCTAAACCTCTCAGTTTATTTTTGCCAAATCTGTGACCCAGAGCAACTGTGGTTCACTCTGTGTCTCACAAATGGTTGGCGAGACAGCAGAAGCTAAAAATGCAAATTTCTCGATTTCCAGGCCATGATTCTTTTTTTCTTTTTTTTTTTTTTTTTTTTTTTTTTTTTTTTTTTTTTTTTTTTTTTTTTGAGACGGAGTCTCGCTCTGTCGCCCAGGTCGGACTGCGGACTGCAGTGGCGCAATCTCGGCTCACTGCAAGCTCCGCTTCCCGGGTTCACGCCATTCTCCTGTCCAGGCCATGATTCTATTTGCTAAGAAGAAGCAGGAACATTTATTTTTTTGTCGTAGACAAGGGCTCCAATCAGCACTGTTTTACTGACTGTCAGAGTAGAAGCACAGCATGTCTAGCATTTTTACAAAAGATATGTAAAGTCTATGTAATTAAGAAAGTTGCTTCCAAACTTTGTCACCTATCAAGTTGAAAGAGACTGGCAGTTGGCTGGGCGCGGTGGCTCATGCCTGTAATCCCAGCACTTTGGGAGGCAGAGGCGGGTGGATCAGGAGGTCAGGAAATCAAGACCATCCTGGCTAACGTGGTGAAACCCCCGTCTCTAATAAAAATACAAAAAATTAGCCAGGCGTAGTGGCAGGTGCCTATAGTCCCAGCTACTTGGAAGGCTGAGACAGGAGAATGGCATGAACCTGGGAGGCAGAGCTTGTAGTGAGCCAAGATTGCGCCACTGCACTCCAGCCTGGGCGACAGAGCCAGACTCAGTCTCATAGAAAAGAAAGAAAGAAAGAAAGAAAGAAAGAAAGAAAGAAAGAAAGAAAGAAAGAAAGAAAGAAAGAAAGAAAGAAGGGAGGGAGGGAGGGAGGGAGGGAGGGAGGGAGGGAGGGAGGGAGGGAGGGAGGAAGGAAGGGAAGGAAAAAGAAAGAAAGAAAGAAAGAAAGAAAGAAAGAAAGAAAGAAAGAAAGAGAAAGAAAGAAAGAAAGAGAAAGAAAGAAAGGAAGGAAGGAAGAAAGGAGGGAGGGAGGGAAGGAAGGAAGGAAGGAAGGAGGGAAGGAAGGAAGGAAGGAAGAAAGAAAGAAAGAAAGAAAGAAAGAAAGAAAGAAAGAAAGAAAGAAAGAAAGAAAGAAACTGGCAGTTAAAAAAAGTGTAACCTGAAGTCTACTTGCCACAACGTAAGTTAATTTTCTTATGCGTAGTCTGACGTAAGAAATTTCTGAATATCAGTGGGAATGGGTCTACCAGTCTCCCAATCAGAATATACATCCCTGAAAACTCTGTGTGGTAAAAATTGCTTGGGGTTGAAGTCCTATTCTTCCTTTTTCTCTCTGGGTGAGCTTGCTTAAGTAATTTCACTTCTCTAATTCTCAGTTTTCTCACTGTAGAATAGATACAGTTATAACATTTATAGATCATTTATTTAAAGAATATAGTTAAAATAAGGCATGTGAAAAGCAATTTGCAAATTGTAAAGGGTATACAAATGTTAGTTTCTATATTTAATAGGTACCATTTTCATCCTAAAAAAATATATCTTTTAACTGTGTTTTTCTCTACTTGTAGTCATTCATCCATCCATTCATTCATTTGTTCATCTGTCCACCACTTATCAAGATATCTGTCATGCCCCATCTTAGACAGGTTATAAGAGATATATAAAAATTACAAAGCAGAATCTAACTGCTTGTTCATCCTCTACTTTGGTATCTAATGGACATCACAACTTAATTTATTCAGGACTGAGCCCCTGATCTCTGCCCTAAACCTGCTCACCACCACCACCACCCCACAAATCCCACAACTCTTCCCCATTTTAGTTGATAGCTATTTCATCCTTCCAGGCACACAGAACAAAAACCTGAAAGCCAACCTTAACGTCTATTTTTCTCTCGTAACCCACATCTAACCTTTCAGATAATCTTACTGCTCTATCTTTGAAATGAGTTGAGAAATAGAACACATCTTTCCATAACCACTGCTGCTACCCTTGTCTAAGTCACTAGAATAGGTCGAATTGTGTCCCCACAAAAGACATACTCAGGTTCTAATCTCTGGTACCTGCAAGTGTGACTTACTTGGAGGTACAGTTTTGCATAGGTCATCAAGTTAAGATGAGGTCATACTGGATTAGGGTGGTCCCTAAATCCATGACTGGCATCTTTATAAGAGAAAGGAGAGGGAGATTTGGATATAGAGACACAGACACAAGGAGGACAGCAATGTGAAGGCAAAAGCAGAAATGAGAGTGATGCTGCCACGAGGTAAGCTGGGAAAGGCAAGGAAGGGTTCTTTTCTAGAGCCATCAGAGGCAGCACAGTGCTGCTGACACCTTGATTTTGAATCTATCCTCTAAACTGTGAAAGCATAAATGTTTGTTGTTTAAGCTACCGAGTTTGTGGTAATTTGTTACAGCGGCCCTTGGAAACTAATTCGGCCACCATCACATTGTGCCTGGATAATGGCGGTAGCCTCTTTAACTAGACCGACCCTCTTTCTCCACCTGCGTTTCCTAAGTGTGTTCTCAACATAACATCCGGGGATCTTTTAAAAGTGTAAATGTAAATAAGATCATGTCCCTCCTCAGTTTGGAGCCCTCCAATGGCTTCTTATCCATTGTGGTTCCAATAGGTTCTGTAGACTCTGCCACTCCCAAACTCTCATCTGTCTCCCCACCTGCTACCCCCATCATTCACTTGCTCCAGCCGCCCATCTTTTTGCCTCCAGGTCTCAAACACCCAGGTGCTCTGCCTCAGGTTCTTTGCACTTGCTGTTCTTTGGTCCAAAGGCTATTTAACCACCAGTTACCACTCAGGCACAGGTCAATCAGAATGAGTTCTGGGGGCCTTTTGCTGTTTAAGGAGTCCGTCCTTTAGTTGTCTGCTGCCTGGGGAATGGGCTGTACCAAATAGTGCTGACATACCTCAATATTTTAGCAACTCACTTGGCCTTATGAACCTTCCTGGATGAATGTCAGCTTCGGCTCTGCTAAATTTTCTCCTTTCCCAGGGACTTAAAGGGTTTCCCTTAACTCCATCAGGTCTTTGCCCAACACCACCCTCTTGGTGAGTTCCATTCTAACCACCCTATTTAGTATCCCCACGCTCCTTATTCAACATTTCCACTTCTGTTTCTCTATGAACTTTGTTGTCATCTGACCTGTATGTCTTCCTTATTTATCGATTGCCTATTTTGTTAATAGAATGTAAGCTCCATAAGGGCAGGGTTTTTGTTGTTTTTGTTTTGTTTTGCTTTGCTTTAGTTTTTTTCTGTTTTGTCACTTGCTGTGATCCCAGCACTGAGAACAGTGCCTGCCATGTAATAAACATTCAGTGAACATTTGTTAAACAAATGAATGAATTAATGTTTTCAAATAGCTTACACGAAGGCTATATGTACATCTACAGAAACAGCCAGAGAAGAGTCCTGAGCGGACCACATGCCATAGGAACTGTCATTTTCAGTGCTCTCATCTGGAACATTGAAGCCCAGATGCTCCGTTTCTCCCATTCTCCCCTCTCCCCTCAACCCAGAGAGCCAGTTGGGCATGAGGCACCCAGGATGGGTCCTCTCCAGCAATTCTCTTCACTTTTATAATTGTGATTAAAATAGCTCTTGTGACATAATCCCAACATCCTCCTTTATGGCAAAATAGCTTTATTTCTATTTTGTCAGATGAAGTATCATTAACAATTTGTCTTGTTTTGACAGCATGGGGCTATAATTAGTTTCTACAGGAAAATGCACCAATTAACACAGTGTTTGTTTCTTGGCTTGAATCTAAACGGAAATTGGAGGAAGCTAACTGAGACAATATAAAAAGAAGCTGCACTGATGCTAGCAAGAAACTCACCTGCCTGCAGATTAAGGAAGCGGTGTGATAATTTAGCTACCTCTTTCTTCGAGGAATGATTTCCCTTGCCTTATCAATCCCCAAGAGGTTTTATCGATGCCCATCACATCCAATCTCTCTTCACTCTCTGAAATTTTCTCATGTTTATATAATCACTCATAACACTCAGAAATATATACTAGTATGCTGTTATTTTTAGCATGCTGCCCAGATACAATTATAATAAAAGGAATTTGGAATACTATGCAGTAGATCAATGATTAGTTAGATAGGGAGAGATCTCTAGGCTAAGTTTACATATAAAAAGTTAATATGAGGAAATTTTATCATTGTATATGCTACCTTTTGTGCTAGACAAGTGGGAAAATAAGAATGTATATTTATATTTGCTTATACTTGCATTAAGAAGCATTAGAAAAATAAACAAGAAGTTGAAATGTCTATCTGGAGAGCTGAGGGGGAACAGGGAGAAATGAAATAATACAGGAGTGAGGTTCTTAGTGTATACCTTTTCATATTATTTTAAAATTATATTTGAAGCAGGGAAATGTATAACCTACTCAACTTTTTGTTGATGTTTTACAAAAGAACTGTGATGTCATATACATGCAGGACCTAATAAAATGCTGGTTACTCCAAATACCCAATAAGTTGTGTTGATTCATTACAGGTGGAGCAACAGGGTCACTGTGTTTCAGTGAGCTAAACCCAACCTGGATACTTTGTGTTCATGTGAACATGCTTCCACAAAAGGAAGTCGTTATGTTTGTTGATATAACCTTTTCTCACCTCCCTGTCATGCCAAACCTCTCTCTCTCATTCATTTGTCTTATAGAATTATAAAGAGAAGCTCAAACTTGATGCCACATTCTTCCTCTTGTAATAATAACTGGCATGTATGCAGTGCTTTGCAGCTTACCTGTTTTGTAAAATGTTTCCTTTGGACTGTTACTTATGGAGACCATATCTTTGTTCTCTTAGTCTAAACAGTTAGATGTCATTGATGATCCAGGCCAGCCTTTGAAAAAAAAGTGTAGTAGAGCATAATTAAGTATATAGAGTCTAAGTCAGAAAGACCCTGGTTGACGTCTCAGACTCATCAATATTTGCTGTATAACCTTGGACAAGTTACTTATATTTTCTGAACATTTGTATTGTCATCTATAAACTAGGCATAATAATTTCTACCTATTAGAATTGTTGTGATGCTTCTACACAGCAAGAGGAATCAAACGAATAGCACTATGTCTCCTACATGTGAGTGCCCAGTAAGTATTAAGAATGACTTATGATTATTGTTCTTATTTATATGTACTTATTTTCAGTGCATCCAGAAGGTCCTGCTCCTGCTCCGAATGTCTCCTTCTTGTTCCTTGGCACAATGAACATTAGATGTGCATGCTTTGGGTTAAGTACATACTTTGCTAAGGTGCTCCCATTTAAAATGCAAATTTACATGTGAATTATTGGCTTCTTAGCTTAACTTTGATATCATTTGCCTTCCAAGATGACTAAAAAGAAATGGAAAATAGGGGGACTGGGACAAGTACTTTCAGAGCATCCACTTCTCCTCAGGAAAAACAGATCAAGGAGGCAAAGTTGGAGGAATCAAGGGCATCTTTGCAGCCTGAAAGGCACTCAAAATAGCAACAAAGACTGAGGGGGATAGGAACATGGGGGTAGGGTTTTGAGAGGGAGCCCCTCTCCACAGATCTGCCAGGCCACCTCAGAGGCGCTATACTGTGCAGCATGTCAGTTCTGATCCTGAGCACCTGCATCTCTACCTGTCAGAGCATATCTGGTGATGAGCCATTTGCTTTGGCTTCTTGGCTCCTGCCACTGGATTTGAGTGTGTGTCACAGTGTGACTGTGCACCAATTATCTCCCTGTCCTCTTATAAATTTCATTCAGGCTTTGGAGCATGAATGTGATTATGAAATTACTCTAGGTCTTTCGTAAGATGTGTTGAAGCGAAATCAGACTAAAGGTAGGAAAAGAGATTGGAAAGTGCTGTCCCTAATCCAGAAGTGAGGCTAGGAGAGGCAGCTAGAATAGGATTACTTTGCCTCTCCTCCAAGGATTACTCAAGTCTTAGATCATATTTCACCACCATCAAGTCTACATCCCAATAATGACTCATTTTTGTGATCATCTTGAGAATTTCCACACAATAATCAGCTTGGTCTTAAGGTTGTTCCATTTTGGTTTTTAGGATTGATGAGCTAACTATATCCACTATTTCCCACAGTTATTTCAGTCCTATAGTCACATTAGGCAAGTGTCTCTTCCTGAGCCAGCAGGTGTCACTATTGATCAATTGAAAATAAACATGGTAGACCTACCAAGATAAAGATAGATCTACCTCTGATTAGAAAAAAAAAAAAATTAACTTGGCATTTCAAGTTAAACTACTATTGCTCAGATCCACTGAATTCCTTGTAAACAGCTGAGCTCTCAAAAGCATGTATATTTCTTCATCACCGCCTATCTGCAGATACAAGGCATGTAGAGGTCTTGTGAAAATGGAGTTGAAGAGATGGTCCTCATGGTTTCACTCCAGGACCAATGCTCTGAGACTTACTTAGAGCCTTATTTTCTATATTCTTTTTCTTTTCTCTTTATAGCTAGGAATAGTCAATCCTAATTGACCACTAAGGGAATCTTCCATGGTATATTTTAGCCCCAGAATGATTTTCCTCATTTGATATATTCCTCAGACATTAAAGTTGATTTCAGAGAAATATGTACCAGAAATAATCAGTAAATAAATCATGTAGTATACTTCAAAACCAAAATGTAACTTTGGGGAGAGATGATCTCTGACTCTGCATCATCTGAGGCACTGTTCTCTCTTTCAACACAAAACTAAACAAAAGGCAATTTGTTAAATACATTTATGCATATCCCTTTCCTTTACAAATATACACTAAATATTATTATATACAAACTACCATGCTTTCTCCATGAGGCTTACCTCAACCCCCTTCTCTTTTAGAGAATTTTCTTATATAAAATTCCTCTGTCTTTAATATTTATTTTCTCTCAATAGTTCTCTTGTGTAGTTTGGTGTATATGTATTTTTCTACTGCTAGATTGTCAGTTCTAAATTTTTTTAAAAGGTAAAAATATTGGATATGTTCTACCCACAGAACCTCTCCATTTCACATGTGGCTTATGAGAGTAGCCAGCATTGCTTGATTTCCTTTTGTAATTGAAACACCAAGAATAATGCCTGGCATAGAAGAGGTAGCCAAAAAAAAATTTTAATGTTAGGCATTTCAGTGATGGAAAAACAAAGACCCCTTCTCTGCACCCATAGTGAAATGCTTATAGTCTAGCAGGGGATGTAAAATATGCATGCAAATAGGACTTCCAATCTTGTATTAAGTCCTGTAGCAATAAAGTGCACAGGGAACTCAGAAAACGTCTCTGAGTGGCTGGCCATGAAAGGTTTGCAGGAAAAAAAACGGGCTTTAATTTAGAAATATATATATATAGAAAAGAGAGGGAAAGAAGGAGATAAAAATATTTGGCATGAAACAAATAGCAGAGCTGAGGCATAGGGACAGGGAAGCCTAGAAGATACATAGAGTATTTATTTGAATAACACCTTAATTAGGTAAAATAAATAAATAAATATAATAAAACTTAGGTCCTGCAGGCATAATTTATGTAGATAGTAGGGAATATTGAGCTTGAATCAGGAAAAATAACATCTAAAGAACTGGATATATAATATTCCATGTTTTACAGTGTTATAATTTAATATTTTAGATGGCACTATGTTACTAGCTTTGAAATTTCTCTCATACTTCCAATAATTTAACTTCTTAGAATAATTCTAAATAATTGCCTGGGAAAGTGAGAAACCTTTTTAGTTAACTTATGCATTGCCAAAGATTTTAGGGGGAGGGTGTCAACTAGAAGGAAGAGTAAGTGCAAAGGCCTTAAGTATGCTTAAGGAATCAAAAACAAAAACAAACAAAAAAAGCTACTGATGGGAAATTGAAGACTTACACTTGGAAATGGGAAGGAAGTAGGGAATACAGTCATGGTATTCTAACAGGAGGCCACTTCCTGCAGTCAATGATCTCTAGCCTTTTTTTTTTTTTTCTGTCTTTACAGTAAGAACTCAAGAGTTGATTTTAGAAGGAAGCGACTGATTGGCTGAACTCTAGTCACCTATCTGTCTCCTAGTCAAACCAGGGTAGTAAAAGAAAAAATTCCTCAGAGAGAACTTCCAGGAACCTCTTTTGCTTCCTTAGTTTGTAGTAGGCCCATAGATTTACCATTTCATCACAATACCCAATGGAAAAGAGTTAAATTCCTAATGAAAATGGAAGTATTGTAAGGAAGAGGAAAAGGTTGTTGAGTGTCCTGAAAGCAACAAATACCCACTTCAAGGTGGGGAACCACTGAAGCTTTAGACAGAGCAAAAATGGCTAATGGAAAATGGCTAGCGGAGAGGAGTGGAATAGAATTTTTTTTTCAAAGCACCACGTTGATGGAGAACCACATAAGAAGATTGTTGGCTTTTACCTGCTCTTGTCAGGACCCTCTCAGTCCCAGCATATTCAAATTTCCATTGATTAGGTCATAAACTAGGTGTTCTGAACTCACATATAATTACAGAGTGAGGATAAAGAGGAATTTTTTAAGATCAGAGAGGTATTGAATAACTAGAGTTTGGAGGAAATTCATCAACAGTGACAATAGCGCAAGAATATTATAAAATCATAAACCTTGAACAAATTGTGTGAAATGCTGATCCAGAAAAGAGCCAGATGCTAAATAAAAGCCAGAGGACCCAGCCACTTTAGCTGTTTTCTCTTCCACCGCTGACTTACAGAATGGGCTAGGTTTATACGCATGGGAAATGATACTGACCAAACACACCCTGGCAGAACCTCTCTTTTTCATCTCCTTTTCCGGTTCTGAATATCCAAGCTGAACTACAACTCTGATGACATTACCTAAACACTCGTGCTTCCATATTTCCATGCCTTACTCACGTAATTTTCTCTACCTAGTATCCATCAGATAGATACAGATAAAAAACCTCAGGTTGCCAGTATGGCAACCTCCCTATAAATTAGTCTGAGTGATTCCATCAGTTAGAAGCGATTTATCCCTCTAAATTCCCATGAAATTATAAAAGTCTCTCTCATAAAGTGCTCACTATATTTTTTGTGGTTTTCTGGTTATCTTTTTAAACCTCTTATTTCCCAAAAATAAATACAAATGATCATGGACAAACTAACTGAAATCCATACCTGTAAGAAACTTACACAGTCCTTTAACTCTGTAAGTGTACATTTCTTATAAACAGGCCCAATTTAGCTCAGTAAACAGATGAGTCACTATCTCAGTCTGCAGAATGCAGAAGGATCTGCATTCAGGTCAGTGATGATCTTGCAGGTTTTCGCAAGAACCATGAAATTGTCTTGGGTTAATATAAGTACCCATTATGTTATGGGGGATTCCTCAACGCAAAGTGAGCTTCATAGGTGTTTCCATGTCCAATGAGTGAGCACTTCTGACAATTTTTAAATGACACTTTCCCCACCTTTGGAAAGACAAAAGCGTATTCCAGACTTCCAGCTCCTTGGGGTACAGACAGTGTTTGCATTAGCTCTAAACAGCTCTTGCACAGTACCTGCATGTGATAATGAGCAGCAACTCAGAACTGATGAATGAAGTCCCTGGAGACTGTGAGAAGGACTGTCCTCATTGTGGAGTAGCCAGAACATTAAGCTCTGTCTCGGAATGGGGTTAGGTTCTAGTAGAAGTGATGGGTCCATTTAAAGCCTGAGAATATTGGAGAAGTCCTTCTATAGAGGTGATGTTATCTTCTCTAAGGAGGTTGAATTCTTTCTGGTGTATTTTTCTGGAAGTCTTTCAGAGCTGTTGGGCTCATTCTCAAGGAAAGCTTTAACAGTGAGTTGTGGTTGGCTAGTCCAGCATGCTGTTCATTTTGTTCCATCTTACAATTCCCTGCACCCACACTATTAGTTACCTGGATGGTAGATAAGCATATATACATATATGTTTCATGGGGTTATTTGCTTAGCTGACCCTAGTGTACTATAATACTGAACAGGGAATTTCATGTTGACAGCCAGAAGAAATTGCTGCCATGTAAAACCACATAATAGTACCTAATCTTTCAGAAATCCCAGTTCTCTCTAATGGCGATTTTGATAGAGACAGTCAAGATTACAGAGAGACCACCAGCTAAGGGGTTCAGGCTTAGATACCCACCCCGCCGTCCCCACCGGCCACTCTTTGGTATGAACAACATGTGTCTCAAACAAATAGAGGATAACATACTTACAGATCACTGAAAGAGCATCTTGGTTAAGAGTTCCAGAGTCAGACGTGAGTTTGAATCCTGGCTCTGCAGCTCACTTACTTTGAAGTGAATCATTAAGCCTCAGGGCTTTTTCTGTCATCCGAGGATGATTTTAAAAAATAGAATATTCTTCATTGTGTTATAAAACCTAAATGAAAAAAATCTCATGTATAAAACATTTAGCATTGTGCTGATAAAATGTTCAGTAAGCACAATGTCAACGCTGATACTGCTGCTACCACTCTGTTGTTATTCCATAATCATAGACAACAGCCTATAAAGGGCATTCAGATGCTGAAGACTTTTTTCACTTGATGGCAGGCTTCATACATGAATGCTCTTCTTCCTTCCTCCCTTCTTTTTTTACCTTCATTCAAAAATCATATGCTGATAATCTGGCCAAGATGTATATTAGGTGCTAAGGATGCAATCATGAACTACACATCTCTTCTCCAAGAGGTCATAGACAAGTAGAGAGACACATAAATTCATAATGCATTGCGATAATTACAATACTAGATGCACAGTGTAAAATGGTAGCATGAAAGAAGCAATGAATAAATCTAATAGGGAAAGAATGATCAGAGGTCAAGAAAAATGAGTGCCTAATAGGCACGATGGGAAGACCATTTCAGTGGAGAAGAAAACAGGCATAAAGGTGCTATGGGTATGCTACATGGTACATTTGAGAAACCATGAGTAGTTTTGTAAACATGTTAACACCACGCATGCAGGAGAATATAGGACTTGAGGCTGGGACCCTGGCACAGAGAACTGTATGTAAAGTTTGGAATTTAGGGAAAAGACATAGATTGCTACATGTTAGAATAATGTTTCTGGTGGGAGTGGGGAGAAGGAGTTGGAAGAAGATTTGGAGGCAGGAAGATCAGGAGGACATTGCACACATCCAAAAGAGGAAAGGTGAGCTCAAGCAGTATGAGGGAAAAGAAAGAGAAGACTGAAGGGAGATAGTCAAGAAACTCTTAAGATACTTTCCACTGCAAGTTAGAGAAGATCCAATTAAAACTGCTTAAACAATAAGAAAACGTTATGAGGTATAGAAATTCTTAGGTTGGTTAAATTAGTGGCTCAGTTATCTTACTGATTTTTCTCTCTGTGGTCTAACTTGTTCCCTTGGACCTACTTCCCTCCTGGTCCCAATGTGGCTGCTGTTAATACGGTCATCACATGCAGATTCATCAACATTGATCCAAAGATAAGAAGCTATTTAATTCCACATGCTTTTATTAACAAATGTCCCCTCATTTGATAAGCCAGAATTTTATCACATGCCCATTTCTGGACCAATCCCTTGCAAGGGGAGTGGAAAGAATATGATTGGCTTAGACTAATCAAGATTCATCCAGTCTCTCCTGAAGTGCATGGCCACTAAGTACTTGAAGAAAAATGGAATTTTCTTAGAAGAAAGAAAGAAAGCCAAAAACAGCTATTGGGTAGAAAATCACTACTGTTTGTCTGCTACAGAAATCAAAATAGATAGGCCTCAGTGACCAAGTGTATGTTAAGGCCAAGGAGTTAGAGACGGCTTTAAGACTTCTGGCTTAGGCTTCTCAGGTAATTTTATAACTATCTATATATATATGTTTCAAGAGGTTTAGTTTCAGAAGAATGAGCTGTATTATTAGAGTGTATTAGAGTGTATTCATATGTGCCTTAGGGATAAAGAAAAGCCTTGAAATGAGAGTTTATCTTAACTGCTCTAAGGAATTCAGTCTCTTGAATGAAAGCTGAATATTCATTAAATGAGTACCCTAAATTAAGCGCATTTGGGAACAATATGTGCATATCCAATGGTTTGATCTCATTTGTCAATAAAGTAAACATAACTGTGGTTGCCAGGGTTAATGCAAAATAAAATATTCTGCTTAGGAAAAAAATCCTTTTAAGACAGAACAAATTTGAGTTTTCTTCTATATATGGTCCCTCAATAAATGTTGGACTTTTTTAAATATATATATACTCACTACAAATCCTTAAGCTTGAAAACATTTATTTACCATGACCTAAACTTCCAGACTTCTATTTCCAAAGTAATCAATCTTTTCAGTCATTTTCATCAGAGCTGTTGAAAAATGCTCTTCAGTAAGGGCACATTTGGTCTCTGCCTATAGTAGGAGGCCTGTGTATTTCTAAAGACATGTTGCTATGTTACAAATGCACCATCCCGGTACTATAGACAGGAAGATAGCTGTTTGAAATTAGCCTGTATAAGCTGATAATGGGAAATATTAAATCTGAAAGAGAATTCTAAAGCAATGGTCCATGTTCATATTTTTCTTCTTCTCCTTTTCAAATAAATATTTCTTTTATTCCTTCTTTCCTTTTTTTTCAGAGAAAACACATTCGATGTTCTTAAGCAATTTGTCATTAAACAGAACTAGATGATAGATTGTTTCAGTTCATAAGCCTTACTGTCCTGTGATTTTTTTTACTACATTTTAGATAAATAAAACTTAACTTTAGCACTTTGTAAATAAAAATTTTCCCCGGGAACACGTTACTTTCCATTTGTTGTGCAAACACTAAAAAGGACGTTCTAAACATTGATTCATGTTGGAGGCAATTTCCAATTAGTGTAAACAGCGTGAAGATATTGATACTAATTTATAATGAGAGTTAAATCTTAAAGGGACACTGAACTGTTTAGGGTAAGATTTCATAGTGACAGCTTTGAGGACCAGTGATGTGTTCAACATGATTCTGAAGCAGAGGAAAAGGCACTAGATTCCACTTTATGTCTGGCATAGAGGAAAGAAGTTATAATTTTATAACTTTCAAATTAAATAACATTATATTCTATGTTGTAGAATATTACGTAATTTTCCTAGAATGTGTTCAATTTGGGACATTTATATTTATGGGCATAAAGGTGCTTCCTTCCCTCGGTAGTCATTTTCCAGTTACCTACTATGCAAAATTTTATCCCAACACTGTATAACTCCATATGAACTATTGTAACAGCCTTCCCATTGGTCTTCCTGGTCACCTCCTCTCTCCCAGTCTGGATCCATTCTATATGTTATGATTATAGAACAATACTGATCATATCATTCAGGTACTTAGTCCCTTAATGATGTTGCATCACCCACCTGGGAACACTACAGCCCTCAGCCTAACATTCAAGCTCCTGTGGGATATGACCACAATCCAACTCTCAGCCCTGTTTGCCATTGCTCTTCTACTTTTTTCATTTGCATCAATGCCCTCACTTGATGAAGGGGTTAATCATGCTACCCAGGTGTCTGCTTCTTTGAGGATAACCTATAAGTAGGGGATCATTTGCTTTTTTTAACTACACTACATATTCTTCCTGCCTCCACATATGTTCTTTCTCCTGTAAGTAGGAAACCCCCATTTCTCTCTACCTACATCTTTTCTAAATTTAAATACTTATAAAATCTTACCTCTCAGACATAGCAACTCCTATGTCTTGCTTCCCCAACAATAACTGTAGAGGTTCTTTACCTGTGATCCCATGTGATGTTCATCTTTATGGAACAGGTATGACTAGTACATTGTGCAGACAAGAACATTGTGAATTCACTCTGTCTTGAAGGTGAAAATGGCTCCATGTTGTTTTTCTGTTCATTTGGTAACTGACTAACAGAAACTGAAGAATTCTACAGGATCTGCAAGCATATACCAAGTTCACAGTCCATTTTTAGAAGGGAAATATAAGCAGAGGTTCAGAGCTTGGACTCTGGAATCATGCAGACCTGAGTCAAACCTGGCTCCCCTACTTAGTACCTGTGTGATCTTCAGCAAAGTTTTTATGCACTTTGAGCCTCTATTCCATCATAGAAGAATGGGGATTGAAATTGCTTGGTTGTCACAACAAGATGATGGTATGGTTGATGAAAAAATGCCAACAAGAACACTGAAAGGACATAAACTTTCTTTATGGAAATGGAAACATAAATTATGGACACATTATACAAAATAGAAGACAAGGCAGGAGGCTCCCAGTTGAGAATATTGGCTTCTCAGGTCTTTGTGTCCCCATGAGGTCATAAAAATTGCCAAAGAATTGCACAACTCCCGCTGCCACCATGAGAAAATTCTGCAAAGTGTGAAGCTTGCTTCTGCTGTTCTCTTGAGTGTTTTTATACCTTCCCACTTGAGTTTTCTGCCCTGGTTGTGTATGCCTGCCCACCAGACACAAATCATGGGTGTATAACAATCCTAGTACATTCATAAGTGTTTATTATATTAGATAGGCCATTTTCCCTTGTACATTCCTGAAGTCCATTACTGTTCCAATATTGCCTACCTCATTTGGTAAAGGAAAGAATTAAGCAAGAAAGCACTTAGCCCAGTGCTGGGCACCTGGTAAGTACTCATTAAATCATAGTTGCAAGTATCATTTTGGTGTTTGTGCATTACTTTTTTTCCCTTCCAATGGAGGACACAGTTGAAATGATTTAGAGTAGGTTATACAAATCTTTTGTCAGGTGGAACTACTTTGAATTTCCCCCAAGTTTTACCAGGACTAATGGGGACAATAGGAAGTAGACTGAAAACAATTATATATATATTATATACATATATATATATAATATATATATATGTGTGTGTGTATATATATATATAAATAATATATATATGTGTGTATATATATATAAATAATATATATATATATGTGTGTATATATATATATATATATATTTTTTTTTTTTTTTTTTTTTTGGAGACGGAGTCTTGCTCTGTCACCCAGGCTGGAGTGCAGTGGCATGATCTCTGTTCACTGCAACCTCTGCCTTCCAGGTTCAAGCAATTCTTGTGCCTCAGCCTCCCAAGTAGCTGGGACTATAGGCAAGCGCCACCACACTGGGCTAATTTTTGTATTTTTAGTAGAGATGGGGTTTCACCATATTGGCCAGGTTGGTCTCAAATTCTGGACCTCGTGATCCGCCTGCCTCTGCATTCCAAGGTGCTAGGACTACAGGCATGAGCCATTGCACCCACCCAACAATCATATTTTTAATGTAGAAGGTATTACTCAAGAGGAATATGGAACCAGTGCTGACCTCACTTGCATTTGTAGTAAACATTTTCTTTGTTAAAGTAGAATCAAAAAGGGTGGAGAAAGGCAATTAAAAAAAAGAGGCAGAGAGAGCTGGGCATGGTGGCTCCTGCCTATAATCCCAGCACTTTGGGAGGCTGGGGTGGGAGGATCACCTGAGGCCAGGAGTTTGAGACTAGTCTAGGCAACATGAGACTCTGGCTTTACCAAAAATTTTAAAAATTAGCTGGGTGTGGTGCATGCTTTTAGTCCTACCTACTCAAGAGGCTGAGGTGGGAGGATCACTTGAGCCCAGGAGTTTGAGGCTGCAGTGAGCTATGATCACACACTGCACTCTAGCCTGGGCAACAGAGTGAGACCCTGTCTCAAAATAAAGAAGGAAAAAGAAAAAAGCAGATAGGATAAAAGCGGTCATTTGAAATCTCTGGCAATTCTATCTGACTGTTGGAGAACTCATTTTTATTGTACCAAATTCTAAACAAACAGCATATAGTATTGAGTACCAACCGTGTATTCGGTAGGAATGCAAATATATGGCATGTTGCTTCCTCCACATTGACCTGACCTCTTATCATTGGAATGCTTCAGAGTTCAGCTTTAGTTCTGTTTTCTTTCTTCTTTATCCATACACACACATTTGGTAATCCCATCGAGTCTCATGGCTTTAAATATCAATTACTTAAAATTATGTCAATGACTCCAAAATTACTTACATCTCCATCTAGGCCTCTCTCCTAAACCCCAGATTCATATGTCCACTTGCCTACTACACATGTTTACTAAGGGATCTCAAATCTGAGATGGATTTTGACCCTAAAAGACTGCAAATGTTCCCCCTTCTCTCCAACCCCATCATCTATAGCAAAAATCCATTCCACTAGCAGCCTCCCACTTTTAGTTAAAAGTATCTACATCTTTCCAATTACTAGGACCGAAAACCTTGGAATTGTCCTCAATTCTCCTCTTTTTTCCAGACGCCCAAACTAGTTTGTCATCGAAACTGCCGGATTTACTTTCAAAATTTGTCCAGAAGCCAACCACTTTTCATTAAGTCCACTGTTACCACTAAGGTCTGAGCAATCATCCAGTTGATTCTACAACAACGACAACATTCTACAACAGTCTCTTAACTGTTCTTTCAGGTTTTAGCCTTATTCTCACTTCATAGTCTATTCTCAATTCATCTGAGTGATGCTCTGAGAACATGAATCAGACTATGTCACCCCTCTACTCAAAACCTTGATGACTTCCCATTCAAATTAAAAGCCAAAATCTGTACAATGACCTACAGGGACCTATATGATCTGACCCCATTACATCTCTAACTCATCTATAACTTCTCCAATTCTTGCTCATGCTGAGGCACTACCTCACTCCTATTCCTCTTTAATATTTTTCAAAAACATTGGCATACTCCCAACTTAGGGTCTTTATACAGCCCTTTACCTCCACCCAGAATGCTCTATCCCAAGATGTCCACTGGGTGGCTACTCTTTCACCACTTTTAAATTTAAATTTTTTCTGCAATGACCTTTTTACTGAGACTCACCCTGATGACCTGGTAATATTAAAATTAGGACTCCACATAGTTAGTCTACTTACAGAGTTTTACTTAACGAGACAGATATCCTGCAAATAAATGAAAGTATTTCAATCTTCACTCAGTATCTTCAGCTGAAAAAAAAAAGAACCATGGAAACACACTCTTAAACATCAGCAATACTTTTTAAGAATTCCCTTTTCCTATCCTCTCAGTTTCTATTGCTCTCACAAGCATGATGGCTGTTCCAGTCTCTCTCTCTCTCTCTCTCCACCCCATTCTATCCTCTCTCCTCCTCCCAAAAAATTAATTCCACTCTCATGTACACTCTCTCAATCATTTCCACTCCCGCTTCAATCTATCTCTGCTCTTTATTACATAAATAAGTTTAGCCTCTCTGGATTCCATACTTTTCTTTTTTGTTCTGCCAATTACTTGGTGTCTGACCCTCCAAAAAAATTCCTGGTCCTAGCTCAGCAAACAAGAATCTTCACCTTTGGATAAGAAATATTACAAACATGTATAATTTATAAATCTTTCTTGTAGCCTTGTTGGCTGAACAGCAATGATATAATTAGAAAAATTTCCATGTATTAAACAGTATCTGAGTTAGACTTTGAAAGCTGAGAAGAATCTCTACAGGTCAAAAGTAAGGCATCCATGTAAAGAAAAAAAAATGTACACTTAAAATGTGAAGGGATAAAATAGGTTTCCCAACTAGGGCAGCATGATAAATTTGAAGAACAAGAACTATCAGACTGGACAAATGAGATAGAACTAAATCATCTGATTGTTAAAAGCTGGAAAAAAGCTTCCAATAAGGAAGCATGAAGGTATTTGACTCATGCTTCATCTGTTTATTATCACAAAATGATGATGGTGGAGCAGTGATCATTTATTGAGTGTTTTATGTACCTCAAACCTGTTCCTTCTTTAGCCTTCTTGATTTTGGTAATTGGCAGCCCCATCTTTCTAACTGCTTATGCCAAAAGCCTCAAAGTCATTCCTAACTCTTCTATTTCTCTCATAATCTTTATCAAATTCATCATAAAGTCTTGTCTTCTTTGTTTTCAAAATATATCTAGAACCCAGTCATTTCTCACACTTCATCTGTCACCTGATTCAAGCTGCCATCATCTCTCCTCTGGATTATTTCCATGGCTTTCCAAATGGGAAATTGATGAGGTTAGAGTACCCCTCTTCTGCCTTCCTGCTGTGCTGCTCTTGGATAGCGGTCATTTCTTCTCTCATGGCTACAACTCTTACAGGACAGTGCCTTCCCATAGCTATAGATCTTTCTAACTTAGTTCAGGTGATTGTTCTCTTCCCCTAACCCTTGAGGTCTAGAGTGGTAACAGTTCTCTGCTATTGCTAGCCACAAGGTATTTCACCACACCCTTCTGGGTTCCTATAATCCTGTAGCACATTTATAATTAGTTCCTTAATTAAGCTCTCTTCAATCAATTACCCTGCTTGACTGAGCCATCTATTTCCTGAATAGACCTTGATTTGTTAATTTTTTTTTGCACGCGTGCAAAATGTGTGTGTGTGTGTGTGTGTGTGTAGAGCCAACAAAAATCCCTACCCTACCCATCCCTCAAGGGTAGGGATTTGTGATTACAACAATACCTGTTATGTAGTAGACAATTGGTAAATTTGCTGATGGATGGATAATGAATGAACAAGGCACTCTTTCTTATTCTTACAAGAACTTCATGAGATAGGAATTATTGCCTCCATTTTGAAGATGAGGATATTGAGATTCAAAGAGTAGTAACTTACTTGCCCAAGATCGTGTTGCTAGTATAAAATAACACTGATTGGAATCAACATGCTGCATTTTTCCTGATGCATTATCTTTTCACTATATCATGCAAGACCTTTCATATTGCCATTATGTGAAAGATTAATTTTATTATCCTTGTTCTGATATCAGATTATGTCACATAGTTTGTGAATTCCTTAGCTGCCTTAATTGCCCTGCAATTAAGAAATGTCTATACAAATAGGCCTTAGCTTTAGCAAAAAGTAGAAGGCTTCATGACCCATCAACCAGTAAAAAAAATTTTTAATCCAGCACATACGTTAAACCCAAACTGCACGTAAATGTTTTTTGTTGATAAGGCTGTCTATTAAGCATACTGCTAGAACAGCTTCCACAAAGTTCCATTAAGTCTCCCATCAGAGCAGAAATGAGTCTGGGCCAGAGGAATGGCTGATTTGGAGCTGGCTGACAGGAAGTGCTTCAACCCCAGAGGAGTATGCTGATGTAAAACAGAGAAGAATTCAGTTCCCACAACAGAAAGCAAAGGCTTTAGCCTTATTTTATGCCAGACTAGCTGACTCCAGGGACCATGATCTGTGTTTCTCTGAAAATCATTCTACTTTCTAATTTCTCTAAACCTACAAAAACTTTTCTCCTCCTCTTCTCTTTTATCTTCCTCCTCTATAACAACCAGGCCTTTGAAGGTATCAGGGGTGGGAAAGAAAAGGTGCTAATAGGTTAATATGTATTGAAAGAAGTCGATGAAATAAATTTTTAAAAACATCAAGCAAAATAGGCAACACCTATGCATAAAATTTCCAAGTGAAAATAAGAAAAAAGTTTCTTGAGATATGGGGATTTTTTTTTTTTTTTTTTTTGATGGAGTCTCACTCTGTTGCCCAGGCTGGAGTGCAGCAATGCGATCTTGGCTCACTGCAACCTCCACCTCCCAGGTTCAAGCGATTCTGCTGCCTCAGCCTCCCAAGTAGCCAGGACTACAGGCACCCGCCACCGCGCCTGGCTAATTTTTGTATTTTTAGTAGAGGTGAGGTTTCATCATGTTGGCCAGGCTGGTCTCGAACTTCTGACCGCAAACAATCTACCTACCTCGACCTCCCAAAGTGCTAGGATTACAGGTGTGAGCCACTGTGACCGGCTAGGGATTTTTTTTTTTTTAGACGGAGTCTCGCTCTGTCACCCAAGACTGGAGTGCAGTGGCGCCATCTCGACTCACTGCAAACTGCGTCTCCCGTGTTCGTGCCATTCTCCTGCCTCAGCCTCCCAAGTAGCTGGGACTACAGGCGCCCACCACCACGCCCAGCTAATTTTTGTATTTTTTTTAGTAGAGACGGGGTTTCACCGTCAGGTGCACTCCAGCCTGGGCGACAGTGGGAGGCTCTGTTTCGGAAAAAAAAAAAAAAAAAAAAAAAAAGAATGAAAACGGGGAGGAGGCTCAATTCAACTGTCACATAGAAAGAAAAGAGTTATGGAGGATGAGACTAGAAAGGTAAGCTGGTAAGGTGGGACAGGCTGAGCCTAGTGCCTGACTCCACCTGAGCTTTTGGTTACATAAGCCAATTAATTCCCTTTTCCCCCTTACTTATTTGGGCTGGTTTTCTATCTTTGAATCAAGACGCCTGACTAATGGTGAGGAGGCAGCAAATCATACTGCCCAAGAGAGGATGGTCCCTGACCTCATCATTGAATGCAAAGCCATTTGGAAACAACGTGTTCTGTACAAATGCTGAGCATTATGATCATCCTAATATGCGAGCTCCACACTCACCCTGAGTAGGATAGAACCTGCCCCTGACATCAAAAAGAGAAAGCTCTGTGGGTGGATGTTCCTACTGGCTTCAGAAAGCCCTTTCCATATGCATAATTAACATCGACAGCCAACCATTTCTCAGTACCCCTGCAGTAACTGATCAAGCACTTTAAAGGCTTTTCTCAGATGCCCACAATGTAAATTTGTGTGTGTCGGTGTTCACTAGCCACAGTTTAAGCTTTCTGAATCCTACACCAATGCCTTGATAATTCCTTTGTTCCAAGTTTATTGTGTAGATGCAATAAGATAATTCATGCAAAATGCTTCACACAGAAGCTGATCAGAATCTAATAAAGTCCCAGTAAGCATTAGTTTCTATTTTTGCTGTTATTATTGTCTGAACTTATTTCTGGATTCTCAAGTGCTTTGGTGATACGGTAAAAGAAAAAAGAATATAGTCATGTCTTTGGCTCCCTGAAGGTCCAAAAAGGTAGGGAAAACTAAATCAAATGGAAAGACAGCTTCTATCAGACCCCCAAGCTAAACCCCAGAGGTAGGACATAACCCCATCATCTTAGACATAAAGTCCGTGAGGGCCCCAGAACAAAGGTATGTATATGTTATTTCTTCCAGACTCCTGTGTTAAATCTTCAAGTCCTGTGCAGGGCTCTGGGAAAGGTGACCAGAATCTTTAATGAGGGCAGCAAGGACTGCTTAGGTTGCCTGAATCCTTCTCATCTCCTATTTTGTGTTCCATAGATGCACCATGCTGCCTCCTGCTATGTGGCCTTTGCACCTGCCATCCTGGCCACATGGAGTAACTTCCCTTCTACCACGTTCACAACTCACCTCAAGCTTCACTTCCCTAGAAAAGCCTTTCTTGACCCCAAGTCCAGGGCTGTTTATGTTCCTGCACAATATCATATCACACTAGTCTTTTGCTTTAGAGGTCGGCATCACAATTTGTTAATATGTGTTTGTCAGTGTGATTCTTAAATAATGGACTCCCTCACTTGACTGTAAACCTCATGTGCACACAATCCAAGGAAGTTTAGTCATTTCTTTTCCTTCCTCTTAGGGACCTAATGCAGAGCCTAACACATAGTATATGCTAAATAAATACCGGATAATTGGATGGATAGAGAGAACAAGGGATGATATCTATTGAGATTAGAGACTGGATTCATCAGTTTATTTAATCAAAACAGGTTATCTCAGAGGAATTATTGAGTCCTCAGAGAGGTGGGAAATAATCCCTTCCCTGATATCAAGTGGAAATGGTCCTTTGCTCCTTGCTCAGCTCCTCAATCAATAAATTGCCTTTTGGAGATTGATTTCTTTTAAAATATTACTTGCCTCAAAAGATGGCTTCCCCTAGAGGAACAGTTCTTATTTGCAGGAGAGATAAATGTAAAGTCTAAGACTTTTTCCTCTTGCCAAATGTGTGCAAAACAAAGTCTGCCGTACACTCCATACAACCTACACCCCCTTTCTAAATAGGAATTGCATAAGATTAATAGATACTGGTTTAAATATGCCAGCTATCTATAAGTGACCCTCCTTTGTGGTTACGTTTAGCTGCCCACTTCAAGGTAGAGGCAATAAAGTATAGTGGTTCAAAGAATGCACTTCAGGGCCAGGTGGAAATGGTTGAAACCCAGGGGCTGCTCTGCGCTATCTGTGGAACCTTAGACTAATGAACTTACTGTCAGTTTTCTCATCCATAAAATGGGGTATTTACTTCCTGGAGTTGATGGGCAGATTGAGTGAGGTACTGGCTACGAGACACTAGATGCCAGACATGGAGAAAGGCTCAAACAGTAAAAGTTATATTGCTATTCTTCCTGGATGGTTTTCTTTTTCATACTATTGACAAAAAGTGTGATGCAGTTGTGAAGAGGAAAAGGGAATCGATTAATTCCATCCCAAGGCTGAAAGATAATTTTTTCCCCAGAACAAAAAGTCCATCTATGGATAAGCTGGAGTTGTTACTAGCTAAATTAGCCAATGGTCTTTGTACAACTGTCATTATACTTCTTCTGTTTTTCGCATCTCATAGGAAACTTTTGTTCTTTTTTGTGACTGGTGATGCAAATCATGCTCTTTCACAGCCAGGACTTTGGTGATTTCTCCATTTAATGGAAGAAACACATTATTATGAAAGGCTCCCAGGTTGGAGCCAGAAAAACCTGAAGTTGGATTCCAAGTCTACACATTTTGGTAGCATGTGACCTTGGTAGCTATGTGACCTAGGGTGCATTGCTTTGTCTCTCTTAACATCAGTCTTCTACAGGGGATTGGTAGGGTGAAATGAGATGATGTTCATGCAGTGCCTAGCACCCAATGTGGGGATGGGAGTGGGGGTTGTTACTGAATCCTATCTAATTCTCCTTTTAAGGGTACATTTTTCTAATAATGCTACATAAGGAAGAATAACTTGCATAGAGTACTAGGCCAAAACTTATCCTGTTCTACTTTTGTCAGTGATTCAATATTTGTGTATGACTAGAAAAACTCTTTAACTTCTTGAGCTTCAGTTAATCTATGTTTAAAATGACTTATTCTTTGAATGAAGATCTCATTAAATGTAATTTTTCTCTCATTTCTCATTTAAGGGTAGACCAGGAAAGGAAGAGTACACTGGTCATCATAAACTTATACAGGGAACAGAATAGTTCTCTGTTATCTAATATCTATGAATCAAGCTGCATAAAAATGTATTTGCTGATGGCCCAACCTGCAATTGTGCTCTCCTCCCTTCCATCCATCCATCAAAGAATTCATTGCCAATTGCCTACTTAGAATTATGTGCCATAACTACACTCGAAACAGGGACAGAGAAAGGAAACAGGATTTGGCACAGAAATGGTTGCAGTGGCCCCACAGAAAATAGTCAAGGAATACATGCAACATAGGATGGTAGAGCTTGAGATGATTACAGCATAGGATGGAAAGGAAACTATGGGATTAAGAGGACAAAGGTCACAGAAGTTGGCTCTGAAGCTCAGACTTGAAAGATGAAAAAAAAAAAGAAGAAGGAAATATGTAGAATGCTGAGACAAGAGAGGCCGCGATTAGTATGTGGCACAATAGACATTTTGCAAAGCTCAAATGCCAAGTGGCAAAGGTACAATCGTCCTTTCTGAAGAGGATTCCTGCCAACCAGTAATTGTCACATTGCAAAACATCCTGGAAGGAATCAGAAGTTGTGCCTCTATAGAGCAAAGTTAAATGTAGGTTTTATTTTTATGTTGCCAATTTATTTAGAGAAAATCAAGCTGGACCATATAGAAAAGAAAAGCCACCTGGAAAATTGTAATGATTTGATTATTCAATCATTTAAAATACAGATGCAATTACATATTTGGAACATCTATGACTGATCTTCAAAGATGCATGAAACTGTTTTCTGAGAAGTTTCTCTCAATAGGACAGTTTTCTTCAGCTTTAGGCATAAGTCGAGAAACACTGTGTGATCAATAATTACTTTGCTGCTTGATTCCTTTCCATGGGTAGAAGCATAAACAATGTAAGACTCTAGAACATTTCAGTTGTTCAGAAAAGTATTTTACAATAAGGCCCAAAGTATTTCCTTATATCCACAACTTAGTTTTGAGGGGTCCAAGTAACACAATGTACTGGTGACAATTCCTGAGAGAGGTCTGTGTGGGCCACACATTAAAATGCTTCATTAAACCATCAAAAGTCAGTTGACCTTTTAGCAGGAAATTTTGTACAAGAAGTAGAGACTTTGTGATCCCAAAGTCACAAATTAAAGAGAAACGATTTGTTCAGAGAACACAATTCTGACATTCAATAATACCAGTTAATGTGAATTTTATTCTAACTCCATCATGATGATGTGATAAATACATCTTGCAGGAGATGCTTAATTCTGTTTCTCAAAAAGTAGTCTGTGGCTTTATTTCAACAAAGTTCACAACTATTTATTTAGTTCATCACAGGCACTGTAATAGGAGCATGAGATACATCAATGAACCATACAGACAAGACCCCTGCTCTCATAGAGCTCACATTCTAGTAGAGAGAGATAAACAAAAAAGGATAGACGTTATAAATAAGAAAACAATTTTTTTTTAGAAATAGCAAGAAAAGGAGAATAAGAATGCCAAGGGTGTGGGGGTGAGGGCTGCAATTTTCAATGTTAATTGGAATAAGCTTTATTGAGAAGGTAGTGTTCAAACAAAGGAAGTGACAGAGGTGCAGATATCTCCAGGAGGAGCATTCAAGGGAGAGGGAACAGTCCTAAGGCAGAAACAATGTGGCCAAGGCAGAAGTAATGTGGGAGTAGGAGGAGATGAGGTTGGGAGGTAATGGCAAAGTGGGGGCAGATTATTTAGGGATTGCAGTCTTATAAGAGGAATGAGGAGCTAATGGTGGGTTTTGAGTAAAGATTGAGAGATGTGATGTGTTTTAAAGGATGACTCTGGTTTCTGAGTTGAGAATAGACTATGAAGGGCAAAGTGAAAGCAGATAGACCAGTGAGGATGCTATTGCAGTAATCCAAGAATCCCATTGATGATGACTCAGCTAGGGTAAGATATGGGTAATTAAAAATGGTTGAATTCTCAGGATAGTTTGGAAATACTATCAATGCAATTTGGTGATGGATTAAATACAGGATGTGAGAGAGGTAAGAAAAAAAAAGAGTGTCAAAGATAACTCTATGGTTTTGTCCTGAAACACTGGAATTGATATGCCTTCAGTTGAGATGGGGAAGTCTGTGAGCAGGAGAGATTTGGGAGGGAGGGATGGGGAGCATTAGTAGTTTGGGTTTGGAATAGGTCAAGCTTGTGATGTCTATTAAACCTCCAAATGCAGATGTAAATTAGGCAGCCTGGAATTCAAGAGAGAGGTTAGGTAAGAGTTTAAATTTGGATATGTTTGGCACAAAAATGGCACTTAAAGCTATGATATTGGAAAAAATGAGAAAAATAAGGGGTAGAGAGAAAGAAAAGAACCAAGGTTTTGCATCAGAAATTCATGTGGATAATGAGCCAACCTTGCCAACTAGGTGCAGCCAGGAAGAGCTTCTTCTTCCACCAAGAGAAAGACCAGACCATCAAGTAAACCAGCACACTCTGTACAGATTTTCAGAAAGAGGGCATTGAGAATGAACAGAGGCAATGGGCCTGGTCCCAGCCACCCAGGGTTAGAGCACATAGCCCAGGAGTGCTGAGCTGAGCCTTAGCCCCCTCAAAGCAACCATAAAGGAAATCAATCAACTAAATCCAACTTATACCACAGTCAAACATTCAAAGGCAGCAAAGAATATTAAAGCAAAAAGCCCCATTCAAAAGACAGGAACTTCAAAGATTAAAGGAAGGAACATCAGCCTACACAAATGAGAACCAGTGCAAGAACTCTGGCAATTAAAAGCCAGAGTGTCTTCTTATCTACAAGTAAACACACTAGCTCCCTAGCAATGGTTCTTAACCAGAATGAAATGACTGGAATAACAGACATAGAATTTGGAATCTGGATGGCAAGGAAGCTCATTGACCTACAGAAGAAGGTTGAAACCTAACCCAAGAACACAGTAAAATGGTCCAAGAGTATAAATATGACAGAGCCATTTTATGAAAATCAAACTAAACTTTTGGAAATAAAAAATTCACTACAGGAATTTCAGAATGCAATTGGAAGCATTAGTAACAGAATATACCAAGCTGAGGAAAGAATCTCAGCATTCAAAGATCACTCCTTCCAATCAACACAGGCACACAAAAATAAAGGGAAAAAATTTTTAAAAAATGAACAAAACCTTCAAGAAATATGAGATAATATAAAGAGACCAAATTTATGACTCATTAGCATTTCTGAAAGACAAAGAGAGCAAGCAACTTGGAAAACATATTTGAGGATATTGTCCATAAAAATTTTCCCAACATAGAGAAGTTGACATGAAAATTCAGGAAATTCAGAGAACCCCAGTGAGATGCTATACAGGATGACCATCCCCAAGACATATAGTCATCAGATTCTCCAAAGTCATTGTGAAAGAAAGAATCTTAAAAGCAGCTTGAGAGAAGGGGTAGGTCAGATACAAAGGGAATTCCATCAGGCTAATGGTGGACCTTTCAACAGAAACCTTGCAAGACATAGGAGACTGAGGGCCTATATTCAGCATCCTTAAAGAAAAAAATTCCAACTGAGAATTTCATATAGAGCCAAAGTAAGCTTCATAAGAGGAGAAATAAAATCCTTTTCAGACAAACAAATGCTAAGGGAATTTGTTACCACTAGACATGAGCTAGAGGTCCTTAACAGAGTACTAAACATGGACATAAAAGACTAGTATCTGCCACCACAAAAATACCCTTAAGTACATAGTCCACTGACACTATAATGCAACTATATAGTCAAGTAGACGTAACAACCAGCTAACAACACAACGACAGGGTCAAATCCTGAAATATAAATATTAATTTTGAATGTTAATGGGCTAAATGCTCCACTTAAAGACACTGAGTGACAAGTTGGATAAAGAAGCAAGACCCAACTGTATGCTGTCTTCAAGAGACTCATCTCATATGCAGTGACACCCATAGGCTCAAAGTAGAGAGATGGAGAAAGATCTATCAAGCAAACAGAAAACAAAAAAGAGAAGAGATTGCTATTCTTATTTCAGACAAAAAAAAAAACACTTTAAACTAACAATGATCAAAATGGACAAAGAAGGGCATTATAATGATAAGGGGGTCAATTCAACAAGAAGACTTAACTATACTAAATATATATGCACCCAACACTGGAGCACCCAGATTCATAAAACAAGTTCTTAGAGACTTAAGAAGAAACTTAACTACACAATAATAGTTGGAGACTTCAACACTCCACTGACATTGTTAGATAGATCATTGAGACAGAAAACTAATGAAGATATTCGGGACCTAAACTTGACACTTGATCAAATAGACCTAGGAGACATCTACAGCATACTCCACCCAACAACAATAGAATATGCATTCTTCTCATCTGCACATGACACATACTCTAAGATTGACCACATGCTTGGCCATAAAGCAATTCTCAAGAAATTCCAAAAAAACAAAATCATACCAAGCATAGTCTCAGACCACAGCACAATAAACATAGATATCAACACCAAAAAGTTCTCTCAAACCCATATAATTACATGGAAATTAAACAACCTTCTCCTGAATGACTTTTGAGTAAAAAAATAAAATTAAGGCAGAAATCAAAAAATTCTTTGAAACTAGTAAAAACAAAAATACAACATACCAGAATCTCTAGGACTCTGCTAAAGCATGGCTAAAAGAATAGTTTATAGCACTAAACACCTACATCAAGAAGTTAGAAATGTCTCAAATTAACAACCTAATATCACAGCTAGAGGAGCTAGAAAAAGAAGAGCAAAACAACGCTGGAGCTAGCAAAAGAAAAGAAATAAGCAAAATCAGAGCTAAACTGAATGAAATTGAAATGCAAAAATCCATGCAAAAGATTAAGAAAACCAAAATTGGTTTCTTGAAAGAATAAAAGAGACCTATAGATCACTAGCTAGATTAATAAAGAAAAAAAAAGAAGATCCAAATAAACACAATCAGAAATGACAAAGTTGACATTACCACTGACCCCAGAGAAATACAAAAAACCCTCAGAGACTATTATGAACACCTTTATGCACGTAAACTAGAAAACCTAGAAGAAATAAGTAAATTCCTGGAAACATACAACCTCCAAAGATTGAACAAAAAGAAAATGAATACCTGAATGATCAATAATGAGTTCCACCAGTGAATCAGAAAAAGCCATAGACCAGATAGATGAACAGCCAAATTCTACCAGACATATAAATAAGAACTGATACCAATCCTACTGTAATTACTTTTTAAAATGAGGAGGAAAAACTCCTCTCTAACTCATTCTTTGGCACCAGCATCATTTTGATACCAAATCTGGTAGACACATAATGAAAAAAGAAAACTTTAGGCCAATATCACTGATGAACATAGACGCAAAAACCATCAACAAAATACTAGCAACTTGAATCCAATAGCACATCAAAAAATCAATCTGCCATGATCAAGTATTATTAATTCTGGGAATGCAAGATTGATTAAACATACACAAATCAATAAATGTGATTTATCATCACATAAGTAGAATTAAAAACAAAAACTTCATGATCTTCTCAATAGACACACAAAAGGCTTTTGATAAAATTAAATATTCATTCATGCTATAAAACCCTTCAAAGGAACTTATTTAAAATAATAAGAGCCATCTATGACAAACCCACAGCAAACATCATACTGAACAGGCAAAAGTTGGAAGTATCCCCCTTGAGAATCAGAAAAAGACAAGGATGCCCACTGTCACCACTCCTATTCAACTTAGTATTGGAAGTCCTAGCCAGAGTAATCAGGCAAGAGAAAGAAATAAAAGACATCTAAATAGGGAGAGAGGAAATCAAACTATCTTTCTTCACAGACAATATGACTCTATACCTACAAAACCCGATAGTCTCTGTCCAAAGGCTCCTAGAACTGATAAGCAACTTCAGTAAAGTCTCAAAATACAAAATCAATATACAAAAATCAGCATTTCTGTATACCAATAATGTCCAAGCTATGAGCCAAATCAAGAACACAATCTCATTCACAATAGCCACAAAAAGAATATAATGCCTAGGAATACAGGTAATCAGGAAGGTGAAAGACCTCTACAGTTAGAATTATGAAACCTTGCTGAAAGCAATCAGAGATAACACAAACAAATGAAAAAAATATTCCATGCTTATGGATAGGAAGAATCAACATTGTTTAAATGTTCATACTGCCCAAAGCAATTTACAGATTCAATGTTATTCCTATCAAACTACAAACACCATTTTTCACAGAATTAGAAAAAACTATTCTAAAATTTATATGGAACCAAAAAAGAGTCTAAATAACCAAAGTAATCCTAAGCAAAAAGAGCAAAGCCAGAAGCATCGCACTTCCCCATTTCAAACTATACTCCAAGGCTACAGGAACCAAAACAGCAAGGTACTGGTAGAAAAACGGACATGTAGACCAATGGAACAGGTAAGAGAACCCAAAAGGAAAGCTGCACGCATACAACCATCTAATCTTTGACAAAGTCTACAATACAAGTAATGTGGAAAGGACCTCCTGTTGAATAAATGATGCTGGGATAACTGGCTAGCCTTATGCAGAAGATTGAAACTGGACCCCTTCATTTCACCATATATAAGACCCAATTGAAGATGAATCAAAGACTTAAATGTAAGATATAAAACTATAAATACCCACAAGAAAACCTAGGACATATCATTCTGGACATAGACCTTGGCAAAGATTTTATGATAACATCTCCAAAAGCAATTGCAACAAAGATAAAAATTGACAACTGGAACCCAGTAAACTAAAAAGAAACTGTCAACAGAGTAAACAGCCAACCTACAGAATGGGAGAAAATATCTGCCAACTATGTATCCAACAAAGGTCTAATATCCAGAATCTATAAGGAACTTAAATCAACAAGCAAAAAACAAACAATGCTGTTTTGTTATCAAAAAGTATGTCTTATTCATTCCTTTCAATTTTTTGTACCCATTAACCATTCCCACTTCCCCCTAATAAAAAACGTGTAAATGACATGAACAGACACTTCTGAAAGGAAGACATACACATGGTCAACAAGCATATGAAAAAATGCTCAACATCACTAATCATTAGAGAAATGCAAATCAAAATCACAATGAGATACCATCTTACACATGTCAAAATGGCTATTACTAAAAAGTCAGAAAACAACGTATGTTGTATCAGAAAGATAATCCACCATGATCAAGTGGGTTTCATAACAAGGATGCAGAGATGGTTTAACATACGCAATTCAATAAATGTGATATACCATATAAACAGAATTAGAAACAAAAATCACATGATCATCTCAATAGACACAGAAAAAGCATTTGACAGAATCCAACATCCTCTTATGATTAAAACTCTCAGCAAAATTGGCATACAAGGGATATGGCTCCATGTAATAAAAGCCATCTGTAACAAACCCACAGCCAACCTAATACTGAATAGCGAAAAGTTGAAAGCATTTCCACTGAGAACTGGAAAAGACAAGAACGCCCACTCTCACCACTTCTGTTCAACATAGTACTGGAAGTCCTAGCCAGAGTAATCAGACAAGAGAAAGAAATAAAGGGCATCCAAATTGGTAAAGAGGAAGTCAAACTGTCACTGTTTGCAAATGATATGATTGTATACCTAGAGAACCCTAAAGTCTCCTCCAAAAAACTCCTAGAACTGATAAAAGAATTCAGCAAAGTTTCTGGATACAAAATTAATGTACACAAATCAGTGGCTCTCCTATACACCAACAACTACCAAGCTGAGAATCAAGCCAAGAACTCAACCCCTTTTACAATA
Source organism: Homo sapiens (assembly GCF_000001405.40). NCBI lineage: Eukaryota > Metazoa > Chordata > Mammalia > Primates > Hominidae > Homo > Homo sapiens. Next base: position 143,943,613 of record NC_000005.10, on the reverse strand, counting down.
GCTGCAAGAAACTAAAATACTTAAGAATATACATAAACAAGGAGGTGAAAGACCTCTACAAGGAAAACTACAAAACACTACTGAAAGAAATCATAGATGACATAAACAAATGGAAACACATCCCATGCCCATGGATGGGTAGAATCAATATTGTGAAAATCACCATACCACCAAAAGCAATCTACAAATTCAATGCAATTCCCATGAAAATACCACCATCATTCTTCACAGAACTAGAAAAAACAATCTTAAAATTCATATGGAACCAAAAAAGAGCCCACATAGCCAAAGCAAGACTAAGCAAAGGGAATAAATCTGGAGGCATCACATTACCTGATTTTAAACTATACTATAAGGCCATAGTCACTAAAACAGAATGGTATTGGTATAAAAATAGGCACATAGACCAATAGAACATAACAAAGAACCAGAAATAAACCTAAATACTTACAGCCAAATGATCTTTGACAAAGCAAACAAGAACCTAAAGTGGGGAAAGGACACCCTATTCAACAAATGGTTCTGGGATAATTGGCAAGCCACATGTAAGAGAATGAAACTGGCTCCTCACCTCTCACCTTATACAAAAATCAACTCAAGATGGATTAAGGACTTAAATCTAAGACCTGAAACTATAAAAATTCTTAAAGATAACATCAGAAAAACCCTTCTAGGCATTGGCTTAGGCAAGGATTTCATGACCAAGAACCCAAAAGCAAATGCAATAAAAGCAAATCAACAAGAAAAAAAAATCCCATCCAAAAGTGGGCTAAGGCATGAATTGACAATTCTCAAAAGAAGATATACAAATGGCTAAAAAACATATGAAAAAACCTCAACATCACTAATGATTGGGGACATGCAAATCAAAACCACAATGCAATACCACCTTACTCCTGCAAGAATGGCCATAATCAAAGAATCAAAAAATATTAGATGTTGGTATGGATGCAGTGAACAGGGAACACTTCTACACTGCTGATGGGAATATAAACTGGTACAACCACTATGGAAAACAGTATGGAGATTCCTTAAAGAACTAAAGGTTGAACTATCATTTGATCCAGCAATCCTGCTACTGGGTATCTACCCAGAGGAAAAGATGTCATTATATGAAAAAGATACATGCACATGCACACCCATGTTTATAGCAGCACAACTTGCAACTGCAAAAATGTGGAACCAACACAAATGCCCATCAATCAACGAGTGGATAAAAAAAGGTGGTATATATATATGCGATGGAATACTATTCAGCCATAAAAAGGAATGAATTAATAGCATTTGTAGCCACCTGGATGAGAGTGGAGACTATTATTCTTTTTTTTTTAATTTTGTTATTATTATACTTTAAGTTTTAGGGTACATGTGCACAACGTGCAGGTTTGTTACATATGTATGCATGGGCCATGTTGGTGTGCTGCACCCATTAACTCGTCATTTAGCATTAGTTATATCTCCTAATGGTATCCCTCCCCCCTCCCCCCACCCCACAACAGTCCCCGGTGTGTGATGTTCCCCTTCCTGTGTCCATGAGTGGAGACTATTATTCTAAGTGAAGTAACTCAGGAATGGAAAATCAAACATCATATGTTCTCACTCATAAGTGGGAGCTAAGCTATGAAGATGCAAAGGCATAAGAATGACACGATGGACTTTGGGGACTCAAGGGGAAAAGGGTGGGAAGGGAGTCAGGGATAAAAAGACTACAAATTTGGTGTAGTGTTTACTGCTCAGGTGATGGGTGCACCAAAATCTCATAAATCACCACTAAAGAACTTACTCATATAACCAAATACCACTTGTTCTGCAATAATCCATGGAAGTAAAAATTTAAAAAAAAATTTTTTTTAAAGTCACATCTTTCACAGCTTACTCCACCTGGAGAATTAGGTGCTCACCCTCACTCAGGATAGAAGTAGATTTCATATAGTCATAGCAATAAAAATTTGCTCGAAATGTTAAAAAAAAATAACATATGTTGGTGAGGTTGCAGAGAAAAGGGAATGTTTATTATACTGGTTGTGGCAAGGTAAATTAATTCAGCCACCATATAAAGCACTTTGGAAATTTCTCAAAAATCTTAAAACAGGATTCCCATTCAACCCAACATTCCATTACTGGGTATATATTAAAAGGAATATAAATTGTTCTACCAAGAAGTCACATGCACACATATATTTATCACAGCACTATTTACAGTAATAAAGACATGGAATCAATCTAGATGCCCATTAGTGGTGGACTGGATAAAGAAAATGTGGTACATATACACGAAGGAATACTACACAGCCATAAAACGAATGAAAATAATGTCCTTTGCAGCCACAAGGATGCAGCTGGAGGGTATTAGACTAAGCAAATTAATGCAGGAAGAGAAAACCAAATTGCATATGTTCTTGCTTATAAGGGGGAGTTAAACATTGAGTACATATGAACACAAAGATCGAAATAATAGACACTGGGCCCTACTTGAGGGTGTATGGTGAGAGAAGGGTGAGGGTTGAAGAAAACACCTTTGGTACTATGCTCACTATCTGGGTGATGAAATCATTTGTACACCAAACCCCAGTGATATGCAATTTACCCATGTCACAAATGTGCACACTTACTTCCAAACCTAAAACAGAAGTTAGAAAATAAAAAAAAATTTGAAATTCATGCATATTAGTTTCCTGTTGCTGTTGTAACGAATTACCATACATTTAGCATCTTAAAACAGCACAAAACTATAATTGTACAGTTCTAGAGCTCAAAAATCCTAAATGGATCTCATTGGGCTAAAGTCAAAATATGGGCAGGCCTGTATTCCTTTCTGGAGGCTCTAAGAGAGACTCATTTTCTTGTCCTTTCCAGCACCTAGTGGCTGCTCACATACCTCACATACCTTGGCTTGTCTCCCCTTCCATCTTCAAAGAAGGCAATGACCAGCCAAGTCTTCTCACATCACATCACTCGGACACTGATTCATTAGCTTCTCTCTTCCACATTAATGACCCTGTGATTACATCAGGCCTATCCAGATAAGCCAGTAAAATCTCTGCATTTGAAAAGCCTTAATTTAATCACATATATGAGGTTCCTTTTGCTGTGTAAAGTAATATATTCACAAATTCCAGGGATTAGGATGTGGATGTGGCCATCTTTTTTTTTTTGGAGGGGAGGATGGAAGAAGACATTATTCCACCTACAACAGTGTAGAAGCCTATTAATAATGCAGAATCCTGGGCTCCACCTTCGACCCTTGACCTACTGAATCAGTCTCTGTTGAATGGTTCCCAGGAAGCTCCCTAGGTAATTCCTATGTGCTCCATTGGCTTGGTGATGAACACAGGTGGTGATAAAAGGAGATTAGTGAGAATTTGGTCCTACTTCACCAAGACTCTGGTCCCTGTGGACAGGGTGACACTATGTGTGTCAGCAACCCTCTCAAGGTCACCACTCCTGGTCATGTTACACAGCAGTATGACTCCTTTTTTTCATGCAACCCAAAAGCAGAAGTGTTGGAGAACTCTTTTATCAAGGTTAACTCACAAAGGAACTAGTTGAGGTGGTTGTGAACAGAAGTGACATTCTACTGCAGGTACTTCCTTTAGGGGCAAAGATATTAGGACCTGGGTATTTCTCTTCATAAACATTAGAGAAGTTCCCAAGCCATGTGATATGATTATAAAACTACACTAAAATAAAATGAAAATGAAACTTTTCACACCCAGCATAGGTGTGAATGATGAGTAACTTTAACACAGGAATGCTTAAATCTCCAAACTTCTGGATTTTTTTCCTCAAGTTGACTTCAAGGACATTTTTAAGTTTGGAAGCTTCAAACTAAGAATTTTTTTTTTACAGGAATTCAAACTTCAACATTTGATTCCTAAATGTTTGTTATACATGAAATAGGAAAATGCATTTCCTCATAAAAAGTTGGATTCAGAAACAGAGAACAAAACATTAATATTTACCTTCTGATATGGTTTGGCTCTGTGTCCCCACCCAAATCTCACCTTGAATTGTAATAATCCCCATATGTCAGATGGAGATAATTGAATCATGGGGACAGTTTACCCCATACTGTTCTCGTGAGAGTGAGTGAGTGCTCGTGAGATCTGATGGTTTTATAAGGAGTTTCTCATTTTGTTTGGCATTCATTCTCTCTTGCCTGCTGCCATGTAAGAAGTGCCTTTGCTCCTCCTTTGCTTTCTGCCATGATTATGAGGCCTCCCCAGCCATGTGGAACTGTGAGTCCATTAAACTTCTTTTTTCTTTATAATTACGCAGTCTTGGGTATGTCTTTATTAGCAGCATGAGAACAGACTAATACACCTTCATATCCATCACAAAGGTAACAGATTGTTAGAGGTTTGGAGAACATCCTTCCTTCTTCCTTTATATTCTTGTCCATATATATATGCATACACACAAATTTATTTTTTATATAGCTCAGGTCATACTTTCTTTTTCATGAAATAATGTCTTGGATATCTATTCATGTCAGCGTAAATAATTTTACTTTATTCTTCTAAACTATGGTGTGCTTCTCCAGTCTGGATAAAACACTATGTACTGAACATTTTCATATTGATGGGCAATTAGGATCATCTTCCTTTTTACTAGATGTGTGACCATAGGTTAGTTACTTAACTCCCCTGGACCTTTGTTTTCCTACAGTAAAACAGTAATGGTAAATTTTACTTACCTCACCGGTTTGAGTATGTTGTAAGTAGGTAGAACATGCAAAACACTTAGAGCATATAGTAAGAAGTTAATGTTGACTATTTTTAGTGTTACAAACAATGCCTAAGCAAGCATCTTTACATATTTTTTGGTAGATATATAATTATTTTTCCAGGGTAGATTTGTAGAAGTGAAAAAAGCTAATCATAGTGATTATGCCTCTGAAATTATCACTGGCACCACCAAATTGCCTTTCAAAAATTACTCTCCAGTTGATACTTCTATCAGTATTCTATGAGAGAACTCCTGTCCCAATATCTTTACTGAGAAGGACATTAGTTTTTGAGGCTCCTCAAACATTTTGAACACCTTTTCTATGTTTTAATAATTTTACACATTAGAATCCCTCTTTTTCAAAGTAGAATTCAAAAAACTACATTTCCCACATACCTCTCCAGCTAGGAAAGCACCAGTTAGAATCATTCACTGAAAATAATCAAAAAAGAATTCCATGAGGGAGTGGCTAGACACAAGTCATGGTTTCTGCTGGCACTGGGGGTGGCAGAGGCAGTATGTTCCCAGATGGCAGCAGTCCCTCACCAGGGCAGGTCTGAAGCATTGCTGTGAGAGGTATTCTGGAATACTTAGCTTACAGCCTGTTTCTCCAACTATCCTAATTTTCTGATCATCAAATAATTTTTAACAAGCCTCATTTCTGCTTAAATTAACTAAAATAGATGCTTTTGTCTGCAACTAAGAACTCTGATAGATTCACAAAAACCTTAGCAAACAATATCTTTCAAATTTTTGGCAATCTTGTAGGCAGTTAATTTTATTACTCAGATATAAACAATGACTTTTCACATCCTTTAGAAGAAGCTGTATCTAGATGTAGTATTATCAGGAGCATTGTTTTGCATAGGGACAAAATGGTAAATCTACAATTTCTCCACCCCTTTTTATGTCATTCCTTTACTAGTATTGTTATCATCAAAACATTCTGAATAATTCATTTAGAGCTAAGGCGATTACCTGAAATCCCTTAGGTATCGTAATTTTCATTTTTGTTATATTAAAAAGTGTATATGCAAACCTTCCTTTTATCTATGATACAAGGGATTTGCCCCCATCCTTAGAGTTTTCAGGGAAATATTTTTTTCAAAAATCATTTATAAGGAATTCTAACTCTTCTCTGTTTTATGTATCAAATAAAAATTTATAATAAATACATTGGCATGGAATTGTATGATTAAATATTGAAGAACACGGTTTGAGATTCTTTCTACTTTTGATAACTTTCTACCAATACAATAGATATTTACAAAGTGTGCAACGAGTTGAAATATGTTGGTATGCAAATTAGGAAGCACTGTTCATTATTCTGTGGGGGCAGAAACCTGCCACTTTCTTTTTTAAAAAAATTTGTGGATACATAGCAGGTGTATACATTTATGGGGTACATGAGATATTTTGGTACAGGCCTGCAATGCATAATAATCACATCATGGAAAATTAGCTATTTATCCCTCAAGCATTTATCCTTTGGGTTACAAACAATCCAATTATATTCTTTTAGTTACTTTAAAATGTACAATTTTTATTGAACATTTTAAAATTATTTCCCCCCTGTTGTTCTATCAAATACTAGGTCTTATTCATTCTTTCTATTTTTTTTTTTTTTGTTTTACTCATTAACCATCCCCATTTCACCCCACTCCCCCACAGCCACCCCTTTTCACCTTCACACTACCCATCACAGCCTCTGGTAACCATCCTTCTACTCTCTATGTCCATGACTTCAATTGTCTTAATTTTTAGATCCCACAAATAAGTGACAACACGTGATGTTTGTCTTTCTGTATCTGGCTAATTTAGCTTAACATAATGAACTCCAGTTCCATCCATGCTGTGCAAATGACAGAATCTCATTCTTTTTATGGCTGAATAGTACTCTATTGTGTATATGTACCACATGTTCTTTATCCATCCATCTGTTGATGGACACTTAGGTTACTTTCAAATCTTGGCTATTGTGAACCGGGCTGCAGCAAACATGGAAGTGCATGGTATACTGATTTCCTTTCTTTGAGGTATATACCCAACAGTAGCATTGCTGGATTGTATGGTAGCTCTATTTTAGTGTTTTGAGGAATCTCCAGACTGTTCTCCATAGTGGTTGTACCATTAATAATACACATTACCAACAGTGCATGAGGATTCCCTTTTCTCCACATCCTCACCAGCATTTATTATTGCCTATCTTTTGAATAAAGTCCATTTTAACTGGAGTGAGATGATATTTCATTGCAGTTTTGGTTTGCAATTCTCTGATGATTAATGATGTTGAGCATATTTTCATATGCCCTCATTCATATGTCTTCTTTTGAGAAATATCCATTCAGATCTTCTGCCCATTTTTTAATCAGATTATTACATTTTTCCCATATATATATATATATATATATATATATATAAGCTTCTTTTATATTCTGGTTCTTAATCCCTTGTCAGATGGGTAGTTTGCAAATATTTTGTCCCATTCTGTGGGTTGTCTCTGCACTTTGTTGGTTGTTGTCTTTGCTTTGTTAGTCTGGCTAAAGATTTGTCAATTTTGTTTATCTTTCCAAAAAAAACAGCTTTTTGTTTTATTGATCTTTTGTATTGTTTTCTTAACTTCAAATTCATTGATTTATGCACTGATATTTATCATTTCTTTTCTTCCACTAAATTTGGGTTTGGCTTGCTCTTGCTTTTCTAATCCTTTAAGATGAGTTAGATTATTTATTTGAGGTTTTTCCTTTGTTTTTGTTTTAGGCACTTAATCGCTATACATTTCCCTCTTAGTACTGCTTTCTCTGCATCTTACAGGTTTTGATATGTTGTGTTTCCATTATCATTCACTCCAATAAATTTTTTAGTTTTCTTCTTAATTTCTTCATTGACCCACTGGTCATTCAGAAGCATATTGTTTAATTTCCATGTGTTTATATATTTCCAAAATTCCTCTTGTTATTGATTTCTAGTTTTCTTCCACTGTGTTCAGAAAAAATGCTTGATATCATTTCAATGTTTTAAGACTTGTCTTGTTTTATGACCTAAAATATGGTCTATCCTTGAGAATGACCCATATGCTGAAGAGAAGAATGTATGTTCTGTAGCCTTTGATGAAATGTTCTGTAAATATCTATTAGGTCCATTTAGTCTATAGTACAGATTAAGTCCAATGTTTCTTTGTTGATTTTTTGTCTGGGTGATCTGTCAGTTGCTGAAAGTGGGGTGTTGAAGTTTCCAGCTATTACTATATTGAGACCTATCTCTTTCTTTAGCTGTAATAACATTTGCTTTAAACATCTGGGTGCTCTAGTGTTGGGTGCATATATATTTACAATAATTATATCCTGTTGATGAATTGACCTCTTTATCGTTACATAATAAATAACCTTCTTTGCCTCTTCTTACAGCTTTTGTTTTAAAACGTATTTTTTGGTTTCCATTGACATGGAATAGTTTTTTCCATTCCTTTCTTTTATTTTCTTTACATTTTTTTTCTTCTTTTGAGACAGAGTCTCACTCTGTTGCTCAGGATGGAGTGCAATGGTGCAATCTCAGCTCACAGCAACCTCTGCCTCCCAGGTTTGAGCAATTCTCCTGCCTCAGCCTTCCAAGTAGCTGGGATTACAGAAGTGTGCCACCATGCCCAGCTAATTTTATATTTTTAGTAGAGATGGGTTTCACCATGTTGGTCAGGCTGGTCTCGAACTCCTGACCTCAGGTAATCCACCTACCTCGGCCTCCCAGAGTGTTGGGATAATGGGTGTGAGCCACCATTCTCAACACCTTTATTTTCAGTCTATGTTTCTTTATAGGTGAAGTGTGTTTCTTGTAGGCAACAGATCACCAAGTCTTGTTTTTTTATCCATTCAGCCATTCTGTTTTTTTTTTTTTTAATTAGAGTTTAGTCCATTTACATTCAATGTTTCTATTTATAAGTAGGGACTTACTTCTACCATTTTGTTATTTGTTTTTTGGTGGTTTTTGTGGTCTTTTTCTGCTTTCCTTCCTTCCTGTCATCCATTTAGTGAAAGTGATTTTCTCTGGTGGATATGCTTTAATTTCTTTCTTTTTACTTTTTGTGTACCCATTGTATGTTTTTCTATTTGAGGTTACCATGAGGCTTGCAAATACTATCTTACAACCCATCATTTTAAACTGATGATGACTTAACAATGATTGCATAAGCAAGCAAACAAACAAACAAAAAGAAAACTAGTAAAAACGCTACACTGTAACTTTGTATCCCTACTTTTAAACTTTTTATTGTTGCTATTTATATCTTATTGTACTTTCTGTCTTGAAACGTTGTAGTTATTTTTTATTGGTTCATCATTTAGTCTTTCTACTTGAGAAGTTTTCACACCACAACTACATTGTTACACTATTCCATGTTTTCTGTGTGCTTACTATTGCCAGTGAGTTTTGTATTAATATCTTCAGATAATTTCTTCTTTTTCATTAATATCCTTTTCTTCCAGATTTAAGAACTTCCTTTATCATTTCTTGTAGGACAGGTCTAGTATTGACAAAATTCCTCAGCTTTTGTCTGTGAATGTCTTTATTTCTCCTTTATGCTTAAAGAGTATTTTCACCAGATATACTATTCTAGAGTAAAAGTTTTCTTTCTTTCCACACTTTAGATATGTCATATTAATCCCTCTCAGCCTGTAAAGTTTCCACTAAAAAGTCTGATGCCAGATGTTTTGGAGCTCCATTGTATATTATTTGTTTCTTTTCTCTTGCTGCTTTTAAGATCCATTCTTTACCCTTGACCTTTGGGTGTTCGATTATTACATGCCTTGAGTAGTCTTCCTTGGGTTAAAGCTGCTTGGTGTTCTATAACCTTCTTGTACTTGAATGTTGATATGTTTCTCTAGATTAGGGAAAAAGTGAGGTGTTGAAGTTTCCAGCTATTACTGTATTGAGATCTTCCCAATCTATCTGTTGGGAAGTGCTCTGATCCCTTTCAACAAACTTTCTAACCCTCTCTCTCTCTACTTCCTCTCTAAGGCCAGTAACTCTTAGATTTGCCCCTTTGATGCTATTTTTTAGATCCTATAGGGATGCTTCATTGTTTGTTGTTGTTGTTGTTTGTTTGTTGTTTTTATGAGATAGAGCCTTGCTCTGTTGCCCAGGCTGGAGTGCAGTGGCATAATCTTGGCTTACTGCGACCTCCACCTCCCAGGTTAAAGCAATTCTCTTGCCTCAGCCTTCTGAGTCACTGAGACTACAGGCACATTCCACCACGCCCAGCTAAATTTTGTATTTTCAGGAGAGACAGGGTTTCACCACGTTGCTAAGGCTGGTCTTAAATACCTAACCTCAAGTGATCCACTTGCCTCAGCCTCCCAAAGTGCTGAGATTACAGGTGTGAGCCATTGTGCCTGGCTGCTGCCTCATTGTTTTTTATTCTTTTTTTCTTTTATCTCTTCTGGATGTATATTTTCAAATAGCCTATCTTCAAGCTCACTAATTATTTATTCTGCTTGATCAATTCTGCTATTAAGAGACTCTGATGTATTCTTCAGCATGTCAACTGCATTTTTCACCCCTAGAATTTCTGCTTGATTCTTTTTAATTATTTCAATCTCTTTGTTAAATTTATCTGATAGTATTCTAAATTCCTTCTGTGTATCATCTTGAATTTCTTTGAATTTCCTTAAAACAACCATTTTGAATTCTCTATTTGAAAGGTCACATATCTTCATTTCTCCAGGCCTGGTCTCTGGTCCCTTACATAGTTCATTTGGTGAGGTCATGTTTTCCTGGATGATGTTGATACTTATATATGTTCTTTGATGTCTGGGCATTGAAGAGTTAGGTGTTTATTGTAAACTTCACAGTCTGTTCTTCTTGGGAAGGCTTTCTAGGTATTTGAAAGGACTTAAGCCCTATGCCCAATAATACTGTGGGTTTTGCAGACTTCTGGAGGTATTGTTTTGGTGGTCTTGAATAATTTCCAGATGAATTCTCTTTATCACCAGGCACTCTTGCTCTTTTTCCTTACTTTCTCCCAAACACACAGAGTCTGTCTATGCTGAGCCACCTGGAACTTGGGGTATGGTGATGCAAGCATCTCTGTGGCCACCACCACTGGAATGGCATTGACTCAGACCTGAATCTAGCACAGCCCTGGGCTTTTCCCAGTGCCTTTCCCTTTAGTGTAGCAAGTTTCTCCAGGCCCCAAGTGTGTCCAGAGATTCTGTCTGGGAACCAGAAACTGCAGTCAAAAACCTTAGCAATTTACCTGATGTTCTATTCTACGGCAACTAAGCTGGTACTCAAACCACAATACAAAATCCTTCCTACTTTCCTTTCCCTTTACACAGGCAGAGGAACCTCTCCCTGTTGCGGTCATAATCACTGGTCCACAGGTGCTTCTACCTGGCCATCACCAGTGTTCACTTAAAGCCCAAGGGCTCTTCTGTCAGCTTGTGGTAAATGTTGCCAGGCCTAGAACTCACTCTTCAGAGTAGTGGGCTCCCCTCTAGCCCAGGGTAGTTCCACAAATGCAATCTAAGAGCCTAAGCTTGGACTTGGGGACCCTAAGAACCTGCTTGTTGCTTTACTCCACTGTGACTGAACTAGTACCTAGGGTGCAAAAGAAAGTCCCCTTTACTTTTCCCTCTCCTTTTCTCGAACAGGAGGAGTATTTCACCATAGCCACCACAGCTGAGAATGTGCTGGCTCTCCCCTGAAGCCAGCATATCTCAGAGCCCAAGGCCCACATGTACTTCCTGGGTGTTGCTGGTAGTTATTCAGAGACCAAGGACCTGCTCTTAAGTCAGCAGGTAGTTAATTCTGCCAGGACTGGATCCTTCTCTTCAAGGCAGCAGGTTCCCTTTTCTCAAAGAGTGTGTCTGAAATCTGGGAGACAGGGCCTGGAATGAGGGCCTCATTACTCTGCTCAATGATTTATCATACTGTGGCTGAGCTGGTATCCAAGAGGCAAGACACAGTACTCTTTACTCTTTGCTCTCCTCTCCTGAAGCAAAAGGAAGGAGTCACTTTTTGTGACTATTAACTGCACTGCCTGGGATTGAAGAAGGGATGGCACAAGTGCTCCTTAGCTGTGCCAGCTGCTGTCTCCTTAGGTCATGTGCTGCCCTAATTCACTGGCTCTAAGCCCAGCCTAGCGCTAGGAGTTGCGTAGGAACTGCAGTCTTCATGTCCTAGGCTACCTTTTGAATTTATTTAGGACCCCAGAACACTTCAGCTTATGATGGTAAGGCTTGCCAAGAAACTCAAATTCTGACTGCTGGGATAGGTGATTCCTCTGGCTAGAGCTGATCCAAGTGCTCCCTCTGTGCACGAGTGCTGGCTCAGACCAGCACAGCTTTATTCTCCGCTGTCACAAGGCAGCACTGAGATCAATGTAAAGTCCTCCAGTCTCTGTGCTCTCCCTTTCCAAAGTGCACAGATTCTCTCACTGTGCTGCAACACCACTGCTGGGGAATGGGGGAGGGGTGGCATCAATGATTCAAGACTGTCTCCCCTGCCGCCTATCAATGTCTCTTTCCACTATAAGAAGTTAAAAACACATACCGTAATTGCTCACCTGATTTTTTGTTCTTGTGATGATATTTTTCTGTGTGCAGATAGTTGTTAAAATTTGATCTTCTAGCTGGGAAGGTGGAAAGTGTACACTTATATTCTGCCATCTTGTTCTGCTCCCTGCTGTCATTTTCAATGGTAAATTGATTCATAACTTTTAATAAAGCATGGAGTAATCCTGTCAAAAACAATGTCATGCTATTTTTCCTAATTGCATATGCACAAATTTTCAGAAAGCTAATTATTCTGTGGACCAATATATTGAACACTTATAGCTATTATTTTCACTTTCTAAAGAAAAGAAAAAATAAATAGGCACTATCTTAGTCAACTTAGACTGCTCTAACAAAATACCACATACTGGGTGGCTTAAACAATGGACATTGCTTCTCACAATTCTGGAAGTTGGGAAGTCCAAGATCAATGTGCCAGGAGATTCAGTTCCTGATGAAGGCCCTCTTCCTGGCTTAGAGACAACCACCTTGTTGCTGTGTTCCTACATGGCAGAACAGGTAGAAATACAGAGAGCTCTGGTCTCTTCCTCCTCTTCTCCTTTATTTATTTATTTATTTATTTATTTATTTATTTATTTTTTGTGATGGAGTCTTGCTTTGTCACCCAAGTTGGAGTGCTAGTACCTAGGGTAGAAAAGAAAGTCCCCTTTCATGTGGTGCAATCAAGGTAGCCTCAAATTCCTGTGCTCAAGTGATCCTCTTTCCTTAGTCTTCCAAGTAGTTGGGACTACAGATACATACCACAACACTCAGCTAATTTTTAGTTTTTTTTTTAAGAGATGGGGTCCCACTACGTTGACCAAGCTGGTTTTGAACTCCTAACCTCAAGCGATCCTCCCACCTCAGCCTCCCAAAGTGCTGGGATTACAGGCATGAGCCACTGCACCCAGCTCTTCCTCTTCTTATAAGGACACTAATCCTAGTATGGGGGTCCTATGCACTTGACTTCATCAAAATCTAATTACCTCCCAAAGGCCCTACCTCCAAATGCCATTACAATGGGGGTTAGAGCCTCAACATGCGAATTTGAGGAGAACACAAACATTCAGTTTGTAATAGTTAGATTGCAAGCTGCAAATCCTGAAGAATCTTTTCACTTTATCCCCAGCTGACCAAAAATAATTAGTCCCCTTAACTTCACCCTGCATTTATTTTAGCAATGTATTAAATTAGAGCACATTGGCAAATGCACTTTAATAACAAACATCTAATTCTTTATTTAACTTTCAGATCTACAAATGAAATAAATTATCTATTTACATGCATCACTAGACCATCTGGTTCCATGTGAGGACCTAACACAGAATCCACTAATTGTCATCTATGTTTATTCATTATTCTTAACTCATTTTCTTAAGATAATATCTAGGGCCTTTAGCAAACAATCTTCACCATTAGTCAACAACTTGGTTTCTTTAACTAAATAGAACAGGGCTAAAGATCCCAGCAAAATTTGTAACTAAGAAAATTAATTGTTAGTCAACTCCATTGTGCCATTCCTATTTTGCAGAGAAGGAAAAAGGTGGGCAAAGTATAGATTTTAAAGAGCCTTAAGGAATTAGAACCAGAGGTCACTATTTCAAGAGTTTGTTTGTTGCTTAGGAAATTAAGTTCTTTTTTTCAAGGGCATTCCTGACATTCTTTCTTCCAGGTTATTTCTGTGCCTTTCTTAGAATACAGTATTACCCTCAACATTTGCAAATACCAGGATTGAGAAGCTCACACATAAGCAACCAATATGCTAATGAGGAGGAAAAAATACCAAAAATATAGAACAACAAATAACTAAAACAATATGTTTTTGATTTGTTTTCAAATTATATGCACAAAAAATAAAAGGAAAAGTCCAATGCATTGCAAAAGCATCATAACTCATCTTTTGGCAAAGACCAAGGTGGAAAATTATTTTATGGTTCTTTTTTTATTTTATTTTTTTTGGGGACGGAGTCTCACTCTGTCGCCCAGGCTGGAGTGCAGTGGCACCATCTCGGCTCACTGCAAGCTCCGCCTCCCGGGTTCACCGGATTCTCCTGCCTCAGCCTCCCGAGTAGCTGGGATTACAGGCACGCGCTACCACGCCCGGCTAATTTTTTGTATTTTTAGAGGAGATGGGTTTCACTATGTTTGCCAGACTGGTCTTGAACTCCTGACCTCGTGATCCGCCCACCTTGGCCTCACGAACTGCTGGGATTACAGGCATGAGCCACCACGCCCAGCCGGTTCTCTTTCTTTAATAAATGTAAGCCAGGCAGTAGTCAAACATACCTCCTACTCAATTTTTTGTTTAAACATCACTTTTCCTAATCCTTTGAGCCGGTTTAGTTCTCCCTTCTGGACACACCGTAACACCTTTCACTTCTCTGTATAATTATTTGTAATTATGTGTTATATGTGTTGTGTGGTTATACTGTCAATGCCAAGAGGAGCAGTGACCTCTGCTATGTTCTCAGCAGAAAAAAAAAGTTCTCATTAAATATTTGTTAAATATAAGAACAGGATAGACATAATACATCTTCCTGGAGTACCAATTTTACTCACAGATTTGGTGTTTTTAAATTAAAATAAGAACAGTATCATGATTACAAACACCAAATATCAGAGTAAAATTACAAAATTCACATGAATTTTCAAGAAAAAATTGAAAACATCTCCCAGGTGTCATGCTTAGTTTCCTCCACCATTAATGCTATTTTGGAGAAAAAAGTAATGACACATTGATGTGGTGGGTTTGAGTGTGTTGTTCCAAAGATCAGCTAATTGAAGCCAACCAAGCTAAGATATTTCATCATGAAAAGAGATGTGATTTCTGCCTTCCATGGAGAAAACAAGAATAGCCAAAGTAATGAAGAGGAAAGTGTGCCCTGGACAAGATTTTTGTTTGTTTGTTTGTTCGTTTTTTTTTGTTTGTTTTTTTTTTTTTTGAGACAGAGTCTCACACTGTCTTGCCAAGACTGGAGTGCAGTAGCTCTATCTTGGCTCACTGCAGCCTCTGCAGTGGTGTGACCTCGGCTGACTGCAGCCTCCACCTCCCAGGTTCAAGCAATTCTCCTGCCTCAGCCTCCCAAGTAGCTGGGACTACAGGCACATACCACCACACCTGACTAACTTTTGTATTTTTAGTAGAAACAGGGTTTTGCCATGTTGACCAGGCTGGTCTCAAACTCCTGACCTCAGGTGATCCACCTGCTTCAGCCTCCCAAAATGCTGGGGTTATGGGCATGACCCACCATGCCCAGCCTGCCTGGACAAGTTATTTTAATGCCTCAATTTTTCCAACTATAAAATGAAGGCCTTCAGTTGGATGCTCTCCAATGGCCCCTGAATCTCTAAAATTCTGTTGTGCATGAACTCTTGGGTTTTTTTGGTCTACCATCATTCTCACATCCACAAAATGGAAAAAGTAAGGAAGCAAACAATCATGGTATTTCTTCTTCCTTTCTTAAGCTTCTAAGTGTAACATTTGTCTTTTGAGTAACAACTGTAAATGCTATGCCATTGTTTCTTTCTCTTTTTATGAACTTGCAGACCCATTCATAAGTCTAAAGGAGAAGGAAAAGTACAATCAATATCAAACCACAGAAGTATATTTTTATGGATCAGCCACTCAGCTGTTAACAGCTGAGATGCTATCATGTATTTCATCATCACAACCAGAAGTAATGGAAAATATTTTATGGAAAATATTTTAAATGCTAAGTTTAAAGAGGGGAAGCCTATTTTATAACATCTTTTTTTGCTATTTCATCCTTTCACCCTCTTTTTCTTTCTCTGGGCTTGACATTTTAGCTTTATATAAACAAGTTTTGCAAGACTATGTATAGTAACTATTAATTCTATAACATTAATACAATCCCTCAGGGGTTATTAGATGAAACAATTGCTGTGCCTCTGTACCAAGTAAAGATTTTCTAAGCACAAATAAAAGAGAAACAGTCAATGTCAGTGTGGTGCCAAACACTGATAAAAAACAAGTGGGGCCAGACGAGGTGGCTCACACCTGTAATCCCAGCACTTTGGGAGGCTGAAGTGGGCGGATCACGAGGTCAAGAGATTGAGACCATCCTGGACAACATGGTGAAACCCCATCTCTACTAAAAATACAAAAATAAGCTGGGCGTAGTGGTGCTCACCTGTAGTCCCAGCTACTCGGGAGGCTGAGGCAGGAGAATCGTTTGAACCCGGGAGGCAGAGGTTGCAGTGAGCCGAGATCACGCCACTGCACTCCAGCCTGGTGACAGAGCAAGACTCCACCTCAAAAAAAAAATTAATTAAAATAAAATAAACAAGTGATTGATATGCAAGCAAAGGAAACTAATATAAAACCTTATACTTTTCCCAGTCTGTGTGTATTGCCTAGTGGTTGCTTAATTCAATAAATCTCTACCCAAAAAAAAAAAATCCTGGTTTTGTTCTATTATATTGTCTTGTAACCAAATACATCCAATACATATCTGCTTCAAATGTGATTTTAAGGTATTAGTGCTGTTTATGTGGGCTCTATATTAATGATAATAAAAATGCATGCCAAGCACTTCTATGGCATACCATGTATGCAATCTAAGAGCTGGCAAAATAAGAAATCAAAATCAGAGCTCCTAAATTCAAAAGTCAGACAATTTGAAGTGTTTTTAAGTCTATTGGAAATGGGAACTCTAGTACACTGCCGGTGGGAGTATAAAATGCTACAATCACTTTGGAGAGCAATTTGGCAATTATCTAGTAAAGTTCAAAATGCAAACACCTCCAACCCAGAAATTTCACTGCTAGATATATAGCCTAGAAACCACACGTGTACATGTACACAAGAAGTCTTTTGTAATAGGAACAAAAATGGGGAGTGCTGGACAGCACTAAATGTCCTTGATAAATGGTTGGATAAACTCTGATGTAGTTATAAACTGGAATACTACATAGCAGTTAACATAAATAGGTATACATATATGTATT
Source organism: Homo sapiens (assembly GCF_000001405.40). Lineage (NCBI taxonomy): Eukaryota > Metazoa > Chordata > Mammalia > Primates > Hominidae > Homo > Homo sapiens. The sequence continues at coordinate 143,926,370 of NC_000005.10, read as the reverse complement.
AAGTTGGACAGATACCACATTTAGTTAAAAAATGCAAATAGCGGTCCCGGTTCTTGTGTAAGAATTCTGACTGCACAGCCCTGCACTTCGGCTGTGTGTAATGAAAAGGGTTGGGATCAGTCAGGGAGAGCTAGCATGGGGGCAATCTTTAAAGCTGTCTTCGGAGGCCTTTCCTACAGGGTCTAAAAAGGCCGCCGCAGTCATTTCTTCCCTTCTGTCAGTCATAATTCCTCAGTTTCGCCTTCCCACCTCTATACAGTCTGAAAACGGACCATCCTTTATTAGTCAAATCAGCCAAGCAGTTTTTCAGGCTGTTAGTATTTAGCGAAACCTTTATATCCCTTACAGTCCTCAGTCTTCAGGAAAAGTAGAATGGACTAAAAGTCTTTTAAAAACACACCTCACCAAGCTCAGCCACCAAATTAAAAAGGACTGGACAATACTTTTACCACTTTCCCTTCTCAGAATTCAGGCCTGTCCTCGGGATGCTACAAGGTACAGCCCATTTGAGCTCCTGTATAGATGCTCCTTTTTATTAAGCCCCAGTCTCATCCCAGACACCAGACCAACTTAGACTCACCCCAAAAAACTTGTCATCCCTACTGTCTTCTGTCTAGTCATACTCCTATTCACCGTTCTCAAGTACTCATAAATGCCCTGCTCTTGTTTACACTGCCAGTTTACACTGTTTCTCCAAACCATCACAGCTGATATCTCCTGGTGCTATCAATTCATACAAAACCATATCCAGGCCATCACCAATAATTCTACAGAACAAATGTTTCTTCTAACAACCCCACAATATCACCCCTTACCACAAAATCTTCCTTCAGCTTAATCTCTCCCACTCTAGGTTCCCACGCCGCCCTTAATCCCGCTCGAAGCAGCCCTGAGAAACATCGCCCATTATCTCTCCCTACCACCCCCAAAAATTTTCGCCATCCTAACACTTTACCACTATTTCATTTTATTTTTCTTATTAATTTAAGAAGACAGGAATGTCAGGCCTCTGAGCCCAAGCTAAGCCATCATATCCCCTGTGACCTGCACGTACACATCCAGATGGCCAGTTCCTGCCTTAACTGATGACATTCCACCACAAAAGAAGTGAAAATGGCCTGTTCCTGCCTTAACTGATGACATTATCTTGTGAAATTCCTTCTCCTGTCTCATCCTGGCTCAAAAGCTCCCCTACTGAGCACCTTGTGACCCCTACACCTGCCCGCCAGAGAACAACCCCCCCTTTGACAGTAATTTTCCTTTACCTACCCAAATCCTATAAAACAGCCCCACCCCATCTCCCTTCGCTGACTGTCTTTTCAGACTCAGCCAGCCTGCACCCAGGTGAAATAAACAGCCTTTTTGCTCAAAAAAAAAAAAAAAAAAAAAAACAATGCAAATAACAGAATGCAAAATATAAAATAGACCATTTTTATAAAATTTCGAGTCACAAATAATGCTATAACATTTTGTGTCTGCCTAACTAGTAAAATATGAAATCATGAATTGGAGGATATTCAACAAGTTCCAAAGAGATGCTGACTCTGGAGAGGGAGAGAAAGAGAAGGGGATATTCCATCTGGAAGGGATACAAAAATACTGCAGCTTTCTTTGTAATGTTTTATTTTGTCTTTATTAAACACAATTTTAGAAGCATATATGGCAAAATGTTAATTAATTCTGGGATGAGGACACATGAATATTTTCATACTATGTACTTTTCTGTGGTAATTGTTTTTCCAAATAAAATAACAAAACTTCAGTCACTTTTTGTTACTCAGTGCACTGTAATACTGTATCAGTTGAATTTAAGGAACCGTGACTCTAAATTGTTAAATATACTGCATTTTATTCATTTACAGTGTTTATACTGGATGACTAAACTAGGGCGTTGGAACACGGTCCATGGAATTTCAGTCTAATTAGTTCTCATTTATATGCTTGGTAAATGTAGGGAAAGTAGAATTTTAAACATCTGTTTATTCAAGGTACACAAACCAGAAAATGTTTTCTTTGGTTTTCTAATATTATCCTGTGCCAACATGAGTATTATCATCAGTTTACAGGATTTTTCCCACTGAGAGATTCAGGGTTAATGTTGCTATATAAATGGCACCTGGATCCTATTTTGGGAGAATTTATATATCCGTACAAAGTGTGGAAACGAGAGAATTTTAGTGCAGAGCGTCTCATTTAAGTATAAACAATATGAAAATCACTTTTCATGCTATAGAGTTGTAGCTTTTTCTCTCTCATATTTCCTGCAAGTGTGACTCATCTTGTCTGAGCCCTAGAGCTGACATGGATAGTTACCTAGGTCTCAGTAAGAAACTGAAAGAGAACACAGGCAAGGGAGAAAGGTAGAAATAAGGTTTGGCCTAAGAAAGACTTGGGTTTAAATTCTGGCTCTGTCATTTGCTCATTGCATGACTTTAAGCAGACTACTGAAGCCCAGCTGTAAATCAGAGATAATTAGAGTGATGCATCATGGATTGGATGAGAATTAAAGGAGATCCAGCATGTACATGCATTTCAGAGCAAAACCAAGACATGGTACACTCAGGAGTGGTGGCCATTGTATTTATTGCTGTTGTTGCTGTCGCCATTATATCTAAAGGGCCTAAATCCTTATTTCCTTTTAGCAGGCACAAAGCTATGCCCACTTAGAATCGAATTCAGCAAGTTGTTTGTGCTTCTTTGATATGCTGCTGCTGACCTAGTAAGGGATAAAGAACGAGGAAAATTTGGAGCCTTTTTAGAGAATATTAAGGATGAACCTCACCAAGGTTTGATTTATTTTTCTTTTTATTTTTTGTTTAGTTTCATTAGTTTTTCTTTTACTTTTTTTTAAAGCTTTTTTCAAAGAGGAGATGGGAAGCTATTTCTTAAGGAGACAAAGACATCGTTGTTGCCATCCAATTCCAATTTCAGTTCTCTTTCTACTCACAGTTTCATCCTCCTGGTTCTCACTTTCTCCTTCTAATAAATGCACCCCATATTTCATTACAAAGATCATTTCTTTCATCCACACTCAAGGTTGAAAATCAATCTCATAGACTACTTCCTCCTTAACTGTTTGCTGATAATGACTTAAACCCATTCACTTTCCCAGAATAAGAACAATAAAGGTAGTATTTTAATAGTGAAAGTTTTCAAAAACTTTTTTACTAGTGAAAGGTTTCAAAAAGTCTTTAAAAGTTGCTAATCCTAGAATTTCAGTATTGTGACAGGATGGCAAAATAGCCACTTTTGTGACAAAAGCCTTAATTACATAGCATTCAAGTATGCCATCTAAGTGTCAAACTCTTCTGTTCTACTTTCAGATTGGCCTTGATTCTTGCTTCATGTGACATGCGAGCCATCATGTTCCCTTCTCAAGCCCACAGAGGACCTCACTAATTGAGCACAGTATTCCTTCTGGCAGGACCTGGTTGTGACTCACAATTCTTCCTGACACAGCACTCCAAGTAGTAACCGTCAATCTTAGCCAATAAGGAAATTGAAACCTATTGGCCCTCAGTAGCTTAAAATGTATTTGTTGATTTTCCAGTTGTAGAAAAGAAAAGTGCAAAGTGACTCATTTAAAGAAGAATTAGAAAACAATAGAAAGGAAATCATGGTCTCTGCTTTAGTTTTATTTACATATTTATTTACTTACTGAGATAGGGTCTCACTCTGTCACTCAGGCTGGAGTGCAGTGGCGTGATCATAGCTCATTGAGGCTCAACCTCCTGGGCTCAAGCAATTCTTCCACCTCAGCCTCCTGAGTAGCTGGATCCACAGGCACACACCACCACACCCAGCTAATTTTTGTAATTCGTGTAGAGACAGGGTTTCGCCGTGTTGCCCAGGCCGGTGTTGAACCTGAGCTCAAGCAATTTTCTCACCTCAGCCTCCCTAAGTAGTAGGATTACAGGCTGCTTTAATTTTAACTAGCAACCCATATATTCAGGACTATAGAAGGAACTTACTATAAAGTGAAATAAAATATAGTCATATACAAGTAATATTTTTTAAACTTTGGAATGAGCATTTAATAATCCTGTGAAAGGAGAATTTTCTTTATTTTTTAAATGACAGAAAATTACAAAGCCATTGTTCTTCCTAATAAGTTCCTATTATGTTTTAGATTTATTTTAAGCTAGAGATAGAAAACTGTTCCTACCATGATGTCATGTTGTATTTATTTCTGGTCTCATCAATTGAGTCAATCAAGAGACACTCTCATGACACCTTCTTGCCAGAATGAACACTGTGAAGTAGGTTTAGAGCCCAGCCAGACAGATTTCGAATTGGTTGAGTGATGTAAACTTTCATGATGGATTAAATGGAGAAGGTGAGAACCAAAAAAGGAGTCCAATATGATCTTGAAGTTTTGAGTCTTGAAGTCTGGGAAAACAAGGGATCTTCATAAACACAGAAAGTCAGTAGGAGAAAGCAGCTGTTCTGGGAGACAGGAAAAAAAAAGTTCAGATTTAGATTTTTTTGAGATTTAAATTTAGAATTCAAGGGACTTCATAATGGAGAACATCTCACATGTATTTGGCATTACAGGCCTGGCCTTTGAAAGCCTGGGGGTAAAGATTTTGAAATCTTGTCCTCAAGGGATGGTAGAAAGAAATGTTGTCCAATTTCAACCCCATTTCTCATCTGAAAGATATTTGAAGGATGCCAGAAATTGAGAAAAGGCAGAGCTGATTCTACAGTGAGTCACTGGGATTCTGAAGAAATATGAGTGGCAGCTCCAGAATTTCTATATGAGGAGGAGGAGGCAATTTACAAGTGGAAGTCTGGTTGTAAGATGTAATAAGCTTGTTGTATATATGGCAGCTTACAACAGATTGAAAAAATAGATGTTTACTTTCAGAATACAGAAGGGAAATTGCAGAGATTATGAGAGAGTGCCTAAGAAGTTACCAGTGTCTTATGCATTGATTAGGTAGAAAAGATTAGGTAGAACTTTCAGACAGTTTGAACTCTCCAGGCTCTACTAGAATGATAATCCATTTCTGTATAAAAACATACAAAATCAGTAAGTTACTGAATAAAAGTGATCATAGCATAATTTGATGTTAGATAATCTATAAAATATATAATAAAGGCAGTTCAAGCAATTCAAAATTTATTTGAATTTTTCAGTTATGTTGACACTATTCCTAGTTGAGAAATAAAGTTGTGTTTATTTTAGTGAAAAGGTGACATACCTTGACCAGTGTTCCTTGGAGTCTCCACTCTTTACCAAGGACATTTAGCAAACATGGCAATAAAAACACATTTAGATCTGTGAGATTCAGTCAAAGCCCAGAAAAACTGTTCTAACCTGAACCACATGATCTCAGCACAATGCATGTCATTGACTTTCTCAGGCTATCCAGGATTTGAATATTGAGGAGGTGGTGAATATTGAATATTGTCCAGTGGTGACTCATACTGAGTAAGACTATATAGACTTTCTCTTTAACATGTTAGGTACCGGCTACAATAGTGACTTTCCACTGACTCTGACCTATAGCAGAAGTAGATTTCACATTGTGACCCAGAGCACATCCTGCAACCAAGGTTTTATGAACCAATTCTTAACTTCACCATATATACTACACTTTCATATTTTCTGTTCTTAATTTTGTTATCACTCTTTGATTTCATGACCCACAAGTAAATCATGACTCAAAGTTCGGAAAATATTAAGCGGCATGGTAGCGTTTTCCTATTTATGGTCATTTTCATTATCCTTTTTTGTTAATGTCTTATGTACTCAGCACTAACAGCCAACTCTGGTCCATAGTCTCAGCATATAAGAAACTATATTACCTTCACAACTATAATAATTCATCATACAAGTACCAAGTGGATATTAACTTGACAATAGTGGTCTTAGATTTATTTGCATTTAAAAAAATTTAAAGTGATATCCTTACTACAATGGAGTTAGGACAAAAGACTGGAAAACAGAGAAACCTGATGATATAGTGATTGCTAAAATATTCGTAAGGAAATATGGAATAGTCAGAAAAGAATACTGTGTATCTTCAATGCAAAACTATGCATTGTTTAGCATATACCCTTCCAGGTTATCTGATGCTAGCTTTTTATTAATTTTGAGCTATTTTATAGATCTGTACATTGTAACTAACTGATAGCAACGAAAATAATTCTTGTGTATATACATGAATTCCATCCAGTGGCGGGATAATCCTCCTTTTTCATTCCTGCCTCTCCCCAAAGCCAGTTGTGTGAGTGAAAATTGGTAAATGCATTCTAATACTCCTGATATCTAGGTATATCTGCCCTTTGGATTCTACTTTGAACAGATTACATCATTTTATTGGTTCCTTTATTAATAAAGCGTTAAATAAAATCTTTAGCACCATTTCACATTGTCTGAAACTCATTTTACCCCCTTTTTTGTTTTTTTTTAGAAAATTCACCTTTAATGTATTCAAAAGAGTTTTACCAGAAATGGAAAATTCTGCACCATTAATTCAAGAAAAAAAGTTTAGCCGGGCGCGGTGGCTCATGCCTGTAATCCCGCATTAGGGGCGCGAGGCAGGCGGATCACGAGGTCAGGAAATCGAGACCATCCTGGCTAACACGGTGACACCCCATTTCTACTAAAAAAAAAAAAAATTAGCTGGGTGTGGTGGCACGCATCTGTAGTCCCAGGTACTGGGGAGGCTGAGGCAGGAGAATTGCTTGAACTCAGGAGGCAGAGGTTGCAGTGAGCTGAGATTGCGCCACCGCACTCCAGCCTGGGAGACAGGGTGAGATTCCGTCTCAAAAACCAGAAAAAAAGAAAACGAGTTTAGTTATTTTTCTATTTGGTACTTGTTCTTTGTTTTCCAATTTATGTTTCTGCAGTAGTTGCCTTCATTGGCCAAATATATTGATGCTTGTAGTGATGCAACAGAAAATATGTTAAGTTTCATAATTTATATTTTAATATAAATTTTTATATTTCTGTAAAGTTTTTAATTTCCATAAAGTCCAATTTATCTATTTTTTTCATTTGTTGCTTGCACTTTTCGTATTGTTTTAAGAAAGATTTGCATAATAGAAGGTCATGAAGATTTATTCCTATAGTTTCTTCTAAAAGCTGTACAGTTTTCACTGTTATATTTAGGTCTATGATCCATTTTGAGTTAATTTTGCATATGATGTGAGGGAGGGGTCCAGCTTTATCCTTTTACATGCAGACATCCAGTTGTCTCAGCACTACTTTTTGAAAAAACTAATTTTCCCCCTCCACCCCCAGCCTTTCCCCCACTCCCCCACCACCTCCATTAAGCTGTCTTGGTCTCCTTTGTTGAAAATCAACTGACCACAAATGTATGAGTTCATTTTTGGACTTTCCATTTTATTCCACTGATTTATATCTCTATTTTTATGCCAGTACCATACAATCTTATTTACTGTAGTTTTGTAATACATTTTGAAATCAGGAAGTATGAATCCTTCAAACCTGTTCTTTTTCAAGACTGTTTCGGCTATTCTAGATCCCTGACATTTCCATATACATCTTTATGGTTTATCATTACAACCCAGAGGGGTGGAGAAATAAGTTTCAATTTTATCCTTACATTATTCACAAAAATATACATGTGTGTTTGTATATACAAATATACACACACAAAAGATAAATGGACATCTTATTTTTCTCTACTCGGCATACATTCTCCCAAATTCTAATAATAGGATTATATTGGTAAAAGCTCTCTGATGCCACACCCTCATCCCCTGCCCTGATTTCATGTGTGTGACCCAGTCCTGGAAAATAAGTACAATTTAACTATTTGGTTAGTGATTGGTTTAAAAATGGACTCAGCCAAGCCAAGTTAGTTACTTCATTTTGGGGACTTTATTAGAGCTGTCGGGAAGAAGTTTTCTTTCTATGTAACATCGCCTAAATGTAAAAAAGAAGCCTGGACCTGCGCAACCATTCTTGCAACCAAGAGGGAAGAACCTGCCTGTGGATGGAACCTACACACAAGCAAACAGAGCCCGGAGTTGAAGGGCCTGAAAATGAGCCCTAAGTACATCATCTGAGTCCTGTGTTTTGTTATACCTGAAGCATGTCCAGTGTGAATGAGTATCTATCGTTTATAATCAAAAATGTCCTGATTAAGAAAAATAAGAGGATGAAAAAAATCAGTATGTATATTTGAGTCATGGAACTATAGATAATTTTTATATTTTCTTTCTTAAAATAAGGTAGATGCATTACCTTTATAATTAGAGGAATAAAATAAAAAATGTAACATTCTTCTGATGCTCTTCAAAAAGTTGGATGTCTGAGTCAATTCTCTTTGGAGATATTAGTCAAGCTACCACACAAATACTGGATTTATAAAATGTTGAAGAATCTAATTTTATGGTTTGATTATGCATATTTTTTCTCCTTAGTTCCACTTACTAAAATCAGCAAATACTGGGGCTTTTGTGATCCCCCAGCATACATTTTCCAGAGGTCATTTTCCTGTGTTGTGGAAGAATGTGAATAAAAGCACCAAGTGGAATTATTGTCTCCAGGACACAGAAATTTGGGATAAATACCTTAGTCAGATTTGATCCTGGGAATATACAGGGACAGCATTATGCACTAAATCCTGGTTTCCCCCATTGGAGGATCCTAGGGTGGAGGAAAGTTGGAAAAGAAAGAAAAGAGCCAGTGCTCACATAGTCCTTCTTGTGTGCTTGAGTCAAATATATCTTTACATTTTTAACTTTATATTTTGAGATAATTATAGCTTTACATATAGTTGTAAGAAATAATACATAGAGGTATATATACCCTTATGTCATCTCACTCAATAGCAACATCTTGCATAATTATACAATATCACAACCAAACATTGACATTCATCCACCTTAATTTGGTATCTCCAGTTTTACATGCACTCATGTGTGTGTATTAAGTTCTGTGCAATTTTATCACATGTGTGGATTCTTGTGACAACCACAATCAAAATACAGAACAATTCCATCACCACAAAAATCCCCTTTATAAGCACATGCACCTACCACCCATCCTCCAAGCCCTGGCAGCAGCTGATCTGTGCTACCATCTCTATAATTTTGTTATTTGAAGGATATTTTTAGTTTACATTTCTCATATTCTAGAAATAACTAGAATAATTCAATGTAAAGTTTAGGAAGACCCTTACAGCTCTGTAGTTCACCCTCCCTTTCTTTACTTGAAGGAATCGTTTGACCACCATTTATTCAGCCTTTTTATTAAGCAAGGGAGGTGGCAGAGTTCACAGGAGACTAGAGCACAGTTAAGTCATGTCGTAGCTCTGCTATGTTCTAACTGTGCAGTCACTAAACCTCAGCTGCCCCAAATGTAAAATGAGATTAATAATCATAATGATCTCATAAAGTGGTTTAAAGTTTAAATGAAATAATGCATTGCAAACGTGCATCCAGTTACTTGAAACAAAGAACCTACTACCACACCTCCTCATTCAGTTTATCTCACAACTATACAATCAGAGCTTTTAGAAAGTTGTTCCTCCTTGAGAGTTGGAATTCTCTTCTTCCAGATTCTGCTCATTGGCTCTAATTTTACTTTATAAAGTCTTACAGAATTTATTGGATCCCTGTTCCACATGACAGCATTGTAGCTCATCAAAATTGAATCTTATGCTTGTCTCTTATCCATGCTCCACTTTCTTTAACTGATCCCCATATAATTCCGTGACTATAGAATTAAGTCTATCTGATTCACCACTGTCTTCCTCTCCTTGAACAGTGCCTTACTCACAGCCCCTACTCGAAAATATTTTAATTGATGACATGTTTTAGCATTCTTTTATTATCATGGTTGTCCAGTTCTAAGCATACTCCATTTGTCCAGTTTACCTTTTATTAAATGATAGTACCCCTGTATGACATTTATTAATCTCCCTATACAAAAACAAAGGTCACACCAAAACTGTGTCACCTCTGAGCTCCAACAACAACAAACATTGCATAGTGTTATTTCAAATATGAGAATAATAAACAGACTTACATACACACTTCTAGAACCAAAGTTATTCAATAATAGAGGAAATTCTCTATTTCTGGATAGGTTTCTAAGCATGCATATTGAGTCTTGGCTAGCTTTTTTTGGCTGGCTAGTTAGCTAAACCACTACAGCTTTCCACAGGAGCAGTCACCATAGCATCAATTGTTTCTTCTATATTGGTTAGAATTAAATCCAAAGGAACAGCACCCCTCCTTGCTTCCTCTACTTCTTGAGAAAAGAAATTGTCACAAACCAAGGAGAGGGCTGTCAGATGTTCTACTTCCAAATAAGTAAGCTCCCAGCATAAACTTGAAAAAAATGATTCTATTCCTTTTTCTGCATCTCCACTATTTCAGGCCACCATCATCTTACCTCAAAAATTGGCAACACCTTCTTATATGGTCTCTAGGGCTCTGTTTTTGCCACACTCCTATCCTATCCTCCACATTGCAGCCAGTGTGATCTTGCAGAAGCAAAAATCCCATGCTGTTTGCTTTTTTTCCCTTGTGGATATAGCCTGATCCCTCAGCATCCCCATTACCCTATATTTACTATGTTCTGTCCATTTCAAACATTTTTAATGCCTTAATGAATTTGTGTTTTTTATTGCTCCCTGACTTTTGAGAATGTATCCTCTACCAGAAATACTTTCCACCCAAATCTGACTTGTCCCTCAGTTCAGACATTCCTGGCTCCCGAAGGTCTTCCTTTCCTGGATCCAGAAGAACCCCAAATCCAGGCAAGATGCAGCCTCTCAAGGCATCTGGAGCTCCCCGCTTTGCAACATTCACCACGCTGCATTGTCATCACTTGTCTCCCCACTGTAGGCTGGGATAGGGTGGACGGGAAGGAATAACTATATTTGTCTTGCTTTTCTTTGCAGGCTCAGAGAATAGCAAATAATGGGGTCTATAAGAAGAGCTTCATCTCTGAAAATGAAAGGAATAACTTGTGAAAAATTATGATTGCCATTTTTATGTGTAATGAGGTGTATGTATAGGGAAAAGCAGTTTGATGTAATCCTGTAATACTTTTATAGGACATGTTCATGATGTAAATATTTTTCATGAGCATGCATTCTGATTCAAATGTTAGTTTCCAAACTAGTTTTAAGAATCCTTTCTGTCATACAAACATTTTGAATACAGTGCAAACAATTCTATATGCCTTGTGGGCTTTCCTTACACAGGGTAAGAGCTATGCATTATCTGCACTCTTTCCACTCCAATTACAGGCTTTCTGTGGGAGGCAGCTGGATGTTTGAACTCTCTCTTATATCATGAAGATCCAAGGAGTTCTGAGTTTGTGATTACCAAGAGGAATTGTGCCTTGAAACATACATCATTCCCCAATGGAATTGGACCAGTAAATGTTTCATTTATTTTGTAGTAAAATGATATTTTTCTAACAAGATGCAGTTGCCATCCAACTCATTCTAGGTCTCTATTTATATTTTCCTTGAACAGAAAGCTTTCGTTTGATTACTTTTCTTTGATGTTGTGCCAGTACCACAAGATAAAATTAGAAACTTTTTTAAAAGTCTCATTTCAGCTTACATTGTAGCAAAATTCCATGCCCTGTTAAAAATGAGTTGAAATGCCTCATCCCCTTATTGGTTGCCTTATTTTGTCCTGAATAAAGAAATTCTTGTAGCACCTTCAATAAAAAGAAGTCCCAGCAATTCTTATTTCTGTTTTGTTCTGGCAGTTAATGGAGCAAATGATAGAAAATTTACAGACATACACTCACAAGGATATTTACTGCAGCATTGCTAGAAATAGCAAACAACTAAAAACCATTAAAAAAGGAATAGATATATTACAGAACATCTATATTATGAAACATATGTAGTCACTAAAAACAAGTTAGATTAACATCTACAAACTGTGACTTGTTGTTGAGCGAAAAAATAAAGCTGAAGAATAATGTGTATAATACAATTCTTTCTGAGAGCAGCATGGCAAGTTGGTGAATATCCTATGCATCTCTGTAGACACATAGATGATAGATGATAGATAGACAGACAGACAGACAGACAGACAGACAGATAGATAGATAGATAACTGTTAACATTAGTTGTTGGGGAAGGTAGAGTTGGAAAAGGCATTTCTTTACACATCTGGACTATTTCCTTTCTTATAAACAATATGATTTCTGTTTGAAACAAAAAAATGTAATGAAAAATTTTAATGAAAAATAAATGATTAAAGCCCGGGCACGGTGGTTCACACCTGTAATCCCAGCACTTTGGGAGGCCGAGGCAGGTGGATCATGAGGTCAGGAGTTGCAAGACCAGCCTGGTCAATATGGTGAAACCCCGTCTCTACTAAAAATACAAAAAATTAGCCAGGCGTGGTGGCAGGTGCCTGTAATCTCAGCTACTCGGGAGGCTGAGGCAGGTGAATCACTTGAACCCAGGAGGCGGAGGTTGCAGTGAGCCAAGATCGCACCACTGCACTCCAGCCTGGGCAAAAGAGTGAGACTCTGTCTCAAAAAATAACAATAATAATAATTTAAAAAGAAAATGCATGATCAAAAAGAAAAGTATTATGAAGGGAAGCCAGGATTAATCAAGACTATCAATCTACTCATTCTGTACTCTCCCAATGTGAGTGGGTGTGCTTGTGATTGATGTCAGCAATATATACCTAAGGCATAGTCATCAAGAGGGTAGGAAAGGCAAAGGGAAAGAAGGCAAGAAGTGAATGACAATGTTAAAGAACAACAAAAGATTTCTTTAGCCTCATAGGCTGCTAGTCCCTCAGCTAGCTCTTCCAAGTATGCCAGTGATTCATTTAATCAACATGAACTGAGCACGCATCCTGTACAAGGTACTATGGAGTGCTTGGGGATAGGATGGTGAACAAACACACAGTCATCACTGGGTCTAGAGATGATAGTGCAGAGACAGGGCTCTGAATGGGGTCTGGGCACTGGTACAAATTGTCATGGGAGCAGGGAAGCATACAAGAACAATTTCATTATGGACCAAGGGACAGAAATAGAAAAAGAAATCACTATATTGAGTAAATTGCCAAGGATTTTTCTAATTTAATAGGTTTTCTTCACCTGAAAGATTCATTATCAACCCCCTTTCTAAACAGATAAGACACTTACTATGAATCAGATTGTAGGGAATGACACTAGAATGACAAGTTTACATTAGCCACTGCCCAGTAAGTTCAAGAAACATCCTTGTAAAAAGTGTATCTAGAAACCATGATAATACATTGTAAAATATAAAATAGGGACATTGGATGTTCTGGTAACATTTTCTTTCTCTGTTTAGAGAGTAAGTACATGAGTGCTTCTTTTATTTTTTTTCAACTATACATATACATTTCAATCACTTTTTGTAACATCACACATAAAAAAAAACAACAGAAAAGTAAATTATCTTTGAGAAAAAATTAACATTTCCATAATGTGCCAATTTAATTTGTATATCAATTCTTCTTAATGACATCTGGTAAAGATACACAATTTTTTCATTTTTTCCCACTAAATTATGCTGTTTCTACCTGCAATAATTCATTTAAGTAAGCAAAGCATGATTTTTGATGAAGTTGTAGAGAAAATGTAAACAAAGACCAAACATTAAGCGTGAAAATGAGTTCATACATCATGAATCCTCTAGTATTTATCTGTGAGAATATTTTGCTTGGACTTAGATAATGACAAGAAAAATGGTGAGCATACTAACAATGTCAAAACGTTTTGAATATTCAGCATTTGAACAAGTCCTAGCTGCTTTTGTTTTCTTTTGGGCCGAAGAAGGGTTGTCAAGGAAAGCTTTCTAGAAGTGGCCAACTTCCCCTTGAGAGGTCTCAAATGCTGACCCCCACAAAACACCAAAACTTCCTGTTGACAAAACTGAGTTTACTACCTGGTGCAGTGAGGTATGACATCCCTCAGTAGAACCTTAGTAGCATCTCAGAGAAGAGTAAATTTGGGATATGTATTAAGATCCTGACATCTGGTTTAAGATAAGACTTTCAATGCAGGGGGTTTAGCTAGCATTGGGTAAGTATCATGATAGAATAGTTAAAGATTGGTGGAAATAGCAAGGTGAGAATTTTCAGGCAAGAATTTCAGAGTCTTGAGATATAAAACCTTATTTTATGCTTATTTTTTTTTTTGAGACAGGGTCTCACTGTGTTGCCCAGGCTGAGGTGAAGTGGCACCATCATAGCTTACTGTAACTTCTAACTCCTGGCCTCAAGTGATCCTCTTGCCTCAGCCTCCTGAGTAGCTAGAACTACCGCATATGCGTGCCTCCACACCCTGCTAATTTTTTTATTATTTGTAGCGATCAGATATCACTATTTTGGCCAGACAGGCCTCAAATAGTCTTCCTGCCTTGGCCTCCCAAAGTGCTGGGATTACAGGCATAAGCCAACATGCCCAGCCTGATGCTTTCTGTTAAAAAATGTATAGGACTTTTAGGAAGTTCCTGGGATGAATAATTAAGTTTGTTACAACTGTTCTCTTTCTGAGCAAGAATCTTCTCGAATAGTAAAATTATGTTGATGAAGGTAGTGGAATAGTACAGTTATGTTAATAATTTTAGACAGTGAACTGCATGTATGGTTTCCATTCTCAGAGAGGAGAAAGTCAGAAACAGCAGGAAAGATGCATCGTCATTGCATCCACATGTCTAGACACTTAGTGTCATTTAGCCAGTGCCCAAGTAGACGGGCTAATGCCAGAGGGGGGACAAAACTGCTCTGTCATTGAGAATCATTAGGAATTTTGAAATCATACCCTCTTTCTGGGGCTCCATCTGGTCCTCTTTTCAATAAAATTAAAGGGCTATGCTAAGTAATCTTTTGGTGCTTCCATTGTCTGACTGTGGACAGACGGGAGATGGTTGTAGAGCAAGGACTCTAGAGTCAGATGATATAGGTTCACATCCCGCCTCTACCACTGAGTACCTTTGTGACCTTGTGGGATGCTTAACTTCTCAATGTTGCAGAGGTTTTCTCTTATTTTAATAACAGGATTAAAATCTAACTTGTTGAAGTATCTAAAAGTACTCTACCTCAGAACGATTGCTCAAATATCGGTGGTGGTGGTGGTAGTGGTTGTGGTGGTTACCATCATTAATATCATCAGTCTGTGGGCTCAGAGCTTTTGCTCAAATGTGGACCACTTAAAATATTTTAATTGGGCTCAGAGAGTTTTATCCTACATATCAGTTAACCCAGTATGAGATCCTGTGTATTAAGTTCAGATCGAAAAATGGTAAAGCATATAACTGAGAACTCCTTGTGATTAATGTGATTTGGATAAGCACAATGGAATAACATATTAAGGTCATCGATTTAAATTATTAAATGATATGAAACTCATAAAACAATTCTGAGAAAGATGTTTTAGAGAAAGATGTATGACTTACATACAGGCATGTAATTTCCAGGGTTGAAAATGTGTTGGTTTTATTAATTGGTCTGGTTTTTCTTTTTTTTCTGTCATGAAAATAGGTTGATTCTGTCTGATCTTAACCAGCCGGATTTGACACTGTAGAATTTGGTCAGTTCACCAAGTCCTTTCCTAATTCTGTGCCTGTCACTTTTCCGGGTCCAGCAGGCAGTTGCAGCCGTGTTTGCCGACTTGCAGAATCCCTGAACCTTTCTCACTGCTCTGGAAGTGGCTGAGAGAGCAGCAGGAGATATGTTGCCCATTGGGTTGGCGGCACAAGGAAGCATCATGGCCTCAATTGCTTTCTGAGGACCTGTCTACACAAGGTGGCAGTGGAAAATCAGAATGAGGGTTGAAGCTGAAAAGTGAATCACAGTTTAGGGAGAGTGGGTTTTACCCCAAAGTAGCTACATGTTAAAGGATATTTCTACCCATGTAGTGTAGATATACTAATCCTGTGATTTTTTTTTTTTTTTTTTGAGACGGAGTCTCGCTCTGTCGCCCATGCTGGAGTGCAGTGGCACGATCTCCGTTCACTGCAAGCTCTGCCTCCCGAGCAGCTGGGACCACAGGCACCCGCCACCACCACGCTGGCTAATGTTTTGTATTTTTAGTAGAGACGGGTTTCACCGTGTTAGCCAGGATGGTCTCGATTTCCTGATCTCGTGATCCACCCGCCTCGGCCTCCCAAAGTGCTGGGATTACAGGCGTGAGCCCCCGCGCCCGGCCACTAATCCTGTGATTTTATGGCTAGGCATAGAGGCTGGATTTCTGTGCTTGAGTCTACCAATGAACTCTTTTCACCAGTAAGATGAAAATCAGCTGAAATACAAATCAAGTGTTCAAGTTATGATTCTTTGTGTGGGGGACCATACTTTCTTCTCCTAGATATATTGGAAAGAAAAATGGAAGTAATTATGTATTTTTTTTATAAACCATTAAGACAATCGATGTAAAACTTGTCAAGGTAACTTAATTATACTATTATAGAATATTGGCAATTATTTGGTTAAATCTTCCACCCAGAGCAGAAATTACCTCTGTAATAACTACCTCACATTTATTTGGTTGAACATTTATTTCTACTTTTAATAAACTCAACACTTTATGAGCAGCATCTACCCTTATAAGCCAGTGTCAAAAAGTTCTTCCTTATACTAAGGCAGAATCTGTAGCTATACAACTTCTATTCTTACACCTATTTCTGCACCTCTGAGCTGCACAAAACACATCTCTTCCCTCTCTAACTTGATTTTCCCTGAAAAATTCAATTCATAGATAATTATTGAATATTTACTTTATGCCAGGATGCAAGAAGCTGGAAGAATAAGATAGAACTAGTCTTTGACCTCTTGGGATTTGGGAGTTTACCATGTTGTTTTCACCAGCCTCTTCTTCAGGTTTGACATCACTAATTATTTTTATTTCCCCCACATAACATATTTCTTACCCCAGGTCAAACATTTAAAACAAGAAACATAAAACTATGCATTTCTCCAGATGTGATTTGCCTAGTGCAAAGTACAGTAGCATGATTAACCAACTTATCTTTGCATCTCTATTGACATTGAAAGTAGGCCTTATGCACAGTTGAGTACTCAACAAATATTTATGAAAGACTCTGGATACCCCTTTCTCTTGTGGAGGCAATGGTTTCAATTCTTCCATTAACTTCTTATGTTTGGACATAACCATAAACTACGCATGATTAAAACAAATGCATGGGGAATAAATAGTGAACCACATATGACTTAGAAGTTATTTTCTTAAAGAAGAAATTATGTCTACCTTGCAAAATTCCTAGAAAATATTTACATTCACATGAGTCTTCTGCCACAGTGAAGGGAGATTTTTAACCTAAATGATTAAGGTTTTGAGGTAAAATGATTGAAGATATTTCCTGCCTCAGGGTGTGATTTATGATAGATTCATGTCTACTGCCTGTTGACTGCACATAGTTGTACTGGACTAAGGTGATCAGGTAAAAGTATTTCAAAAAATTATCACCTCACTTAGATTGGAAGCCTTAGGAAGTGCTGTGTTAACATATTCTCTCAACCTTTAGAATCCACTCTCCTGGACTACACACATACGCGAGCACGCACACACACACACACACACACACACACACACACACGGTATTGAAACTAGAATTCTTTCAATGTTGTATTCCCCATACTTATTTATGTCTCAAAGACTGATCTTCAAAGAAGACAGAGACTTCCAGTGTAAGACAGTTGAAAATATTTGGCTGTGACCAGCAACAAAAGGCAAACAAGTGTCAAAAAGGTCTTTGCTATTGTAAGGTGATTCTCTTTTACTGATCTAAACAAAAGGCTCTTCTCACTTCTCTATTTCCCATCCTGGTGCATTAACCATTTATATTTAATTAAGTCTTTCTTATATTTCTCAAACAGCAGTATTTATGCTAGTAAGTCTTAGCTTTTATAAGTTTATGAGCTTTTATTTTCTATGATGAACATTATTTAGTTTCAATAGTACTTGTAACACCTCTAAAAGCTCCAAATCATTTTTTTATTTTATTTTCTGCCTTTAGTAATATTGATGTCATCTTGCAATACAGTGTCTATACACTTTTTAAATAGCATGTTAATTCTTCTCTATGAATCATTTACAAAATTGACAGAATCAGAAAGAGCTCACCCACCAAGACCCACTAAAAGTCCCTCAGTCTGCTGAATTAATATTATGTTCTTATCCATGGAAATTTGAACTAACTTTAACATTGTATAACCATTATGGCATTTCTCAAAGCCTATGATCACCAGTAGCTATTAAGATGCTGTCAATTAGGCCAGAAGCAGTGGCTCATGCCTGTAATCCCAGCACTTTCAGAGGCCGAGGCAAGTGGAGTTCAGGTCAGGAGTTCCAGACCACCCTGGCCAACATGGCAAAAGCCCGTCTCTACCAAAAATACAAAAAATTATCTGCACATAGTGGCATGCACCTGTAATCTCAGCTACTTGGGAGGCCGAGGCAGGAGAATTGCTTGAACATGGGAAGCAGAGGTGACAGTGAGCCAAGATCATGGCCACTGTACTCCAGCCTGGGCGACAGAATGAGACTCCATCTCAGGAAAAAAAAAATGCTCTCAATTAAATGGGCTAGAGAAATCAAAATCTACTCATGTAGTGCTTGTAGAGATGATCTGTGCTGAAATGACACATTTTCAAAATCCAGAAACAAGTGCTAAGGAAAGACAGGGAACAAAATGGGCCTTTGTATTGGGAGTATGTCTTCTTTGAAGATGAGTTTTTGAGACATAATGAAGTATGGTGAATATGGCATATAAGGAATTCTACATCCAATAGCACGGTAAAGAGCCTGGCCAGCAGTAAACCCACACCTGTTAGACATTAACAATTAAAATAATCATTTTTTTCTCCTTGAAGAAAAATAAAAAATGAAAGATGATCATTTATGGAAACAATTTGTCAAAAAGATAAATTGCCTTTAGTTCTTTTGAGTTATGAAAAAGATGTCAGAAAAAAAAACAAACTATTTTTAACATTTCTCTTTAAATTATTGAATGGGTTTTGTTTCCCTCACTCGAAACTTGAATACTATGAACAAAAGTATGCCAAAGAACTTCTATTCTGATTGTGATTCTTTATATACTCCCTGTTCTCTCAAAGCATTATTTTAAGTTAGTGTTACCTCACCTTTAAAATATCAATTTCATTTGAAATAATACAATATAGTTCCTGTTGTTTTACGTTTCTTATCCTTACCTCAATTCTCTCTATAAATTCACTTTCTATTTGCAAGTCCTGATTGTCACAATCCAGCAATAACTCTTAAGTAAAAAGAGGATAGACATAATTTCTGATAAACTTAAATTTAGACAAACATACTTTGCTTTTAAAGCAGCCTGTCCACATGACTAAACCAGACAGAGTTAAACAGAGAGCAACTGACATCAATATTGGTGCTGACAGTAATTCAGGATACTCTTGGTGATATGGTTTGGCTCTGTGACCCCATCCAAATCTCATCTTGAATTGTAATCCCCAGGTGTTGAGAGAGGGACCTGGTGGGAGGTGATTGGATCATGGCGGTGGTTCCCACATGCTGTTCTCATGATAGTGAGTTCTCATGAGATCTGATGTTTAAAGTGGCAATTTTCCCTGCACTCTCTCCCTCCTGCTGCCATGTAACACGTGCCTTGCTTCCCCTTCACCTTCAGCCATGATTGTAAGTTTCCTGAGGCCTCCCCAACAATGCAGAACTGTGAGAAAATTAAACCTTTTTTCTTTATAAATTACCCAGTCTCAGGCAGTCCTTTACAGCAGTGTGAAAACAGACGAGTACACTTGGGCAGGAGGGAATCAAAAAGAAGGAGATTCAGGCTATGTGCACATTTTAACTCATAGCAAGGATTCAACTTCACATGAATGACAGGAAGAGCCTCTTCATGGAAGAAAGAAGCAAGTTCAAGTTTCTCATTAGTTCTGAAAATAACTTTAGAAGTCATTCAGGTCATCGCTTCGTTTTGACGTTAACAAAACTGAGGCCCAAGGAGGTGAAATTACTTGTCCCAAGTCCCACAGCTGGTTAGAGACGGATTAGAGCTAAGACCCAAGTCTTCACTCTCCCAGTTCAACACATTTTCTACTTCACAGTTACCAAATGAGGACAATTATCCTTAACAAATGACATAGGGTGGAGTTTTCCTTTCCTAAGTTCCCCAGAAAACTTCATAAAATGAGCTAGCAAAATAGAAGATCATCTTTATGACATAATATATCAAACGTATCTGCTGTATCAGCCGCACTCTGGCCCCAAGAACATCCATCCTGTCATCCTGTTGAAAACAATATTTTCTAACACAGCCATCCTTTGGAAGGAGGCCCAAGCCGAGGGTAAATATGTTGCATGCAAACTTCTCCAAGGCAAGGATCAGGCCTTCTATTTTGTTTTTTCCCAGAGGGCCTAGAATCATAACATGCATAAATGATTGATACACATTCCAGGCTTTGTTGGCAACATTTTTGAGCATTTTATGCTCCTTTATAATCAGATATTCTAATCCTGAAGTTTGACTGCCACTAAAGATTATGGAAGGAGAATGTTTGGGTTTCAGAAGTGAAGAATGGCCATGCTCTTGGATAGAAAGAATCAATGTCATGAAAATAGCCATACAGTCCAAAGCAATTTACAGATTCAATGCTATTCTTATTAAACTACCAATGACATTCTTCAGAGAACTAGTAAAAGCTATTTTAAAATTCATATGAAACAAAAAAAAAGAGCAGAAATAGCCAAGGCGATTCTAAAGCCAAAAACAAAGCTGGAAGCATCACACCACCCAACCTCAAACTATATCACACTACCCAACTTCAAACTATACCACACTATCCAACTTCAAACTTTTACAATAGTAGAAACAGCATGGTACTGGTACAAAAGCAAACACATAGACCAATGAAACAGAATACAGAACCCAGAAATAAGGCTGCATACCTACAACTATTTGATCTTCAACAAACCTGACAAAAACAAGCAATGGGGAAGAGCACCCTATTCAATAAATGGTGCTGGGATAACTGGCTAGCTATATGCAGAAGATTGAAACTGGACCCCTTCCTTACACCATATACAAAAATTAACTCAAGATGGACTAAAGATTTAAAGTGACCCAAAACTATAAAAACTCTGGAAGGCAACCTAGGCAATACCATTCTGGACATAGGAATGGGCAAAAATTTCATGATGAAGGTGCCAAAAGAAAGTTCAAGAAAAGCAAAAATTGACAAATGGGACCTAATTAAACTAAAGAGCTTCTGCACAGCAAAAGAAACTACCAACAGAGTGAACCGACAGAATGGGAGAAAATTTTTGCAAACTATGCGTCTGACAAAGGTCTAATATTCAGCATCTTAAGGAACCTAAACAAATTTACAAGAACAACAACAACAAAAAACACCCCATTATGAAGTGGGAAAAAGGAATGAACAGACACTTCTATAAAGAAGACATACATGTGGCCAACAATCATATTTTAAAAAAGCTCAACATCACTGATAATTAGAGAAATGCAAACCAAAACAACAATGAGATACCATCTCACACCAGTCACTATGGTTATTATTAAAAATCAGAGTATGACCGGGCACAGTGGCTCACGCCTGTAATCCCAGCACTTTGGGAGGCTGAGGCCGAGGCGGGCGGATCGCGAGGTCAGGAGATCCAGACCATCCTGGCTAACAGGGTGAAACCCCGCCTCTACTAAAAATACAAAAAATTAGCCGGGAGAGGTGGCGGGTGCCAGTAGTCCCAGCTACTCCGGAGGCTGAGGCAGGAGAATGGCGTGAACCCCGGGGGGCGGAGCCTGCAGTGAGTGGAGATTGCACCACTGCACTCCAGCCTGGGTGACAGCGAGACTCCGTCTAAAAAAAAAAATCAAAATATAACAGATGCTGGCGAAGTTGTGGAGACAAGGGAACACTTATACACTGTTGGTAGGAGTGTAAATTAGTTCAACCCTTGTGGAAGACAGTGTGGCAATTCCTCCAAGACCTAAAAACAGAAACACCAGTTGGCCCGGCAATCCTATTACTGAGTATATACACAAAGAAATATAACCTGTTATATCCTAATGACATATGCACATGTTCATTGCAACACTACTCACAACAGCAAAGACATGGAATCAACCTAAATGTCCATCTATGGTAGACTGGATTAAAAAAATTTGGTACATATACACCGTGGAATACTATGCAGTCATAAAAAAGAATGAGATCATGAGCTTTGCAGGGACGTGTATGGAGCTGGAAGCCATTATCCTTAGCAAACTAACATAGGAACAGAAAACCAAATACCGCATGTTCTCACTTATAAGTGGGAGCTAAATGATGAGAACACATGGACTCATAGAGGGGAACAACACACACTGGGGCCTATAAGAGGGTGGGGGGTGGGAGGAGGGAAAGGATCAGGAAAAATAACTAATGGGTGCTAGGCTTAATACCTGGGTGATTAAATAATCTGAACAACAAACCCCCATGACACATATTTACCTATGTAACAAACCTGCACATGTACCCCTAAACTTAAAACAAAAGTTAAATTTAAAAAATATAAAAAAACAAAAAAACAAAAAGAAAACAAGAAATGAAGGATGGACCTGGATTCCTCTGGCCCAGAATAACCAGTGGAGTTTTTCTCACCTTCTCAGTTTCACTGGAACTACTGTCAAGCTATTCTGTGGAGTTGGAGGTTGATGACATAACAAAAACATTTCAATAAAAATCACCAACACCACCTACAATATGGTAAACTCTGGCCCAGCTCTATGACAGACATCATGGAAGACAAATGCAATAGCTTTAAAACTAGACTAATCTGGATTCAGATCTCAGCTCCATCACCTACCATGGCAACCTTGGGCAAATGACTTCAGTTTCCCAGCCTCAAAATTGATTTATCTGTGAAGTAGGGATGATAATGTACCTCTCGTCAAACTGTTAAAGGAAATAATGTACACAAAGCATTCAGCATAGGCCTTGTACAAAATGTTTAGTAAATGACAGCTTTCACTGTGACACTGAAGCAGTTTATCATCCAGGGTTGAAGAGCCTGGCCTTGGCAATCAGAACAGATGCAGGCGAATTGCAGCTCCTTTCCCCAAAGGAAATGACCTTGGACAAATAACATAGCCTCTGTAAGCTTCAGTTCACTCATCTGTGAGGATGATAATACTTTTTCTGTCTATTCTTCTTCTTGTATGATTAATTGAGATAAATAATGCCTGGTACATAATGAAATATCAGCAAATAGCAATAATGTTATTGCTACCTCATTAAATCCTCACATAAGTCCCCTTATGGAGGTATAGTTTTCCCAGTTTATACACGAGAAAGTTAAAGCTCAGAGAGTTTAGGAAACTTTCCTAAGCTCAAGATGCTTAAGTGGCAAACTTGAGATTTGACCCAGGACCTAAATTGCCTCCAAAGTCTAAGCCTTTTGCAATACCAACCTTTCTCTTCTCACACCCCTTCTACTTGTTTCCAGGAAAGTTGTCAATCAACTTTCTCTTTCTTTTACTCCTGTGAGATTTTTCTTTATGCATAATAGAATCGTCTGTGGTAAAACAATAATATTAAATTTTCCAGTGGAAATTTAAGTCTTTTAGATCTTCAATCATACTGACATTTTTCTCCGGAATTCTAAATTATCTCCATTTCTTAAATTACTATGACACGTGTTAATGATTATCAAAGGCTCTGAGTTTGGTTAAGGCCATCTCCAAGTTTCCTCCGTTTCTATCATACTATGGAAAAAAACAGTTATAAGACATTTTAGTTCTGATCTAAGCCAAGTACATTTACATAACTTTCAGATAACCTAAGACAAATACGCAAATTTAAAGAAAATCATTACCTAAGGAATTTACTAGTATAATAAAAATGGTACAAAAAATTAAATAATATTATCTGCTAGCTGAAATTGGCCCCATTTTACTAATAGGAAATTTTGGTGGTAACACTAAGAAATGATTCATGGGATTTTGTTTTGTTTTTCACAGAAGCAGAGGGCACAAGTAATAGTTTAGATGTAAACTCTAGGCTTAGAAAGACCTGAGGCCAAATCCTAACCCTGAGAATTATTAGCTATGATCTGGAGCAAATTTACCTATTCTTTCTAAGCCTTGTTTTATCTTGGCAAAATTACTATAATAAAAGCATTTATAATATCAGGTGTATAGAAAAAGTTGGTTCTTAGAAAGCACATGTAGCAATGTCTGTATTCAATACACAGTAGCTATTATTTTTATTATTATACCATATACCCCAACCATTCCAATATCTCCTTAGTTTCAGAGTGTGGGATGCAATTCCGTAATCCAAAGGCACATTTGTAAGTCACAGAGCCAGTCAGTTAATCATTTACCTGAGTTTTTTCCTTCTACTCTATACCATTTTGAATCATGTCATTGGTAGTTTAAACCAAGAAAAACCCATGAGCCATTAAGGCTGTAAGAGTATTCGTGCCCATATTGCACCAAAATAACTACTCAAATTGATTAATTTGATGATCCAAATGGTAAGTTTATTTCAAAACAAAATTAGAAACTTAACTAAACTGGGCAGTAAAACTTGGTCTCAGCAGTCCTCTGACTGGCTAGACTGAAAATGCCACACGGTTTTTTGTTTTATCTCATACCCGAAGTAGAAACATCTCTGTTTCTCCTTTTGACAGACAAATCTGGGCATCTATAACATGTTGGCTTTATATTCCACTCTTAGATTCTATGGAATATATCCAATTCTGTGGAATATATCAAACCATCTTCAAAATGCATCCATGCCTAAAGACATGGTGGCTTGTAACTATACTGTGTAATGCGTGAATTTATTCTTGCCTCTCTCCTTGGGGTATCTGTGAGGAAGTCCATTTAATAGCTGGGTCAAAGTACATAGAAATATGGGCAACAATAATGGCAGCCCCTGCCTCTGTAGAACTGGTGCAGGGAGTCCTAGACCGTCTTTGCTGGGGAGGACACAAGCACAAGTGCTACCTCCCTGCATTCCTCCCAAGGGTCAGTGGCTCCTGAGGGCAGCTCAAGAACGCTGTCCTAAAAGTGGGCTGAATGAGGGGAAGGCAGCCCTCAGTGCTGCCTGAATCCCCATTTTAAGAATCTTTCCGATGTCTACGTCTCACAGCCTCTTCTCTCCATCTCCATCACCACCTCCCTGATCCATGCCCCTGCAATCTATTCTCCACATTGCAGCCCAAGAGGACATTTAAAATGCAAATGTTATCAGGTTCATTCTTCTGTTTCCAATCCCTCAGTGGCCTCCTCTGACTCTCAGGATCCAGATCAAACTTCCACAAGCAGACCCCAGGCGCTTCCTTCTCTAAAGCCCGCCCGTCGACAGAGCCTCCGCTCTGCTCACCTCTAGTGTGAAGGCGCACTGCCCAATTTCTAGGTTATCAACCCCCTCAGGGCATTCACAGTCCATTTTCTCTACCCAGGAGCTTTTCCTTCCCCGCACCCCAAATTTTCTGTCACCCAGCTACCTTCTATAGGCCTCAGTTTAGTCACTTTTACTTTCATTAAAAAGCTTTCCTGATTCCGGCAGATCAGATTAGGATCACCCTTAGCACTCTATACCTCTTCTGAAACCTTTATCACAAATACAATTAATGAGTTAAGAAATTACTAAATATCTGTCTTTCCCAACGGAATGTAAGCACCACAGTGTTCTCCAGTTCCCTTCTCTGTTCTCAGCTCCTAGCACAGCTCCTATTTGGTTCAACACCCAGCACAAGACTTCTTACCATGCTCAACGAGAATTAACTAAGTGCACAAATGAAGTAATGAATGGATGGAAGGATGAACAGTGAATACGGAGAGAAGCCTCCATCTGACCAGTCTCTCTCATATCCAGGCTCAGCAAGCACGGACTTGATGACTGAGATTGAAAAGTGACAGCCTGCATTATAATCCAGTGCTTGCACATGCAGCGTGGAAGCTGGGGGGTCTCACAGATCCCACCCCTGCCCCCTAGCTATACTCTTACAAGTGTAAGCACCCTTGTCACACCAGGAGATCTCACCTCCCTTGAGACCAGGGACTATGAAAGATCACTTTTTTCCTGCATCATACCTAGCCCAGCCTTGCACATAGTAGGTACATGAAAATGTTTGATAAATATATTTTAAAAATACACAGATAGTTGTTTCTTCTGTACCCTGGTGAAGGATATAACAGCCTCTTGGCGCTGAACTATTCATGTTTCAGTTTCCCCATCACTAACTCATTTTATCCCCCTTTCAAGCTAGGCATGCAACAGACCCTCTCCCTTCCTTCTATTGATGCAACTACAATGTATCTGAAGCACTTTTAGTGCTTGGAAAGAAACAGAAAGTTTATAAAGACACAATTATTATAAATAGTATGGACTTTCTTTCACATCTCTTTGAATATAGATTCTTAGAGCAAATATTGTAAGAATATTAAAAATAAATTTCAAAATCTGTTAGTTTCAAGACAATTCCTCATTCATTCCTAACTATTCCATCTTGTATTCATATTTATGTTTTAATTCAGTTGGAGGCACTCCTTTCTCAACTAAGCCACCTAATCACATGAAAGATCATAAAACCAGTTAGAAGCTCAAATATTAAGAAAGAAATCAAGGTTAAAACATATATGTCTTCTGCCTATCTAAATACCCATAATTACTGTGATGATAGACAGCATTTAAGTGGGATTCTATAAATCAAAAGAAATATGTGCTGTCTTAGCAAATTACTGTGAATAGTCATGTCTAAAACCAAACAAAACAGTGCATTTTAAGCTTCAGTTACCATCTTGTATTTGACAGAAAAAAATCTAAGTTTTCAACTGAGCAAAACTCCTATAGAGCCATTTTTCAAAGTGAAGAATGAAACGTGAACTAAACTTGGAAGGAAAAAATATGCAAAAATAAAATGAAAATGTAAAGTAATTCAGTGTGAGCACACACACACCACACACACACACACACACACACACACACCTCCAGTATCCAGAAACTGTAGATAAGATTTGATCTTCAAACCACACACAATAAAAGCACCAAGCAGTCCTCCTGCATTCTGCTGGAACCCAGCAGAAGTCCTGGATGAAGTTTACTTTTCTGTTTTATTCATTTAAACTATGGCAGACCTCAAAAGGAACCCAGGAAACTGTGAAACCCCTGAACTTGAACTGAAGGAAGCAGGATGAAAAAACTTCTTTCCACAAAGATCAAGAAACGGAAAGAACTGTTTACATAACTGGGTTCAAGCTCTGCTTTATTCTCTGTTCACCCTGCTATCTCGGCTTGCATGCAGCACGCAGGCTTTCATCATGGGCCGTATTCTCATTAACTGGAGTGGCCACATGTGGGGTGAAGTGTGGGGCCTTTGACATAAAGGAGATTGCTAACCTGCTCAAGGTGACCCCTTGCTGGAAATTCATGGCGTAGCCCTTAACATCAACTCATGGTTTGAAAAGATTTATACTGTAGCATGCATATTACAATAATACATGCCAAGAACATAGTGCTTTTGTTGGGGAAAACAAGGTTATCATTGGTAGAAAAGCTCTATTACAAGGCCTTTAAATAGAAGAATATATCTGTCAAATGGAGAGCATGGTCAGTAAACAAGAACCCTTTGGGTATCTCTGTTATCTATTTCAGTCCTGGAAATGATTAGCAAGGAGAGATGAGAAATGAAAAGAAAAAGGTTATAGAGTGTTTCCTAAGCATGAGATAAGTGCTTTATGTGCATATTCTCATTTCATCCCACCACTACCGGAGGATGTGGTAGATTTACAGTAGCCTGTTTTACAAGCAAGGAAATTGAGACTCAGGTCACTTACCCAAATTCACCTGTAGAACAGTGCCTGGCATACAATAAACACTCAAATATTTGTAGAAGGAAGGAAAAGAGAGAGGAAGAGAGGGAAGGGAGATCAGATAAGGAGACATTTATTGTCATCAAAATAACAAATGAGGAAAGTCTAGCCTGGAGCAAGGGCAGTGGGATCAGAGAGGAGCAAACAGATTCATGAGCTATTTGAAGGAATAACATTATAACGTTAATAAAAACAAATACCTATTCAGCAATTTCTATGTGCCAGTCACTGTTCTAAGTGTTTTACTTTTGTTAACGTCTATTAAATTGTACTTATATGAGCTATTTTTTACTTATTATTTATTTTACTATTTTATCCTTAAAGCAGCCCCATGATACAGAGGAGGTCAAGTGTCTTAGGTCACTTTCCCTAGAGACAGCCTCAGATGGGTTTTCTTGTGCAAGCCATTTACTGAGGAAGTGGGAGAAGCAGGGAATCCTACTAGAATTCTAGGTTGTGAATAACACCACAGGCTTACCTGATTTGTGGCGTGGGGGCTGGACATTCACACCCCACATCAGTCCTTGGCTGCAGGCAAGCTTTCGAGCTCAGGCAGGTCTCTGGTCTCAGGTCTCTTTTCAGAACAACTGTGACCTGTTATTAGCCAATGCTTATCATCAACATCATCATCATCATGATTACCACTGAAAGAAGACGGGGTTTGAGAAGTCACCAAGAGCAAGGCAGAAGGGCTGAAGGAGAAAATGAGTAAATGGTGGTCAGGGAAGGAGGCAATGTGAAGAGACCCACCAAAGCTTGACCAACTGTCTGCCTTGCAGGAAACTAGGGAATGAGGCCTGAGATCTATAGGTTCATTCCCTTGGGAAGTTCTTATTCGGCAGAGGAGCAATAAAAAGCTCAGTTCTGCTTTATGACGAATATTTTTACTTTGCAGGGCTCCGAAATAAGGAATCTTATAAAACTTTATGGATATGGGAAGAAAAATCAGAGGGGCTTTGGTGTTAAGCAAGCAATTAAAATATATTCTCTTCAATCTTTTAGGAACCTAATAAGAAATACTAGTGCTCAGAAAAGCATGTTTTGTCCCTTGTTATTAAACTTTGACTAATTTTACATTAAAAAAAAGAAAGGCCCAAAACAGTAAGTTCATGAAATAGTAGACTGCTGATTATTCTGTGTCTATGAATTACTTTTCTTTATTGAGTTTTGCTTTTCTATTTGTTTAAAAGAATTCTGTTTCCTTCCCCTGCAATATTGAAGCAGTTTTGTCTCTGTTTTAATAGAGCATTTACATTTAGATAATGTTCTTCTGCACATTAAGATATGGTCATGGGAAAGGAAAAGTTGAACTTTTGTGCACAAAGCTGACAGTGGTGACTCACCACCAGCAGGCCAGAGGCTCAGAGCTGTTTTTTGAGCAGCAGAGAAATAACCAGCCCAGCCTCCCCAGAACTAAGGGAACTTGTCCATGACATAGATCATCTAGGAGAGGGTGTTTTCATCACAGAAATAATTGATTGTATGGGAATCATGTTTGCAATTTGCCCCCTTTCACCTCCATTATACAAGTTTATAAATGTCAGTCCTACATGAGTTAATTCACCTCCTGGCTGCCATTATCTGAGGCTGAAGAGTCAGTCTGATCAAAGATAAGCCCTCAACAATCATGGCACAAAGAATGGCTTAGGAGAGCTCTCCTAACCCACTCCAAAACCAACCCAAATGATTGGGTTTTTTAGATCCACCCCCACCTCCACCCCACCCTCTGCCCCAACCACATTGCTGCCTTCGAATCCTCTTATTTGGAAATTCTAGAGTTGGAAGCATGCTGTATGTTTTTTTGAAATTTTAGAAAGTGACTCAGTACTACCCTGCCTACAACTGGGTTTTGGAGTCATATTCCTTGTGACTATAGCCTTGAAAGGAAGCAGAGGCAGAATGTCAGCGCATTTTAATTATATAGCATTTCTTTAGCCCTAGAGAGCATCTTTCACAAGTGATTCTTAGTGTGAACCCTTATTTACTTTCTTTCATGGAAGTTCACCTTCACTTTGAAGAAGCTTCCCCATCTTAGACCCATTTCCTTAGATCTGGTATTCAAAAACTCTGGTCAGTGGCTCTCAAAATTCTTAACCTGTGTACAGAAATTCTCCACAGAATTTGCTAAAAATGCAAACTTAGTAGGTCTAGGGCTAGTTTTTAATCACAAATTTAAATTTTAAAAAAATCCCCTGAAGCATTATTGGGAATGTCATTGGGAGTAATGAGGCATTAATGAAAATACTGATTACTTAATAACAATAATTATAATGGTTCAAAAAGGCCATGACACTGATTTGGGGTTATGTGTCTCAGATTTTGCAGCATTTCATAATTAAGCTCTTAGGGATTACTATTTTTCAATAAAGACTTCAGCTATTTTCAGTAGATGACCTATTATAATTTTTATATAATTACTCTGGTCTTTATTTATCATTAACCATTTATTAAGCACTTACTGTGCACTAAGCATTTTATGCCTCTTATGCATTCTATAATTTTAGCAGTCAACCTAAGTGATTCTAATGCAGCAGGTCACAAATTCAGGCCCTCACTTTGAGACACTCTGGTACAATGATTAAGAGTTTAGGGTTCAGCAATCAGCAGATCCGGGTTAATTTCTGGCTTCGTATCTAACTAGCTGAGCATGTTGAGCCAATTACTTAACTTTTATATGCTTTAGTTTTCTCTTCTCTAAGATAGGGATGTTAGCAGTTTCTATCTCACAAGGTCATTAGGTTAAATCAATGAGACTATTAAATCAGTGAGGCACAGTGCCAGGTGACATATAAATGCTCATAACAGTTTACTATCAGAACAGGGATTGGCACTAGTAGGCACTAATAAATATTTGCAGACTGTGAATGAAAATAAATTATATTAACAGAGACAACTTTGCAGGTAGATCAAATGCTCTCCTAAGCCTCCATTACAGGTTGAGCATCCCTTATCCAAAATGTTTGGGATGAAAAGTGTTTCGAATTTGGGATTTTGTTCAGATTTTCTGAATATTTGCATATATATAATGAGATATCTTGGGGATGGGAACCACATCTGAACATGAAATTCATTTATGTTTCATATATACCTTATACACATAGCTTGAAGGTAATTTTATACAGTATTGTTTAATAATTATGTGCATGAAACAAAGTTTGTGTACATTGAACCATCAGAAAGCAAAGGTGTTACTCTCTCAGCCACCTACGGGGACAATCTTTGGTCATTTGGCATCATCATTCCTGACTCTGAATTTATATGCTACTTATAAGCAGTCATTTTTATACACTGATTCACACATAAGAACTTAACAGCAAAAAATATGACATACATTCATACAGTGAAAAATTAATATGTTCAGGGTAACTAAGCAGCACAGTGGCACCACCAGAATGCCTGCATCAGCTGTTCAACAAATGCAACAACAAACAACGCCAGGCTTGCAGTCCCCACCTGCAATGCTGTGTTTTGATTAAAAGATTACTGTACACTGTATTTTATTTTAGGTGAGAAGAAACATCAGGAGCTGATGAGGACCAGGAAGTGGGTCCTCAAGGGATGAGGAGGCATTCTGCTGGGTGTTTCCTCCAGGCTCTTCTGCCTCATTAACAATGTTTCTTGTTTTAGAATTCTCTCTTTGATTTTATAAACTGCCCTGATTTCTTGTTCTGTTTTGAATGCATGCTCCTCTAGTCCTTCAATAAGCCCATCACACATTTTCACTGTATTGTCTATAGGCATTTTCTGCAGTGTTAACAATGTCACTTGCAGCATCATATCAGCGTTCAAAAAGTTTCAGATTTTGGAGCATTTTGGATTTCAAATTTTTGAATTGGGGATGCCCAACTTGTATAAGAAAGGGCCAAAAAGAGAAAGAGGCTGCTTTTGGGGGCTTTAGAAGTAAGGCTACTCGAGAGAGAAGACACCGAACTGAGCAAATACATTGCTTTAAGAACCAAGATGTGCTCGTTCCAAGCAACTTCAAAACATCAGTGAGTGGCAAAGTATTTTGAATATAATGTGAAAATATAATTTGTAACTCTCTGCTGGAATCAGCAAAGACTAGACTGAAGTAGTGAAGAGGGCTAAAGCAGAATTTTTATATCCAAATTAAAACTAAAAGGAGGCATAATACCATTCATATTAGAAAGAAACCATGAATCACAAATTTAAAATTTAAAAAAATCCCCTGGAGTATTATTGGGAATATCATTGGGAGTAATGAGGCATTAATGAAAATAGTGATTGGTAAATAACAATAATTACAGTGGTTCAAAAAGCACATGACACTAATTTGGGGTTATGTGTCTCAGATTTTGCAGCAGTTCATAATAAACTCTTAGGGATTGCTATTTTTCAATAAAGACTTTAGCCATTTTCAACAGATGACCTATTATAATTTATTCTGGCTTTTATTTATAATTACCATTTATTGAGCACTTACTGAGTGCTAAGCATTTGATGCTTATCATTTACAACAACACTGCCAGACAGTTGTCACCATCTTCATTTTATAAATTATGAATAAAACTCAGAGGGTTATATGACCAATGTGAACTAGAAGTGACTGAGATGTGATTGAAACCCAGCTGTCTCCCAGCCAAGCTGTCCTTTCACAATACTCACTGACTCTTGGTGGTGATTAGTGCGTGTCCTTACCTAGCTAGCCAAGTGGAACCAGTGACCTCTGTGCCACAGCTGGCCTGCCCCACACCATGGCATTCCTCCATAGAACCTTTAGCTTTCAGCTCTGTCTCCCCATGATGATTAATTAAAATAGACAGTTGCCCAGTTTCTACATGGCTTTGGGCAAATTACATAATCTAATTGTTCTAAAGTACGTCTAATGACCCTAAAGATAAAGGCAACAGGAGGCTTATATCTGTGGCCATATTTTGTATTTTCTCATTTATATTACAAAGGAGAGTGAGAAAAATATTTTAACAAGCTTGTTCAATGATATGAACAATGTTAATGGTAATAATGATTAAGATATACTAAGTATTTATGCACCAGGCATCAGGCTAAGCACTTTACATGCAATATCGTATTTAACTCACCTGACACTGTGATGAGGTATTACCTCTATCATAAAGCTAAACAGATAAAGATTCAAAAGCTCTAATTGATGTCACCAATGACTCATAAACTCTAAGTGGCCAAGCCAGGATTGGAAACTAGGACAAAGGGGTCCATGGCATTCTAGGCAAGCCAGGTAACACAAATGAGTAAACACAGTCAGGAAGGGGCCATGGCAAATGTCAGAGCACATGTATGTTTTCAAGAATGGCTACTCAGTGCCAGCATTTTGAGGCTGTGTGGCAATTGTAGGCCCCAGTCTTCTGATGTTTTGTAATATCTGACTGGATGTAAAATCTCCTAATTTATAAACGTTGGCATCCATTTAATCCAAATGTGTTTCTTTAAACATTTCAAGAACCCAATAAACACATCTGTAGGCAGAGTGTGGTCCTAGGCTTCCTGGATGCCACTTCTGATTTAGAGCCTGTGCTCTTGGCCCTCAGGCTATTGGAGCTCCAGCGTCTCCTTAGGTCACCTTTGTGAATAGTCCTTTCCAGGTCTGTCATTCTTAGATCTATGGCTTCATCTTCCTCCTTGGTTCTCAGAGCTAACAGAAACAGCAAGGTAGAAAGAAATGCAGAGCAAGACAGACACAAGTTGGCAAAGGCAGAGGTTCAGTATATAGCTTCAATAAATATAACATCATTCCCAGAACTATCTTCCCGGGAGCAACCTTCCACTGCTCTGGGCCCAAGACTGACAAACATTTGCATGTACAAAGTTATAGAGCCAACTTTTTATTAAAAGAAATATATGGTGCCCTTTAGGGGTTACTTGCCTTTTACTTGGGAGAGATTAAACAGGTACACTTTCACAGGCAGAATTCCTTCAAAGTTTGGGAAATAAGACCATATGTGTGGTGCCCTTGAATTTTTCATTTTTTTCTGAAAGCCATCTGCTTCCTGTTATCCTGATGTGCTCAGTCATAATGGCAGTGTTGTAGCATGGAAATTGGCTCCATCCAGGTTTCCATATTGGTATCCAAAAATTTGTTTGTTTCAATTGACAGGCATCTCCCCTTAGGGATTCTCCCTAAGACAGCTGGGCTCACTGCCTGCCTAATCTTCACCCTGTCTTCAAAACAGATGAGGGAAGATCCACAGGCTGAGAAAGGCTAAGCAGCAGCACTTCGTGCATTTATTCCCCTTCCCACTCATGTTTATTAATATCTGGGCAGAAATGTGACAGTGAGAAGTTTTGATGCACACAGGAGGATGGCTATAGCAAGCGAGCAGTTTAATATAGTACCAACCAAGTGGGCTGTGCTGTACACAGGAGAAAAAGGAATCTTAAGTCTATTTTGCAAAAAATAACTAAATGCTGGTTTGAATCAGCAAATAAGCTACAAAATAATGTAGAAAACTAAGAGCTATGACAAAACATACTCTAAGCCTGGCCTATGGGATTTATAAATGCCATTTCTTTTTGGAAAGTTAAGGGTTCTTTGGTGATTGATAAATACTATTTGAGAAATAGGATTTTACTAGATCCTTAAAAAATCTGTAGAATTGGGAGAAATACCCTTGAAATGTACAGCAGTGATTTTATGAGTAAAAGGGACAAAGGTATCAGTCTATGACTATCCACAACCTTTTCCCCTCTTCCCTGTCTGTGAAGAAAGTTTGGATTTTGCCTACTCTTTTCCTTCCTCATCCTACCTGGAGGGTTCTTCCATTGGCCATGCTAAGTTAAGAGACTAGATGCAGAGAAAGACAGACAGCACAGAGGAAATATTGCTCTCTGGAGAACCCTAGGTCACAGGGGAAATAACATGCTGAGAGTCCATTGTGTGGGAAGGCAGAGGAGGAAGAGCGACAGGAGATGGCCTTCAAGTGGGATGACAGAGGTTGAATGGGTGAGACCAGGGAGGTGGTTCTGGAGTAGAGAGTGAGAGGGTTCCAGGAACTTCTAAGTCCACGGGAGAAAACAGCTTATTTTAATCCTATTCTCATTTATGTTGCTTGAGAATACCACAACTCATCAGAATTCCTGTTTGGATAGTGTTTACATGTCAAGTTTCTCATGAACTGAAGCACATGGGTCATAGCTTTAATAGGGTTATGACTGTCAATGAGTTTGCCTGTTTGCTATGCCTTTCCCCTCTATTTCCAAAGGGACAAAGAAACTTAACACAGAAGCACAAAGACATGTGACTTTGTTTTCTCAGGCGGGGTAAGGGACCTTTTCAATAAATATGACACTGTTCCCAGATTTCAGAATAATCTGCCTCAGGAAGCTGGAGGTCAACATTTAGTGGTGCCTTGAAGGAGTTTATTATGATCTTATCAGGGGGACAGGCACCTGTGTGACTGAATATGGATTGATATTTGGATTTTCTCTACAACTCTTATTCATTCGTTTAATCAATAAATATTTACTGACTACTCACCAAGTCTCAGGCACATGTTCCTGGCTCTGAAGATATTGTAATTAACAAAACCAATGAGTACCCATCTCTCACAGAGCTTATGTATCTTTTTAAACATATTTCTTTCTAATAAAAATGCTCCCATTAAGTAGGCAAAGAAATGTGAGTGGCAGATTATAAACTTGTTATTTAAGTCACTTGGGAAATTAAAATCATGCCTCAGAATCCCCCTGCTATGGGGAATAAGGGTTATGCCAAATATTTTCTTTTTTATCCATTCAAAAATAACTAAATTCAAAGGGAATTAAGAACACTTATCCTCAGCTTAACAGAGCCTGGCATACTTTCAAGAATCACAAGGAGGCAGCTGCAGGGTCAATAATACAGGCAGAGGGCTCTATCGGCCAGAGCTGGGCCCCATCTGAGGCACTGCATGTTTGGGCAAGTTGTATAACCTCTGTCTTGGTTCTATCACCTGTCATATGGAGTCGATTAGAGTACCTATCTCATTAGGGTTTCTGTGTGGACAAAATGAGCTAAGTTGTGTGAAGTGCTTAGTTTAGTGCATATCGGAGAGTACACTGTTATTATTATCCATTCTTATTATTTTGTTGCCTTGCCTTTAAAGAACGGGCTAGAGGAGCTCAGCTCTGTTTAAGTCTAAACTCTCTTTACAAAAGAAATGAATAAAAAGATGAGAAAGACTTACTGACAAGTGAAGAGATAGAATAAGCAAATCAAATAATGATACGTAAGAGTGCTGGCAAGTCTGTACAAGATTTAGAACAAGAGCAGACCATGAGATTTTTCTACATAACGTATCTGTGTCTATGTCTCTCTCTCTCTGTCTCTGTGTGTGTGTGTGCGTGTCTGCATAAGCCTAGGCAGCTAAATTATTTTCAGTAAACCACAGCTAGCTTTCTGATGACATTGACAAGCTTGCAACATCAAGGAGGCAGCAAGAATCCACCAATGCTGGTTCTGTGTTCCAGGAGCTGTTTCCAACTCTGAGAAAGTCCCCTGATGGAACAAATTATAATTTAAGTGGCATAAGCAAGCAATGCAAAATGCCAGTGTCAAGCCATTGAGGTTATTTCCTAGGCAGAGGGCTCATTTAACGAAGAAGCACATGACGTGTTTACTCCAGAGTCTTTTCATTGCTTGGATCAGCATCTAGGCTTTCAAGCAAAATTTTCTCCTGTTGTGTTTCGGGTAGAGGAGATGGGGGCAGACATCAGTCATTCTAATTCCCAAATTTGTCTCCAATCTTTTTAATAAGATTATTGACAGAGGTTTAATTCATCCAGCAAAAGGTTAGTCTGAGCGATCTCTAAGACAGTCTTGTGCTGGCATTCTCTTTTAAATTGTTGTTCCATCTTATTCATCTTAGTGATGGCCTCTTTCATTTTGAGGCAGAATTTGTCTTCATGCTCTGTGCCACTCTGTATACCAATAGGAGTCCAGGGAAAAGAACCCAAGGAGATCAAATCCTGGTTCTGCTACACCCTCATTATTTGATGATTAGCTAATCCTGCAGTCTCAGTTTCCTCATCTGCAAAACAAGATCCATCCAGCAGAGAAGCCCGAAGGAGTCCAGCTAATCTCTATACACGCTAAATGCTGACTGTCGTATGACTTACTGGGTTAGTCTTCCCTCATCTCTGCATCAGCTTCTTCCTTGTATCCTCTTGAAATATTCTTTTTAATGGCAGCCCTTATCACAAAGATGGTGTATGCTGGTGGTGGTGATGAGGCACTCTGGAGGCAAACTGCCCAGATCCAAACTCTGTCTCTATGGCTGATTATCATTTTGCTGTGGGCACATTTTAAAATTTCTCATGCCTCGATGTCCTGATGTAGAAAATGGAGCTAGTAACATGAACTATCTCACAATGTTGTCATAAGAATTAAATTAGTGCCACATGCAGAACTTTTATAAGCATGAGCTCTTATTTTTTAATCAGTATCTGAGAATTGTCTAATGCTGGATCAGCATAAAGTCATCCACCAGTCAAATAGAAGGGAAAGATGGGACATGGGGGACAGAGCATCCGAGAAGAGAGAAAAACGGACATCCTGTTTACTCCTCATCTTGCAGAGCCTTAGTGGTGAGTAGCAGAGCACTAGATCTCTCAGAGTTCACTGGGCTTCAGCTCTCCTCACCATGATCTCCTGGAAGCAAGGGACCATGACTTGTTTATCCTCAAGGCTGGCCCAGAGAAACACTCAAGAATAAATAAACCTAAAACAAGAAAAGGAACACAGAGCTTTGAACTATTGCCAGGCTAGCAAATTCTCTGATTTATTTGGTGACCTGAACAATTGCAAAGTGGTAACACACAAAGTAACCCAAAGCCCTTTACAATGTGTCAATGGGGGACCTAGAACCAAGCCTGCCTGCTCCGGGTGACTCCCAGGACACTCTTCAAAGCCATTAAGAAACCTGGAGAGTCCTAACCAAACAGGACATCTGGTCAACTTCATAAAGCACACACTCTCGGGCACTGTTTAACATGAGTAACCCAACCCCTTGCTGCAGCAAGAATTCCCTTGAATCATTTTTCTGGCAGCAGGGTGTCCTCCCCAAAGGCAGGACTATTATCCATGTGACCTCCCAAGATCCATTTCTCTCCTTTGATTTATTCAGTGACCTCCTCTGGTGCAAAAAATGGTATCTTTGTGGCTTAAAAGAGTTTTTCCCCCTCCTCCTTCTTCACTCTGAGTCATTTATTTCTTCCTGCCAGTAGGACACTTCTCTTGTTCATTCCCAAATCATCCCTGTAAAGAAGGCAGTAAGGGTATAAAAATAAACCCTTCGGAAGCAGAAATGGCTCCAAAGCCCTCTGCTAGGACCACCCCACCATCACCGTCATGGAGTAAACTTGGTTAGAATGTCAGCTCTAAAGTCTGACTACCTCAATTCACACCCTCACTCCACACTCAGCAGCTGTGTTACCTTGGGAAAACTACTTAACCTCTTTATGTTTTTATTTTTCCCTCTGTAAAAAGGGGCTAAAAATAACACTGACCTCATAGCATTTTGTGAGGATGGAATGCGGGAATACAGCAAAGCACTTTGAATAGTGTCTGCCACGTGGTAAGAGCTCAATAAAAATTATCTAGAATTTCTTTCTGAGGCCACTATAAATTCTCAGCATTGAATATATACATGGATAAATGAAAAATGGGATTAAATGACTCGCAGAGCTCAGAGTAAAAATGCATGATGGCCTTAATTATCTATTCCCTTCTCTTAGTTCCTCGCTTCCTGTCTAGTTAGATGCTAATATCAGTAGCCAATATCGAGAAAAAAATGCTTCATTTGTTTCACTTAAAAATAGGCATTGCCTAAAACAAGTCTGAAATGAATGTAAATATTGTATTTTCATTCACCTTTGACTGAATCATTATCTATTTCCCCTAATGTGAGAGGTTAATTCTTTGAGCTAGAATTTTGAAAGAGAGAGAAGGTAGGTGCTGTGACAGTGTAATTCTTGTTTTAAAATGTGTCCTTAAAAAATGTGCCCTCGCTCTCTTGCCTTGTCTTCCAGGAGTGGCTTGGCATGGGGCTGAGTTCCTGGTGGAGAGTGCTGAGCTGGCAGTGTGCCAGTGTGGTTCATGCTGCCTTCCCCCCTTGCTTTTAGTTGCAGATGAAGTAAATTTCTGGAAACCACTCACCATGTATTGACATCTGTGAATGGAGACAGAAAAAAAAAGACAGTGTAGTCATCATCGGCAGAGTACAGTACACTGATCTGAGAGTTTTCAGGAGAGAGAATTACATTCTATAACTTCATCTAAGTTTTTCTAATTTTACATTTTTTCATGCTCAGAAGAGAACTGGCAGAATTGTTTGACAATTAATGATGAATTCAAACAGCTTTCGGCACCCACTCTCATTTGTGTCTCTCAAGCACAGAGGCAGCAGAGGTGAACCATCTGCATTTTCCTGGGTTTCTGCTGCCATGTGTACCAGGGAATAAGGGTAAAAGGAAACACATCGCTAAAACAGCTGAAAGTTTCCAACTGCAGTATTGGTGAAGAGAGTAGAAATTTATGTCACTGATTTCCACAAGGACAATTTGATACATTCACTTTGTTCAGCCCACAACGAGGTGCAGGGGAGATGATGAATTGAGTCTCTTTCTATGCAGATCTGTTCCCTGCCAAATGAGCCCACCATCAAAGAATACAGTATGGCTCTTTCTACACTGAGCTGTTTGGCAGACACATTTTGTAACCAGAAATGGTGCCAGCAGTTTGCAGCAGCCTCCGCCACAGCAAATCAGCTGTGATATTAAAAAGAAAAACAGCCTGGCAATGTGGAAATTATCCCATCCAGCAGTATTTCCCAACACAAGAAGCTTGATTTTGCTGCCCAAGTGAGAGTGACAGAACTGATTAATCCTTTATTCCAAATGCCATTCTCTACCACCAAATTTTGGTTGTTTATTTTTTAATCTTTTCTAGAAAAAGGAAACATTGTGACTCTACTTAAATAGCCCAGGTAGACTGAAGATTTGGCGACAGCACTCTACATTTAAGCCAGCCGAGCTAAGAAGAGAAGAAATTGGGTTATACGAGGTAAAGAAATCTATTGTCCCCTGTGCTTTCTGGATTGACTCGTTCTATGGTGAAACTACTTTCTTTTCTGCTATAGTGTTTCATGAAGCCATCTGGATTATTTAATCTATACAGACAGCTGGTCCAGATACTTTTAGACTCAACATGGATTTTTTTTTTTAACAGTCTGAATAATGTACAAGGCCCAAATTAACAAGAGAATTGCCAGCTCTCTCTCTCTCTCATGTTGTGCCAGGGCCCCGTGAGGAGCATCAGGAAAAGCGTGGGACAAGGAAGGGGTTTGCACCTGTAGCTGTTGGATCCTTCAGCTGGCCAGGTGGAAAGAGGTTTCAAATGGGATAACTTCATGTGTTCAGCCCTTTGTGCTCTGAATACTGTCCATTTTCATTCTCCCTTCAGCAGCTGCTGTTCCCCAGAGTTTGTCTATGTAAAGTTGTGACTACAAAGGCTCCAATTTTTTATCTACAAAGCTGAGACTCATGTGGCTAAGGAACCACTCAAAAAACCAGAAACTAACAGAACCCAAGAAGAGGTCAATACACCCAGTGATAATTGGACTGTCTGATCTCTTTACCAGAACTTTCTAAGTAATAAAGAGTGCTAGTACCATGCTACTCCATCAGACAACTAATTGTGCAGCCCTATCCACTAACCAGTTGTGTAATTTGGGGCAAGTTACTTTTCTGAGCCTCAGTTCCCACATCTATAAAATCAGCATGATAATGGTACTTATCTCATGAGGGTGATGTGAGAATTAAATCAGATAATACATGTAAAGCACTTATCTGGCACAAGGAGCACTCAAAAAACAACAAAATAGTAATGATAATTACCATTTGTTGAGCACTTGCTCTAGAATGCCAAATACTCTTGGAACTTTACAACATAGCTTGAAGCTCTTATGATAATCCTACGAAGTGGCTGTTGTTATACCTCTTAAATAATAAGAATCACAGATGGTAATTAAAGATCAGATGACCCTGGTAGTTGCTTCTGATATAATCATCAATCAATTAACAGAAAACTGATTGGCATAATGGTTGATGAACATGGGCTCTGGGGTCAAACAGCTTGGGATTTAATCTCTGTCCTGTCACTTATCACTAAGGTAACCTTGGACAAATGGTTTAACCTCACTGACCCTCATTTTTCTTATCTGGAAAAGAGAACTAATAATCATACCTACCTAATAGGGCTGTTGGGATGGTAATTCAACAATATAAAGGATGCATGTTTAGCCTACAAGGAACTAGCAGTGCTCCAGCTGAAAACAGGTTAGTGATTAGGAACACATTGCTTGCTTCAACTCTGACCACTCTACTTACTAGCTGGGTGACCCAGGGCAAGCCACTTAACCTCTTAGGTCTGGTCTCTTCATCTGTAAGATGGAAAGGCTGTTGTGAAGACTGGACAAGTTAAAGCACATAAAGTGATTAATTGGTAAGTATTCAATAGATATACAAGTACATTTATAGACATGGGCTTATTAATGACAAAGTCAAGCAAAAAACAGCAAGCATCAGAAGCAGGAAAGTCCCTGAGGGTTCCAAGGAGGTAGAGGCTGGGTGGTTAGTGGTGGTCAGAAAGTCTGAGCTGAGCCACAAATTCAATTCAATGCAAACTTTACTGTAGCAGGCCTAGTACTGGGTTCTGTGAATATACAGGTGAATGTAGGCAGTACCTGGTTTCTGAGAAGGCAGTGTAGCTAAAGGATACATGAGTTAGGAAGTATTTAACTGAGACAGTGTACTGGGTGTTACACTGGAGAAAGGCAGGCCACAAAGGGAAGCTAGGTAAGAAAGATGGGAGCAGTGGATTCTCCCTGGGATGACAGAATGAGGATCTCAAGAGGCCACGGAGCAAGCTGGGTAAAGGTACCATTTATTGATCCACTAAGCCATCATGATATCTTAAAAGAACCCAGATTCTGGTGAACATGAAAGGCAAAATTGTAAAAAGTTTAAAGATTGTTT
This sequence comes from Homo sapiens, assembly GCF_000001405.40. Taxonomy (NCBI): domain Eukaryota; kingdom Metazoa; phylum Chordata; class Mammalia; order Primates; family Hominidae; genus Homo; species Homo sapiens. The sequence continues at coordinate 143,884,521 of NC_000005.10, read as the reverse complement.
GAGAGGTGCTTTAATATGATCAGAGATACTGTGTTCTTCCTTTTTGCCAACTACAACTGCAGGGTTCCGGGTAATCCTTGTTCTCTGAAATTTAATTAGCTAAGGATATCTGGGTTCCAAGCTAAGAACTTCTAGCTCTTCTCTGCATTTCTGTATAAGTAAGACTTGTTTTTTGGCAAGTAACAGAAACCCAGAAACCTACTCAAATTACCTTAAAAAATTATCTCACTTAACTGGAAATCCAAGATGTTTCTAGCTTAAGGCCAATCTAGGGCCTCAAACTAGACACTCATGTACTCATGGTTCTCTTCTTCCTGTTAGCATTTTTTCACAGGCAGGCTCTTCCCAGTTTAGCGGCCACCCCTCCCCACCCAGAGAGTCCCTCTTTGACAGTAGGCTCCTGCAAAACTTGCCATTGTATTTTTAACAACTGTAACCAGTAAAATGGAGTGTCTCATTGGTCATGCCGGGCTTTGCAGAGCCTGGAAGCCATTGGGTAAAGTCAGTGATGCACAAACTAAATGAAAGATGGGGAGTAGTGGTTCTATAAATGGATGATGAGCCTAGAAAATCTTTTCTCTATTACAGCGTGCTCCAAAGGAGGAAGGCAGAGAGAAGAAGGTAAGGAGATGGAAGGGGAAAAAAGTCATATGTGTAAAGCCAATCAACTCAACTATGGATCTTTCATTACTCTCAACATAAATTGAATCCTCTTGAATTTTAAAGCTATTTTATTCTCCATTTTTCTTCATTTCCAGCCTTTCAATTTATTTGTACACCTCTTGTCCTTGATTTTTATAGATAGTTTCATAGTCAAGAAAAAATAAATTTGGGAAAATATATTCCACAAAGAAGTTTCCACTCTACCTAAAATAGCAGAGGCCATGTATGATTTGAGGTCCTCAATACATCACTTTGGATCCTTAAGGTTGCATCAGTTTGGACCTGCTGAGATATTTCTACTGCAGGGTAATCATGGTGGATTATTGAAACGTTGAGCACTGGGAACACTGACTTGGAGTTTGATCTCTCTCTCTCCCTCTTAAACTCTCCCCTTCCCTACCTCTAAACAAAGATGTGTTTACATATTTACGTAGAGGCAAAGAATGTCCCCCAAACCAGATCCAAAGATTCTAGGACACATAGACTTTTAGTCCTTTTGTAAGAGAATATTTGCAAGTGTTTTCAGCTTTTCTCTATGTGCCCAATATTTTTCTTTTATATTTTGATTCTTCAGTCAGCACATCTGTTCAAAAGGATGCTAGATACCATGTAAAGCTTCAAAGAGTGGAGCACACCATAACCCTTAATTGTCACCTGGCTTTCTATTATAATTGTTATTTAAAAGTGCTTTGGCCCCCAGGCTGGAGCCGTTAGGTGTTCTATCCCTGCCTCCGCCCTGCTTGACAGTATTCATTTGACGGTATGAATTTAAGATGCCATTAAGTCCCAAAGCTTCATTTTCTGCCCATTCAAGACCCCCTTTATCACTATTCTAAACTTCAAGTATTCAGATTTAACTATTTGCGGGACCAAGCACCCTTCCCATGTGAATCTGCAAAGGGAAGGACCTACAAACCCAAAGACTCTAAGCCATGGGCTTAGCAAGTAAAATCGTCCCTAGCAATCTCACTTGAATGTATGATGCCCTGTGTAAATTTTGCAACTCCTTTCAGCTTGTAGAGAAGATTTCTAATGTCTATCCTATGGCCACATGAGACCCTGGCACTTACACATGTGAATTCAGTTACCTCTATGAGCATGGTATTGAATAAGCACTCTAGGCATCTGGTTAAAACTGATTTCTCCTGATTGCATCATTACAGTTCTCCACTCATTGGGTGGTTGCAGAGCAAAGAGAAGCTGAAATGAAGGAAATTTTTTTTTTTTTTTGAGGTGGAGTTTCACTCTTGTTGCCCAGGCTGGAGTGCAATGGCGCAATCTTGGCTCACCGCAACCTCCGCCTCCTGGATTCAAGTGATGCTCCTGCCTCAGCCTCTCGAGTAGCTGGGATTACAGGTGTGCACCACCACTCCCAGCTAATTTTGTATTTTTAGTAGAGATGGGGTTTCTCCATGTTGGTCAGGCTGGTCTCGAACTCCCGACCTCAGGTGATCCACCCACCTGAGCCTCCCAAAGTGCTGGGATTACAGGTGTGAGCCACCGCACACGGCCAGAAAGGACAAATTCTGGGACAAACTCCACAATACTGTTTTGATAGCTCAGGAGTTGTTCATGGGGTCCATCATGTAGTCAGGCTGCTGGCAACTTATCTATACACCTGGCCATCCAGGTTGTCATTTTACCTGATTCATGGTGGATTCTGAAGGGCTTTATTTATAATCCAGAAAAGCACTCTCTCTCACCCTGTCTCTTTTTATCTCTTGCACATACACACACCCTACACACCCCAGAAAAGAAAGGGAAGACTTTCAAGGGATTTCTATAAATAATGTTATTCAATGGAGGTAGCCATTCCCGCAGTTCTCTAGGCTGTGCCTAAATGGTTTAATGTTATCACCTGGTCACCAAATTTTCTGCATAAACAGAGGGGTTCTCAAACATCTTGTTTGAGAAGATTCTGCAGCTGTGCAAATACAGTCGGACTGATCATTAATCCATTTGTCAGATGAGATTTCCTTCTTTAACTAGCAAAGATCCCAAGTGGTATGAGTTAGTGTCTACACTATAAAATTGTCCTCTGAGAATTTGGATTCTGGGTTTTCATGGGAAACAATGGACAGGCCTCTCTAAGCCACTGGCCCAAAACTTTTAGCATCATGTTTAATTATGAGTCATTCAGTGAAGGGTCTCTTAATAATTCTGGCCATTGCTCACTTATTCAAAAATATTAGGTGTTTATTGTGTGCCTGTCACAGTGCTGAATGTGAGGGGAACAAAGATGAATAAGAACCAACACCTGCCTTCAGGAAGTTTGCAGTCAAAGTGAAAAGCGGATACTATTTCAACACAGTATGATATGTGCTTTGTGATACAAGATGGAATGATACCCAAAAAGAGGAATAGGGTCAATCTTTAATGGAGAGGCTTGTTTCCGGAAGGCTTCTCAGGAGATACCGGAGCCTGGGGATTGAGGAATAAGTAGGAAGGTGAGAGGGCGAAATTCCAGACACAGAAACCACCATGTGCAAAGACATCGAGATATGAAAGAAAAATACAAATGGGAACTCTGAGTAGTTTAGAAGGGCCAAGGAGATGAAGCATGTGGCAGCTTGAGGAAAATCAAATAAATCATGCAGGACCTAATAGATCATTCTAAATTGTGGAGCCACTGAAGGTTTTCCATTAGAGGAGTCTTTTCAAAATGTACTTCTGTCTCTGGTATGGAGGATTACAAATCACATCGTATTTGCTTTCTATGTAGAATAATTAGTAACTTTTATCTGGCTTCTCTTAATTAATGTATTTCAGAGATGGAAGACATATGCTACAATGGCCCCTTTATCCTGCAACTGTGAGAGATATTACTAACCACTTTTAGCATCTTTCTCACTAAATCCATATTCAGACCACAACTCCTTCTTTAATCCTAATACTCAGGCATTCGCCACCAAGTCATTGGATTTGGCATTGAGTTGAAACTTGTTCTCCATCCCTGGCCGGTTACTGGCAGGGTCACATCAGTCTGTGTGCCATTCTGATCTCTGTCTTCCTAATACACTTGCCCTGTCCTCAGTGGAAGGCAACTCACTTCCAGCACAGCAAGATTCCTCTCCTCTCATTTTGTTTTATCACTGAGTTCTGCTATCTCTGGTTCTTAGCTTTCTCTGGCATGAGGAACCCGAGTCCATTATGTTTCCTAAATCCAGGAGACATGTATCAAGCTTTTCAATGGTTCTCTTAGAGCCACAGCTTGATTGGCTTAAGATGACGGGAAAGCACCCACCCCTTCCCGTCATAGGCTGCATTTCCTGGGAAGCTGACTCTGAGTTCGTTGTGTAGGATCATTCTGAAGGAGCACCTGTGGGATCAGCAACTGTGGAAGGGGCGCAATGGAAGCAGGTAGGCAATGGGAGACATAGGCCGTGGAACACAGTGACAGCCTCAGCCAAGCCTGCAGGGAGTTCTAGAGCTCTAATACCTCTTAAAGTGGTCCCAAGATGACTCATTCTTCATACAACCTCGTGGATCAATCACTGAACATGAGCCACCTGGGAAGGAATGTGACCTTGGACAAGGCCGTTCTTTGCAGCTAAGCCAATTCAAAGAAATTTTCTCTCCCTGCTCCAGTCTCTCCAGCTTCAACTGCTTTCAGAGATGGAGGGAGTGATTGATATTGCAGGTGGATCTGGTTTTAGGACTTCTTCGTGTGTCTCATAGAAGGGCTTAATTAAACTTTTTGTTAATTTATTTTTGTTGTTTTCAGGTTTTGAGGGCTCAGCTAAAGCTAATACACGGAGTTCCACTTTACCGCACTGCTACATATGGTAAGTTGTTAAACTATCTATATTGCAATAGCTGGGTGTAAAAGATCATGACTTGTCTTCCTATAACAATCCATAGCACAGCAGTTATAAAATGATCCAAATATCAAATAATCTTCTTAGCAGTCACACGGTACACCTAGTTTTTGGTTTGGAAAATATAGTCACTATACACAAAGGCTTAGGACAACTCTGGGCACATAAGCACTAGGCCCTCGACCCTTTGTGCTGACTCAGTGTCTATTTACCTTAGAAACTGTTATTGAGTTTGAATTAGGGCTGTTTTCAGTGCCTGCGGCTTCCTGAATGCTTTTGGGAGGAGCTTCATCAAAAGCAGCTTCAGCTCTCTTTTTGTGCTAATTATAATTATCCCAATCTTTAGGGGAGCCTGTTACCCCTTTTCCCCTTTTGCTCTCAGGAAAAATAAAACAAATCAAACTGTTTTCTTTAGTTCTTTCTGCTGACTTCCTCAGACAAATTTCCACAGGTTTATATGACTATCATTGGGGTCATAAAAGGCATCTTTCAAGATTGGGCTTACTTTTCATTTGGTTTTTACCAAGCCAAAAGGAAAAGTATAAGAAAAGTAGCATAAGTAAAAGAAACTGAACAGAAAATTGGCAATAATTGATTTTAGGATTTTAGGTCAGGAAGTTATTACTTCAGGTTCAGGCTCTGAGATGATCTTTGACACGTTACTTCCTCACTCTCTCTGCTTTGATTTTCTTACCCATAAACATAAAGAGATTGGATAAATTCTTATGTGTCCAAAAGTTCCCATAATTCTGGGTAGGGAGTGTCATGAGACATGATCACCCCATGTAGGACACAGCCCTGAAGTTGATAGGCAGGCGGAGGAATCACCCCTAGTAACAAATACTAGGAAGAATGATCATTAAGGCAAGAGAGAAACTAGAAAAGTAGAAGGTCATAGAAAGCAAGAAAAGAGAGGGTCTTCAAAAAGAAAGGTTAATTAACGGTGTCCAATATTCCTAAGAGCTCAAAGAATATAAAGACTACAAGAAATGATACTCAATTTACTGTCCAATAAGTTGGATGAAGAGTGATTGGATGTGAGGGTAAAGAAAGGAGTACAAGAGACTATCCCAAAATATTATTATTAGCAGCTTTCAAAGGAGAAGGAAAGAAATGCAAAGGAAGGTAGCAGAAAATATTAACTTTAAAAAATTTATTATTTGATACTGGTTACTTTTATAACTTTAAAGAACTCAGATAAAAGAATGAATGAAAGGTGAAAAAGTGGAGACAGCAATTATAAACTATACTTCCAAGAAGGTTGTTTCATAAGTGTAAATGTTTTACACAGGTGTTACTGGAAAGAGGGCCTTGAGTGTAAGTTGTTCAGGTTCTTGGCGTTTTGAATAAACAATTGAACAAAATGCACAAAGTAATAAAGGAACGAAACACAGGAACAAGGCAGCAAAAGCAGGGATTTATTAAAGTGAGAAAGCACTCCACAGAGTGGGAGTGGACGCAAGCAAGTGGCTCAAGGGCCCAGTTACAAAATTTTCTGGATTTTAAGTACTCTTTTTGAGGTTTCTATTTCTTACCCCTTATCTGGATGAAGGATTTGGTCCATGGCTAATTAAAGCCTGCGGTGAATTGGCGCCCTATGCAGATGAAGGGATGGCCATGCTTGGTCCGCAGCCAATCCAAGGCACTCTCCCTTTCCATCTGAGACTTGGTGGAGTGGGCAGGTTGTAGGGAGAGTCACCTTTGATCCCTTTCTATTGGGGTGTGGTGGGGAGATGGGGTTTTTCGTTTTGGCTTAGCTTTAGGAAGTTGACATTAATTGGCCTTAGGATTTCCGTCCCCAGACCCAAGTGTTTTTCTTTTGCTCCAGCTTTAGGAGGTCAGCACGAATTGGTCTTAGATTCCCTGCCCCCAGACCTTGGTGTTTTCTCTTTTAGGAAGACAGCACAAATTGGCCTTAATTCCCATCCACAAACCTTGGTGGTTTTCCTTGAATCAGCATGAATTGGCCTCAAGTTCCCTGCCTCCAGACCCTATTTTCCCGCCTCACAAGATTTTGTAGCCAAACAAAAGCAGCCAAAGTAAAAATAAATAAATAAATAAATAAATAAACAAACATCAACACTTAATTCTTCACATTTGACTCCCATTTTACCATTCCATCACCAAAGCTCTTCTTCAAAAGTCTTTTCACTGACAGGAAAATAGGAAGAGCAGGATAAAAAGAGAGAATGGGACCTGATATATAAAAACTTCTCGCCCAAATTACAGTAATCATTCTACAGTTTACATTTTTACTAGTTATATATAGATTTCTCCAGACCAACTTGTCATTTCAAGGATGGTTTCTGAAACTCTAGGCTGGTTTTGCATTATTGCGATAGCCTTGAAATATAATCTTAATAAGGTACACCCCAAAAGAGCATGCTAATGAGGTAAGCCAACAGCATCCCCTTAGCCAATCATTGTAACCTCCCTGCTCAACTTCAAGAGTAGCCTAGCTCTGAATGAGATGGGATCTCTCACTCAGGCCTAAATATTGGACTTTGTCCATAAACCTAATTGGCGAAAGAAGATGTAAAGATAAGCAGAAAGAACCTACTATCTTAAGGCATGTTTTAAAAGGGTCTTTTGCATAGTTGAAAACAGTTGGTATATTGTCAGTCTCCTAGGACAACTTGAAAAAAATGTTTTGCTGTATGCATGTTTGGAGGAAAAAAAGAAAACAAAAAAACCTTTTGAGATCAGAAATGAAAGACAGCCTTGTAAACTTGGCAACTGCTGGATCTTTTAAAAGATGAGACAAAAAAGTGTGTGTGGGGTGGCGGTGGTGCTTAGTAGTAGAATTTTTTTTCTTTTAGTGAAATGCCTGAAAGTATTTTCTCTAAAACTTTATTCAGTGCAAAATGAAGGAAAATGTTCTCTCTGGTTATGTCAGTTCTTCCATCTAAGACACATCTTTTCTATAAGAAACATTCCTCTAATCACTAACCAGCCCACATACTTCAGCTGAAATTTCTAATGTTCAGAGTGAGAAAGAAAGAGGTTTTTGGGGACACATGCATTCAAACAATAATCAAGACAACAAATGAGTATGGTGAGGAATAACAAAGAGTATAGAATAAGTAGTGAGTAGCTATGAATAAGGTCATCCCTCTTAGCTGATTATCCTGTTGCCTATTTCATAGAAAAACTGGAAGTTGTCAAGGATGAACTACCTTAGCCTTCCCAACTCCTGCCTCTCAATTTATACCCACACCCAGACTCTCCTCCTTCCACTCTGCCCCAGAAGAAGAACTGCCATCCTTCTACTCCAGGCTAACTCCTCGATCCATTCCATTCAAACTTCGTCAAGGATTTTGCCCCTTCACTGGTTTTTCCATTCTCTTTTATCTTTAGCCTCCTCTTTTTCTTTATTTGATGCCAACATATCCAAGTTTTCCCCAACTCTTTTCTCAGTCGAACTGCCGAATGGTCCTACCATGCTACACCTCCAGGCTTTCTTCCTAGCCTTCCTCTTTACATTACTATACTCTTTTAGAGTTATCTTCTCACTTCTCCAGTTCACTTCTGCTCATTCAGTTACCTCTGATTCCCATCCTTAATGCTCACTGGAAGCACAATCTGCTCAAGTCACCAGTGACTCCTAATTGCCAAATATGATGAGCATTCTTCAGTCCTTATTAATATCTTTATGTCATTAAACTCTGATCATAATTCTTTCTTGAAAGTCTTCCCTTCTTTGGACTCTGTACCATCAAAACCCTGGTTTGTTTCTTATCCCTCTGATAATTCTTAGTTCCTATGCAGACTTCTCTCTTTCTATCAAGGCCATCCAAGCCCCTTCTCTTCATTCTCTGTTCACTTTCTCTCTGACTGATCTTGTTGTCTATTCCAATGATTTCAGACTTAGATATTCCTACCTGCCAGACATCTCCATTGGAGTGTCTCATACACAATATGTCCAAACTGAACTCCATTATCTTTCCAATCAAGCAGCTTCTCTTCCTGAATTGCTTCCATATCTCATTCAATGGCACCATTGTTCCACAAGTTGACCTATCCAGAAACCTGGGAGTCATCCTGGACACCTTTCTCAACTCTCTCTGTCCAAATGCTTTGTCCTTAATAGATGTCCGTTCAACCCAGTTTCCTCTAACTGCTAAGTAGTTTTCTAATCCAACTGCTTTCCTCCACTTCCATCATCACCACTACCTTTCTCCTAGACCACAACAGCACTTTCCCTCCTTCCAGACTTCCTGCTTGATAATTCATCATACTACAACCCATGACACAGCTAAAAGCCTTTTAAAATCTGCACCCTGTCCAGATATCCACCCTAAACTTATGCCATTCTCCCCTTTGTTCAGTAATTACACTATTTTGAAGTTATCTCTGTCCTGGGATTCCCTAAGCTCCCTCTAGCTTTTCTCTTTTGGCCTCTTATTGTTCCTTAGGGCCCCTTCCTCCAGGATACCTCCACTGGTCCCTGTAAGAAGTCAGATGAGGATTTACTCCTTAGGCTATCTTTCTCTACTCACCTCCATGTGCTGCCATTGTTCTCACTACATTTATTGTCATTATTTAATTTTCTCATCTTTACTGGAATATAAGCTCAGAGAAGGCAAAAAGAATGTTTAACTTATTTTCCAAAGTATCCCCGAGACTAGAACCGTGTCATATTCATTGATGTTGTTCAAATTGTTTAATAACAGGTACATAAATGAATGTACTAAAAATTATTTGCTTATGGAACAATGGCTTTTGGTCCAAATCATTCTGCTACAAAATAAAATGATGGAACTATTTCCTCATTTTTGAGAAAAACTTTGGTTTAGAATTATCTTTAGCTCAAACAAACATGTCATAAGCCTCTCATATCTCCTACCAACCATGTATATACCACACTCTACAAGGGCCCATAAGGTCTGAAACAAGTTTGAGTGCCCAGTGTATACTCATTTTCTCACTCTTCCTCTCTGTCTGGCATATCATCTCTTCCTGCTGGGACCCACCTGTAATCCTCAACTGCCACATCATAGCTGGGTGTACTCTGCTCTATAAAAAGCTTCCAGCCAGCATGGTCACTGAGGGTACAAATACAGCCCTACACCCTGGCCCTGGTACAAGGCTGCAGAGAATCCAGAGGAAGAGGTGCCTTTTTGTAGTTTGTGTGCCTAGAGGATATCTTTTTGCAGTTTACACAAAAACTACCCAAAGTGTTAGCCAATGGCCATATGCCATTCTGCCCCTAATTTCTTGAAGTTCCAGTTCACAATTTATCTTGAATCATGAAAATAATCAAAAACCAGTTATCTCCAAACTGGCTTTTCTAACCTGGTTTCCAATGCACATGTTCCAAAAGATTGATCTAGTTGACCACTAAGAAGCCTTGCTGTTTCAACACATTTAAATCAGTCCCAGTTAAGCGTTTTGAATATGGGTTAAAGTGTTACCTCCTCCTCCGTGAAAATGTGACACCTCAGCATTTTTTCCAGTGGCAATTTGAGTAAAGAAACCATTTCTGCTTAGCAAAGCAGACAACAATTTGACCACCGGTTTGTGGGGTCATCTGCAAGTTTTGTGTAATTTCAAGTGTGGGGTGAGGGCAGCAGCAGTGGCCTGAGCCCTAGGAATTTAGCTCAGTGACCCAGCAAGTTGGGTATGTGCCCAGCCTGCATTAAGAAGGCATCCAACCGTGACTGTGTTGTTTGGTTCACTAAGGGCAGTGTAAATCATGTGGTTATTTTTTCTTGATTGTATAGACTTTTGTTTTCAGTCTTTAATTATACAAATGCATTTTCTAAATTATGCTCCTTGGGATGCTAATATGCATTCCATGGGTAAAAAGTTGTGTACAGTGGATTTGAGAAATGCTAGATTAATACAATTTAACAGGTTTCCTTACAGCAAGATTTATTGAAGACTTTATTATGCAAAAACAAATTATGAATCTCCAAAGAGAGAAGGCTGTAACATGCCACATTCCCAAACAGATGTGGCCATGAAACCTCCTTCAAAGTACAGTTCTTCCAGGGCTTGTGTTCCATGGAACCCACTCTAGGAAACATTGTTCGAAGCATTGCCTTCCAGAATCGCTTCTATGTTTCCCCCAAATTCCTGGATAACCAGCACATTCATCATGAGATTTTCTTTTCAATCATCATAGTATGGAATCAAACTGAATGACATCTGGAAAGTTTGATTTCACTAAAGGGTAGTAATTAATTCCATGAGATGGGCAGTGGCATTTAGTTTTGGGTACTCAGGCATGATAGAATTTAAAAATCTAGTTGGAGCTAAGAGAAAAGCACCACTTTGGAGTTAAATTCTACACCTGGCTTAGGTATGTTGGAGGCTTAGGTGGAGTAGGGAGGAAGACTGAAGAGGGTGGTTGGGGAAGGTAGTTGGAGATGGTTGTTTAAAAATTCTGATGTCCAGTCTACATCCTAGATCAATTACATCAAACCAGGAATGAAGGGATTGGGACTCTAAAATCAGTTTCTACACACTTAGGTCTCTGTGATGGTTCCAATTTTTGTCAACTTGTCTAGGCCATGGTACCCCATTTTTGTTCAAACACCAGTCTAGATGTTGCAGTGAAAGTGTGTGTCTTTTTTTAAAGATGTGATTAACATTTAAATCAGTAGACTTTGAGTAAAGCAGATTACCCTCCATAATGTGGATAGGCCACATCCAATCAGTTGAAGGCCTTAAGAGTTGAGGTCCCCAGAGGAAGAAGGAATTCTGCCTTTAGCCTGCCATCAGCCTGGAGTTGCAGCATCTACTCTATCCCAGCTCTTTAGCCTGCCGAGCTGCCCTGTAGATTTTGGACTTGACAGCCTCTACAATTATGCCAGCCAATTCTTCAAAATAAATCCTTGATAGCTAGATAAGTAGATACATATATACATATTATTCATGCCTTCTATTGATTTTATTGGTTCTACTTCTCTAGAGAACTCTGAGTAATTCAGTCTTGGATTTGATCACCTACCTTTACCAGGCGCATGGCCTCTCTAACCTTCTGCTGCATTTGTATTTTTCATTATAACTCATGAGTAGAATGACTGTTTTTGCAAAGTAACATACTAAATTCAAATAATAGCATCCTTTATATTTGGACAAGGAGAATAATACATTTTTACTTGACAAAATAAATTCTTTGATTGGCCTTGCTCTTAGTTAAATGTATCATGTTGATCTTGAACATTTTTAATAAGTAGATTTATATTAGAGACCAAATGTCAAAATTGTTTAAACTCGAAAAGGCCCAGTTTGCAATGAAATGAAACAGATTCTGGTGGATATTACTGAACTGCCAATAAGGATTAATTGAAACTCAAATGTTCTTTATTGTTTGTTAATTATGTAATTGTTATTCATCCAAGCTTCTTGATTTTTCATGTTAAATAATCATACTTGTGTTTCACCCCAGCCCCTCTGTTTAGTTACCCAATTAATTAAGGATGAGGAGATCTGCATTTATTAGCATTTTAATGGCCAGATTGATTCCCCATGGCCTAAACATCTACATGTGTTTAGTTTTTGAGCTCAGGTTTATTCCATTTTAAGTGATTATCATGTTTAATCACAGATGCAAGAAACTGAAAACCATGACCTGAAACATCCAGCCCAATCTACCTCATTAAAACTGCCCCTTGATGATGAAGTTCAAGTGTTGAACTTTTGATTGGCAAGGCCAATCAAATAATTTATTTTGTCAAGTAAAAATGTATTATTCTCCTTGCCCAAGCACTACAAAGGAATCGCACATGGGCAAGGCTAGAATTGGTTAGAAATCACCGGCAGCCAGGGATTCCTGTGCTCTTGGCAGTTCCTATCTTTGAAAAACCAAAGACCAGCAACTTTGTAGACGCACCCACTGGTCTGAAGGTCATGCAAATCTTTTTTTTTTTTTCTTTTCCAAGGCCATCATCAAATTCGTTGGTTGAATTGCATCAAATATTAAAAATTAGTGCATTGTCACTGTCAAAAGACAAAATTACAAAAAATTTAGCTTAAAAATCTAATAATCTTTTATTAGCAATTCACGAACTGGGGACCATCTCATCTAAGATTTTTGCTTTGCTGTGCATGTTAGAACAGTTGTTTTTTGTAAGTTGCAAACAAGGAAACAGAATTTTTTTTAAAGCAGATTGGTTAACATCGGGTTTCTCAGGCTACTTCCCTTGTAAGGGTTAAAGGGGAGGGGACTTTTTTTTTATCATGCTGAATCTGGTTGATTGAGCTCTCTCCAAATGGTTGCTGTGAATCTCCTGTTTTCAGAAGAAAAAAAAAACAAAAACTGGTCTTTTGGGAGTTTTGCCTGGTTCCTTAAAATTTCAGTTGATTTTGTGACACTAATTAATCAATGGCTTCTTCTTGCCTGCTGCATCAACAAAACCAGTTCACCAAGACCATGGTACTGCCTTAACCGAAGTTTGATTAACACAAGGCTAGTTATGTGGGAGAACTGGAGTCATCACTCAAATTAGTTTCCTGGGAAACTCAGAGGTTAGGGTTTTTCAAGGACAGTTTGTTGGGTAGGGGGCTAGGAAATGGGGAATGCGGATTGTTTGGGGATGAAATCATAGGGGTGTGGAAAACAGCCCTTGTCAGAGGTTCTGAATCAGCCTCTGGGTGGGGGCCACAGGGTTGATTGAGTCACAAATCGCAGGTTCAGGTGGAGTCAGTCAGTTGCCAGAAATGCAAACGTCTGAGAAACATTTCAAAAGGCCAACCTTAGGTTCTACAATAGTGATGTTATCTACAGGAGTAATTAGGGAAGTTATAAATTTTGTGACCTCCAGAACAATGACTAGTTATCCTTTCACTATGCCTATATTTTAACAGAATACAGCCACTCTCATAATTCTATCCTTGTGAACTTTAGTTTTAGTTTAGTTTAGTTTTAGGAAGGGCTATTATCATCCCTTCTTCAAAGTTAAACTGTAAACTAAATTCTTCCCATGGTTAGCCTGGTCTATGCTCACAAATGAAGGACAGCCAGCTTGTGAGGCTAGGAGCAAGATGGAGTCAGCCATGCGAGATTTCTCACTGTCATAATCTTTACAAAGGCAGTTTCAACACTCAGCATAGGTAACTTCATTGTGATTGGGTCTGTTGGCGCCCAGTGCAGGAGCTCAGTTTAAAACAATGGCCTCCTATACATTTCACTGTTTTAAAGAACCTCTGAGCATGGACTATAAGATCTTGCATTACATTCAATTAATCACAGAAAGTCAAATACTGGTAAAAGGGAACTCTTTCTTTCCTGACCATTTTAATCCATTGGGTAGGTGGGTAGAAGGATAATTAATTGCTAATTATTCATTAGAGCCTACCTTTCATTTGGAGAGGGTGGGACTAGCTATATAATTTGTGGAGGCTAGTGCAAAATGAATGACAGACATGCATATTGCACTAATCTCCTCTGCTCTCAAGAACACTCCATTGCCTCATGAGTCTTTGTTTACAAAACACAAGCTCAATGATTATTAAGAATTTCAAGATAGTAACAGTAGAGCATGAAACCAAGTGTGGATTCTTCTGAGCATGGGGCCCTGTGTGACTGTCCAAGTCACATGCCCATGATGCTGGCCCTAAGAGAGAGTGAAACTCTTCACCCTTTTATGGCGGGAGATAGTTCTGATATCAACCTTTTTGTGTGTCTTGTTGAGATTCCTTGGAAGTAATCTTTTTTATTTAAATCCAGAGATGCCAAAAACATCTTCTAGATAAGCTGGCTCCACATCTTCTGGTGCTAGTAAGTTAACTCTGATCTTGTATGACTTTGGCTTTTTGTAAGGAATAATATCCTATAAAAAGGAAAATGTAAGATTAAGATTTTAGAGGCCATGGCCACAAGGGAAGCAGAGAATTTGGAGTTAAACACATAGGCTCTGTAACCAGAGCAAGCTGCATTCAAGCCAAGCCTTTTTTACTTACAGTTGTGTGACCTTTAGCACATTGTTAAATATTTGTTTCCTTTCTGAAAAAGAAAAGAATAATGATAATGTCCTATAGAGTTGTTGAACAGATCAGGCCCAGTCTAGTGTCCACATGTAATCCAGATATTGTGGGGGATGTTACTGAGCTTTTGAAGATCTAGAAATGTTGACCCTATTCCCATTCTATCCTATCCCAGGTCAGTGTCCTACATTCTGTTTCCCTCAATGCCAGAGGTTCAAGTTTTCATGGTCTGCTTTGGCTCCGAGATCCTACTGTGTCAGTTACCTGTTTAGGTATCACCTCATTTTCCCACAGTTCTGTCCCTGGCTGGACAACCCAGACATGAACTATTCGGATTCTATGTCTGAATTTACATACACATACACAAGGAGTTCATCAAGACCTTTGTGTGTATAGCTGAGAGTACAAAAGGTAGGAAGGTACAGTGCATTTACATTTCAAAATTATAACAAATTGCTCTTAAAATATTCCCCTTCATATTCACCAACTTGGACTCCAATCTGCATCCATCTCAGGAGAAATAAAAAGAAAACTTAAAACATTCTCCTGGCGTGAACCCGGGAGACAGAGCTTGCAGTGAGCCAAGATCGTGCCACAGCACTCCAGCCTGGGCGACAGAGCGAGACTCCGACTCAAAAAAAAAAAAAAAACAAAATTCTCCTCTGTTTTCTTCCTACTCAGATGAGTCCAGGCTTCCTTTTGTTCTGCTCTTTCTAGGCCAGATCCAGCCCTTAGCTGGAGCTACATTCCCCTTCATAAGGTGTTTTCTTAAACAAAGTTTCTTTTCCCGCTAACGTGAATATTATAACTATTTTGTTTTATATATAATGATTTTATAGATGAGGGGACTGAATTTAAGTATTTTGTCCAAGATTATATAGCTAGAAATCGGTGAGGTTAGGATTCAAACACACATTTTTTCTGAATGGGGAGCCCAAGTACTTAGTCACTATGTTGTACTTATTTTCAAATTTAAGGTTATTTATTAAATATTCATTATATACCAGTCTCTGTGCTAGGAGCTTCAGATAATATCTAATCCTCACAACAACCTTACTAGGTATTATGATTTGATAATGAGTTATTCAAGGCACAGCAAGATTAAGTAACTTGCACAACTAATGATAATACATTTGGATTTCAAATCTTGGTCTATTGGACGTGGGCTCTTAAAGCTTGCTAAGTTAATGCCATGCCCAGGAGCATTCACTTCTTACTTGGATTGAATGTATCAGTGTGTATTCATTTGCATCCTCATCCATCATAGCATCCCCTCTTTTCCATGTCCTTCCTGTCTGTATAATTTTAGGACTTCAGTTATATAACCAGGATACATACCGAAGAGTAGAATAATTAATAAGGGAAGGAAAGAAAAGAGAGAAATTAAACCAAATTAATATTTAAGAACCTTAGTGTATGTGTTAGGGGGGAAATAAATTAAGAATATGGGATTTTAAATGTATTTGGGAGTATTTTAGTTTGTGTTAGTGAGTTCGAAAATCATCTATATGTTTATAGGGATTGGTAATAAGGATAAGAAGGGACAGATATAAACCACTGGAGAAAGGAAAACGGTTTGATTTCTATTTTTGGTTTCTGGACATGTACAATAAGAAGGGAGACCCAAACTCCAAATCCTGTGTCACATGAGCATTTTCATCTCACACCACTGGCTGCTGTATCTCAGGGAAGGTAGAATGCCCAAAAGCCAACACAAACCTCAAGCCTGCTGACTGCCTGTGCGCACACTCGCCGCTGCAGCAGAAGACAGGCAGCTTCCCTACTCCTTCATCTTCCATATCGCACACAGCCCTTCTCTTTGGCAGGCTCTCACCTGGAACCCTGCTTTCTAGGAATTTGGGAGATTTTATTGATTCCTGGGCTTCCTCCTTGCCATCAGAAAGGGAGAGGATGATGCTGATGCTGAGCTGTATAAAGAATCCATACAATGAGCACTCAATCAATATTTGGGTTCACCTTGGAAAAGTTCCCCCATCTCTGGCATCTCAGTTTCTAATCCTTAAAATGGGGGATGATAACAGTAAATAGTACCCACCTCATAGTGCTGGTGTGCAGAGTAAATGAGTAATGCATATAAGATATTTCTAAATGAGTGAAGAAGAACAGGTGTTCTTACTTGTCTGGTGAAGCCTATAGATCCTCTTCCCAGAAAAAAAGTTTGAAATTAAAGATAATAAAAATGGTTCAAAGGAAATCAATTACATTTAAATACAATTGTCAAAATATGTTTAATTGTGATATAGTAATTCACACATACTCATTAAGTTACAAAATCTAGCAGCAAGTCTAACAGCAACCATAATTTGGAAGTGGCATTTGGTATAGTGATATTCTAAGGTATCTACAACATCAGAAATATGATATGAAAATATCTGAATTCTGTTGGTGACGAAGCCATAGGTCCTGCATATACTACTATGGTTTGTTATCTACATCTATAATTAAACGGAATGTTAAATTTCACTAAAGTGAAGGTGAAAAGGGTATAATTATTTTTTCCATCTATGTTCACAAGCCAACACCACAGAATTAGAGACAGCAGTGCTTCCAATAGAAATTGATGTTTATGCGGACAACAAATGTATGAAAAAAAGCTCAATGTTTCTGATTATCAGAGAAACACAAATCAAAACCACAATGAGATACCATCTTATGCCAGTCAGAATGGTAATTATTAAAAAGTCAGGAAACAATAGGTGTTGGCGAGGCTGTGGAGAAATAGGATCGCTTTTACACTGTTGGTGGGAATGTAAATTAGTTCAACCGTTGTGGAGGATGGTTGAAGTATGGTGATTCCTCAAAGATCTAGAACCAGAAACACCATTTGACCCAGCAGTCCCATTACTGGGTATATACCCAGAGGAATATAAATCATTCTACTATAAAGACAGATGCACACATATGTTTATTGCAGTGCTATTTACAATAGCAAAGACATGGAACCAACCCGAATGCCCATCAATGTTTAACTGGATAAAGAAAATGTGGTACATACATACCATGGAATACTATGCAGCCATAAAAAGGAATGAGATCATGCCCTTTGCAGGGACATAGATGAAGCTGAAAGCCATTACCCTTAGCAAACTAACACAGGAACAGAAAACCAAACACTGCATGTTCTCACTTATAAGTAGGAGTCGAACAATGAGAACGCATAGACACAGAGAGGGGAACAACACACACCAGGGCCCATTAGGGGATGGGAGGTGAGGTGAGGGAACTTAAAGGACTTAAAGGACGGGTCAATAGGTGCAGCAAACCACCATGACACACGTACACCTATGTAACAAACCTGCATTTTCTGTGCATGTATCCCATTTTTGTTTTGTTTTATTTTTTAGAAGAAATTAAAAAAAAAAAAAGAAATGGTGGAACTTCCTTAGTGAGCTGGGCATGTAGTCCCTGCCTGCAGAATGCAGCATAAAACAATACTCCATTGAGCTCACCGTCTCCTCTGGGGCCCCTAAGCCCAGTTGTCCTCCTAAGATCAAGGAGAGGAAATCAGCCACCTATCTTTTCCCACTTCCACCAACTTTCTTTGCTCTATAAAGCGCTTCCAAAGGAATAAGAATCATTTGAAGACTCTAAGTGACCCAGCTACCAGCCAGCAAAACCTCCAGAGTTGCAGTAACATGATACCAAAACACTGGGAGACAAAAGAGAATAACATGATACAATATTAAACACCAAGGCAAAAGACTGAAACAGTCAGAGCAGAAGTGGTCCCATGAATTCCCACACATCTTAGGTGTGTGTAGACTGTGGTGACAGTAGGACCTCATGGTGAAGAACACAGGCTTGAGTGTCAGATGCATTTACATTGCAGTTCTTGCTCTGTCACTTGCTAACTCTGCATCGGAGCATATAACTTCATATCTCCAAGCCTCAGGTTCCCCACCTGCAAAACAGAGATAATTATAGTACCAACCACATAGGGTTACTGTGAGGATTAAATAAGGTAAGCATATAAAAGGATTTGGCACAGTGATTGACACAGAGTAAGTGTTCAGTTAATGTTGTTAGCTTTTAGAAGTCACACTACTATGTAATTTCTTTTCTGTGTTTGTTGTTGTTGTTTGTTGTTGTTTTTCGGTTACATGGTTAAAGCACCTGATATAGTGTATCACCTGCACAAGCATGCTGCTAAATTACAATCCTGACTATACTGAAGGGAATCAAACAACAGGCTCAAGCTATCTCAAATGCTATACATGAAAGGAGAGCCAGCGGGGTATCTCTTCTATAAAAACTGTGTCTAACAAAAGTAAAGGCCTCTTGCTATACTTCAGTTGCTGGGCTGAGCTGACTACATTTTTGTTCTGCATTAGACCTGTAAAATCCTGTCGTAGCTGTCTCCTTTGCAAATAGAGTTCGGTCCACTGCCAAACTCCGAAATAAGATGCTCAGTAACTTTACCCCAGCTGTTCACTTCAGTTAGCGCATGTCAATACAAGTGAGGTCTATTATGGTTCAGTGATTTTCCATCACTTGTCAGTCAGCACACTTTCTTCTGGTTCCCTCTCCCTCGTGGCTCCCAGACTTCTTAAAGAATTTCTTACCACTTTGCTCCATTTCTGTTTCCCTGGTGCCTTCCTCCTCATTTTTCTGCCAAACGTTCTATGAGAAACTGGCAACAAGTCTGAACACTGGCCAGAAGATAAAAAGCACATAGACTTGGGAACAGAACAATGCACGTGGTCCCTCTAAAAAAACAGTCTCCAGCCTAAAAGTTTAATCCCTGAAAAGCTATTGTTTACTTTCCCAGCATTAATTAAGTTAATAAATCTACCAGCTTCCCAGATAACAATTTGTAGTCCAAGACATATTCCAAAACAAATTCCTAGATGAGGCAAGATATCGGCAAAGCAATGCCCGGGATCCGTTGCATGGGTGGTATCAAGCAGCATCTGAGAGGCTCTGCCTTAGCTGCACATCAAAGCTTAGAGCCTATTTTAAAATGACATCCATGACTGCTGGGGGAGGCAAGGGGCCACATGGTGGCACCCAAAAGTTGAGTAAGGCCAAGAAAATTCAGGACACATAGGGAGTGAGTATGGTATGGAGGTTCGCAGATTCCCACAAAGTACCATACATTTGTATAGCATAATAATATTGGTTTTGATTAGATATTTTTTATTTGATCCCTTAATAATCTTAGGTGGATTAAAATTATTTGAGCCACTTTAGAATCAAGAGAACTAAAGCTAAAAGGTTATGATCTGTCCAAAGTCACATGCTAAAAATGATGCAGCCCTCTTGATTTCTTCATTATTGCACCAAGGAGAAAGTGAAAATCCCATTTGATTTCATTAACCTAGATAGTTGTATAATTCAATTAAACTACTTTTCCAGAGCATCTATCTACAGTACTTTGCTTTTATGTGACAAAAGGCAGTCACTGCAATTGGAAAGACTTATAATTCATCATCACATAGCCACTTCCCAAACAGGGCCAGAGCAGACATGCAAATTTGCATTTATTCTCAGAATACCTCTACCTAGCTCCCCCAGGCAGCTATCACCTCATGATACCACCTACCTAGGTCCTCTAGGCAGCTATCAATTCAAATTGGCCACATGAGATAAACCAATTTGCCATTTCTAACTAGTCCAGTATTTTTTCTACCATAAACTACTGATATATCCAAATGGAAAGGAACAACAGATTTTGAGAAGAAACTATTTGAAGCCCTGCATAAAATTTTTCTATTACCATTTTAAAAACAGCAGTGGTACTTAAGGACACAGATACAGTAACTAGCCAAATAATCTGTCTTTCCATCAGCCCTGTATTGGTGACCATCGTGTTTATATAGTTTTTTTTGCTTTGTTTTCTTTTGTTTTGTTTTTTGAGATGGAGTTTCGCTCTTGTTGCCTAGGCTGGAGTGCAATGGCACGATCTCGGGTCACCGCAACCTCCGCCTCCTGGGTTCAAGAGATTCTCCTGCCTCAGCCTCCCAAGTAGCTGGGATTACAGTCATGTACCACCACCCACCTAATTTTGTATTTTTAGTAGAGATGGGGTTTCTCCATGTTGGTCAGCCTGGTCTTGAACTCCTGACCTCAGGTGATCTGCCCACCTTGGCCTCCCAAAGTGCTGGGATTGCAGGCGTGAGCCACCATGCCTGGACTATATAATCTTAACTATAAATTAGATGGCCCTCTTTTCTCTTTATCATATGATTTTGGCCTCTCCACCTGTGACACTGTGGTATGAGGCACTATAGGGGATGCAGTAAATGACTATTTACTAAGCACCTGCTATGTGCCACGTACTCTTCTAGGAACTGGGAATATAGCAGTGAACAAGATGAGATCTATATTCTTAAAGAGCTTATATTCTAGAGGCACAAGACAGACAACAAGGAAATAAAAAATAAATATACAAGATAACTTCAGTTATTGAGATGTGTTGTAGAAGAAATAAAATAGGGTGAGTATGACGGAGTGTGCCTTGAAGACCTCTTGGCAGAGGTATTTGAACTGAGACCTTAGTTATGAGAAGAAATCATCATTTGAAGTCCTTAGAGCACAGCATTCCAGGCAGAGGGAACAGCATACAAGGGCACTGGCAAGCTTGGCCTGCTGGAGGACAAGGAAGATGGCCACAGTGGCTGGAGCAAGTATGTAAAGAGAGAACAGTGTGAAGTAAGCCAAAGAAGTGATCAGGGCCAGATTTTAGCTCCTTGTGAAGGGCCCTGAGAAGGAGCTCAAATTTATTTTGAATTATCTTAAACTCATTGTAGGACTTTCAGTAGAAGAGGAATCCCTAGTGATTTACACGTTTAGAAAGTCAGTAAGAATAAAGCACAGTTGCTGCCCTCAAGGAGCAGGTACACTACACCACTAATTATAATAGAAGGCAGTCATTGAAGGATGAGCTTTGCCAGTGCTAAATTCTTCACCAGTCTCAGGAATCCAGCTGGTAAATGGTGCTCCTATCTGCACTATATTTATAATCTAATGCCAGGAGTTGAGTAGTAAAGGACAAAATTAGCGGGTGTCTTTGAACTCAAGGGGAAATACTCATCACTTTTATTTTCTTTTTGAAATGCAATTACTAACTTTCAGAGAGTACAATAAAATCTTTTCAGTCCCTCCAGAAAGGGCTTCTGTGGTGCAAGTCCTGACATCCAATCTTTCATTTCTTTGATTTGTGGAGAAAGAGAAGCATGATCCCCTACGCATTTTATACTCAAAGCAATCCCTCTTCTTTTGTGTTGGCTGATGGGGCCATTTGAAAACGAATGTTTAAAAAATGTAAGTCTAGTTAATGAAAAGTAAAGTCATTATTGAGGTAGTGTCCTGCATCCAGGAGCTTGTCATCTCCACAGGCAGCAGAATTTCTGGGGTCAGGATCTCTGGGCTCTCAAGTTGCTCTATAACCTTAAGCAAATATTTTTACTTTGAGAGTTGCCCTTGGTTACTCATAGCCAAAATGAGGGAATTGATTTAGACCATCCCTGAGTTCCTCCATACCACTTTTACTTCCAATAATCTGCTAATCCCTCTTTAGTTGGGTTGATTTTTGAGGTCCACTATGTTGACAATGGCCCTGTGCATTGAGAAACAAGATAGAGGGCAATTCAATTGAGGAACTTTAGAAATCCTGGGCTGTAAAGAAGGAACTGTGTAATATCCTCAGAGGGGCAACCCTTATAAGGAGGAGGCTGACTGCACCAACTATTTGTGGTCTCCATGAATGTTATTAACTTACTTTAAGTGTACCTAAAGGTACTGAAGGGCTTACAAAGGCATATAATACCTGCTTCAGATAACTCATGGTCTATCTTAGAAAGTAAGACATAAATATATGAGAAGTTAAATAATGCAGTACAAGGTGAGTAATGTGATCTGCCACAAGGTGTTACATGATTAATTATTACATAAGAAAAGTATGGAGCAAAATAAATGTAGAAAAAAACATGAGCACATAACCTCTGAGAGATGAATTCATTTATTTATTCAATTTATTCAATCATTTAACAAGTATTTACGGCATGCTCACTTTGCCAAGAGCTCTGCTCAGTGCTGGGGTGGTAAGCCAAGGTGGATATGCTGTTGGATATATCAATCAATTGTTGAAGTGTTGGAAAGGGGCTTATCCCTGCTGAAGTGTCAGATTTCTCCTGTTTCACATTTGCCACCACAAAGATTGTACTATGTTAGTCCGTTTTCACACTGCTATCAAGAACTTCCTGAGACCGGGTAATTTAGGAAGAAACGAGGTTTTATTGATTCACAGGCCCACAGACTGTACAGGAAGCATGGCTGAGAGGCCTCAGTTAACTTACAATCATGGCAGAAAATGAAGGGGAAGCAAACATGTCTTACTAAGGTGGAGCAGGAGAGAGAGCTAAGGGGGAAGTGCTACACTCTTAACCAGATCCCATGAGCACTCACTATCAGGAGAACAGCCAGGGGGAAATCTGCCCCCATGAGCCAATCACCTCCCATCAGGTCCCTCCCCCAACAATGGGAATTAACAATGTGACATGTGATTTGGGTGAGGACACAGAGCCAAACCATAGCATGTGCATAGATCAAACTGTGAACTTAAGATATCAGAATTTCCTTTGGCTTGTCCCAAGATTTGCAGAATTGGAGATCTATTCAATTATCAGTTATGTATTACCTTTCTTTTCTCCAGTGTTCCCTGCAGAGCACACATGTCTTCCATTTGAACTCCTCTGAGGACAAAGAGCTCCTTTCAGAGATGTCCATTTCCACTAATAGATAACTATGGAAATTTTATCTCTTCATATTGAGACAGACTCTTCTCTCTGCTCCTTTCGCACAATCATTTGCCAGTTGATAGAGGAATTTGTAGGCTCCTGCCCCAAAGGGAATTTTACAAACCTCCTTATTTACTGAGATCAAAGAAATGTTTAATCAGAGCAATTTCAAAGAAATAATAGTATTTTAAACAGATATTTAAAAGATAATAATTAAGCTGCTTCATTACCTTTCAACATACCTGATTACACAGCAGGTAGGGTAAAGGCAGATTGTTTTAAGCTTCCTTTAGTTCTACTTGTTCCTTCAGCAAAGGCTACCACCTCATTCTTCCTGTATCACACAGGGTGCATTTTAATTTAATAAAGAAAATATATACTCGTATTTAAACCAAACGCCCAAGTTTAAAAGGTGATGCTGAATTTCAGACGCTATTTCCTGGAAGTTTGTCTTAGATCTTGCTTTCATTGGCTCAATTAGGATGACTTTGGCAGGCATTAAAAGTGATTCTTTGCAGAGTGGGTTTCACTGAACGATGTTTCCTGGTTCTTTGTGATCTCTGGGACCCAGAAATGTATATATAAACAAAAAAAAAATTTGCCTGTTTCAGGAACTTATTATCTTGCAACACTTAGATTTATCTCTTATAGTGATTTCCATTTATTAATTCATGTCTGTTATGTGGCAGGCACTCTGCTATGCACCCAGGATCCAGTGGTGAACAATCCCCATTGTTGGAAGGGACACTCACCTAGGTTGATTCTGAGACATCATTGGTTCTTCTCTCAGTTATTGACACAACTGTTATCTCCAGGGTGTAAGCACAACTGGCTGCTCATCCACAGGTTCACACCATGTCCTCAGGACTTGGTCTCACTCTCTTCTTCTCTCAGTTGCTGTTCCTCTGGACTGGCTCTGTCCTCCAGCAGGTGTCCCCATGGAGGCCAGGTAATGATCAGCAGCTCCAGGCCTACCTCTTTCTCTCAGCAGTGCCACAACAGTCCCTGAATGTAATGTAACCGAATCCCATGGACCCCAGTTGGGCCACATGCCCATTTCTGGACAGTTCCATACTTTTCCAGAGGGTAAAATATACTGATTGGCTGGGCCTGGACCACTTCCTTGGAGCAGAGGTAGTGGGTTAAATGGGGCCAGCAACCTGAACCTGGTAACCCCTGGACAGAGAGTGAGAAGGAACACTCTGAAAGATGAGGGAGTGAATGCTTGGCAGGCAAAAACAGCAGATGTTCTCTACAGAAACCTTTTGTTTAAGCATGGTTGCATAATTTTGAGCTAGAAGATAGGATCTTGCTGGTGGGGAGGTAAATGAAGATTGATCATTATATTTAACTAGTTAGTGGCTGACCCTGGGACAAAACTCAGGTGTTCTGACTTCTTGTCCAATTGACCCTTCATAAATGTTTCCTTTTTTTTTTTTTTTTTTTTTTTGAGACAGAGTTTCACTCTGTCACCCAGGCTGGAGTGCAATGGCGTGATCTCGGCTCACTGCAACCTCTGCCTCCCAGGTTCAAGTGATTCTCCTGCCTCAGCCTCCCAAGTAGCTGGGACTACAGGCACGCGACACCATCCCCAGCTAATTTTTATAATTTTAGTAGAGACGAGATTGCACCATATTGGTCAGGCTGGTCTCGAACTCCTGACCTCAGGTGGTCCACCCACCTCAGCCTCCCAAAGTGCTGAGATTACAGGCATGAGCCACCGTGCCTGGCCCAAACGTTTCCCTTTTTAAAGTCAGTCACATAATTTGTGGGCCCCAGTGCAAAATGAAAATGTGGGGCCCTTTGTTAAAAAATTATTAGAATTTCAAGATGGCCATGGTGAAACATTAAACCACGGGCACAGATCACACACAAAGCCAGTCCTGGTCAGGTAACACCATTTTCCTTGTATGCAGTGCACAGTATTTGTCAGAGTACAGCCATACAAAGTCTTGGAAGACATTACCTTTAACTCCACCCAGATTTCAACCTAGTATGAAAATAGAAGAATTACACAGACACAAACCAAGGTACAATGGTTTTGGAGAAAAGCATACAGCTGAGCTCTCTTTTATGTCAACAGATCTTCCACAAGAGTAAATGTTATATTGGGCAAAATAAATAGGGATATAAATTCCATAAAGAGAGAGGAAATAAGTCTTACTCCATCCAGAGTTCTGCCCCTGGCTCTGCCACTAACTAGTATTACCTTGGGTGTCATTTGTCCACTGGGCCAAGGGTGTTCTATTTTTTCCCTGCTGTTTTTGCATATGAATCTGTTATGGACTGATTTGCATCCCTCTAAATTCATGTTAAAGCTCAAATTCCTATTTGGAGATAGGGCCTTTAAGGAGGTAAAGTTAAATTAAATAGAGTCATAAGAGTGGGGCCCTAATCCAACAGGACTAGTGTCCTTACAAGTAGAGAAAGAGACACTGGAAATGTGCAGGCACAGAGAAAAGGCCATGTGAGGACACAAGAAGAAGGCAGTTATGTGTAAGCCCATGAGAGAGGCCTCAAGAGAAAGCGATCCTCTGGTGCCTAGATCTTGGATTTTCAGCCTCTAAAGCTGTGCGAAAATAAATTTTTGCTGCCTAAACCACCCATCTGTGGTGTTTTGTTATGGCTGTCCTAGCAAACCAACATAGTACTCAATAAATAACTGCTTAAGGAAAAAGAGGAATCCTTAGTGGAACTAGGTAACCCAGAGAACAGAAGATTTAGAGTAAGTATTAAAATTATCGATGGCAGAAGGAGTGTGTTTTGTCTATCCCTGGGGGATGATCTGAAGCCAATAAATTGGAAGTTATAGAAAAGTAGACCTTGGATCAACACAAGAAAGACTGTCAACAACCAGACTTTATTATATTTCCTCCAGGGAGAACATTATCACAGACTTCTAGAGTTCAAGAGCAGCTCAGAGGGAGTCCAGTTGCAGGGAGAATACTAGCAAGTAGAGACTGATTGGAGGAAAGTTCAAAGTACAAGTCTTCTTTGGAAAGAAAAGCAAAGGCAAGATCTGCCTCAGCAGGACGGTTACTCCAATATGTTTTAGAGCGAGCATCCTTCCTGACATTCAGGGAAGAAAAGTGAAGATGATATACATCTTTTTTTTTGTTTACTTTTTTTTTAAATTTTATTATTATTATACTTTAAGTTTTAGGGTACATATGAACAAGGTGCAGGTTTGTTACATATGTATACATGTGCCATGTTGGTGTGCTGCACCCATTAACTCGTCATTTAGCATTAGGTGTATCTCCTAATGCTATCCCTCCCCCCTCCCCCCACCCCACAACAGTCCCTGGTGTGTGATGTTCCCCTTCCTGTGTCCATGTGTTCTCATTGTTCAATTCCCACCTATGAGTGAGAACATGCAGTGTTTGGTTTTTTGTCCTTGCGATAGTTTGCTGAGAATGATGGTTTCCAGCTTCATTCATGTCCCTACAAAGGACATGAACTCATCATTTTTTATGGCTGCATAGTATTCCATGGTGTATATGTGCCACATTTTCTTAATCCAGTCTATCGTTGTTGGACATTTGGATTGGTTCCAAGTCTTTGCTATTGTGAATAGTGCCACTATAAACATACATGTGCATGTGTCTTTATAGCAGCATGATTTATAATACTTTGGGTATATATCCAGTAATGGGATGGCTGGGTCAAATGGTATTTCTAGTTCTAGATCCCCGAGGAGTCACCACACTGACTTCCACAATGGTTGAACTAGTTTACAGTCCCACCAACAGTGTAAAAGTGTTCCTATTTGTCCACATCCTCTCCAGCACCTGTTGTTTCCTGACTTTTTAATGATCGCCATTCTAACTGGTGTGAGATGGCATCTCATTGTGGTTTTGATTTGCATTTCTCTGATGGCCAGTGATGATGAGCATTTTTTCATTGTCTGTTGGCTGCATAAATGTCTTCTTTTGAGAAGTGTCTGTTCATATCCTTTGCCCACTTTTTGATGGGGTTGTTTGTTTTTTTCTTGTAAATTTGTTTGAATTCACTGTAGATTCTGGATATTAGTCCTTTGTCAGATGAGTAGGTTGCGAAAATTTTCTCCCATTCTGTAGGTTGCCTGTTCACTCTGATGGTAGTTTCTTTTGCTGTGAAGAAGCTCTTTAGTTTAATTAGATTCCGTTTGTCAATTTTGGCTTTTGTTGCCACTGCTTTTGGTGTTTTAGACATGAAGTCCTTGCCCATGCCTATGTCCTGAATGGTATTGCCTAGGTTTTTTTCTAGGGTTTTTATGGTTTTAGGTCTAACATTTAAGTCTTTAATCCATCTTGAATTAATTTTTGTATAAAGTGTAAGGAAGGGATCCAGTTTCAGCTTTCTACATATGGCTAGCCAGTTTTCCCAGCACCATTTATTAAATAGGGAATCCTTTCCCCATTGCTTGTTTTTGTCAGGTTTGTCAAAGATCAGATAGTTGTAGATATGCAGCATTATTTCTGAGGGCTCTGTTCTGTTCCATTGATCTATATCTCTGTTTTGGTACCAGTACCACATGGTTTTAGTTACTGTAGCTTTGTAGTATAGTTTGAAGTCAGGTAGCGTGATGCCTCCAGCTTTGTTCTTTTGGCTTAGGATTGACTTGGCGATGCGGGCTCTTTTTTGGTTCCATATGAACTTTAGTTTTTTCCAATTCTGTGAAGAAAGTCATTGGTAGCTTGATGGGGATGGCATTGAATCTGTAAATTACCTTGGGCAGTATGGCCATTTTCACGATATTGATTCTTCCTACTCATGAGCATGAAATATTCTTCCATTTGTTTGTATCCTCTTTTATTTCCTGGAGCAGTGGTTTGTAGTTCTCCTTGAAGAGGTCCTTCACATCCCTTGTAAGTTGGATTCCTAGGTATTTTATTCTCTTTGAAGCAATTGTGAATGGGAGTTCATTCATGATTTGGCTCTCTGTTTGTCTGTTGTTGGTGTATAAGAATGCTTGTGATTTTTGTACATTGATTTTGTATCCTGAGACTTTGCTGAAGTTGCTTATCAGCTTGAGGAGATTTTGGGCTGAGACGATGGGGTTTTCTAGATATACAATCATGTCATCTGCAAACAGGGACAATTTGACTTCCTCTTTTCCTAATTGAATACCCTTTATTTCCTTCTCCTGCCTAATTGCCCTGGCCAGAACTTCCAACACTATGTTGAATAGGAGTGGTGAGAGAGGGCATCCCTGTCTTGTGCCAGTTTTCAAAGGGAATGCTTCCAGTTTTTGCCCATTCAGTATGATATTGGCTGTGGGTTTGTCATAGATAGCTCTTATTATTTTGAGATACGTCCCATCAATACCTAATTTATGGAGAGTTTTTAGCATGAGGGGTTGTTGAATTTTGTCAAAGGCCTTTTCTGTATCTGTTGAGATAATCATGTGGTTTTTGTCCTTGGTTCTGTTTATATGTTGGATTACATTTATTGATTTGTGTATGTTGAACCAGGCTTGCATCCCAGGGATGAAGCCCACTTGATCATGGTGGATAAGATTTTTGATGTGCTGCTGAATTCGGTTTGCCAGTATTTTATTGAGGATTTTTGCATCGATGTTCATCAAAGATATTGGTCTAAAATTCTCTTTTTTTGTTGTGTCTCTGCCAGGCTTTGGTATCAGGATGATGCTGGCCTCATAAAATGAGTTAGGGAGGATTCCCTCTTTTTCTATCAATTGGAATAGTTTCAGAAGGAATGGTACTAGCTCCTCTTTGTACCTCTGGTAGAATTCAGCTGTGAATCCATCTGGTCCTGGACTTTTTTTGGTTGGTAAGCTATTGATTATTGCCTCAATTTCAAAGCTGTTATTGGTCTATTCAGAGATTCAACTTCTTCCTCGTTTAGTCTTGGGAGGATGTATGTGTCGAGGAATTTATCCATTTCTTCTAGATTTTCTAGTTTATTTGCGTAGAGGTGTTTGTAGTATTCTCTGATGGTAGTTTGCATTTCTGTGGGATCAGTGGTGATATCCCCTTTATCATTTTTTATTGCATCTGTTTGATTCTTCTCTCTTTTCTTCTTTATTAGTCTTGCTAGTGGTCTATCAATTTTGTTGATCTTTTCAAAAAACCAGCTCCTGGATTCATTAATTTTTTGAAGGGTTTTTTGTGTCTCTGTTTCCTTCAGTTCTGCTCTGATCTTAGTTATTTCTTGCCTTCTGCTAGCTTTTGAATGTGTTTGCTCTTGCTTTTCTAGTTCTTTTAATCGTGATGTTAGGGTGTCAATTTTAGATCTTTCCTGCTTTCTCTTGTGTGCATTTAGTGCTATAAATTTCCCTCTACACACTGCTTTGAATGTGTCCCAGATATTCTGGTATGTTGTGTCTTTGTTCTCGTTGGTTTCTAAGAACATTTTTATTTCTGCCTTCATTTCGTTATGTACCCAGTAGTCATTCAGGAGCAGGTTGTTCAGTTTCCATGTAGTTGAGTGGTTTTGAGTGAGTTTCTTAATCCTGAGTTCTAGTTTGATTGCACTGTGGTCTGAGAGACAGTTTGTTATAATTTCTGTTCTTTTACATTTGCTGAGGAGTGCTTTACTTCCAACTATGTGGTCAATTTTGGAGTAGGTGTGGTGTGGTGCTGAAAAGAATGTATATTCTGTTGATTTGGGGTGGAGAGTTCTGTAGATGTCTATTAGGTCTGCTTGGTGCAGAGCTGAGTTCAATTCCTGGGTATCCTTGTTAACTTTCTGTGTCATTGATCTGTCTAATGTTGACAGTGGGGTGTTAAAGTCTCCCATTATTATTGTGTGGGAGTCTAAGTCTCTGTAGGTCACTAAGGACTTGCTTTATGAATCTGGGTGCTCCTGTATTTGGTGCATATATATTTAGGATAGTTAGCACTTCTTGTTGAATTGATCCCTTTACCATTATGTAATGGCCTTCTTTGTCTCTTTTGATCTTTGTTAGTATAAAGTCTGTTTTATCAGAGACTAGGATTGCAACCCCTGCCTTTTTTTGTTTTCCATTTGCTTGGTAGATCTTCCTCCATCCCTTTATTTTGAGCCTATGTGTGTCTCTGCACGTGAGATGGGTTTCCTGAATACAGCACACTGATGGGTCTTGACTCTTTATCCAATTTGCCAGTCTGTGTCTTTTAATTGGAGCATTTAGTCCATTTACATTTAAAGTTAATATTGTTATGTGTGAATATGATCATGTCATTATGATGTTAGCTGGTTATTTTGCTCGTTAGTTGATGCAGTTTCTTCCTAGCCTTCATGGTCTTTTCAATTTGGCATGTTTTCGCAGTGGCTGGTACTGGTTGTTCCTTTCCATGTTTAGTGCTTCCTTCAGGAGCTCTTTTAAGGCAGGCCTGGTGGTGACAAAATCTCTCAGCATTTGCTTGTCTGTAAAGTATTTTATTTCTCCTTCACTTACGAAGCTTAGTTTGACTGGATATGAGATTCTGGGTTGAAAATTCTTTTCTTTAAGAATGTTGAATATTGGTCCCCACTCTCTTCTGGCTTGTAGAGTTTCTGCCGAGAGATCTGCTGTTAGTCTGATGGGCTTCCCTTTGTGGGTAACCCAACCTTTCTCTCTGGCTGCCCTTAACATTTTTTCCTTCATTTCAACTTTGGTGAATCTGACAATTATGTGTCTTGGAGTTGCTCTTCTCAAGGAGTATCTTTGTGGCATTCTTGTATTTCCTGAATTTGAATGTTGGCCTGCCTTGCTAGATTGGGGAAGTTCTCCTGGATAATATCCTGCAGAGTGTTTTCCAACTTGGTTCCATTCTCCCCGGCACTTTCAGGTACACCAATCAGATGTAGATTTGGTCTTTTCACATAGTCCCATATTTCTTGAAGGCTTTGTTCATTTCTTTTTATTCTTTTTTCTCTAAACTTCTCTTCTCACTTCATTTCATTCATTTCGTCTTCCATCACTGATACCCTTTCTTCCAGTTGATCACATCAGCTACTGAGTCTTCTGCATTCATCACGTAGCTCTTGTGCCTTGGTTTTCAGCTCCGTCAGGTCCTTTAAGGACTTCTCTACATTGGTTATTCTAGTTATCCATTCGTCTAATTTTTTTTCAAAGCTTTTAACTTCTTTGCCATTGGTTCGAATTTCCTCCTGTTGCTTGGAGTAGTTTGATCATCTGAAGCCTTCTTCTCTCAACTCTTCAAAGTCATTCTCCGTCCAGCTTTGTTCCGTTGCTGGTGAGGAGCTGCATTCCTTTGGAGGAGGAGAGGCACTCTGATTTTTAGAGTTTCCGGTTTTTCTGCTCTCTTTTTTTTCCCATCTTTGTGGTTTTATCTACCTTTGGTCTTTATGATGGTGACGTACAGATGGGTTTTTGGTGTGGATGTCCTTTCTGTTTGTTAGTTTTCCTTCTAACAGACAGGACCCTCAGCTGCACGTCTGTTGGAGTTTGCTAGAGGTCCACTCCAGACCCTGTTTTCCTGGGTATCTGCAGGGGTGGCTGCAGAACAGCAGATATTGGTGAACCGCAGATGCTGCTGCCTGATCGTTCCTCTGGAAGTTTTGTCTCAGAGGAGTACCCGGCCATGTGAGGTGTCAGTCCGCCCCTACTAGGGGATGCCTCCCAGTTAGGCTACTTGGGGGTCAGGGACCCACTTGAGGAGGCAGTCTGCCCAACCTCAGATCTCAAGCTGCATGCTGGGAGAACCACTACTCTCTTCAAAGCTGTCAAGAGATTTAAGTCTGCAGAGGTTACTGATGTCTTTTTGTCTGTGCCCTGCCCCCAGAGGTGGAGCCTACAGAGGCAGGCAGCCCTCCTTGAGCTGTGGTGGGCTCCACCCAGTTTGAGCTTCCCATGGCTTTGTTTACCTAATCAAACAACTAACTCGGCAATGGCGGGCACCCCTCCCCCAGCCTCGCTGCTGCTTGCAGTTTGATCTCGGACTGCTGTGCTAGCAATGAGTGAGACTCCATGGGCATAGGACCTTCTGAGCCAGGTGCGGGATATAATCTCCTGGTGTGCTGTTTTTTTAAGCCCGTTGGAAAAGTGCAGTATTAGGGTGGGAGTGACCCAATTTTCCAGGTGCCATCTGTCACCACTTTCTTTGACTAGGAAAGGGAATTCCCTGACCCCTTGCGCTTCCTGGGTGAGGCGATGCTTCACCCTGCTTTGGCTCGCGCAAGGTGCTCTGCACCCACTGTCCTGCACCTACTGTCTGGCACTCCCCAGTGAGATGAACCCAGTACCTCATTGGAAATGCAGAAATCACCTGTCTTCTGGGTCGCTCACGCTGGGAGCTGTAGACCAGAGCTGTTCCTATTCGGCCATCTTGGCTCCTCCTATCTATATACATCTTAACAGAAAGGTGGGTAATAAATCAATTTGCAAAGGAAATTATCAGAGGTAAGACTGGACTATACAAAATCATGTCTTAAAATACTTTTAAGGCAAGTTTTAAAAGAGGATGCCTCAAGTACTTGGCAGAATTTACCTTTTTGCTCTATATTTGGTGTAGCTTTATTAGTAGTTAATAAAGATAACTCATTATATTGCATTGAGGTTAGTAAATTTCTACAAACACACACGGCATTGGAATATTTATCTGAGAGTACTTAGCTATTAATCCTAAAAACGAAGTCTTAACTGCTGTATTATCAAAAAAGCACTATCAGTTTATCTGGTGATGGTAAACAGAACAAAGGGTACAACCCAAAGGGAAAATCAGTTCATCTGCTTAGAATTTGTTTCAACCAATGAGATTAAAATATCACACTAACCACTGATGATGAGTAAAGTAAAAAAAGTAGCTACAAGAGCATGAAGCATAGCAAATCATTTCAAGTGAAACCATGTCTTACCAAGTCAATTGGATTAATTGCATTGTTGCTTAGTGCAAAAGTACAACTGACCCAACCTTTCTGTTTTTTCTAATACTCTGTCAAATCCTCTAGGGTAGCATCATCTAACAAATATAATGCAAACCACATGTGTGATTTTAATTTTTTAGTAGCCACATTAAAAAGTAAAAAGAAATGGGTGAAATTACTTTTGATAATTTATTTAACCAATATATATTTTTAAAATTGTCATTTAAACATGCAATCAATATTAAAAAAACTTCTAGTGAGGTAGTTTACATTCTTGTTAACTGATGTCTTGAAAATGTGTATTTTACACTTCTCTCACATCTCATTTTGGGCTAGCCTCATTTCAAGTGCTCTATAGCCCTATGGGGCTACTGCACCAGACAGCACAGAGCAAGAGCCGTGGGTCCCAAACTCATTCTATGACACAACCCTTTTAGAAAAAAAATGAATATGTATCCCTAACACAATATATGCATATGTATTTCTTTAGAAATTGTACACATATTATTTTATATTTTATATATGTTCTAAATTTTTTAAAATACATATCAAATGAGATACAGATAAAATAAATACATCATTAAAATTTTCACTTATTACTTCAAAAACCTCCTTACTAACAGAACTTTATTAGTAAATACAGTGTGATAAAATAAGCATCATTATATTTGAAAATCTTGATTTAACACCCGTAATATGTATAATTTATCAGTTCAAAGGTCTGTCACTAAGTTTGGCTTATTTTGATCCTTGGTTTTAATGGCTGTCAAAGCTGAGAAAAAATCTCTCAAAGATAAATATATCTAAATTAAAGAGTATATTATTGTCTGCACATGAAATCATAATATTCATTTTTCAACCCCATTCACTAATTGTTTGAAATAATTTGCCATTGTTCAGCAAGCAAATTTCCACTTCCTTGATGTCGGTGGTTTTTCAGTTTCATTTTTATATTATCAACACATGTATTCAATGTCCACTGGGCTCTTTATTATGAAGACTTGCAAAGTGGAAAATTCTGTGTGTCACATAGAACATAAAATGTCCCCCCTCCAGAAGAGGATACCTTTGCCTGGGTGAAATCCTTTCCCTTGACTGTGGGCATGACATGTGACTTGCTTCCAACCCACAGAATATGGGATGTCACTCTCGTGATTGGGTTTGTTACATAAGACTCTGTCTTAGTATCCTGGAGTGAGAGACTCTTCTCAAGACCTGGAGAAAGTGAGTGGTCCTGTTGAAAAGCCCACATGGCAAGGACCTGTGGGTGACCTCTAGGAGCTGCAGGCAGCCAACAGCCAGCCTAACGCTGGGGCCCTTAGTCATACAGTTACAAGGAAATGAATTCTGCCAACAACCTGAATGAATTAGAGGCAGATTCTTCCCCAGTAAAGCCTCCAGATGAAGACAGCCAGCTGAGACCTTCATTGCAGCCTTAGGAGATCCTATGCAATAGATACTAAACCATGCCCCTGCACCTGACCTAGGGAAACTGTGAGATAATAAATTTATGTGCTGTCTTAAGATGCTAAATTTCTGGTAATCTGTTACACAGCCATAGAAAACTAATATACTCTTTCTAATATTTTAAAGTATAGAAATATGAGTTTTTATACATAGCACATGATCATGTTTAGCTATAGAATCAAAAAATAAGGGAAACATTTTTAAATATATATTTTCAAATGCTCTATCCAAAACAAGAATTTGTTTTGTGAAACAGTCTCTTCTTCACACATTATTAAAATATAAATTTTGCAATTAAGGGATAGATTCAGTGTGTTTATATGCAAAAATTTTGTCAGGCAAACCTAAACTAATAGGACTTGTCATTAGGGAAAAGATCAACAAATTATGTACCTTTATATTTTTGTAAAAGAAAAATGTGTATCTTATCTTTAAATCCAGCTCTTTTAGTCAACCTCTGAGTGGCTGAAAAAATATCTCTTGCCATCTCATTACAAAATGACATACAGATTCTACTATATTTTTTAGTCTTGATTTTCAAATTTTTTTAATTTAATTTTTAAAATCAGTCACATCAGTATAGCCATTTGTGCTTTTCTGGTTTTAACTTCTCATCTGCATTACCTTACCTATAAACAATGCAAAGGATGAATTCCAATTTCGGTGTTATCTGTATAACATTACCCAAGAAACTTAAAAAGAAAAATCTTAGAGGGGCCGCTCTATCAGTGAATATACTTAAATATTTCCCCATAAGACATTGTTTTAATTGTAGAAGTTATTCAATCTCAGAAATATATCTTCTTTGGCTATCTGTAATTTAGTGACATACCAGAAAAATGTAATTCTTTATGCTGTTTATTATTTATTATGTTGTTAATAATAAATATTTAAAACATAATAAATCTAGCAATAGCTCACTTTAAGACATCCTAAAAACATCTGTACTTCCATCTGGCTGTAGAACAAAATTCCTATCCCGTATCATCTGCCCTAAAAGTTGTTTCTTCCAATCTTCATCAATATATTTGACATACGTACATTCCAAAAGTATTTTCGTCCAAAGAAATGTTTTCTAGTTTGTCATCATATTGCTTTTATCATATTATTTCAACCATATTTGTCACAACAGGAAAACAAGTTTTGTTCCAATGATACATGACTTTTTGTCTTTGGCCACTTCACCACATAAAATTAGAATTGTCAGCATGTAATAGTAAAACTCCAAGTCACAGTGGCTTCAATTCAAGGGAAGTTTATTTCTGTCTTAGGTAAAAGAAGTCTGTAAGTTGACAACCCAGATTGGTAGGTAGCTCATGGTCTCCTGTCTTTGCTGCTCTACCATCTGTAGCATACTTTCTCAAATTCCAATAGGATTTCTCGAAGTCCTGCTTACACTTCTAAATTCCAGCTAGGATAGGCAGCCTCTGCTATGGCAATGATCCCTGCCCCTTGAAATTCACACCCTGGTGCTATTCCATCCCCTTGAATGTGGGGTGGACCTACTGACTTACTTCTAATGAATAGAACACAGCAAAAGTGATGGAATGCCACTTCCATGATTCAGTTACGGAAGCTTATGACTTCCGAGTGCCTTACTGGAACTCCCTCTCATTCTTCTTGCCTGCTTGCTTTCATGAAGCAGGCTGCCATATCAAGAGTTGCCCTATGGAGAGACTCACGTGGCAAAGAATTGAGGGTGGCCTCTGGATAACAGCCATTGAGGGCCAGAATCCCTCAGTCTAATAGCCCATATGGAACTGAATCCTGCCAACAACAATGTGAGTTAATTTGGGAATTGGATCCTTCCCTACTGAGCCTCAAGGTGACTATAGTGTAGCCAACACCTTGATTATAGTCTTCTCAAAGACTCTGAGCTGGAGGACTCAGCTAAGCCATGCCAAGATTCCTGACCTACAGAAACTGCAAGATAATAAATGTTGTTTTAAAGTACTAAATTTTCAGGATAATTTGTTATGCAATGATAACTAATAGATTATCCAACAGGGAGGGAATAAAAGAGGAAGAAAAGTATGTCCTCCCTTCTAAGGGGGCTCTATGGAAGTCTATGATTATTTATATGTGTAACTCATTAAGTAGAATTTAGTCTCAAGGACATATATAGCTGCAAAGGAGGCTAGGAAGTACCTTTTTTTTTCACCTTGACAGCAATATTTCCTGCTAAATATTGGGGTTCTATTACTGAAAGAAAAAAAGGGAAAATGGATATTGGTATAGGCAACCACCAGTCTCTGCCAAAGCATTAACTAAGAAACCTCAGAAAAGGCTTCCAAACATCATTAAACTCAGGAAGATTTCATCAGTTCTTGGACTGAGAATGATATGGTTATAAAAATTGCTTTAAAATTATATAGTTTGTCTTCATGTTCTGGATGTATAATTTTAGAGGTCCTGCTTATCATAACCTCACACTATCTCAAGTTAATCTTGTAATGCATAATTTAAATAAGTTCATCAGGCCTAGGATAATAATTAATAATGTTTATAAATTTGTATTTCAAGTTGTCTTAATAATTTTGAAAGGTGAAGGGACAAATTTATATTAGAACTGACTAGGTAATTGCATTAGTCTTCTCAGGCTACCATAAGGAAATACCACTGGTGGTGTGGCTTAAACAACAGAAATTTATTTCTCACAGTGATGGGGGCTGGAAGTCTGAGATCAAGGTGCCAATATGGTCAGGTTCTGGGAAGGACTGTCTTCCTGGCCTGCAGACAGCTGCCTTTTCCCTGTGTCCTCACATGGCAGAGACAGAGGGAGACAGAGATCTCTCATTTCCTCTCTTATAAGGCTACATTCCTATTGGACTAGGTACCTACCCTTATGACCTCATTTAACTATAATTAATTACCTTCTAAAGATCCCATCTCTAGATAGAGCCACATTGTGGGTTGGGGTTCAACATCTGAATTTGGTGGGATGGGGGTGCAAATTTAGTTCATAGCAGTGATCATACTTTCATACTTTTACATTTATAATGTTGATAAAGAACTTGTACTAGGTGTAAGGGAGCTGACAGGTGGCCATATTCTTGTTTGCTTGTGTTTGCACTGAATACGGTCTCCAATTAATATTTCTTAGAGTAATCTATTAGTGTCATTCATCTCTTCTGAAGGTGGAAAAAATGAGAGTGCAGTTGCTAAATCCGCACCAGCCCCTGTTTGCCCCTTGCCCCTTGCCCCATGGTGTGAAGCATCTTCTGCTCTTCTTCTATGATACCTTGAGACCGATGTATGACATGAGACCATGTTAATCTGTTTAACAAATATTAGCAAAACTTAATGTATTTTTATTTATAGATACATAGATAAATATTCTAGTATTTTCTTTATGCACCTCAAAATATTAAGTAGGAGCACTCCACTTTGTAGAGCACTATTATGAGTGGGGTTTGGCTTCTACCAGAGAGTCTACAGATTTTCAGGAAGTACACAAGACCCCTGAAATTTTGTGCAGAGGTTTTGCATATGTGCCTAAGATAGTAATTAATAATGCCTGTCTCATGGAATTATTTTAAGTTTTAAATGAGAAAATCTGTTTAAAAATGCTTAGCTGAGTTTCTAACAGAAAGAAAGCTTTTTACAAATGCTAGCTTGAAATGAATAAACATATTGTTCAGTATCAATGTCAGCCAATACTAAGCAAGATGGTTTGGCAGCTTGATGTTTTACTAAAATGAAAGTTAGGGAGCAGTCAGGCCTGTTTCTTTAAAGATCATAGTGTCCTGGGTGTGAGAAAATACAGATGTTTCAATTCCTATAGATAACACTATATGGGTTAGGTTCCTGAAAAGCTTCTTCATTCATTTAAAAATATTATTAAGCAGTTATTTTGTTCCTGGCCTTTGCTAGATGCTGATCATACAATGATGAAGAGAAAATATATGGTCTTTGTTGTCAGGGTTGTTTTTTTTTTTAAATCTTATTCTCATCAGGGTAACAAATACAGGGCTGAACTAAAGAAAGACTGATATACATTTTAGGGAGAGTAGCCTTGAAAGGCTTTTTTGAAGAGGTAGCATTTAAACTGAGACCTAAAAGAAGAGACATGACTAAGTGATGCAAAAGTTCAAGGAACAGCATGAACAAATCCATAAGATTAGAAAGAGGTTGGTACGTTTGCAATTCTTATATCAGCATGGCTATGGCATGGTAGGTGAAGAGGAGAGTTTTGTAAGATGAGATTGGAAGAAGAAAGCCAGGAAAAGATTATTCAGGGCCTTCATCGTTTTTTTTAGGTGTAGTTGGAAGCCACTAGAGGCTGATTGGCTTTTTGAAGAAGATCCCTTTTGATGCTAAACATGGAAAATGGCTGAGAGAGGCTCATGAACAGATGAAGTCATCCAAGTGTGAGACAACAACAGCTTAGGCTATGGCAGAACCAATTGAGATGGCAATGGTGGACAGATGGGCATTATTCTTAGAGACAAAATTGACAAGACTTGCTGATGGAAAAGTTTGATACGGGAAGTGAAGCAAAGCAAAAATCAAAGATGACCATCAGGATTCTTGCTTAAATAACAATGTGGATGGTGGTACAATTTGCTGATATGAGTGAGGGTAAGAATAGATTTGGAATAGAAAACCAAGAGTTTCCTTTTTCTTATATTAAGTTTGAGATGCCTGTAAGACATACATATGGAGAAGAATGGTAAAGTCCAAGCAAATATGAGAGTCAGCTTAAAATAAGACAGATTTGGACTGGAGATATACCTTTGAGTGTCATTAGCATACAGATGGTATTTAAATCTATGGGAATTGATAAAGCATCCTTCTCCATAGCCCAGAGAGAGAAGGAGATAGAGGAGGAAACCAGGACTGAGCCCTGAGAACTACAAAACTTTATCAGAAATGAAGGAGCCAGCAGGATACTGAGAAAGAGTAGCTTGCAAAGTAGAAGGCAAACCAAGAAATGATAGCATCATGAAAACGAAGAGAGGAGGGTATGTCCAAAAGGAGAAAATGTTGGGATGAATGCTGCCGAGACGTCAACTAAAATAAGGACATTGCTTTAGCTAAATGAAGTCACCAGAGACCTTGACAAGCGCAGTTTCAGAGGAGTAAATGGGAAGAGGCCACGTTAATAAATGAGTGAAAGGAAGATTAGAAAGGAATGGCAGCATGTGTAAACAACTCTTTGAGAAGTTTAATATAACAGGGAACAGAGAATTAAAGCCATATCTAGAATGTGTAGGGTCAAGAGAAGGGTTTCATTACTTGTTGATTTTATGATGGGAGATATTGGAGCTTGTTTGTTTGCTGAGGGAAATGAATCAGGACAAAGGAAAGAGGGAGACTCATGGAAGGGAGAGAGATGGAATCTGGAGCCCAAGAAGGGTTTGCTTTGAGAAGAATACAGCCTCAATCCCCACTGTGATCCAGGAAGTAGGAGAGCATTCCAGATTGCAAGTGTAGGTCAGTTTGGTCCTTCAGTTATAGAAAGAGGAGGAAGGTTTCCCTCAGTGCAGCGTGAGGGGAGCTCAACAGCACTGGAAGAAAGAATGCTTGAGGTATGAGATGGGAGAAGGCACAAAATAGTGTTCCCAGCAAACGGGAAATCAACTCAAGAAACAGTAAGGATTACTGGAGGGCACCAAGTGCTTGATGAAGATATAATGTGAATTAAAGGGAAAGCAATCTCAGTTTGTGAATTTATCTGGCAACATTCATCTGCTTGGCTCTAAGCCTGGTGAAGGCAGATGATGCTCGCCTGGGCTGATGTTTTTCCAGGAGAGGATAGAAAAGGTAACGATGGACACTGGAGCTAAGAGAATTTGCAAGGGAATTATTATGATGATGGATGATGGAATCAAGACTAAAGACGGTAAATGACACCAGGAAAGGCTGTTGGTTGCGGGGGCAGACTCAGAGGAAAATATGTCCTATAGCGATTCTGAAATATGAAGAGACTTACCTTAATCAGATGAAAAGCCAAAAGATTAGACAATGAAATGGCAGGTTTGCCTGTTCAGTGCCATACACCTGGTTTAAATTTTTTTTTCCTCTGCCGTGATTGGTTTGAACATTTGTTTATCATCTCATGTAATTATATTGTGCTTGTTTAATAATTTGGCATTGATTTCCCCAGTTACTTCAAGGTGAAGCCTTCACTCCTATTCTATGAGCCATACCTCTGATTTAAGACTCCTTTCTTTGCTTACAGAGAGCCTGTTAGTCAAGATCATCTCAAAGTCAGTCATTTTCACCTTTTCTACTTAATGTTTAATGTGCAGAACTCACAGACTCGGTGGAGGAAAGCAGACCAGCCATGTTTTTCTTATTCAGCCTTGTCCAGGATAGCTTACCTTGTTAACCTGTTTACAGTCTCTTGTCAGCAAATAAATTGCCTGAGGCATGCCAGTGAAAGCACACACCTGTGACTGGCACCAAAATTAAACCCTCCAATGCCATATGGCTTGCTCCTTAGCATAAATCATGACTAACCACGCATATGCTTTGAAGGTCAACAAAGTTAGAATCTAGTTGTTCTGCAGGAGGCAGTGGAAAGTAAGAATGATGTGGTAGTTAATTATTTCTCAGAACTTCTGTTTCCACAAACTTCCAGATCTGAACTTGGACCTCATTCAAAAAAATGGGAACCTCAAAATTTCATGAAACGTATAGAAGTCATTTTGAGTCTGATACTACCCAGTCTCTTTAGGTTGAAGCCCCACTCTTGCACCAGGCTGTCAGTATTACATGAAGGTCATGCTCGGATACCCACATTGACCATGGTCTTCACCCTGACCTGCCCCAGCCTGTGCTCTACTCCCTGTATGTCCTCCTCACTTTTCTCTCCTCTCTTTTGCATGATGTCTGACACTACTTACCGGGCTTCATCTTCTCTGCTTTTTTCTTCAGCCTCAGCCAGACTGTCCCTCTGGCCATGTCATGCCTTGGACATCCTGAGTAATAAGCATATCCTCTCTGGTTTGGGGTGACTCATGGTACCTTAGATGTTGGCTTAGGGCTTCAGCAGTATCACAGTCCCTGGGTTTGCCTTGACCACAGATGTACTTTGTCAATACTTTTAGCCAATATCTGAATGACAGGGAACAAGTCTTGCATGACTTCACGGAGCTAATCCTCTAGACATGGGCCCATCTGTCCTGAAGATGTTCCTAGAACAATACCTGCCACATGGAAGCCACTCAACCAATGTTTTAATACATAATAATAATAGTTAATACATAGAGGCTGTTCACTATGTGATAGTTATACCTGTGACTAGCATTATTGTGTGATTTACAGAAATTATCCTTCAAAACAGCCCCAAGAGGGAGGTACAAGTATGCTTTCAGTTATCATGTTAATAAAGAATAGGGGGAGGTTTTGACTTAACCTCCTCCCGCATCCCACTTCTGGTCAGTGAGGAGACTGAATTTCCAGATGGCTCTGAGTCTCAGAATCATAATTATAGAATTTACTACAGTGCTTCCATTCCCAGCCCTGAAAAATGGAGCAGGCTCTAGACTCTGAAGTCAGACCAAGTATCTGGGAACGTAACATTGATAGCTAACTGCATTGAGCACTTTCTACACACCAAACCCTGTGCAGGCACTTATATGCACCATATCATTGACTTCTCACCACCTTCTCCAGGGATTGTTGTTCCAATTTTTAGATGAGTCAAGTGAGGCTCTAAGGGATAAGTGACATGTCCAAAGTTACCCAGCTAATAAGTGGTGGAGCAAGACTCTCCTAGGTCAGTCTGGTTCAGGTGCTGTTGTTCTTAACCACTGTACTTTACTGAAGGTATGAAATTTTATATTACAAAGTTATGTATCAAGACTTCTTTATCCTGAACTTGTACAAAAACTCAGTTACCCAAATGTCTACCTAAGATACTGCTTTATTACATCTTCCAGTTGAGTCAAAGTTCAATAATTGATTTAGAAATCATTTCACCAGTTAACAGCTCTCTTTTGGCTCCCAAATGTCAATTCTGAGAAAAGGGAGGAACAGAGTTTCTCACACACAAGGTAATCTTTCTCTGGAGTGAAAACGGGGCCATTCTTCAGCGCTCCTCATTGATTCGCATGAACTTTCCTTCCCCTCTGAAATTGAATTGTGTTTGGGAACTGAGATGACTGAGGAAACTCTGAGCCTTTGTTAGGAAAAGAAAAGAAAAGCAGTCAATTGAGGTCTTAAGCCTTGGGTATAAGGGCTTCCTCTGGAGTGCGTGGGCTGCCTGACTTCCCATCTCAATATGTTGGGCTCTGCCTGAATTTCATGGCCACCAGAAACTTCTCTTGCCAAGCTATCCAATTCCAGTCTTCATATCACTTGACAGGCCAGCAGATCAGTCCCCACTTCTCTGCTTCCAACCACATTGTTGCCTTTTTATATCTATCCTGCCTGCTTATTGAAATTTGCCTGCTAATTTGTCTTACCTCATCCATGAATCCACCTTCCTGATAAGCCCTTACCACATTTGTGTAATGACTAAAGGCACAAGTTTGAGGTTCACAAGACTGGAGTTCAGATCTCAGAGACTGCATTTACTTGGGTCCTTGAGTAAATTCCTTAACTTCTCTGAGCATCTGTAGCATTGCAAATAATTGGACTACCTAAAATGTTGTTATAAGAATTAAATGCAATCAGATATGTAAAGCACTTAGCGTAGGGTCTGGTGTGCAGCAAGTGATTATTACATGCTATTTACCTTTTCTACTTTCCACCAAGAGGTTTATAGTCTAATCTGTCCTCTAAAGGAATATTCATTTGGATGTTTGCTGGTGAGATGGCAATAGTTTTTGAAGACAGTCTGTAGTAGCTTGTCTCCAAGAGAATCACCATCAATTTTCTTCCCTATTTCACTTGCCATTCCCTTACTCCCTTCCCCCTACTTTGAAACTGAGCTGGCCTTAGTGACTTATTTGACCAACAAATTCAATAGAAGTGACATCTTTGCACTGACAAAAAGAGTCCTAGAAAGCCTCACAGCTTCTTCCTGGGCTTCTTGGAACACCTATTTCTGGAACAATCACCCTTGGAGGAGTTGGCCACCATGCAGGAAGTCCATCTATCCTAAAATCACTGTGCCACATGGAAAGCCCTGGAGAATAAGGCATCAGTACAGTGAAACATGAAGGGAGGCAGAGATGCCAGTCAAATGAGTGAAGACACCATAAGTGGAAGTGGCTGCTCCAGCCCCAGCTGCCTTTACTGATGCTCTGGGGAACAGAAACAAGCCACCAGCCAAACTCTTCCCAAATCCCTGACCCACAAAACCATCAGCAAATTAAAATGGTTGCTTTAAGCCACTGTGTTTGGGGATAGCTTATCATATAGCAATCGACAATAGAGCACAGCCTTCGTCCTCTGAGGTCCACATGAGGAAGGACTGACAAGGCAGAGCTGAAATGACATCTTCCTTGATGTAAGATGTGGGCAAAAAAACAGGATTAAGTGGCCCCTGAGAATGTCCAAGTCTAGCTTTTCTCCTGTACTTTAAGCATGGCCTGGGAGTTATCTCTCTTTCTGGTATATAAGGAGATTTTAATATACTTAGTGGTAAAATGTAAAATGGAGTCCTAAAATATAGGCTTAAAACTTGGTTTTGCCACTTAGCAGTTAAGGTGACCTTGGAGAAACTACCAAACATTTCTGAGTT
Organism: Homo sapiens; assembly: GCF_000001405.40. Classification (NCBI taxonomy): domain Eukaryota; kingdom Metazoa; phylum Chordata; class Mammalia; order Primates; family Hominidae; genus Homo; species Homo sapiens. The sequence goes on along the minus strand of NC_000005.10, from coordinate 143,840,449 downwards.
TCTGTTCCCTCATTTGTAAAATAGGATAATAACACCCACCTCCCTGGGTTTTGTAAAACATAAATTAGATAATGAACATAAGGCACTCAACAGAAAGCCTGGAACAGAGAAAACACCCAATAAATAGTAACTATGACTGTTAATATTCTTGCCTTCACCCTGATAATTTGCCTAATTGCCATGGCTCCACAACAGACTGCCTTTAACTTAATACCAAATCTTTGGAAAAGCTATCCTAATTTCTGCTAATTAATTTTTAATCACGGCATTCAGGCAATATTTTCTTACATAGACAATTATTTGTTTTTGTAGGCAATGATATTTCCAATCAGAACAAGGGGAGCTGTGTTATTTGGACATAATTCAATTCTTGATGGGTTGAAATTAGGATGTTCACTTTATCTGGGGCCAGGCTGCCATTTTAAAGGAAATATTGAAGTAAGAAATTTCTATTTGTTAGTCACACTACATGCCAAATTTGAACTGCTTTGATTTTCATTTAGATAGTAGATTTTGGTGATTAGTCCATCAAGGTGTTAGCTAGTGATCACAGGAATACAAGAGGCCCATGATCTACATGAAGGTCTTTGCACTTTTATTGGCTTGCTGCACCCCAGTGAGCCTGGTCTCCTAGTTCCCTGGCATCATAGGGCAATTACACCTACATATTGGCTGGTAGGCTCTGCAAGATTAGGAAGGAAGATAGCTGCTGGGGGCTGAGGATCATTTCTTAGGATATGGACAACATAGGTCCCAAAGATAGTATCCATTCATTATTCACTCATTCATCAAATATTTATTGAGGATCAATTCTGTGCCAGGCACCATGCTAGGTTCTGAGGAAACAGCAGTGACAAGCTAGACTTTACAAAAATAACCACAAATAGTTTTTAAGTACATAAGACAGACATTTCAAATAATCACTCAAATAATCTTTAAATAAGTACTGTGAAGGGAAAGTTACAGGGTACTGATAATCCACTAAGGAACGAAGCCTGAGGGTCAAGGAATGCATTTCCGGGGAAAGGACATGTAAACTGTGGCTGAAAGGCTATGTCGGAATTAGCTGGTGGAAATTGCTAAGAGGAGTAAAGAGATCAGAAGCAACAGCATGTGCCCCTTTGCTGGGTCTAGGACGAGTGAAAATGGAGGGGCCAGGTCTAAAGCCATACTGCCTCCTTTTATTTTCTCACTTGCCTCCATCTTGTACTGTAAGGGGACTTACACTTAAATGTGTTGACACACATGCTAATACCCAAGCTCTTAACCCATCCCAAAGAAAAACAGCTACCCATAGGCATACCCCCTGGTGATATGGTGTATCTTTGAGATGGCAAACCCTGGGAAGAGGCTTATAATAGGCTCTGAAAGTGTGTTCTGGGTCCCCAGAGAGTGGTCTAGAAATGGATACATGAGGTGAGCTCCAACCAGGCATCTTCTTGCTCTGTAGCCTCTGCCCCATTGTGACCTTAAAACTAGAAAACGGTCAGAGTAGGTCTTTCTAATCAGGGCCCTGATTGCCAGGCCTCAGGACAATACTGGCACCAGTACCAGCCAGCCGCTCTTACCTGCAGACTTTATGACTTAGAAGTCCGGAGATGCATCAGTGAGACCTCCTGGAACCATATTTAAAATTGCATGTGAGCCTACCTGTATGTGCATTTTTCTAGGAGGTGATTCCGTTTCCTTCAGCCTCATAAAGAAATACATGATTCTCTAAATTTTAAAAATTGCTGGAGCAATTAGAGGGTTTTTCTAGATGATCCTGAGATCTCCTTGAACATAGAGCTTCCATGATCCCCAGACACACTCCTCCTCCTGAAACTGGCTCTCTAATCTGGGCCTGTCAGTAAGAACTCAAGGGAAAGAGATGGATAAGGAAATATTTGAACATTAATTGAACTTCAAATTGCAAGTTCTTCATGCTCACATATGACTTCTAAATATATCAGAAAAGCCATATATCAGCCTAGTGGTGAATCTGTCTAGCCTTCTTCCAAAGCATTAATTTTCTCAGCAGCTAAGAAAGGCTGTCACCAATATTTTAATACTTCTTCCAGTCTAGAAAAAAAACCATTTTAAGAAACAGAAAGGGTGTATATGTCAGGATGAAGGAGAGATGGGGACACAGTAAAACGTAGTGGTGGGATCTATGATCAAGGCACCTAATTTCACTCAAGAAAAAAAAAATTGTTTTTCTGACAGAGTAAGTCTTAAAATATCTCTTTGAGTTCCTTTTGCCAATGGAAAACAGTGTTTGACTCCATATCTTCATTCTTTTACTAAGAGCAACTGCTTTGAAGTTGTTCTCAGTTTTGTCTAAAAGTGAAAGTTATTTCATAAAATTAAGAGATTATGAAATTGTTCCAAAGAGCTGAAGTGGTTTTGGAGTTTTAGAGTTGGATTATACTACTAGGTGCTAATATAGAGCAGTTATATCTAAGGATAGAGGAGGAGGGGTACTCTTTTCCTAGATTTATATGTTACAAGAAAGAATGATATCATTACGACTGACAGTGGCTTTTCTGGAAATGATACACCCAAAGAATATCATTATTGTAACCACTTCATATCCTGTCCACCACTACTATTTATGAAGTAGTCTCTCAGGATAGAGTTAATGTTTATTGAGTGTTTATTATGTGCCAACCCTCTCCTAAGCCCTTTACACATGTTAACTCTCCATTTAACCGATGAGAAAAGCAAAGCTCAAAGAAGCGCTGTAACCTAGATAGTAAGGGGCAGAGTGCATATTTAAATCCAGGTCTAATTGACTCCAAAGGCATTGCTCTTAACCTCCATTTGGATACAGGGAAGGAAGAGGCCCTCTTTTAAAAAGGCAGACTCGTGCAAAAAGCCCTAAGCAAACATCAATTCATACAGTGCTACAGTGTACATGAGCACTCAACAGACAGGAAATGGGATGATTAGTACCAGATGGGGCTCATAAGAGTGAGCTTCATGTGCAGCCCTGCAAGGGGCGGTGGGGTTGGCTCCACAGACAACAGAGTTTCTGCCTGAATGCACGACCTTGCTCCTTACTGCTCTGCCCTGCACTAAGTCTCCTTTGGGAAACATTTGCCCAGAGCAGCTTTCAAGAAGTGTCTTTTTTTCCATTCGAATATAACCAGGAAGCGATGGCTCCTTGCCTTCTCACGAACAAACGATGACCTCCAGATGGACCTATCTGATGAACGACTATTCTTAAGAAAGATGAGCTGGGAAATATCAGGTTTTGAGAATCCAATTATGAAAACAGTTAACAACCTTTCACTTCATCAGTCGAAAGAGAAAGGTAGCTTTGAGATAGTAGCTAATGATTACAATAATAATGACGACTGACATTTTTTGAACTCTTGCCTTGATGCCATACCCCTTTAGACACCTTATGTGCATTCACTGAGGGAATCTGTAAACAATCCCAGGAGGTGGCTGCTGCTATCCCCATTTTACAGATGAGGAAACTGAAGCTTAAGGAGGTTCGTGGCTGCTGGCCCAAGGTTATATACTGATAAGTAGTAGAGCTGAGATAGGAAGCCAAATCATTTTAATGTTTAGAGCAACAGTCTTGAACTCAAGCTGTATTAGAATGCCTATTTTCTGACTATCATGAAACTAATTAGTTATCTTTCCAGATAACATCACAAAGTAGAGCAGTCACTTTGGAAATGGAGGCAGGCGGCTGCAAGGGAGTTCTTATCACTAAATTCCACCGTTTCTTTTTCAAGTATTGTCCAAATATACAGAGAAAATCCATCCATAAAATCTACCTTGTTATTCTTGGAGGATGATACTTGAAGGAATTATTTAATGAGATTGAGAAAACTATAGGTATTAAAATAGTTCCCTGATGTTACATGTTTATAATGTTAAGGACTGTCAGAGATGCTACAGCAACAGTGTTGGACAGCAGCCTCCTATAGTCATCTCTTAAAGAAGAAAGAACACTAAAGGTGACGATCTCCCTAACCCCATCCCCAGAGTCCATTATGTCTTTCCATTGTCAGCCCTCCAGTTTATTTGCAAGAGATATTTATAAAAACATTGTTGCTCAAACTGGGTTAGCCTAATGTCTTGGAATTTTCAAAATGTCAACCAGTCACTGAAGGGGTATGTCTGTGGGTAAGACACATTGGGAACACACGCACAAAAATCTAATGCTTTACATGCATGTGTTTTCCACTTAGTATAATTCAATCCTCATGCCAGCCTTTTTAGGTAGTTATTATGAGTGACCCTTCTTTCAGAGGAGGAAACTAAGCCTCTGAGAAGCTAATTGATGAGTTTAGGGTGACACCCTCGTAAGTGGCAGAGCTGAGAATAGAAACCCACTCTATGCCTGCAATGTCTGCACTTCTACCAAATACATTCTGTGCCTTGCTACATGTGCTTCACATACCTGAATGTATTCAGGTACCAAACTCAACAATTATGTGACTCCAAGATAAGGAAAATGACTCCGAGAGGTCACCTGGTGATTAAGCCCTAATCCTGAATGGGTCTGACCCCAAAGCCTTTCTCATCCTGAATGGCCCCTGTCCTGGACATTAGTGGGTGTCGTGGAGCTGTGTACAATGGAAGATTGTGCCCTTCGCTGTACTCAAACAATCTAAGGCCTGATTTTTCCAAAAACGTGGAGGGCACCTCAGCCAAAGAGTGGTTGAGCAGGAATAGTGTTTTCCTTAAGCCCGAAAGTTCAAGTTTTAATTTGACTTCACATCTGAGGATAAATGTATTCATTCATTTCTACTGAAAGTCTAATAAGTACCAATGTGGATGATAATGGTTTCATCTCAGTTTTCTGCATGGCAAAGATATCAATCATGTTCATCATTCCAAATCAACAAATAACCCAAAACAAACATATTTACTTGAGTTTTTGCAACACAGAATCAAAAAGCATTTGGAAAACTCCAGGGTTGACAGTATACCATCAATCTCAACCTCTCTGAGGCAGAACTCATAACATTTTATTAGATGCTCCCAGACAGGAACCAGGCCTGGTTTCCGTCATTTGCAGGATCTGGCATCGTGTTTTCAACCAAGCACTATTTATTATCATCACTCTTTTGTGTTTCTATTGACATCAATGTAATTAGGATCATTCTTAAGGACCGGCTTCCAACATCATCCAGAGCTGACACCAAGGAGGCTTGACAAACTTTGCTGTTATAAAGATACTCTTCACTAGAGCTCAGGGAAAATAATTTCTGAGACTTAATGAAAGGACCAACTTTCTTAGTTTTCAGAATAAGAATGTGCTATAGGAGGCACTAAGAAAGGGTCAGGGCAAAGGTTGGACTGAATGCTCTCTAAAAATTCTTCTAACTCCTAGAACTTCTGCCTCTTTCCTGTTTCACTTAAAATTTCTCCCATAGGTCAGGCACAGTGGCTCACACCTGTAATCCCAGCACTTTGGGAGGCCAAGGCAGGTGGATCACTAGGTCAGGAGTTCAAGACCAGCCTGGCCAACACAGTGAAACCCTGTCTCTACTAAAAATACAAAAAAAATTAGCTGGGCGTGGTGGTGAGCACCTGTATTCCCAGCTACTTAGGAGGCTGAGGCAGGAGAATTGCTTGAACCTGGGAGGCAGAGGTTGCAGTGAGCCAAGATCACACCACTGCACTCCAGCCTGGGTGACAGAGCAAGACTCTGTCTCAAAAAAAAAAAAAAAAAAGTTATCCCATATTCACTTTTCCCCACCCTCACTATACTTTGTTGAAATGTCTCATGAATTAACCACATTCGAAATATCTACTTTAGAAACTGTATTTTAAAATGCCAATTGTTTATAGCAAATACTACACTATTATACAATTGGAATTAATGGGGCATAACAAGTTTGTCTATCATGATATCAGCCCATCAGTACATTCAGTTACTAAAAAATACATTATTCAAAAACTTAATTCCCCTGAGTCCAGTGAAAGCTTGTACATTGCCCTAAGGAGATATCAAATATTTTCTCATTAATATTACCTAAGTATCGTCTCTTAAGTGAAATATTCATCTTTTTTGTCTAGCTATTGTAAGTTTCCATTTGTATTGTAAGTTGAGTATTGGAGACTAGAGAAAAATATTTAAAAGCAAAGTAAAAGGAAATACTACCAATTAAGATAATTAGGGCTCATGGATGAAGCATTTGCTTATAAGGCACTGCTATACTATGTGTACCTACTCTACCTATTGTACTATTTTGTAACGAGTGCCTAGAGAGCAGGCATTCTGTATTTAGCCAGTATTTGCTAAATTAACAATTCTACATTGTACGTTCATGGGCAATTAACCAGATTCTCACAATCTCCGCCTATTCTCTAGAAAGAAGGAAAGCATCAAGCACAACACTAGGCACAGAGTAAACATTCAACAAATACTGTCAATTGCTTGCTTAATTGACTGGAAACTGCCTTCTGTCTTTCTGGCAGTGAGGGTGCCCATTAACACAATGGGCCAGAGAATAACTAAACCTTATGAACGGTTGAGATCCCCTTTCTACAGACTTTCATGAGGGCTTAGCTATCTGCTATAGATGAGCTTAGGAAAAACACCATCTGGCTTAATCAATTAAATTGTAACTCCACAAGTAATGCTGGGCACACAGTAGGTGTTGCTTTATGGGCTGCTGAATAACTGAGTGACCACAGAATAATTGAGGAATTTTATCACAAAATGTAGAGTTATTTTTTTTTTGTTTGGGCCGGGCTTCAAAGGTCTCCCATCACAAATCAGCACCTGCTTCAGTGGCTGGCATATTGTGCTCAATAAGTAATTGCTGAATGAAATACTTCATGAATGAACCAACCAACCAATCAGCCAGTTTTCTTACTTACCAACCAATCATTGTGTTCTGCAGAGTTTCTTATTTATAATGGCGTCTTCATCACATATGTGGTACCTCTTCATTGGCTACTACAGAAGTTAACTTATTTTTCAGCATCGTGACTGTGTCCTGACTAATGTAAATTTCCTGACACCAAAATAGTATTACGTGTCAACTCTGACCAATTGCCCTTACCATATCTACAAATGAAGGGGGGAAAAAAGAGCCACGACCAATGCATTTTGCAAACTAAGCATTATCCAGCTGAAAGTATGACAGAGTTGGAGGGAGTTTCAATTTATCATTTCCAGGACAGTACTAGCTGGTATTTGAAGCTGGGCTTTTCTCTGGGGTGATTTGAAGAAGATAAATGTCTACAAAACTGGTGGAATGACTCTGTAGGCTTGTGGTAAATATTAATATAATGCAGACAAGATTGCTGTGCTTGTCTGAAAAAACTTTTTAAAAATACCCTCCTATTTCTTCTCAAATTCTGTGAAGTATAAAATTCATGATAATGATGAACCCTCCTGAATATGTTGATCCTGGAGCAGATGAGACAGGCCTAATATTTTGATTTGGCTCATGGGAATGATGTAGATCCACCAGCTTGCCATGTTTACTGTGAGGTTACAAGGATCAGAGGGATATTCCGCTGGGAAGATTTTATCACTGTAAACAGAATTAGATACATCTTAGAGGCGGATATTCAGAAGAAGCAGTTTGTCTTATTAGTTTTTACAGGAAATTGATTTCAAAGACCATGGTTGCCCACATGTAATGAATTGGCTTTGCTGGAAAACTGTTTTTATTTTCAACAGCCAACACAGCTTCTTAATTGTTTTGCTGTTAATTAGCTAAGGATGCAGTTTAACTGAGATCAAAGTATTCAAAACGAAGGCAGATTTTAAAGAGGAAAATGCCTAATTAGCTTCCTCTAGTACATAACTCCATTTCTTCCTAGCCAATGAGGATAACATACGGCAGAAATCAGATGTGCTCATTTGGGCCTAATTCAATCAGAAGGAGGGGAATAAAAACCCTCTTTGGGTTACTCAATGACAATTACAGAGTCTGGGAATGTATACACGCAAGCAATGACACAGATATGGGGAAGTTTCTTTGACATGAAAATGAGAAAAGATTTTTCAACAAGGGAACCTCCTTGAGCTACCTGAAGTGGGACTTCAAAATAATTCTCTCTAAATGGTAAAGGTTTCACTGCATACTTTTTTCCCTCTTTTCAGTAAAGAGTTGAGAACAATGATAAAAGTCATTAATTACAATAAGGAATATGATTGGTAGATGTGTGTATGTGTGTTTGTATTAGTTAATCACTCTGTATTTTATATTGGAGGGGGGAAGAACTCAGCAACCACATCCCAGAGTTGGAAGAGCTCTGAAGGCTATCTACACCCATTTCTCTTGAACCCCCCAACAGGTTTCCAGAATTAGCCTTTCCTCTTTCGTATTCTCATACACTTGGATGTCACAAGCAATTACTGAAGCTAAGAAAATTAGCACAGATCTACTTCATCAGAATCTAGACAGGTTGGTTGGTTGGTTGGTTGGTTTTTTTCATTTTAAAGGAGAAAGAGAGTTTTGCTTCTACATCAAATGCATAGCTGTATGGACTAAGGTCTTCACAGTGCATTACGTTTGGACACATGGAGTAAATTGGTTACAGTGCTCATTCAAAAGATTTACTCTTGAGGGCAGGATTGTATCTGCCCTATTCTCAGACATGTCTCCAGCTCCTAGCAAAATGTGTGGCATGTAACAGTCTATAAATCCTACCAAATGGATTCATATTTTATGAATAAATGAAAGAATGAATGAAGTAATTTGGGGTTTCAAGTAAAAAATACAAATCTCTTAATTTCTTAATGATTAAAAATAGTAGTTAAGGCTAACCTTTGCTGAACACGCACCATGCTCCAGGCTCTGGAACATGCTAAGAGTTTTACCTATATCATCTCCTGGGTGGGCATGTTAAATGTTTGGCATAACTTGACCTGGAACTCCCTGGCAGCGAGACTCAATTCCCATAGGACAGAAAGAATCGATAATAGGAAAAAAAGGCACCTAAGTAAGAGACTTAGAGGGTGCGTAAGGAGTTGCAGCTGAAACCCAACAGAACTCCCAGGTGTCAGTCTCTCACCCCTCCTAAGGATGCACCCAGCCATCTACATTGCTCTGCACTCCCCAGTCATTTGACAGAAACAGGGAAGCAGAATCACCACTTCAGATATACTTTATTCATTCATTCAGTCAGTCACTAAGATTCATTTTCTAATTCATTTAACAAAAAAATTTATTCAGTGTTTGCCATATGCCAGACATGATGCTGGGGATTCAATAGTAAACCAGATAACTTCTGTCCATCCCTGTGCCTGTCCTTGCAGAGCTTTAGTCTGTAGGAGAGATTTACAAACTAAATGAAGTCTGTGCATTTTTTGTAAACAGTGATGCTACCATAGTAATCAAGACAATATAGTATTTGTGAATGGGGTAGGCACAGAGATCAATGGAACAGAACAGAGAGTACAGAAATAGGCCCACACAAATCAATTGATTTTAAAATATTTTTTAAAATTTTGGAATGATTTTAGATTTATAGAAAAGTTGAAAAGATAATAGTTTCCATATACCCCTCATCCAGTTTCCTCTAACATTAACATCCTACATTGCTATGGTACATTTGCCAAGACTAAGAAATTAACATTGGTACAATGGTATTAGCTAAACTCGAATCTTCATTTAGATTTTACTGGTTGTTCGATTAATGTCCCTTTTTTTTCTGTTCCAGGACCTAATCCAGAATACCACACTGCAAATGGTCAATTAATTTTTTACAAAGATACAAAGGCAAATAAGTGCAAAAAGATTAGTCTTCTCAATAAATGGTGCTAGAACAATTAGACATACCCATATAAAAGAATAAACCGTGACTGAAACCTCACAACTTTATGCAATAACAACTTAATGTGGAGCATAGATCTAAACATAAAATGTAAAGCTACAAAAGTTTTAGAAAAAAAATAGGAGAAAATCTTCATGATTTTGGCTAAAAGATCTTAGAAATAACATCAAAAGCATGATCCATAAAAGAAAGCATTGACAAATTGGACTTCATCTAAATTAGAAATGAAAAAAATAGAAATGTTTATTTGCAAAATACACTGTTAAGAAACTAAAAAAAAAAAAAAAAAAGACACAGACTGGGAGAAAGTATTTGCAAATGAAATAATCAGAAAAGGACTTATATCTAAAATATGTAAAGAAATCTCAAAATTCAAAAGTAAGAAAATCAACTACCCAGTTAAAAAGTAGACAAAGCATTTGGTCAGACACATCAGCAAAGAGAATGTAGGGACAGCCTATAAACACATGAGAAGACGTTCCACATCATTAGCCATTAGAGAAATGCAAACTCCTGCCACTGCACCTATCAGAATGGCTACAATTAAAGACACTGACAATACCTAGTGCTGGTGAAAATGTCAACATAAACTCATAAACACTGTTGGGTGGTAACACAGAATAGTACATCCACTCTGAAAAATGTTTTAGCATTTTATTACAAAGCAAAAAATCTAATATAATCTAGCAATCCTGCTCTTAAGTATTTATAACAGCAAGGATTGGTAAACTATGGCCAACAAGCTAAATCCAGCCCACTGCTTGTTTTTGTAAATGAAGTTTTATTGGAACACAGCCATACCACTTGCCACACTTATTTCTATATGTATTATCTATGGCTGCTTTCACACCAGTTGCAACAGAAACTGTAAGACCCAAAAAACTAAAATATTTACTCTCTAGCCCTATACAGAAACAATGGACTGTCCCATGTTTGGGTGGACATATACAAGTATATGAAAACAAAAGCCTGCACACAAATATTTTAATAGTAGCTTTATTCATAATTGCCCAAAACTTGAAACAACCCAAATGCACTTCAACAGATAAATGGCTAAACAAATTGTGGTATATCTATACAATGGAAATATTTAAAAGGAATACTATTTAAAAAGAGCAAACTATTAACACTGGCAAAAACTTGGAGAATCTCAAAAGCATTATGCCAAAGGAAAGCTAATTTCAAGAGGTTACATGTCTATAATTCTATTTCTATGACATTTTTGAAAAGACAAAATTCTAGTAACAGGGAAGAACTCAATGGTCACCGGGGGTTATGGGTGGTGATAGGGTGTGATTACAAAAGAAAAGCATGTGAGGGTTTTATGAGGTGCTAGAATCGTTCTATATCCTAATTGTAGTGGTACCTTCGTGAATCTATACATGTGCTAAAATGTATAGAACTGCACACCAAAAAAATCAGTTTCCTTGTATGTTAATTTTAGAAATAAAAAATAACTTTAAAGTGAAGCTATCTGTCCAAGGCCAAACAACTAGCCAGGAGTATAAATGAGATTCGAATCCAAGACTGTGTCACTCCACTGCCATTTAGCCTGATTTCCTCATTTTCTCTAAGAGTAAACAAGGCTTGGAGGGGCTAAATCACCTGATTTATGTCCTGCTCTGAGCAATTCATGGTGGCTGTGTTGACACTTGCATGAAAACTTGTTCCCTTGGGCTTGAGTACCTACTAAGTGCTATAACTGAGGCCAAAGACCCTTGCCTGTTCTCCAGTGATGTGAGGTGACTGGCTCCCCTAACCCACTCCTTCATGCGGTTTTGGGCAGGAACTTGAGTACCCATGCCTGTGACCCATCAACATTATCAGCACCACACTCGTCTCATGCTGTCTTATCTATTGTAGGCCTTTATAGTTTTCACACAGCTTTCAGTTTCACTTGAACTTCACAACCACCGAGATAGAGATCCAGCAGGAATTAGTTATTTGCATGCTATAACCAAGAAAATGGAGGTTTAACCAGATTAAAGAATGTCTCCAAAGTTACAAGGTATTATGAGAGAGGGGGGTGCTTAGAGTCTAAGAGGT